>NC_000007.14:128131779-128756779 GCF_000001405.40 Homo sapiens
AAAGCTTTTTTTTTTACAATAGAATGCCAACTAATAAATATAGAAGGAACAATGGAATTAGAAAAGTTGGCAGCCCTCATAGTAATAACTTACTCAGCCAAGAAACATCAATGGATGCTAAAACTAGTAAGTGGAAGTTTGAAGAATAACAGGATATTACAGAGCTTCAAAATACTTATTGACTACCATGGGGAAAGAGGCTTTCAGTGGTGAAACCTGGCAGTCGATACCTCAATCAACTAATCAAGGCTAACAACGTCACTATTGGACAAACTGAAATCATGTACCACCTGCCAGGACTCAATGAGGAACACCAGCATCACTTCTGTGATACTCCTGCCAGAGACGCATAGCCCGAATTGGGTTCACGCTACAAAATAACTGGCCTGTAATCTTGAAAAATATCAAGATCATGAAATTCAAGGAAAAACTGAGGGACTGTTCTAGACTGAAGGAAACGTGATGTGAAAACTAAGCAAAACATTGTGATCTTGGATTGGGTCCTTTTGGTAGGAAAGACATTATTGAGAAAATTGG
This sequence comes from Homo sapiens, assembly GCF_000001405.40. Classification (NCBI taxonomy): domain Eukaryota; kingdom Metazoa; phylum Chordata; class Mammalia; order Primates; family Hominidae; genus Homo; species Homo sapiens. The sequence goes on from NC_000007.14 coordinate 128,132,317, forward strand.
TGAAATTTGATTGGCAGTGCAAATTAGGTGGCAGAGATGTATCTATGTTAATTTCCTCATTTTGCTAGTGTATTGTCCTTATTTGTAGCAAATGTGCATTAAAGTATTCTCGAGTGATAGGACAACATGTCAGCAACCTATTCTCAAATAGTACAAGGAAAAGAACATTTTTAATACTGTTCTTGCACCTTTTCAAGTTTAAAATATTTTAAAACAAAAAGAATAAAACAAAAAACAAATACACAAAAAAAATGGATGAGGAAGCCCAGAGACAATTCCAGGAAGCGGTTGGCTGGGTTTCTTCAAGTGCCAGTGAGATGAGAAATAAAAAGGCAGGATGGAGGGGAGGAGCTGATGTAGACTAACAAGATTCATACCGGTAAACATCCCGATTCCAACAGATGAGCCCTGGAAAGACATTTTAAAGATAATCAGGGATATCCGAATATGGACTGGCTATGAGATATTACCAAGTTATTCTTGCTAATATTCTAAGTGTGAAAAAGCCATTGTGATTATGTAAAAACACGTGGGGGTATTTTTCAGACGCATATTGAAGCACGTGGGAATAAAATGACATGAGGTCTGGCTAATAGTTGACAGAAAAGGGAGAGACACAACAAATAGAGAAAGACCTTTGATAATTATTGAATCCAGATTATAAGTGTTGTGTTAGTCGGCTCAGGCTGTTGGAGTGACTTTAAAAAACAGAAATTTATTTTCTCAGTGTGCAGGCTGGAAGTCCAAGATCAAGGTGCCAGCAGGTTTGTTTTCTCCCGAGGTGTCTCCACTTGAAGACAGCCACCTGGCCGTGTCCTCACAGTCTTCTCTCAGTCTGTGTTGTCTGTGGTCCTAATCTCTTTTTCTAAGGACACTGGTCATACTGGATTGGGCCCATCCATATGACCTCATTTTACCTTAATTACCTCTTTGAAGGCCCTATCTCCACATAAAGTCACATTCTTAGGTACTGAGGGTTAGGACTTCAACATGAATTTTAGGGGATGCGGTTTAACCTACAACAGGTATATGGGGGTTACCATAGTCTCTCATTTTGATGAATGTTTTTCATAATAAAAATTTTCATAATAGGCCAGGCACAGTAGCTCACGCCTGTAATCCCAGCACTTTGGGAGGTCAAGGCGGGCAGATCACCTGAGGTCAGGAGTTCAAGACCAGCCTGGCCAACATGGTGAAACACCATCTCTACTAAAAATACACACACACACACACACACACACACACACACACACACACACTAGCCAGGCATGGCAGTGAGCGCCTGTAGTCCCAGCTACTCAGGAGGCTGAGGCAGTAGAATCACTTGAGCCCAGGAGGCGGAGGTTTCAGTGAGCTGAGAGCATGCCATTGCACTCCAGCCTGGGCGACAGAGCAAGACTCCGTCTCAGAAAAAAATTATAATAAAAATAAATGCAGAAAGAGTAAGTTGAGATAGCCACTGTAGATGGGTCTTTTGAGGAGTTTTGCTGCAGAAAATATCAGAGAAATGGGATCATGCCTGGAGGTGGATGGAATACGGGGACAAGGGAGTTTTTGTTTTTTCTTTTAAAATGATTATTATTGAGGCATATTAGTATGCTAATAAGGAGAATCCAGTACAGAGAAAAAAAGTATGCACAATGAAAGACAGGGAATAATAGCAGGTGAAGATCCTTAGTTGGCAAGAGAGCATGGGGTACGGGTAAAAAATGGAGGTACCACCCTGTCTCTGCCAGGGGCTCTGTCTAGGCGGCTGTGAGAGTGAAGAAATCCTCTTCCAACCGACGATGTTCCTCAGTGAAAAAGGAAGGAAGGGCATTCCAGGTCTATATTTTATCATTTAAAAAAAAAAAAAAAAAAGGAGCAAGGGCATCTGTCAGTGAAGAGTGAGGGAGTGTCAGAGATTTTAGGAGAGGAGAGAAGATGAGAAATGCTCAATGAGGAGGAGAGTGGAGTGAACTGAGCGCAGAAGCAATGCCAGAAATCAGTTGGCCCCTTTGGAGGGCTGCCTTCATGGAATTAAAGGAGTGCCAGGTGGGGCGCCTCACGCCTGTAATCCCAGCACTTTGGGAGGCCAAGGCGGGCGGATCACCTGAAATCAGGAGGTCGAGACCAGCCTGGCCAACATGGTGAAACCTGGTCTCTACTAAAAGTACAAAACTTAGCCAGGCGTGGTGGTAGGCGTCTGTAATCCCAACTACTTGGAAGGCTGAGGCAGGAGAATCGCTTGAACCCGGGAGGCGGAGGTTGCAGTGAGCTGAGATCGCGCCATTGCACTCCAGCCTGGGTGACAAGAGCGAAATTCCGTCTCAAAAAAAAAAAAAGAAGTACCGACAGTCAGCTCTCTTCAGTGCCTCAGGAGGGTGTGGAAGACGCGAAGCTCTGGATTTAATCAAAGTTGGAGTTTGGTTAGGAAAATACAGTGAGGGGGCGGGACACCGAAAGTGAAGGATGTATGCAAGGGAGCGATTAGAAACACGTGCGTCAGAACACCAGCGGGAGCTTGATGAAAATTTAGGAGGTGGTGGTGGTCGAGCGGGATGGTTGAAATGTAAATTTTGGAGGGATGTGGGAATTAATAAGGACAACGTCTATGACATGACCGTGGAGCGGCTACCGCGCGGGGGTAGAAATTACTGGAGAAGAGACCAGGGATCAAGAGGTGGAAGAGCTGGATGGATTGTCTACGTGGATTTCGGAGCCTGTTATTTTGGCAGTCACCTTTCTAATTTTCTAAATTCTTACTTGTTCCCCTTTGAAAAGCATTCTGTTCTTGTTCTGTGGCTATAAAATTTTCTGAATCTTTCTAAGGATATTAGAGCGTCTCCCTCTCTCTCTCTCCACACACACACACACACACACACACACACACACACTTTTGTTCTTCAAATCATCTTTTTCTTTGGAGTTGGTTGCACTCCTGGTTTATCTAGATCATTCTCATTTGATGAAACACCGTGGTGAAAACCCTCCTACCTAGTGCTTCGCCCTCATCACGATTATCCATGTGGTGAGTCTTTAAAGGCCAGGTGACGGCCCTTCCCCCTCTCCTGGGAAATCACGCCAGCGCTGATCCTGCTAGGAGAGGGGAGAGGGGAGAGAATATGAATGAGACCTTGAAAGCAGAAGCCTCACTTTGGGGTCATATTTGGAAAAGCCCCTGTCTTCAGCAGCCACAGAAGCTCCCCCTGGGACCTCCTCAAGCCAGGAGCAGGCTGTGAGAGGTTTCCCTGGAATGGGGGTCTGGGTGCCCCCCACCCCCGTTTCCACCTCCCGCCTGCACCGCCGGGAGCTCCGGAGGAGTTCCCGGGGACCTAGAAACAGCGGCGAGAGCGTGAGAGGGGAAGAGCTGGGGGTCCGGGCCAAAAGGAGGATGGAGGGGCTAGGCTTCTAGAGCGTGGGAAGGGGTCCCAGGGACCGAGCCAAGTGGAAGGCTTGTCCAGGCCCCCGCCTGCTCCCCTGGATCTGGAGGGAGCCTCCACGTGCTTCCGGCTGGGGCGGCACCGCGCAGTGCCGGGAGCGCCCACGAGGGGGCGCGCGAGCTCGGCGGCGGCGGCGGCGCCCCAGCGGGAGCGGGAGGCCGCGGGGCACAAAGAGTGGCGGGGCGGACCCTGGGGCGCCCGGGTTCCCTGTCCCGTGGGTCCCCAGCAAACCGCAGCGGTAGGAGAGGTGGGCTTTGCCTCTGAAGCACAGCAGGCCCTTAACAAGTTTTCACGGACTGAATGCGTGAGCTATGTAAGCCCTGCCGCATCGCGACGTTAGAGGTTTCCCAAGTTACGCCCCCGCAGGCGCTCTGATGCTGACATATTAAAAGAAGCCCGGAGGAAGAGGGCGACGCACGCGGGTGGCTTTAGGCCGCCTATTTGGGGAATAAATGACAGAAGGGGCGTGGTGGGGTGGGGAGGAAGCGGGTCCCCGCGCCCTGGGTTCCGATTCTGGCCCGAGGCTCAGCTAGGATGGCCCCAGATCCCAGAGAACGTCCTACCTAGTGCCCGTTTCTACACCTCCCCCTCCCGCCCCAGAGTTACGGGTTAAGGAGAAAGACTTGGTCAGAGAAAACGTGAGACGGCGCCGGGGCAGGGACCCTCCTCCCGCAGCACACATCCCACCCTCCTTGCTCAGACACAGGCTTTTTCTGGCTGCTTGTGCTTCTAGGAGGCGCCACTGCGGGAGTCAGCCGTAGGAGGGGTGGGCTTTGCCTCTGAAGCACAGCAGGCCCTTAACAAGTTTTCACGGACTGAATGCATGAGCTATGTACGCCCTGCAGCACCGCGACGTTAGGACCCCCTTCTCCAGGAGGGGTCCTTAACCAGCTCCCCCTCCTCTGTGGTGATGACAGTGACAACCCCAGGTTCAAATCCCTGTTAACCGGCCGGGCGCGGCGGATCATGCCTGTAATCCCAGCACTTTGGGAGGCCGAGACGCGCGGATCACGAGGTCAGGAGATCGAGACCATCCTGGCTAACACGGTGAAACCCCGTCTCTACTAAAAATACAAAAAAAAAAAAAAAATTAGCCGGGCCTGGTGGCGGGCGCCTGTAGTCCCAGCTACTCGGGAGGCTGAGGCAGGAGAATGGCGTGAACCCAGGAGGCGGAGGTTGCAGTGAGCCGAGATCGCGCCACTGCACTCCAGCCTGGGCGACAGAGCAAGACTCCGTCTCAAAAAAAAAAAAATCCCTGTTAACCACCTGGGGGAACTCTCCAGGGCCCCCTTTCTCCCCAGTTACACTGAGTCATGGGACTAATTAAGGCACCTGCCACAGGAATCATTGTGAGGGTTAAATGAGGCGCTCGAGGCAGCTGGAAAGGGAGAATCCTGTCTGGGAAAGGAGGCAGCTGGGCCTGGGACATCGGCCTGGGGCACGGGACTCCCCTGGGCCATGTAAGAGCTGGCCTTACCTGGCCCGTCCAGTGGAGGCTCAGCTAGAGGGATAAGCTCTCAGCTGGTAACAATGGCGGCTGCCAGTTTTCTGCTTGGGTAAGAGGTGGGCACCAGCCCTGTGAGCGGCCTTCATTGCCTCATAGAGTTTTGGAGAGTTGCACGTGCCGTGGGCCATAAACTTCAGCCATGAGTAAACATCACACAGAACCCTGTGCTTAGAGGCCCCTCCTCTGGGTTCTTGCAAACATATTGGTCAACTAATATGTCTCTGGCACGTGCTAAATGCTACAGCGGCAGGAATTCCTGACTCACATTTCTTTCTGCCTTTCGTGCCCTCCCCCAGATAGCTGCGTGGCTCTATAACTTCCTTCCAGTTTCTGCTCAAATGAACCCCTACCCGTGCAACCCTTGTCCCCTTATTCTGCTTTATTTTTTCCATAGCACTTATTACCACCTGCCAAATTGATTTATTTATTGTTTATTCTTCCCCATTAATATTGAAACCCCACAAAGGCAGGGACAATAATTTATTTAAAAATCTAGTTCTAGATTAAGGGTCCTGGGAGTACCCGCTAGAGACTATAACGGCAAAAAATGCCAAAAAGAGAGAGGTGGACATAGAAAGAAAAAGAAAAAAGCTTAAACAAAGGATTGAAACCCCCCACTGAAAATTATAAAATACATGAGGAATTCTAATGCTAAGACAAACAAAATCTACAATCAGAAGATGAATTCACTGCAGATGACGTTAATTTTATAGAATAGTTTGACAAATATTGTAAGTAAATGTGTTTGAGGAGCTTAAGGAAATGACTGAAGGAACAACTTCTATTAAATAAAAAAAAAAACCAAGACATTCAAATAGGCAGAAATGAACCAAGAAGTAGACATCTTAGAAATAAAATAAGTATTGGCTGTTGAAAAAAAAGTTATAGGATGAATTCCAAAATAGAAACAAAGAGTATATTAGTAAATCTGAAGATGGTAAAAAAAAAAAGAATTAGTTTAGAATGCAGCACAGACTGATGAAGAGACTAAAATAAGAACGAATTAAGACACATGAATGATGGATTAAAATAGACTCTGATGTATGAAAATAGGAATCTCAGAAGAAGAGAATGGAAAAATAATATTTGGAACAATAAAGCTAAGAATTTCCTGGATTGAAGAGGACATGAATTATTTGATTATAAGTGCACTCAAGGTGCCAAGCAAGGTAAATAAAAATAAGTCTACACCTAAGCACATTGTCTGCAACTGCGGAACATAAAGGATAACAAGACAATAGCAGAAGCTATCAAAAAGAAAAGATAAAATCCACCTAAAGGCATGTCTATTAGACTGTCAGCCTACTCCTCATAAGCAATGGAATAATATCTTTAAAGCCCTGAGTTTATATGCAGCTAAATTATCATTCAGGAACAAAGGCAAAATAGAGATATTTTCAGACATACAAAGACTAAGAGGATCTACCTCCCACAGATGTTCACTACAAGAAAAGTAATTCAGCAAGAAGAGAAATGAACCCAGAGAGAGGACGTGGGATGTAATAAACAATGGTCAGCATGGACATTGATAAAATGTTAGTACATTTAACTAATTTCCAACTTTAAAAAGAAAGTTTTTGTGACTTAAAAAAGGTAAAGTGAAAATTCCGAAAAGACAATATAAGCATAGGGAGGGGTGGTGTTCTGTTGGTGATTAAAGTAAACGAATGGACTTGTATTTGGGAGGAGAATAGAAATACTAGATTTTTGACAGTGTCAGAATAGTTTATAGTGAAGTGTGCATATTAAAAATGTAAAAGTAATTGTTAAAGGAAAAGAAATGCAATCCTTTCAAATCAGCAGAAGAAATGCAGAAAGCTTGATCAATCCAACGGAAGGTGAGAAAGAAGAAAAAAGAAGCAAAGAAAAAGGACGTAAACATATATGACAAAATAAGGTGGTAGAAATGAGTCCAAATAATCAGTAATCAAATTAAATGAAAACTGATTAAATTCACTAGATTGAATTTTTTTAAAAAGCATCTATATACTGCTTATAAGTAACATGCTTAAAACAAAACCATGAAATATAATTGAAATTAAAGACATGGAAAAGATATATCATAAAAAATACAAAACAAAGGAAGTTAATATAGCAATGCTAATATCAGACAAAGTTGGGCTTTTTGTTGTTGTTGTTGTTATTGTTTTTGAGACAATGTCTCTTTCTGTCGCCCATGTTGGAGTACAGTGGCATGATCATGGCTCACTGCAGCCTTGGCCTCCCAGATTCAAGCGATCCTCCCACCTCAACCTCCTGAATAGCTAGGACTACAGGTGTGCACCACCATGATGGCTAATATAAAAAAAAAATTTTTTTGTAGAGACAGAGTCTCACCATGTTGCCCAGTTCACCATGTTGAACTCCTAAACTCAAGCCACCTGCCTGCCTCAGCCTCCCAAAGTGTTGAGATAATATGTGTGAGCCACTGACCCAGCCAATTACATTTTTAAATGATTTTAAATGTAGTAAAAATAAACCAAACAAACAAATACTGATATGATTTGGCTCTGTGTCCCCACTCAAATCTCATCTCGACTTGTAATCCCCAGGTGTGGAGGGAGCAACCTGGTGGGAGGTGACTGGATCATGGGGGCGGTTTCCCCCATGCTGTTCTCCTGATAGTGAGTGCACACAAGATCTGATGCTTTAAAAGTGTTTGGCAGTTCCCCCTCTTCTCTTTCTTTCTCTCCCTCCCTGCCTCCCTCCCTCCCTCTTTCCTTTCCCTTCTCCCTCTCTTCTACCACCTTCTGAAGAAGGTACTTGCTTCTCCTTTGCCTACCCTCATGATTGTAAGTTTCCTGAGGCATCCTCAGCAATGTGGAACTGTGAGTCAATTAAACCTCCTTTCTTTATAAATTACCCAGTCTCAGGTGGTATCTTTATAGCAGCATGGGAACAGACTAATACAAATACCATTTTCACATTTTGAGAAACTTAATTTACAGTTTGAAAAAAAATCAAATGAGATGTACAAAGTATTTATAACTGAGTAACAGTGAGAGTTTTACATATCAAAACTTATGGAATGCAGTTAAAGCAGTGCATGATGATAAATTTATCATCTTAAATAAATTTATTAAGGAACAAAACAAAATAATAACAATTGAGTTAAGCATTCACTGCAAAGAGCTGGAAAAAACCAACAATTAAAAAATAAATGGAAGGAAATAATAAAGACGTAGAGTAGAGATTAGTGAAATAGAAAACAATAGAAAAGATTAACAACATAAAATCAGGTTGAGGAATAAAAGTCATAAGTTATATTAAGAATGAAGAGGAGTATTAGTATTACTATGGATAAAGGTAAAACTAGAAACTCATCAAATTAGCCAAGCACATAACAGTCTAAAATTAAAAACTACCTTCCCCAGACTCCCTTGCAGCTAGGTGGGCTCCCATGAATCTGTTCTGGCCAGTGGGATGTAAATAGAAATGATGAGCCCTGGCACAGTGGCTCATGCCTGTAATCCCAGCACTTTGGGAGGCCGAGGCAGGCAGATCATGAGGTCAGGAGATCAAGACCATCCTGGCTAACATGGTGAAACCCCGTCTCTACTAAAAATACAAAAAATTAGCTGGGCGTGGTAGCGGGCGCCTGTAGTCCCAGCTACTTAGGAGGCTGAGGCAGGAGACTCCAGCCTGGGCAACAGAGCGAGACTCCGTCTCAAAAAAAGAAAAAAAAAAAAGAAATGATGTGTAAAACTTCTATGAAGTCCCATTATAAAGTCCTTAGGGGGATGGCAGGGGGATGCCCTTCCCTTTCCTTTTTCTCATTCCTGCATCCTGGAATGCAGACTTGCTGGCTAATGTTAGAGCAGCCATTTTGGACCATGAGATGTGAGCCTCATATTGAAGACAGAGGAGAAAGAATGGAGAGAGCCCAAGTCTCTAAGGATTTAGGAACTTGCACTCCAGCTTGGGACTGCTGATAGAAATAAACTTCAGCCCATTGTGGTAGTGCACACCTGTAGTCCCAGCTACTCAGCAACTGAGGCTGAGGCAAGATGATCACTTGAGCCCAGGAGCTCAAGGCTGTAGTACGCAGTGATTGTGCCTGCAAATAGCTAGTGCATCCCAGCCTGGGCAGCATGGCAAGACCCCATATCTATAAATAAATAAACTTCTAACTTGTTTAAACTGCTCTTTTGTGCTATTTTCTGTTGCTTATAATCAAAACATAAACTTGTGTAATGAAACTGGCAAAAAGGATCTATCAAAAAACTAGTGGCAAACACAGCATAGGAGTCCCTTTGGAATCATTCCTACAGAAATCAGAACCAAGACAAAAATTCCTGCTAGCACTTCTACTCAGAATTGCATGTGAGAGCCTATGCAAAATGACAAAAAGGAAAAAGAGCAAGAAAAGATGTAAGAATAGAAAGAAAGAAAACACTGTTGTTAGTTGCAGATGTAATGAATTTCCTACATAAAAAATGTAGGCTTTCAGGCAAAGACGGCAAATTGAACGCATGAATCTAATTTTTTTTCCTCCTGATATTCCACTAAAATTACAGCAAAGGGATTTTAAAATATAGACATAACTCTACAAGGACAAGAAAAACAGGAGAGAAGTTACGAGCAATAACATTTTAGAAACTGGGAAGCAGATGGGAAAGAAGTTGCTGACTTAGCAGGTCCAAGAATGCCATATCCCAAGCTGACAGTGGTTAAGTAGGACACCACCTGACCCAGCGGCATCCTCACAGCCTCTGCCACTGCTGGGATGGGGTGTGATGGATGGGGATAAATAGGGATAACTGATTGAAAGCTGTTTAGGAAGCAGTTAGACCCAGGATCTCAGCACTCTCCTAGTTTTACACTGCAAAGCAATGCCCTCTCCCACCCTGGCAGAAGCTGGGGGAAGTATTTTTCTGGACTGAGAAATCCAGTTATGGAGACTGTATCCAAGAAAGAGAGAATTATTAATATATGCTTCACGAACGCTGAAACTGTCTGGCGTTCTTTGCTATTAGGTTCCCAAAAAGAAAGACCTAAAAGTACTAACACTGGGCTCCACCAAACCATCCATCCGGATGGCTCGGCAAAGAAGCTCAGAGTTGACATTCCCACCCCACCTCCCACCCCTCCCATGGGCTCAGAGCTTTCAAACAGCATTGTGGCTTCTCGCTCTTGGTCATAAGCAGACAACCAAGGATTATCAACATCTGAAGAAAGCCTCTAACCTGAAAAATAGGGGCCAATAAAGAACAAGCTGGCAGAAACAGACTATAAAAGAAAGCTTTAAGAAATAAAAAGAGCTATCATACATATCTTCAAAGGCAAAAAGAGACATTTTGCATGCATGAAATGAGAACAGGATGCAGTCTGTTTCTTACCAGGAAGCTGGACTAGCATAACTTCTGGCTCCTTCTCTAGAGATCAATGCTAGAGAAACCAAGAAAGCTCTAAGGATCCCCTGAGAACTGTTGGAGTTGTTCTCTTGCTTCTTGGAGTTGTTCTCTGCTGTTACTTTGGGAGCTTAGTACCTGCTCTGTGCACAGCTGCTGTGACTCAGACCTTTGGTCCAGGGGTCATTGAGAGTAAAATTAGAAGCCCCATACTTGTGAGGAGCCGAGAAAAATATATAGGGAATAACCATCCTTGGGTAGTATCTTTCTTCCCCCTTATTCTACAACCTCCTAAGGCTGGTAAATTATAATCTAAGTTTCACCTCCTAATGCTGCTTTTTCTCTAGGGGAGAGGAACAAGGGTACGAAGAATGATGCCTTGACACAAGAAGTTGTTTTGTGGGTGAGAACTGAGATTTTTCTGATAACTAGGGCTTTTCACCCTAAATCTCATCTGCTCTACCCTCACGCCCACAGAGGTAGTTGCAATCAACAAGCACAGAGGCCTGGCCTTCAGCATTGCCTGGCAGAATAGCCAGTGCCCTAGGGAAAAATCAGCACTAAGAAGCACAAATATTCCACAAGAAAAACAACATATTGTATTTTAGATTCTAACAGAAGCCTAAATATTAAAACAGATGGGCAAAAATCTTCTAATTTGCTTTATAAACATAGAAAGATAAAGATATAAGCAAAATAAAGCAAAATAAGAAAACATAAAAAAGAACCTAGGAGAAGCACAGCATTAGGTTTGAAAAATATAGTAGTTGAAATACAGTATTAGACATGGAAAGTATCACAGTTAAAATAAACAACATAATAGGATAATTACAGGCTGAGGAATGAATTGGAGTGTCAAATGAGGAAATCCTCAAGAAGGAAGAAGGAAAGGACAAAAAAATAGAAAACAAAAACTAAAAGACATGGAAGTCATTAAACGAAGCCATAGTCAAGGGGAGGAGAATTAGCCTCCATCTTTTGGAGGGAGAAATGTCAAATAATTAGTGGATAGTCTATACATCACACTCAGAGTGGATTTTTTTAAAGGTATGATACTTTGGATAAATCAAGATTGATATGTATCAATTTTAGGAAATTCTCGACCATTATCTCTTTAAAGCTCCCCTATTTTCTCCCCTGGAATTCTTGTTAGACATCTATCAGATTATTTTATATACTTAACCTCTTTTATAGTTTCTATATCTTAATGTATCTATACTGAACTATTGGTAGTATCTTCATATTTATCTTCCAGTTCACTAATTCTCTCCTCAACTAAGTCTTCAATTGGGTCTAATATACTATTCACGACATTCTGGCTTTTTTTTTTCTTTTTTTTGAGACAGGGTCTCACTCTGTCAACCAGGCTGGAGTGCAGTAGGGCAAACACATCTCACCTCAGCCTTGACCCCCCAGGTCGATTCTCCTGCCTCAGCCTTACCAGTAGCTGTGACCACAGGTGTGTGCCACCACACTCAGCTAATTTTTAAAATTTTTGTTTGTAGAGATTAGGTCTCACTATGTTGCCCAGGCTGGTCTCAAACTCTTGTGCTCAGGCAATCCACCTACCTCAGCCTCCCAGAGTAATGGGATTACAGGTGTGAGCCACTGCACCCAGCCTGGCTTTGTTATTTTAAAATTATATTTTTTACTTATAAGAGTTCTCCATAAGCCTTGGCAACATGGCAAAATCCCATCTGTACAATAAATACAAAAAATTTGCTGGGTGTGGTGGCGCCTGTAGTCCCGACTACTCTGGAGGCTGAAGTGGGAGGATCACCTGAGCCTAGGAGGTCGAGGCTGAAGTGAGCAAAGATCACACCACACTCCAGCCTGCATGACAGAGTGAGGCCCTGTCTAAAAAACAAAACAAAACAAATCAAGACAAAAAAAGAAAACACAGAGAGAGAACTAAATAAATAAAAGTTCTACATATTTATCAGTGGAGGTCAGTTCGTTCTTATTAGTAAATTTTGATAGTATTTTATTGCTAGTCAATTTTGCAATTTAATATTTTTTTCCTTACGTATTCCCTTACACAGTTATTTTACGTTACCTGATGATATCAATATCTGATATCCTTGAGGACCTAATTCTGTTGTTGATTGTTTCTCCTGGCTCTCACTCATGGAAGTTTGTCTCCTTGTGTTTTTGGTGACTAAAAAAAATTTTTTTAAGAGACAGGTCTCACTCTGTCATCTAGACTGGAGTGCAGTGGTGCAACCATGGCTCACTGCAGCCTCAACATGCTGGGTTCAAGTGATTCTCCTGCATCAGCCTCCTGAGTACCAGGAACTACAGGCACGTGCCACCATACCTGGCTAATTAAACAATTTTTTTTTGTAGAGACAAGGTCTCACTATGTTGCCCAGCCTGGTCTCAATCTCCTGGCCTCAAATGATCCTCCTGCCTTGGCCTCCCAAAGCGTTGGGATTACAGGCTTGAGCCACCACACCTGGCCTTTGGTGATTATCAATTGTGAGTTCACATTGGTAGATATTAATCTGTGAGAATCTTTGGGCCTTAATTGAGGATGACTTTCTCCAGATAAGATTTACATTTACTTTTTCTGGGTGCCAAGATGCCAACCTGCTCACTTTAACATCTTCCAGGGTCCCAGCTTACCACCTGGGTCCTGGTTTAGCTGCTTCTTGCTGCTGGCCCAAAGTTTAGTCTTGCAAAGTTATCTTGCTGCACTTACATGTGTGGACATCTGCACTCAGGGCAACCCCATTTCCCCTGTATGGTTGTTTTTTCCCGTGGTTTCAGCTCACTTGGTACCTTGGAGATTTCACTTATTTCCTGCAATCCCAGCTGTGCATGAGGAATCCTGCTTCCAGCAGGATAGACATGATCGTGACAAGACTTGTCAGGGTACCTAGGCTGTTACTTGCAGAAATGGAAGTCCCAGGAATTTTTTTACCATGAAAACACCCAGAAAAACAAACAGAGCTAGTAAGAGAATTCAGCAAGTTTACTGAAAGAAGCCAATATAAAAAAATTCATATTATCCCTATACACCAGTAACAGCCAATTAGAAAATATAAAAGAAAAAAATCATTTATAATGATAATACTCTTTAAGATGCTTAGGAATAAATCTAGCAAAAGATATACAAGACCTTTAAGGAGAAAAAATTGCAAAAATATTATCAAAGGACATAAAAGAAGATATGAATAAATGGGAATTTTTAAATGCTCCTGGGTAATACCCGTGGGTTGGAAGATGCTATCATAAAGGTGTCAGCTCTTCTCAATTTAATCTATAACTTTAATACAACACAAATGAAAATTTCTGTAGAATTTTTTGTGGAACTTGGCAAGCTGATTCTAATATTAATGTGGAACAACAAAATGAAAAGAAGTGCTAATATAATTGTGAAGTGTGTGGGAAGGGGACTTTCCATACAAAATATGAAGATTTATTATAAGTTGTACTAGCTCAGACAGAGTGGTTTCAGCACAGGGACAGAAAAGTAGCTCTATGGATTTAAATAGAGTCCAGAAAATAAACCTCGTCATATTTGGAAACTTGATATATGAGAGAGATTGCATTACATTTGTGGGGGAAAGAAGGACTATTTAATAAATAATGCTGGGAGAAATTGTTATTTTTATGGGATAATAAATCTCCATAGATATTATACAAAAACTCTGTGTGGATTAAGGGCTTTAATGTGAAAAGCAAAACTTTATAATTCTTAGAAGAAAATACATCATGATCGTGACATATCTTTGTGGCCTCAAGTTGGAAGGGGAAGGATTTTTTTTCTTTTTTGAGAGACAGTCTCACTCTGTCGTCCAGGCTGGAATATAGTGACATGCAAACAGCTCACTGCAGCCTCGACCTCCTGGGCTCAAGCGATCCTCCCATCTCAGCCTCCCTAGTAGCTGGGACTACAGGCATGCACCACAATGCCCAGCTAATTTTTGTATTTTTTGTAGAAATGGGGTTTCACCATGTTGCCCAGGCTGGTGTCAAACTCCTGGAGTCAAGCGATCTGCCTGCCTTGGCTTCCCAAAGTGCTGGGATTACAGGGGTGAGTCACTATGCCTGGCTTGGATTTCTTAAACAAGACACAGAAGCTCTTTTTTTTTTTTTTTTTTTTGAGACAGAGTCTCACTCTGTCACCCAGGCTGGAGTGCATTGGCATGATCTCGGCTCACTGCAACCTCCGTCCCCCAACCCCCCCGGGGTTCAAGCGATTCTCCTGCCTCAGCCTCCTGAGTAACTGGGATTACAGGCATGCATCACCATGCCTGGCTAATTTCCATATTTTTAACAGAGACGGGGTTTCACCATGTTGGCCAGGCTGGTCTAAACTCCTGACCTCAAGTAATCCACCCACCTTGGCCTCCCAAAGTGCTAGGATTACAGGCGTGAGCCTCCACGCCCAGCTAGAAGCTCTTAATTCAAAAAAATGATTGATACATTTGACTTCATTAAAATTTAGAACTTTAGCACAATAAAAGATACTATGAACTTAAAGACAAGACACAGATTGGAGAAAATTTTGCAATGCAAATAAGCAACAAATTAGCATCTAGTATATATTAAAAAGTCTTACAAAAGTTTTTTTGTTTTTTTTTTTAAATTTGCATCACAAATGATGCAAACAGACATTTCAAAGAAGTGGAAGCCCAAATGGTCAATAAGCATCTGAAAAACTGCTTGACCTCAATAGTAATCAGGAAATTGCACATTAAATACACATCAAGATAGTATTGTTGGATATTAAACATTTAATATTAATTAACGTTTGCACTCTTAAGAGGGTAAACTGATATAACCACTTTCGAGAGCAGCTTAGCAAAATCTAGCAGAGCTGAGGGGTATATCCCTACACCCAGCAATTCCACTATAGGCATATTCCCTAGGGAAGTTATTACACATATTCATAAAGAGACTGTGTACAGGAATGCCCATACTCCCCCAGCACTGTTTGTAATGATGAAAACTAGAATTACAGGAGAATGGATAAATTGTGATGTATCCATATAGAGTGCAGTGCAGCAGTTAGAGTAAATGAACAAGAGCTACATATATCAATGTGGATGCCTCTAAACCCACAGGATCTAAATCAAGCAAGGCAGAAGAATACATACTGTATGATGCCATTTATAAAAAGTTTCAAAATATGTAAAAATATGCAAAACAATTCTATATATTGTTTATGGTTATAGTTACTATATAAATGTGTAGGAAATGTATAAAAATCTGGATGGGAAGTAAATACAACAACATGTTAAAAATTGATAAAAGCTGAATATTTGATAAGTGGGCACATTGGCATTTTAATATATTATTCTCTTTACTTGTCTCAAGTTTTGAAATGTTTCATTTAAAGAAAGCATTCTGTAGCCGATGGAGAATGGATTCGAAGCAAGGGAGACACAGTGGTGGTTTTTGCAGTGGGATGGGTGGGAGAGGTGGTAGAGAGACGGGGAGGGAGGAGGGATTTTAAATTTGGCCCCGTGGATGTGGGTTTGTTGTTGTTGTTTTGTTTTGTTTTTGTCTTGAACAACTATGTGGATAGGGGAGGCTAAGTAAAAAGTTTTAAAGTGATAATTTCAAGTGTTGTCATTGGTGTGGGGAAATAGCACCCCAGTGCTGGTCTGGGCATAAATTGGCTCACTGGCTTTGCTGGTAATTCAGTGGTGACTCCACTGCTGGTCAAACCCATGTGCAGGCCAGGCACAGTGGCTCGAGCTTGTAATCCCAGCACTTTGGGAAGCTGAGGCAGGCAGATCATGTGAGGCCAGGAGTTCAAAACCAGCCCAGGTGGCAAAGTGAGACTCCATCTCTACAATCAATCAATCAATCAATCAATACCCATGTTCAGGGAGTCCCATGAATGGACATTCAGTGCAGCAGCAATCTCAATGTCCCACCAAAGAAGAATGGGTAAGCAGACTAGGTACATCCTTGGATTGGTGTCCGATGGTACCTGCCTTTTGTCTTTGCCAGACTGATGCCTTAGAATCTTGACTAGACCCATGGCACAGGGAGTAGAACAGGAAAGTATCTGTTTCTAAGGTGCAGCAAATGATGATAAACCCCTAGGCTCGAATGCTGGGTATGGATGTTGGGAGTAGACACAGCCACCTCCAAACGGTGAGCCCAGAATCCTTTAATTTTCTAACCACGTGGCATCCTCACTCCTTACGGGACACTGTGAAAGGCAGGCACCCCCTTCCTATCCCACTGGGGTAGGGGTGGGGGCAGGTATGGAGTGTGGGGATGAGCCAGTTCTGTGCATTTGCACCATTAAGAAGCCTTGAAAGAAAACGTAGTCAAGTCCAAATTCCTCTCTCCAACCCTTGAAACTGGGCAGTTTGCCAGTGTCTAGCCTCTCACCCTACCTAGCAGTTATAGGAAATGAGTTAGAACAAATATATAGCAACATGGGTAGATCTCAGCAAATCATAAGGAGTGAAAAAAGCATGATGCTGAATGAAAGGTGCAGCATGACACTGGTTTATGTAAATAAAAACCGCATAACAAAGTTGCATAATTTCTGTAGACACAATTATGTACCTGAAACGCAGTTTTTAAGATTGGAAAGAACTCATCAAATTCACGAGAATGTTTCTCCTGGTGGTGGGAAGGGATCAGGATGGGAAGGTGGTGGAGGTCAGGCGAGATGAGTGGAGGTGGTGGAGGTCAGCTTTATTCATTATGACTAAAATTTTTTTGTTAAGGGACACTGTATTCTTATTTATATACTTCCAAAAAGTATAAACATAAAATACAAGACAGAGGAGCAAAAATGCCAAAATGTTATACAGAGGTAATTTCTTGGGCAGGAGAGTACAGATAATGGCATCTTTATCTTTGTACTTTTTTGTATTAATTTAACTTAAAACCTTAACCATTTGCTATTCAGAGAGGTTATGAAGATCAATTAAGATCTTAGACATAAACTGTCCTGTGGACTAAACAGTGCTTTATAATGAGAGTCCCCAATAATTGTTTGCTGATTTGAAAAAGTAAGTGGAGATAGAGACGTGGCAATAACTGCTTTGGAGAAGTCTTGCAGTGAAGACTTGCAGAAGACGCTGGTCTTCTGCCTTGCTGGGGAGGAGGAGGTGGGTGTGGTGAGCATGGGGATGGAGGCGTGTCCTGGGTGGGGTGGGAATGGGCTTGACTGCTGTCAAGAACCCAGACTTTATGGCTGGGTGCAGTGGCTCACGCCTGTAATCCCAGCACTTTGGGAGGCCGAGGCAGGTGGATCACTTCAGGTCAGGAGTTCAAGACCAGTCTGGCCAACATAGTGAAACCCTGTCTCTACTAAAAATACAAAAAAATTAGCCAGGCATGGTGGCTCATGCCTGTAATCCCAGCTACTCGGGAGCCTGAGGCAAGAAAATTGCTTGACCCTGGGAGGCAGAGGTTGCAGTGAGCTGCGATTGTGCCACTGCACTTCAGCCTCCAGCCTGGGCAACAGAGCAAGACTCCGTTTCAAAAAAAAAAAAATCCAGGCTTTTTGAGTAGGATCCACTTGGGTTCAAATTCTTACTTTGCCTCTAAGTAGCTACATAAATTTCTGAAACATCACTTAAACTGCTAGAGCCTCAGTTTTCTCATCTGTATAATAGGGATAATATCACTAACCTTGCAGAGGTGCTAGTAATCACTGACCCAGCCCCAACCACATTAAGAGTTTAGAATTTCATCCCCTGCTTTTCTGGGCTTTGAGGGGGTATAGAAAGGTTGGGGGACATGGAAGGGTTGTGTGGAAAACCACATGGTGGATTGCACCAAGCATCACCCCTGCTGGTGGTCACCCGGCTGGGGGGAATGCTGGCGGAATGGGCAGCGAGCGGACCTGGGTATAGGTGGTAGCAATAACTGTTAGAATGGAAGAGAGGCCCTCCCAGGCGACGACTCTGCTTTCATCAGGGGCTAGGCTTCACATAATCCTTCTTTAGTGGTCTTTGCTAGGTCTACCCTCTGATCTCTTTTCAGGCTGGGCCCCTCCTCTTAGGAAATTGCCTTCTCAGGAAATCCCTTCTCCCTCCTCATTTATTTCATAATAATACTTGAGAGTTCATTAACCCCAGGGAATGAATCAGCCTAAAACTCATTCCCCTTTCTGGGAAGATTTAAGCCTACAGCCCCTCCAGGGCAGTAAAGGGAGGCAAAGAGAAGACCGTCTGAACTCTCACTTCTGAAGCAAAAGGAACCAGGATGGTACAATGCCTGGTGCATTGCAAGTGCCCATTAGATTATAGCAAAAGTGCCCTCCTACAAATCTTGGATAAGCAATATATGAATAGGTATCTAACAAACTGGAACATTGCTGATTTAAACAGGTTTATTGCAGGAATTGTTTGGACCTCTCAATTCTATGCACCTTGTGAATTTCCAAGGAGAAATTTAATAGGAGAACTGTATACAGTTCTCCAAAACTTCCTGGACTATGGGGCTTTTGTTCAAAGAACACCTGTAAGTCTCCTGTAGAACTAGAGTCTCAGGAACGCTGTTATGGAAATTGGATTACTAGGTAAATAGGTTATATGATTCAATTCCAACAATTTTTATCACCATTCTTTGCTATCTCAAGCCTTGGGCTAGGTGTGGGACTGTGCCCCAATTCCAAAGCACCCGATTTTATCCTTCATCATGGGGGTAGGAAGGACAGGGGTCTCATATTTTAGCCACCTAGAGAACTTCTTCAACTCACATCTCCTCCACCTCCATCTCTACCTTCCCCTCCTCACTTGTCTAAGAGCCGGGAGACCTGGGTTGTCCTGCACTCTCCCCTCAATCCCTAACACGAGGGCTGGTACAAAGTTAGTGCTCAGTACATGCTGGTTTAACCATTAACACAGTTCTTCACCTTGTACCCTCACTTTTACATATTTAAAAGTATTTTCTTAGTTTAAGGATGGGGTAAATTAAAGTTCCTCAGGTTTGACAAATGGGTGATTGTGTTTTGCTAGTAAGGAGAAATGTTTATTAACTTTCATTTAATAAACAATTTTAGACATAGATAAAAGCAGAGAAAATTGTTTAACGAACCCAGTGAGGGGGTTTTGCTCTCAAAGTTAGGCTAGCTTCTACCTTCCCGAGTGGGGCTTACCAGCCAGAGTTTTTGGGCTATGTTTTTTAATTCAATGAAAATTTTTATTTTGAGATCATTGCAGAGTCACACGCTTTTGTAAGAAATGACACAGAGAGATTTCACATGCCATTTATCCACTTCCCCCAATGGTCACATCTTGCAAAACCACAGATACAAGATGTATCTTTCAATGTAGGCAAGCTACATTGAAACAATCTACCAATCTTACTCCAGTTTCCAGTTTCGCTTGTACTCTCCGTGTTCCTGTGTGTGCACGCGTGTTTAAGTACACACCACTTTCTTACCATGCACGCGTGTTTAGGTCCACAGCACTTTATCACCGTGCACATGTGTTTAGGTCCACAGCACATTATCACCGTGCACGCGTGTTTAGGTCCACAGCACATTATCACCGTGTACGCGTGTTTAGGTCCACAGCACTTTATCACCGTGCACGCGTGTTTAGGTCCACAGCACATTATCACCGTGCACGCGTGTTTAGGTCCACAGCACATTATCACATGTGTAGGCTCTTATATCCACCACCACAGTTAAGATACAGAACAGTTCTACCATCACCAGGATACGCCCCTTCCTCCTCCTTCAACCCCAATCAGGGGTTTTTGAGTGAGTGACGTGAGAGACTAAGAAGAGCGTGGGAAAAATGAGGCAAGACCATTGAGGCACCTGGAGCAGAGAAAGAGACTTCCCAGAAAGAACAGAAAAGTTGAAAGAGGATTTCCAGTTTTGCTGTGCAATGAGTGATATGCCTCCACAATTCCCCCACAAAATCTAGACTCAGCCATCAATCCATTTGGAGTTGGATTTGGTTATAAGCAGGGGGTGGGTACTGAAGTGCCAGGTCTGGTGGGAATTCTTGATCAGGTTCAAGTTAAATCTCACTTGATCCTCATCACTATCTAGAAAGGGATGAGCAAGAAATAATATCTCCATTATTGAGAGGACAAAAAAGATTGAACAAAAATGATAAGCCTGAGGTCACACACAGCTTGTAAGTAACAGCCTCTGAAAAAATCCAGGTGTGGAGACATCCTACTCCCTGGACTTCAAGTCAAGCTTGGTTAAGTCCGTCAAGATGCAAACTGAAACCAACTCAAAATATGGTCCAGCTGCAGCTCCTGCTTCCTTCACACCTACTCCTTTGCAGCAGTCCTTTGCAGTAAATGGCACCATCATTGAATTATCCTGGACTCCGCTGTCTCTCACCCCCGTGCCTTGTACGTCAGTGTGTCCTGTGCCCCAGCCCCAAAGCACATCTTGAATCCTCTCATCACCTTCACCACAGCTACCCAAGTCGAGCCTTCATGCCCTTCTGATGGTTTCTTTTGCAAAAGCCTCCTAAACAGTTTCTCTGCTTCAGCTATCATTCTGCCTGAGTGATCCAAATCAGAGCTCCACCAACTACACCCCGCAGGCCAAATCCAGGCTGCCAGCTGGCTTTGTATGGTCCATGAGCAAAAAAATATTTTTATATTATTAAGTGGTTGAAAAAATCAGAAGAATAGTATTTTGTGCCTCAGAAAACATGAAATTCCAATTTTATTTTCTGTAAGTAAAGTTTTATTGGAAAATAAGCCACACTTATTTTCTATTTTATTTTCTGAGGCAGGATCTCACTCTGTCGCCCAGACTGGAGTACAGTGGCACAATCACAGCTCACTGCAGCCTCAACCTCCCAGGCTCAAGCAGTCCTCCCACCTCAGCCTCCCAAGTAGCTGGGACTATGGGGGTGCATCACCACACCCCAGCTGTTTTTTTTTTTTTTGGCAGAAATGGGGTCTTCCTACTTTGCCTAGGCTGGTCTTGAACTCCTGGGTTCAAGCCAGCCTCCAGCCTTGGCCTCCCAAAGTGCTGGGATTACAGGCTCATGTGAGCTACCGTGCCCAGCCAGCCACGCTCGTTTATGTGTATAGTGTCTGTGTCTGCTTCCACAGAGTGGAACAGTTGCAACAGAGATGCTGTGGCCTACAAACCCTAAAATGTTTACTGTCAGGGCCTTTATAGAAAATGTCTGCTGACAGCATTCCCCTCTCAATCTCCTCCAGGGGCCTCCCGTTCCTCTTACAGGGTAACCCGAAGTCCTTGCTTTGGCCTAAAGGCCTGTGCCACTCTGACTTATCTCCCGCTTCTCCCCTGCATCACTGCACTACACTCGTGCTTTGGGTCGCCTTCTCTCCCTATTGATTTTATATACGAGGCTGTTTCCCTCTCAGGCCTCTGAGCCACTGCCTCTCTGGCTGGAGTGCTCGTGGGAAATTATGTCAATCTAGGATACAGAAGTCTCCCTTCTAGGGAAATAGACACACAACTCCTAGGCTAAGAAAGGCGTCATTCTCCCCAGGTTTTGGTTGAAATGGATCGGCCTCACCTATTCAGAAGGGCCTTCCCTGTCCACTCCTTCCCTCAGCCATTCTGTCTCAGTCCCTGTTTATTTCCTTCATTGCACTTTTGTCCTCATGCTTATTGTCTGACACCCCCACCAGGACATAAGCTCCATCTGGGCAGAACATTTATTAAATGCTCAATGAATGTTTGTTGAGGAATGAATGAATGAGGCCTTTCTTAGCCTAGGAGTTGTGTATCTATTTCCCTAGAAGGGAGACTTCTGTATCCTAGATTGAAATAATTTCCATCAATTCCGGCTGGGTATGGTGGCTCACATCTGCAATCTCAATACTTTGGGAGGCCGAGGTGGACAGATTGCTTAAGTCCAGGAGTTGGAGACCAGCTTGGGCAACATGGTGAAACCTTGTCTCTACAAAAAATACAAAAAGTAGCTGGGCATGGTAGCATGCATCTGTGATCCCAGCTACTTGGGAGGCTGAGGTGAGAGGATCACTTGTGCCCAGGAGTCAAGGCTGTCTGCAGTGAGCTGTGATCATGCCACTGAACTCCAGCCTAGGCAACAGAGCTGGACTCTGTCTCGGAAAAAAAAAAATCCCATCAGTTCCTCCTCAGTGTTTTACTCTCCTCTTGCATTCACTGCTGTTATTAACCACCAGGAGTTCCTTTTCCAAATGTGTTGTCAGCCTTAAGGTCATTATGCAAGGAAGCAAGGAGACAGCTGCAACTTAACCAGTGTAAGGAAGAAAGGTTTCCCCTTCTCAGCAGGTGAAGGGGCCCCTTTCTTCTAGTATAAAAAGCCCCAATCTGTATTAACAAAAAAGATTAGTCATGTCAACATCCAAGTTTAGTGACTGTCACAAATACAGAAAGTTTCAACTCACCTATTTTTCTAAGTAACAGGAAACAGCCTCAGCTAATAAATACAACAGACAGCAATGTACACACGGTAAGGCTGGGGTGTAACTATTTGAAAGGCTCAGTCACCAGGCCAGATTGGCTAGATTATGCTGCAAAACAAAGCAATAGCCAAATCTCAGTGTCTGAAAACAACCCAGGTTTGTTTTATGCTGTCATTACACCTCCATCAGGGGCTGACAGGGCCATCGGACACGGGGACACTCAGGGATTCAGGACGGTGGAGCAGCTGCATCTTGAATGTTGCCGGTTGCCGTGCTGGAAAGAGACCTCTGGATGTTCTCACATCAGCAGCTGGAGGAGTGCAGGGGGCCAACCAGATCAGTGATGTGGGCCCAGCCCCAATCACAAGGGACAGGCCATGCAATCCCGTCTTGTGCCTGGAAGGCAGAGAGGAGAGGGCTGGGAGTATTTGATGAACGGCAGTAATGACAACCACACAGTGGGAAGAAAATGCATTCCCTTTAGAGGCAAGACAAGACCGGGGTAGGAGAGGAGAGGGCGAGAAAGATGGGAGCTGGGAAAGTAAGATCTTGTAGGTGCTTCCACAGCCACCCACCACAAGTCCTGTGTCACTGTGGCTAACAATCTGGTCACGTGCTCTTGTTCAGTTGAGCTGTAAATTCCTGTGTGTCATCTATTGTCATGGTGTTTGAAAAGCTGATTATGCACTATTCGTAGCTCTTCAACTACTCTTTGCTCTTAAACATGTATAGCACCCTTCTAAATAGGTAAGTTACCGCAGTCCTCCTCAGGTAAGATTATCCTCCAAGCTCTTGCTTCAGTGAGCAGAGGCATATAATTGCTGGGGACATACCAAGCTGAGACATGAACTCCGTAACAAACAGTTGCACACATTTCACACATGGTAGCTTTAAAGACTGTGAATGAATCCAAGACGACTCCGATGTTCTTCAGGGCTAACCCTAAGACCTCTTTTCAATTCATGTCCAGTTGGGTCAGTATCTTTGTTTGCATCAGTGCTGTCTAACAGAAACTTCTGCAATAATTGCAATATTCTCTGCACCATCTAATGTGGTAGCCCCTAGCCACACCAGGCTACAGAACACTTGAAATGTGGCTAATACCACTGAGGCACTGCATTTTTCATTTTATTTATTTATTTATTTATTTTTATTTTTATTTTTATTTTTTTTGAGATGGAGTCTCACTCTGTCGCCCAGGCTAGAGTGCAGTGGCACAATCTTGGCTCACTGCAACCTCCACTTCCCAGGTTCACACCATTCTCCTGCCTCAGCCTCCGGAGTACCTGGGACTACAGTCACCCGCCACCACGCCCGGCTAATTTTTTGTGTTTTTAGTAGAGATGGGGTTTCACTGTGTTAGCCAGGATGGTTTCGATCTCCTGACCTCGTGATCCACCCGCCTCGGCCTCCCAAAGTGCTGGGATTACAGGTGTGAGCCACCGTGCCCTGCTATTTTATTTAATTTTAAATAATTAAAATTTAAATAGCCACATGTGGCCTGACGTGGTGATTTAAGCCTGTAATCCTAGTACTTTGAGAGGCTGACGTGAGAGGATTTTTTGTGCTCAGGAGTTTGAGACCAGCATGGGCAACACAGTGAGACCTCGTCTCTACTAAAAATCAGGACAATCAGCCAGGTGTGGTGGTGCATGCCTGTAGTCCCAGTTACTTGGCAGGCTGAGGCGGGAGGATCTCTTGAGCCCAGGAGGTCAAGGCTGCAGCAAGCTGTGGTCACGCCACTGTACTCCAACCTGGGCAACAGAGTGAGACCCTGTTTCAAAAAAATAATAATAATAAGATAAAATAAATAGCCACATGCAGCTAGTGGCTACCATATAGGACAGTGCAGCTTTGGAGTAAGAAGGAAAATCAGAGCTTTGTATTCAGCCCTATCTTTGCTATGGCAAGAAAAAGATAGCTGTGTGCCAGGAAGACCAATGTAAATGCCGGCTCTGGTGTGTTTGGTTCCAACATTTTCTTGTGACTTACACTGCCCTGCTCACAGTCTCCCATCCAGGGAAGGTGTCTAGACTGTTCCTTGCAGAAGAGTGGCCTCTAATTGGATAGAGAGGTGGACTGCTGACCAAAAGGCATTCTTCTATTCACCGGTTGGCCAGAGTGAAAGAAGGTGGCCTATGATGGTGTCTCTGAAGGGAGCAGTGATGATTGGCTGAGTCTATCAGGTTGCTTTCTTTAGAATTTTTAAAGGTTTAGCCAATCAGCAGTGAGAAGAGAGAAACAGAAACAAGGAAATTATGGCTGAGAGACCTGGGTCCCTGACTGCTGTCGTGTCTTAATCCCAGCTCCCAACCACCTGTAACCCTAAACAAACATGCAAATAAAATACCCTTTCCCTTAAGTCGGATGGAGGGACTGCTTGCTCTTTGTTTCAAAAGAAATTAAGTAACTAAGATTCCTCCAACTCAGGGTATCTCAGCCTGGGCACTATTGACATTTGGGGCCAGATAATTCTTTGTCGTGGGGACAGTCCTATTAATTGCAGGATGCCCAGACATCCCTGGCCTCTACCCACCAGGTGCCAGTAGCACCCCACACCCACCCACCACCAGTTCTGATAACCAAAAAATGCATCCAGACGGTGTCCAATGTCCCAGGGTGGGAGTGGATGGGAGCAAAAATCTTCCACCCTTGAGAATCAGTTCTCTAACTGTATCCCAAATCCACCTCCTCGGGCCTTCTTAGGAGGAAAAGATAAGAGCAGCAGTTTATTCCTAGCAGAATCACAGCTCTCCCTCCTTCTCTTCTCCAGGCTAAATAAAGATAGCTTTTTTAGTCTTTTTCCTAGACTCTGTTTCACAGATACTGATGGAGACATCTAAAGATGAGACTTGGAACCATTTGGTTGGGAGGGACTCTTCTCTTACTGTACCTATTTATAGAGCCGGGGGTGGGGTGGGCAGAAACATCTGTGCAGCCCTGTGACAGTGGAAGCTCCCTGGTCAAGGAAGTGGCCGTGCTAGAAAGGAGCATCTCCAAGCTCCGCACTGGGCTGAGTGGCAAACGGCTGATTTATAAGAAGTGGGGAAGCGATCCTCTGAGGCCAGCAGGAGTTGTCTCTTACCATCCCTCGGAGCATTCCAACTGTTTCGGGGCTCTCTCCACTGGTATTCTCAGGGACACCTCAAACTAAATCAAAATAGAACTGCTTGTCTTCTTTCTCAGATCCATGCTTTTGCCAGTATTTTCCACTGTGGCCACCCACTTTCTCAAATTGAAAGTCCGAGGGTCTCCTTGTCTCATCCCTCTCCCTCACTGTCACATCTAACCCAACACTGAGTGCTCCAAATTCTTCCTCCTTGAATCTGCCCCTCCCTCCATTCCCTCCACCATGATTTTTGTCCCTGGATTATTTGATCAGCCTTTGAACTATTCAAATTGTCTCATTTCTCCCCTGCTCCCATCCACTCTGCACACTGCAGCCAATATGATCTTTAAAAAATGTATGAATCTGTTTCATGCCTGTTTAAAACCCTCCAGTTGCTACCTATTGTCTTAGGATGAGATCAGAAGTTCTCAACAGTGCAAGGCTCCCCGGGATAGGCCTGCTCTGCATCCAAGTCTCACCTCCTTTCACTCTTCCTCCCAAGGGATCGCTCCAGCCCCCATGGTCTTTGTTCAGCTCCTCAAAGATGCTATGCCCAGTGTGGACTCAGGGCCTTTGCACATCCGGGCTCTGTGCACATCCATCCTCCATCTCCTCCTCTGGAGAACTCCTAGCTATTCTTCAGGTCTCTTCAGTTTAGATCACCTCCTAAGAAGACCTTGCTAAGGAGGCCTTAGGAAGTCCAACCAGGTTCAATCCCCTTGTCATACCCTCTCGTAGAACCATGTAATTTTATTGTCTAAAGTTAGGTCCCCCCAAAACAAAGTATGGGTTAAAGACTTGAGAACAGGTCATGTATTGGAGATGCAAGCACAGAAATCAAGAGTACAGAAATGGGGAGAGATGGAGAAGGAGGAGAGGCCCGTGGAAGGGAAGGGGGTGTTACTAAGGTTGCTGGGTTTACAAGGAGGCTGACTACTCCAGGACTCTCTCCTGTCATTTCCAAGAGGGCTCACACAGAGTTGGAGAAGAACCCGGGGCAGGAAATGAAAACCTGTCAGTGCACAAGCTTCAAGGGGGCGACTTATGGCAAGCGATGAATTTGTGCTCATGCGGGACTGTCCACCACAGCCATGGCCGAAATCAGAGGTGGGTCAATGGCTGGGCATGGTGGCTTTTGCCTGTAATCCCAGCACTTTGGGAGGCCAAGGCGAGTGGATCACTTGAGGCCGGGAGTTCGAGACCAGCCTGGCCAAGATGGTGAAACTCTGTCTCCACTAAAAATACAAAAATTAGCCGGGCATGGTGGCGCATGCCTGTAATCCCAGCTACTCGGGAGGCTGAGGCAGGAGAATCGCTTGAACCTGGGAGGTGGAGGTTGCAGTGAGCCAAATTGCGCCATTGCAGTCCAGCCTAGGTGACAGAGGAAGACTCTGCCTCAAAAAAAAAAAAAAAAAAAAAGAAAAAGGTGGGTCAAAGGAATCCAAGACGAGGAACCAAAGAAACAAAGAAACACCTCCCACAACCATCTCATTGCACTTGCAATTACTACACCTGCTTAATGCTTGTCTTCCTTTATTCATGAGCAAAGAGCCTGTGTCTGTTTTCTTCATGGCTACATCCTGATGCCTGGCCTACAGCCACAGAGAATACTCAGGCACACAGTAGGTAATCAAGTAATAGTTGCTGAATTACACTGAATTAAATTGAACTGGGGTTAGGTGAGGGGTGCCTAGGAAAAAAGAGCCCTGAGGTTCTACTCAGAATTTGACAGCCCCCTATTCCTGTTGAGATTTGTAGTCAATTCATGAGTTGAATGTTGGCTTTATCATTGCCTCTTTGTTTTTGTTTTTCTCTTGTCAGTTCAGGTTTTCTTTTTGCTTTGGAAATAGACTTCCTTGCCTCACCTGCACTGTCCCATCCTACCTTCTTAGCAAGATCACGTTTCTAACTCCCTAAACTAACCCTCATTGAGCTTGATGATTAAAAATGCCAAGAAACTTCCTTACTAGTTTGTGATAGTGGAATGTGATGTAATGAGTCCTCCTTTAAAGCATCTCACTCCACATTTGTCCTCTCATTCTACCAGTTCCGGAGTGAATGTCCCTTGTCCTAGGTTCCTTTAACCCCAGCTTTTGAGGGTTCTCTATTTATCTGCTGCCCATGTATTTGAGATTTGACTGCACCCCAGGAGTTGTGCTACATTTTGTGGCTACAAAGACAGTCAGTTCTGTGCTTGCCTTCCAGGAGCTCAGAGGGGTGATAAACTCATAATCAACTGTAAAATTCTAAAAATGTGATAAATGCAGGGGTGAAGCAAGGATTGGGGTATCATGGGAGTGCCCTGGGGAGACACCTAACTGCCCTTGTGGGTCAGGGAAGATTTCCCGGTAAGGCAATGTCTGAGCTGAGTTTGGGAGGTTGTATAAGAGTTAATCACACCAAAGGGAACAGGCGAAGGGCGTTGCAGGTAGCACAGTGGGGAGGCCCGTAGCTTCAGAGCATTTGGGTCAATGTGGAAGGAAGACACTGGCAGAAGAAGAGTTGGGAGAGAGAGACAGCAGCCAGCTCAGGAAGGATTTTGTGTGCTGTGCAAAGCCTTCTCCATGGTGGTGACTGCCTCCTTTCTCATTAGCCGCTTCCTCAGGAACTCCCTACATTTGACTTGCATCCCCACCAGGCCACTCTAAACGCTCCCTTGAAAGCTCCCATCATATTTCCAAGTCCCACCCAGGGGGAAGGGTTATACAGGTGTGCATGCCAGAAGCCAGGACTCTTGGGACCATCTTAGAATTCTGCTTACCATATAGCCCATGAGTCTATGCCCTATTGCCTCATTTTTCAAACTCAAAATATTTTTTTAAAATGTTCCCAAACTGACTCCATGTTTCAAGTTCACCATTTAAGGAAATGAGGCCATGGCAGAGACAGCTCTCCCTCAGTATCTGAATTCCTTTTCTTTTTGAGACAGTGCCTACTCTACCATAGAGAATGCTGCAGAATTTTTAGCTGAGTACAAGGCCACTCTTAGCTTCCCTTGCAACCAGGTGTAGCCATCAGATTAATTTCTGGACAATGGAATGTAAGTGAATGTGATGAGTAGCTACGAGGAACCTCACTCAAGAGATCCTGGCTTTTGCTTTTTGCCAGTTCTTCTCCTTTTCTTTCTCCATGTGGATGCCGGAACCCAAGTGCCACCATCTTGTACCATGAGAATAGAGACCACACCCTAGGGATGGCAGATGAGTGAGCTGGCAGGGCCCTTTGTCTCCAGGGACTTTGTGGGACAGAACTGCCTTGCCAGCTTTGAACTGCATACTTCTGAACTTTTAACTGATAGGGATATAGACTTCTATTTTGTTTAAGCCACAGTTGATGTGAGTTGTCTGATGCTCACAGTTAGATATAATCCTAACCAACACAGGGTTATTTCCTTAGTCCCTCTAGACTTGAAAACTTAAATTTATTTTTCTTCCTTCAATCTCTTTAAGCTCTTATGTCCACCAACGCACTAAATCCTGTTGATTCTTCCTTTGTGCTTCACCTCACACTCATCCTTGCTTTTCAATTTCCATCGCCTTTCTGGTCCCACAGTATTCTCTGGATTCCATCCCCCTCTGTCCAATCAAGACTGCCAGCTCCCCAGATTCCTGAGGTATTACGTTCATCCTGAGGCATCACCTCAAACCGCTCAAATGTGGGCTGCTATTGTGCTTAATAGGATGGAGTCCCAACATCTTGCCACATCATTAAACCATTCGATAATATAGTCCTAACCTAACTTTTCTGTTTCTCCTCCCTCTGATACACACCTTCCCCAACACCCAAGAGAGCCCCCAACACAGCCCATTTTGTTCAATGTCTTTGCCTTTGCTTTATCCTAGAGGGTTTCCACCCTGGCCGCACATTAGAATCAGCTACAGAGCCATTCAAGATGGTGCCCTGTGTGTTAGCGCTCAATGCTGGAAGGCATTCTCTCATGTGAGCCACAAAACTACCCTGTAAGATGTAGTACTCTTACTGTCACCATTCTACAGAGGAGGGAACAAGAAACTTAGGAAGTTTAGGACATGGTTCCTGGTCAGATGGCCAGTGAGTGGGAAGCCAGGATTTCAGCAGATAAGATTTCCCTCTAAACCACTACTCTATAGTCTCTTAAACTATATTACAAGTTAAAAAATAATTATTTCTGATAGTATACCACATAATTGCCAATAAATCACAAAGTATGAGTGAAAATTTAAAAAATATATAACTGCGTAGATCTCACCCCAAACCAATGGCATCTGAATTTCTGAGGAGTGGGGCTGGAGTGTCTTTGCATTAGCTTTAGGGTCAGCCCAGCCTTACCCCTAAGTGATTCCAGTGTGTAGCTGGGGCTGAGAACACTTCTTTATCCAGTTGCTCCCATCTATGTCTCTTCCTCTAGTTCCTTCTCTCCACCCCACGTCCTACTGGCCTTTGGGATTCAGTCTAAGTGTCATCTCCTGTGTGGACCCGGCCTGCTTTCTCCAGCCTGCCAGAGTGCTCCATTCTCTGAACGCCAATTGCAAAACTTGTCCACCCCAGCTGAGCTGGCACCTATTCTGCCCCTCGGTTGGAATTTAGCTCTTGATTTTATGCCACTGGATCCCTGGTAAGTTTCCATATTTAGTCATTTGCTTCTCAGCTACCTCCACCTCTACCCCAAAAAGAGTGACAAGCATAATCATGCCTCTATCTGAAAGCAAGACTTGAACTCAGGGTTCTGCCAAGTGGTATTTTTGGCCCAGGGCTCTTTTCCTAGGGATTGGAAACCAGAAACATGTGGGGAAACAGATTGTGACTGAGGGGCAGGGGCATCAGCATGGCAGAGGAGTGTGGAGAGGGCCCTGCATGCCTCTCAGATGCAAGCTTGGAAAGTGGCAGGATGATGATGGAATGATGGTGCCTCTAGGGACGTTTGGACCTATGAGCTGGGAAATGTTGAGAGAAAAGCCTGGGCAGGGCCTGGGTTAGAATTTGTTGGTCACGGAAGAGGAATTGAGAGAGGAACAATTTCAGCATAAGTGACATTGGGCCAACTGAGGTTGTTGAATGACTGAATGAATGGCTCTTCAGTTGTATTCTTAGGAAGAATTTGGGGGGCTGCAGCACCTTCGCTGCCAGACAAGAGAGGCAAAGAAGGGGTCAGATGGAGGGTCTGTTGGAAAGGAGAGAGTCTGTGGCCACCAGAGGCCCAGCCAGCCAGAAGCCAAATCCCAAGAGGGTATCTCACTCGGCCATCTGCCCACCTGTAGCCCCTGGATTTGAGGGCCATTGATTCCTTGGCTGGGCCAATTTCCACTGCAGTCGAGGTCATTGCCAGGTCTCCACGTCTGTGCTGATAACTCTGCTTGATGATCCCTTTCCTCCAGTGTATGAAGGAGGTGGTGAAAGGAATTGCAGGGAAGGAGCATCACTTATCTTGAGTTATACCAGGACCTAATGGCAGTCCTGGAATCAGAAGCCAGCTCTCTTAATTCCTGACCAGGCTCTTTCTTCTTGACTCTGTTGCCAAAGTTAGTCACTTTGCCATTGTGGGGCTCAGAACAGGGCCTCTGGTTGGGGACTGGGGGGCTCTCCTCCTGGCCCATGTTCAACAGGAGGTCCCGGGTCTTCCCTGGCTGAGCCTATTCTTGCAAACTATGTGGGGGCTGATGTAGGACATAGAGTGGCCTCTGGGGAGACAGCCTTGTGGATCCTCACTAGGTCATTGGCCCTTCTGGCCCCATTGCCATCAGCGTCATATAGTGAGATCAGCTGCCTCCAAGCCCCATGGGAGGCCTGGTGTGAAGAGCTCAGCTCAGCAATGAAACCTATGGCCCATGTGATCAACAACATCCTGATCTCAGCAGACTGCTGATAGAAGGAGAGGTTAAGACCTATTCCAGAGCATGATTGGATTGGACAAGACAGCCAAGGTGCTCAACACATCAAAGAAGTCTTTCCACAAATGTGGCCATTCCTGCAGTGCTGCCATGGGGGAGCCACGACAACTTCAGTTCAGGCAACAACCCTCACCCCTCAATTGTACTCCAGCCCAGGTGACTGGGCCTGTGGGGAATGTCTAACCCAAGGGCTGTGATCTCTGGACACCCCAGGAGCCTAGAAGTGGCCTGAATCAGAGGCTCTCATTAACCTGGTGCCGACCTGAGTCATTCTGATTCTCTCCTTCATAGTAATTTGAACTGGAGATGTGGTGAGAAAGCCAGAAGGAGGCAGGGACAAATGAGTCATGAGCAACCTTCAGCGCAGCACTCCAACCTGGCATCTTGCAGCTCCTGCTGCCTCAGAGCTACAAGATAGCCCAGGGAGTCAATAGAGCCCCAGTGCCAAACAGCATTCCAGGTTCCCAGCCCCCTTCCCCTGGCCCCACCCCGCTGCATTCCAACGATAGCTAAGTCTGAACATACCTGGACTCCTAATTCCCTCCTACCCTTGTGCCTCCTCACAATGAGCCTGGTTACCTGAAGCAGCCTGTTACCAAAGGCCCCCTCAGTGGCAGCACAGACACTACTGGGGAAGAGCATCTCAGAGGCAAAGTGGGGTGCAGCTGTCCCTCCCACACAGAGAACTCCTCCACTCCCACCTTGGAGGATAGGGAGTGTTACATGAGGAGACCCGGCAGGCCCCTGGGACTCACAGGCTGCCATCAATGTGCTGACAGGCCTGGGATGCAAGGCTGAACAACCTGGGGCAACAGTGTGTCCAAGATAGGGCTGGGCCACAGAGAACCAGTCACAAGCCTGCATGTGTGTGCTGGGCAGGCAGCTGCCACATCCTTGCTGGCTGAGTCAGACCCCTTGGTCACTGAGTCTCCAGTTTATTGTTATTCACTGAATAACAGAAGTTTCTGTGGGCCCAGATGAGACTGGGGTCTGTCTGTCTTGTGATTGTAAGGCACTGGCTTTCCTGCCAAACAGCTCATTGCGCAGATCCAGGGCCTCTCTCCTTGGACCTGGGTGGACTCCAGGATCTCCTGCTGAAATAGCCAGGCCTCTCCTAGCCCAGGTCTTCAGAGATATCAACATCAGCACCACTCTGCATCTCAGGACAGGCCCTCGGCTGAGAGACAGTAAGCAGATTGCAGAGCTTCCTAGGCACCTACTGTGTGCCTGAGTGGCACAGCTGGGCCACATGGAGCACATGGAGATGGGTGAGACCAGCTTCCAGCTCTGAGAAGTTACAACCCAGCAGGGAGATGTGCAGCTTAGAGAACTAATCATCCCACATTGACACTGCAATGTGATCAAAGCCTTGAGAGCCATTCCCCATGATCCAGGGACTAACGGTAGGTGAGCTCATAGCTCTGGGGATCAGAGAGGCCTGCACGGAGGAATCAGCATTAGACCTGGGTTTTGGCGGCTGCATGGACTTCGACATGGAGAGGTAGATGGGAGCAATGGACTGAGGCAGTAGGTTCCCAAAAAAGGGACTTTCAATCTTTGCTGACACAACATTAATGTCAGTTGTGCCCAGGACTGTGCCAGAAGCAGCTGGGGGAACAGAGGTGAGTGCCATGTGGTCCCTGCCATGAGAGAGGGCCAAACAGGCAGATTTTGGCTGCAGCTCAGTGGGACAGGAGCTGCAGGTGAGGGAAGGGCAGCAGCGGTGGAGCCCAGCAAAGCAGCCTTGGTGCATGTCTTGCTGGGAAACAAGCACAGAGAGAGGGAGGTGGAGCCATAACCTGACCCTCCCCATCTCCACTTGATTGAACCTGAATCTGAAGGCATTGGAGAGCTGCTTTCGGAAGTCTGGAGCAGAGGCTGATGATATGGAGGGAAAGACCACAGATGCCATCTTTTTGGGGGCCAGCCTCTCAATGTCACTATTCTCCGAGTGTCCCTTGATCAGGTTTCCCCAAATATGTCTCCAGGGAATATGCATATGGTGGCAAGTGTTGGTTCACTCATTGCTGAGTGAACCGTGCACAACGGCAGGGGCAGGGGCAGGAAGAGGGCATCTCATTTCTTCAGCACATTCTAGGTACTATTGCTTGTCATCTTCACAACCGCCTGTGGGGTGGGCTCCATGACCCGGTTTTACAGTCGAGGCCCCTGCAGCTCAGGGCGAGACCAGCGGGGCACATGCAGAGGGAGGGCCAGGCAGCTCCCAGGGGGCCAGGCCAGGCATGTCCTCTGCAGAACTTGTTCTTTGGTGGGCTCCTACCTGAGGCGGGCAGCTGGGTTTGTTTGTCCACGAAGGTCAGTGCGTGGTTGCCTGCTCATCATCTCTGTGGTCAGCAAGGAACAAAGGCCAATAGGAGAATACCTGGGGTCAGGGGGCTGGGGGAACGGCGTGCTGTGCAAGACATCAGTAGGCTCTGTGCATGCACAGAGACCTTGGGGGACGTTTCCCTAAATCTCAGGCACACTCTTACACCCTCTAACCCCCCGCCACCCCCCGCCAGAAAAAATCTCACCCTGGGCGAGACAAGCCCAGGGTGAAATGAACCAACAGGGACCTCTCTGCGCCCTTCACCCGGTTCCTCTGGGAGGAAGGGGAACGCCAATGCCCGGGAGCGGCCTTTGGGAGGAAGGGGAAGGCTAATGCCCTCTCAAATGCTCTTCCCTGCTTCCCGCATCTACTCAGGTGTGTGAGGGAGCCCGCGGAACCCGCTCTGCCCAGCCGGCGCGCCCTCGACCGCCCTCGGAGTTCCGCGGCTCCGCGCGCCGCCTCCCCGCCTCCGCCGACATTCCGAGGCTCCGCGTTTGCCATT
Source organism: Homo sapiens (assembly GCF_000001405.40). Taxonomy (NCBI): domain Eukaryota; kingdom Metazoa; phylum Chordata; class Mammalia; order Primates; family Hominidae; genus Homo; species Homo sapiens. The sequence goes on from NC_000007.14 coordinate 128,166,737, forward strand.
TCGATCTGGAGGCGCATTCTCCTCACCCTCGGAGAGAGACTGGGTCAAGGGCCCAGGCTGGGAAGAAGGGACAGCTAGTAAAGGAACTCTGCCCGCCTGGCCGGCGGAGAGCCGCAGAGAGAGGACGCTCACAAAAGTCGGTCGCTACCCGGCCCAAACGATTGTGGAGCCGGCGAGAGCAACTGGTCCCCCAGTCCTCCTCCCTGGAGGAGGTGCGGGGGCGCGGCAGGCGGGCTTGGCCCACCCCAGCCGAGGAGCTTGTGGGGGACGGCGGGCGGCCGGCTGGACCCCTGCAGGGCTTCCCCCACTTTCGGGAGCCCGAGCGGCCGAGGGAGAAAGGGCAGGGGCTCTCCGCCGTCCGTCTGGGAGAGCAGCTCCTCCCAGTCGGGCCCGCAGGTGTGGGTGGGGAGGGGCCGTGTCCGCCTCCGTGCTAGGTAGAGGGTGGGAGGAGGGACCTTGTCTGTCCCCCTCAGCTGGGTAGGAAACCCCGACTCGGACCTGTCCTTGAGCGCGGGGGATCTGGGCACCCCCTCCCCCAGCAGGTTCCCGAGAGTCCGCCCGAGGGTAGACAGACCTAGGCGTGGTGTGCACGCGCGCGTGTGTCTGTGGGTGTGCGTGCGAGCGAGGCAAGAGGGTCTTGGCGTCCCCCGCACCCTCTCTGCCGGGTTCTATATTTTGCCTTTCTTTGTTCTCAAAATAGTAGGCGAGCGCGGCCGGCGCTGCCCTGGCGAGGGGTGGGGGCTCCGCGCTCGCTCGCGCGAGCCGAGTTAGCTGCAGGGTTACAAACAGTATCTCCCTGCTCCCCCGGCCTGAATTAATGTGTTACTATTTCGGGCGAGCCAGTGTTTCCAGGGGAAACCTAATGACGCAATGACGTCAATGCAGGTCAGCAGCAGACTCTCCGGGAGGGCGGGCGGGCTCCCGGCTTTCGGGCTCGGCGCAGTCTGCGGGCGGGAGGGCGCCGGCGAGGTGGCGAGGGCGGCTGGCGCGGGGGCGCGGGAGCCCCGGCTAAGCCCGGGGACGGGAGGGCGCCCCCTCCCAGCGCCCGAACCCAGGCAACTTCCCGCCGCCCGGGCAGGAGTTTCTCCGTAGCCCACGGACATCCGGGAGGCTTGTGGAGGGCAGGCGGGTAACCCCCACTCCCACCCCACCTTTATCCAGGGGCAGCCAGAGGAGCCAGCAGGTCGGGACTCGCTGAGGGGGCTCCACGCGGGGCCTCCCACGCACAGGTACGCGCTGGTCCTCGGGGTGTCCCCAGTTTGGGAGGGAGACACGCACAGTCGCTCCCGTCCACACTCCTCTCGTGTCCTGGCTCCATGACTGGGAGTCTGGGGAAAGAAGAATGGGTGTCTGAGACCTACCCCTCCGCCGGTGTCGCCCCGCTCTTTCTGGGCGTAGGAGCGGGCTGCCTGCCCCTCTCCCGCACCTTCCTGGTCTCGGGCTAGAACTGGGGCTTCCCATCGGCCGCGCTTCCCTTAGGGGCGCCATCTGAGGTCGGAAGCAAAGCTGGAGGGGCGTCCAGGCCAGAGGACGCGGGCTGGGGCGGGAGCCTCGGCAGCCTGGTGGGAGCTGGTGCCCACTGCAGGGTGCGTGTACGGGGCTGCCTGCGTGTGCTTGGTGTGTGTCACTTCTGGGAGCGTACCCCGTGTGTCCACGGGGTGTGTATGCGCCCACGGAAGTCCTCTGTGCATGCGTGTCTGTGCCATAGGCGTGGGAACACCTCGTGCACCCATGGTACTTGCCCGGAGAGTAGGAAGCCAGCGAGGGAGCGGCCCTGCTCCAGGGTCTCTTCCCTGCTCATCCCTCCAGCTGGCCCAGATTACACCCTACTCACACCCGGGTCGCGGCCCACTTTCCCCATAGCCGCAGCTTCCGGCGGCTGCACACTTCTTAGTGCTCATCCTGCCTTCTCGCCCCAACTCGTTGTGCCCTTCCCTCCTTGGAGAGTGAGTAGAAGAGGGGATGGGGAGGAATCCGTTTCCATCCCCCGCGACCCCCTCACCTAGGGCGGAGGCGCAAGCTCTGCTGGGTGCTCTCCGCCCCCTTGATCGCCGCTCTCGGTTTTCAGCACCAGGATCCGGACAGCTCCCCACCTGGCCCTGAGGGGCCTCTTTCCTTGCCCTGGCCTGGAACGCCCCCGCCCTGGCCTTTATAGCTTCCAGCTAGCTCCAGTACCCTATCCTAGACCCTCTTCCCTGCCCCCAACACAAACACACATCCGGCCTTCCCATCCCGGACTTCTGTCGGGTGGCCAGGAGCACCCAGGGCCAGAACCTGCCTGGGAAATCTCTGAAACTGACTGGCAGGCGTCACCACATCACAGCCTGTCTTTCTCCAAAGGGCAGTGACTGAAGAGAGACTGCTACAGCCCTGCTACAGGCTCCCTTTCCCACCTCAGTTCATTAAAATAAGTGAATAAAGCCAGATTCCTTCCCCAAAGGCTAGCCAGACTTCAGAAGGCACTCTTAGATCTAGGATTTTCTGGATTCTTGAAACGCAACTGGTGGACCCTAGACCCCCTTCCAGACATTCTCACAGCCCCTCCTTCCTCTCTTTTTCTAAATCCAGGCCTCCTCCGGTGGAAGGGGATGGAATGAACCCCAACCATCTCTCCATTTCCAGCAGCAGAGAGGGTTCAGATGATGTCATGGCTTTGGGGGCGCTGGATGGGAGATGTATGTGCAGATTCTCACCACAGATGTGCCCTGGGCTCCCCAAGACACCTCTAGAGGTGACTTTTGTGGGACCACGGCTCTGTGCAGACTGCTTTCACTGGGATGTGGCCACCCAGAGACCTCTGAGGATGCTCGCATCCCAAGTGGAATCCAGGATACAGCAACTCTACCTGTGGCTCTCCCCACTCCTTTAGCTGACAAATGCTCGTATGTTGTGTGGAATATCGTCCTAGACACCTCTCCTTAGTGAGAGAGAAAGGTGTCTCCTTAGTGTCATCCCAAACCCTCCAGGAAGAGCAGAAAGGGCCTGTGTGATGCCCTAGCTGATTCAGGGATAGGTGAAGAAAGTCAAGGAGAAGTCCCCTCTCTCCATCCTGCCTATCCTACTTCTGAGAACTTTGGTAAGCTGGAGATGGGGAGCCCTTCTCCTACCAGGGAATTGGGCAATTTTTCCTCTCTCCACATTCTTCTCTCTCAGGCAGCAGAGACTAGGCCAACCTTGTCGGATCTGGCCCAGGACAGATCCATGTGTTGTCTTTGTTCCACTGAGGCAAAGGGCAGGAGAGGAGATCTGGGCTTGGAGAGGAGGGTGCCTCTTTGCAGAAGCTCTGGGACCTGGGGTGAGGCAGTCACACTCTCCGCACAAAATGGCCTTTTCTCTGAAGCAGACATTGTTCTGCCTACTGCTGAGCTACCAGAGAGAGGAGAGAAAAATCCCCCCAGGCTGGGGACAAGGGAAGGAGAGGCAGCCACCCCAGTCCAGTGGCACTTCCTTCTGACAGGGTAGAAGTCTAAGCCCAGCTCCTGTGACATTCTCAGAGTGTCCACGGGTCTCGAGGGAAGCTGAAAATGGCTGTTCTCTCAAATGAATTACTTTTCAGACAAAAAGAACAGCGTATGACTCAGTTAAGGAGGTGGCAGTGTGGACAAAACACACAGAGAGCAAGAGGATGAGCCTTCCACTAAAGGTCAGTGGTCTCCCCAGGGTCTTTCAGCCCAAATTCAGTCCCCTGGGAGTGCAAAGCTGCCACCATCTGCCTAGCCCCATGCCTGACCACTTTCCAAGCTTCTCTGGCTCCATGACCTTCCTCTGTGCTCAGCTGGGTAACATCTGGCTGCAGCCTCATGGGAAGGCTGGCCAAGATCGGGCAGGTACAGAGAAGTTTGCTTGTGGATATGAGCATGGCTTCTCTGGTTTTGCACAGCAGAGACCTTGGAGAGGAAAGCCAGGGAAGGTGCAGGACCCCACCCTGCAGGAAGCCAGCACAGTGACATGGTACTGGTCATTGGGGAGAGAGCCTGAGCCTCTGCAGTTGTCCTTGTCTGACTGCAGACATCATGGGCCAGAGGAGCTTCTGGTCTTTTAAGTGCCCTGGGTCAGGTGCTTAGCAGGGAGCTGGACTGATGCAGCACCATGCCCAAAACAGGGGGTCAGATTCTCCCTTCAGCCCCATGCTGTTTTCTTAAGCAAGTCCTTATGATGAGCCTCAGTTTCTCCATCTGCATAATGGGGGTTAACTGAAGCAGAGAAGGCACCCACAGGCTTGTCCTGAGTGTGTCTGAACAACATTTTATTTGCATCTGAAGTCAGAGCTTGTCAGGAGAGCTGGCTCCTTTGTTCACTAAAATGTCTGGGTTCCTGAGAGGCTCAGGGTGCCTTCGGGTATGGGAAAGGCTGATTCAGGTTCAGTGGTAACTTTATCATCTCCTGGCCAAGTTCTCTTCCTGCCAGGGTCTCGGCCTCTCCCTGTAGATGGAAGCCCACGTCCCACTGTTCAGAAACTGGGGACCCACTGTGCCCACGGGAAGCATGTATGGAGAACAGCTCCAGGCTGGCCAAAACCACCCCTCCCTGATTCCAAATCAGGACTCCAGCTGGCAGCCCCTATGCCCCAAAACAAAGACAGGAGGATCTATGGAAAAATGGAAAGAGTTCTAAAGTTTACTCTTGGGGACAAGAAGCTCAGGGTCTTCCATCCTACAGGAAATCATGTGGAGTCCTCGTGATTACCTCACTGTGTGGCAGCTGGACCCCTGGGCACAGTGGGGGCTGAGCCAAGGTCTGAGAGAGCTGGGATAGGTAACTAACTGTGTGCTCGTCCCCAAGTGGAGCTTCCCAGGATACCCAGATCTCATGCCCAAGGCCGCTGTTTGGATTGTGCAGCCATCACAGGAATACTCACAGTGTGAGTGCCCTCGAGCCATTTTATTGAGGGTGAAGTCCGTGAGACTGGGAGGGCATCCCCTCAGCGTAGAAGAGCACCCCGTGGGCAGTGGCTCTGCTTCCCCAGAGGCTGCAGGGTGCAGGGTCGGTGCTGACAGTGGGGAGGGGGCAGGATTGACCTAGCCCTATCTCTCCTGGCTGTGTGACCTTGGACTCAACATTTCTTCTCACAGTACGAACACAAATGAAGCACCAGCCATGGCCCTTCATGGGGCTGTAGTTACAGTTGATGAGATACAGTGAAGACAAGTGTGTCACGGGAGTGGGCAGGTACTGTTGACCCCGAGAAGACCCCAAATGCTGTTCCCTCCTGGCAAGCTCTCCTGCTGCCAGGGTCTCAGCCTCTCTCTGTGAATGAAAGCCCAAGCACCGCCATTCAAGAATACAAGGAGGTCCCCACTCCAGGAGGGGGGGATTTAGGGTGTAAGTTAGCATCAGAGTCCACAGCTTTGTTAAGTGACCTGTTCTGGCCACCTCCTATCTGCCCTGTTGGTAAACAAGGGATTCCCTGCCCTAAATAGTATGAGATGGCTGAACATACAACATTGGACAATGGCAGATGAGATTGGCAGCAGTTTATTCGCCACCTGCCTTCACAGCCTGGGGGAGGAGGACACAGCACGCCATGCAGGGCATACGAGGGTTGCAGCCGGGAGTGGCACCAGGAGCTGAGCCAACAGCAGGGGCTGTGGGAGGCAGCTTTATAGTGACAAAGGGTGTGGTATCCCTGGTTCCTGCAGGAGGCTGTGATTGGCTTGTTTGAATAAATACGTGGGCTGGCTGGGTACTGAAACCCATTAGGCTGAAGACCAGGTGCAATGCGGCTGTTCTGACCAATAGGAAACTAGCCAGGTGGGGAGCTTTTCTCCCTGGGTGGGAAAGAGCATGTCTGGAGAGAGCTGGGGAATTCGTGGTTAGGCCTTTGGGACTCAAAGATGTCAAGACAGCCCTTGCATTGTGGGCCTTATAATAAAGTGCTTCAGGCCCTGTGCCCAATCTCACTAACCTTTGCAACATCCCTGTGAGTTACATTTCACAGATGAGGAAACTGAGGCAGGGTATGAACCAAGACCACCCAGGTCAGGTTTTGTACCCAGGTCTCCTGACTCCACAGTACATGCTGTCTGTGTCTGTCAGGGAAGACACCTGTAAGCTGTAATCACTTCCCAAAGCTGGCGCAGCAAGTGGCACTGTCTCCGGATGCCCTGGAAGTTCTCTGCCCTTTTCAGAAGAGGATTCTCTGCAGCTTTGTTTCTAGTTGGGATGTAATTGAACAGAACCTCAGACCCTCTTTGGTGCCTATTGATTGCAGATTGTGGAGCTGGTAAATGGATTTGCATATTAAGTCAATGATATTTCTATTCTGAAGGTCAAGGCTTCCGAGTGTGGAGTTGAGCTGACCAGATTGGTGGGGAGACCTGGGTTCCAGCCTAGCCCAGCCCCTCCCTCACTTTGTGGCTTTGGGCAACCTTTCCTCCTCTGGGTTCAGACTTCTCAGCAGTAACCAGAGGGGACTAGATGGGCCTGAAGACGCTTTCAGTTTTGTTTTGAGATGGGATCTTGCTCTGTTGCTTAGCCCAGAATGCAGTGGTGCAAACATAGGTCACTGCAGCCTCGAACTCCTGGCTTCAAGCAATCGTCCCACCTCAGCCTCCTAAAGTGTTACGATTACAGGTGTGAGCCATCCTGCCCAGGTGGCCTTTCAGTTTCATTGGGCGATGAATCCTCAAAGTCTTTACGTGTGGAATAAAAGGTCCTATGCATGCAGGCAGAGGATTAGAAGGCAAGTGGTGGGAGGACATTTTTGCTCCTGTGGAGTCGGGAAGAGTCATGTTGACTTCGTCTTTTGGGGTTAATAGATGGTAAGATGGTAGGAGTGTAAGTCTGAATCTTTCCCCAGCCCCCAACCCAGCCCAGCCTCGCCTGCCTTAAGAAATTGACCGTACTTTGCTGGCTAAGGCCTATTTCCAGAAAGTGCTCTGAGGACAGAAAAGTCTGTGAAATTTTGCCACCTGGTTTTTAGAGCCCTGGAGCCCTGAAGTTGTCAGCCCAAACCCAGCTCAGCCAGGCAGACCCTCACCTCCAGACCCATCTCTTGGGGCATGGGCATTTGCTACACCTTTTAATGTCTTCCTTCCCCTCCTGTAGGGTTGCTGGATTTAGCAAATAAATGCCCAGTGAAATTTTAATTTCAGATAAATACAATTATTATTTTTTTAGACACAGGGTCTTGTTCTTTTGCACAGGCTGGAGTGCAGTGGTGCAATCACAGCTCATTGCAGCTGCAAACTCCTGGGCTCAAGTGATCCTCCTGCCTCAGCCTCCTGAGTAGCTGGGACTACAAGTGCCTCACCCTGCTCGGCTAATTGCAAAAAAAAAAATTGTAGAGACAGTGTCTTGTCATGTTGCCCAGGCTGGTCTCCCAAAGTGCTAGGATTACAGGTGTGAGCCACTGCACCCAGTGTCAAACAAGTTTTAATATAAATATGTCTCAAGATTCCCTGTTCCTAGGACCCAGAACCTGTCCTTATCCGGAATCTGTCTCCTCTGTCCTCAGCCTCTTGCACTTTGAAGGCCCAGGGTTTCTTCCGCCTCCAGGGACAGGAGTGTGTCAGCTTGGCCCAGGGACTTGGTATATGTCTGTATGATGCTGATAAAACAAAAAATAATAACAGCAGCTGAGAAAGCTGAGTTCCAAGCTCATATCACCAGGGGTGGGCTGGATTTGAACCTGAGTTTTTGTGTCGTTTTGTGCTCTTCTTTCAGCGCCAGGGTAGATTTACAGAGTCAGCTCACAAGAGAGGAATCTGGTGCAAACCTGCAGGCTTATTGCCGTGGGTCAGGTGGCAGCGCCGCGGTGTGTGCTGAGAGCAGCGGGTGGGCCCTGTCCCTGTGCAGGGCCAACCAGCCCACCATGACGTATTCAGGCTGCAGGCCAGATTGCTTTGCAGGGGTTGTGTTTGATTCCACCTCTCAGTCTGCCGACAAATGCAAGTCCTCGTGACTTCCCCTTTGGTGGCCTGGGCTGTTACTGAACCATCTGCTCCCTAGCTGGGCTTGCAGCTGGGAGTTCATGCATGATAGGAACTTTTCCTGCCAGCGTTTGGCGTTTGAAGCCAACCTGATGGGTTGGGATGCAGTGATGTCCTCCATATTTCGGGGAGGTGAAGACAGGCTCCTATGTGGGTACTCGTCCAAATTCCATTTGGGGCTTCATGACTTCCAGACATCTCCACTAAAATTGGGGTAAGGAAGTGGGAGCGTGAATTTTAAATCTCATTTTGGAGATGAGGCTAAATTAACTTCTCTGAGATGACACAGTGCGTAGCTAGAGAGCCTCAGGCCTGACTTCACACTTACTCTTCCTTCTGGAGTCATGATCTCTCATATCTGTGGCCATTCCTTGGAGGTAGAGCCTGCAAATAAAGGCTGTCACCCTGGCTGCATATGAGAATCACTTAGGGAGGTTTACAAATGCTCAGGTTCAACCTCCAGAGATTCTGATTTAGTTCATCTGGGTGCTGCCAGGCACCAGTGGGTAGTGAAAGCTCCCAGATGATTCTAAGGAGCACACAGGGCTAAGGGTCATCACTGAGGAAGTGAGAGATGGCGTCGGCCAGGGGCTCCCAGACCTTACTGCACATTGGAATCATGGGGGATCTTTAAAAATACTGACAGCTTGCTCCCTCCCCCGGACATTCTGATTTGATTAGTGTAAAAATCAGGCTTTTGGCCAGACGTGGTGGCTTGAGCCTATAATCCCAGCACTTTGGAAGGCTGAGGGGGGAGGATCACTTGAGGCCAGGAGTTCGACACCAGCCAGGGCAACATCCCCTGCACCCCCATCTCTATTTTAAAAAATTAAAAATTAGCCAGACATGGTGGCATGCACCTGTATTCTTAGCTACTGGGGAGACTAAGGAAGGAGGATCCCTTGAACCCAAGAGTTCTAGGATGCAGTGAGCTATGATGGCACCACTGCACTCCAGCCTGGGTGATAGAGTGAGACTGTCTCTAAAAAAAGAAAAATTTAACGTTGGGCACAGTGGCTCACGCCTGTAATCCCAGGACTGTGGGAGGCCGCGGTGGGCAGATCACTTGAGATCAAGAGGTTGAGACCAGCCTGGCCAACATAGTGAAACCCCATCTCTACTAAAAATACAAAAATTAGCTGAACATGGTGGCAGGTACTTGTAATCCCAGCTACTTGGGAGGCTGAAGCAAGAGAATCGCTTGAATCCAGGAGGCAGAGGTTGCAGTGAGCCAAGATCATACCACTGCACTCCAGCCTGGGTGACAGAGTGCAACTCCATCTCAAAGAAAAAAAAAATTTTAAGATTTTAAAGAAGTTCTTCAGACGATTCTAATATTCAGCAAAGTTTGAAAACCATTGGCACAGGATAGGGGCCTTGCTCCTCTGAGTGTGGTCAGCAGACCAGCAGCAACCAGGTCACCCAAGAGCTTATTAGAAATGCAGAATCTCAGGCTGCACCCTGGACCCATTGAATCAGAATCTGCATTTTCTTTCTTTCTCTTTCTTTTTTTTTTTCCTTCTTTTTCTTTTTTCGAGATGGAGTTTCGCTCTTGTCACCCAGGCTGAAGTGCAGTGGCACAATCTCAGCTCACTACAACCTCCGCCTCCCAGGTTCAAGAGATTCTCCTGCCTCAGCCTCCCGAGTAGCTGGGATTACAGACATGCACCACCATGCCCAGCTAATTTTTATATTTTTAGTAGAGACGGGGTTTCACCATGTTGGCCAGGCTGGTCTAGAATCTGCATTTTAACAAGATTCCCAGGTGATTTGTATACCTGTTAAAATGTGGCCTAGGGAATGATATGATGATGAGGCAAATAAGGGTGTAATGTTCAAGCCAATCCCTCTGCTCATTCATTTATGCAGTCATTTTACTGACAATCACTGACTACACTGTGTATCACTGTGCTAGCACACGCCGGGTGCTGCGTATTCAAAAAGGAACAAAGCCAGGGGTGAGGCAGGCACACAGCTCTTGGTTATAACACAAGGGTAATACCAGCACCTATGGAAGCTTGCAGAGCACACTGTGCGAGAGAGCACAGGAATGTGCCCTTCACTGCCTAGGAAGCAAAGGAATCGTCTCGCAGGGCCTGGGATGTTCAGAGGTAACAGATGCTCAGGACAGCTGCAGGAGAGGTGAGCAGTACAGGATGATGAAGGGCGCCCGTGTCCTTCAGAGGAGCCTTGGCATTCGCTGTGGACAATGAGGTGCCTCTGGAGACTTTAGATAAGAAGGAGAAGAATGTTATGAGTCAGACTGGCCTTTGTGGTAGAGAACTCTAGAAGAGAAAGTGGAAGAACTGGAATAGAGAAAACCTGGTGGTCATCGACAACAGTAGTTGGGACTCAGAAAGAATCCAGAGGCTGGCTGGGTGTGTGGTGGCTCACACCTGTAATCTCAGTGCTTTGGGAGGCCTAGCAGGGAGGATTGCTTGAGGCCAAGAGTTCAAGACCAGCCTGAGAAACATAGTGCGACTCCATCTCTACAAAAAAAAAGAAAAAATAAACGAAACAAAAAAAGAATCCAGAGGCCTCTTGATGAGGAGGATGGCAGAGGGGGTGGAGAGGAGGGCCAGGTTCAGGAGATGGTTCTGAGAGAGGATCTAGGTCCACAGGATTTAGGCAGATTGCATACAGGGTGAGAAGGAGTGAGGATGAGCATGACTCCCAGATGTGTAGTTCAGGCAACTTCGTGGAGGTGGCACCATTCAGTGAGATAAAGAACTCTGGAGCGCCGGGCACAGTGGCTCATGCATGTAATCCCAGCACTTTGGGAGGCCAAGGCGAGTGGATCACGAGGTTAGGAGTTCAAGACCAGCCTGGCCAACATGGTGAAACCCCATCTCTACTAAAAATACAAAAATTAGCTGGGCGTGGTGGCGCTTGCCTGTAATCCCAGCAACTCAGGAGGCTGAGGCAGGAGAATTGCTTGAACCCAGGAGGCGGAGGTTGCAGTGAGCCAAGATTGCGCCACTGCACTCCAGCCTGGGCGACAGAGTGAAACTCCATCTCAAACAAACAAACAAACAAACAAACAAACAAAAAACAGAACTCTGGAGGCAGAGCGAGCCTGGACAGGTGGAGCAGGAAATTGTGAATTCAGGACTGGAGCTGAGAAGCCGAGGCTGGAAGTAGATCAGGGTGTCAGCAGCATCCAGGGGGCTGCTGAAGCCATAGGAGTGAGTGGAGTAACTTAGGGTGGGAAAGGGAGAGGAGAACAGACACTGGGACCACATTATTCAAAGGTGGATTGGAGGAAGAAGAAAAGGAGAAGTGGGGAGGGAGGTTGGAGAGTGGGAAGGAGCCAGCGAAGACAAAACTTGAAAGAACGGATCAGAAGAGGAAACAGAACTCCTGGAAACAAAAACACATTCAGGAGGAAGAGCATGACTGTGGAGTAAAGTGCTGCAGAGAATGTAAGCAGGAGATGGGGACTAGCAATGGGGTTTGATAATGAGGCCATTAGCCAGTTTCTGAGCTAAGAGGAAAAAGTTAAGTGGTTAAAGATGCAGAGGGAGAGAAGGTAACTACAGAGCTGCATCTCCAGGCGCTGGGAGTAGATGGGATTCAGAGCACATAGAGGAATGAATCTTGGAAAGCAGAGGGAGATGGACGTTGTTCCCATCAGTGTTCTCTGACAAGGCACAAAGGCGTCTGCTGACAGCTGGGAGGAAATGCTGGGCTGGGCGGCCTGAGTCGGTGGCTGGGCCTCTGCGGAGTGGGACAGAGGTGGGAGATGGGGCCCCTGTCTGCAGTGGCCCCAGCAGCCTGCATTGCATTGTATTTTTTCCAGCTACAGAGGCTCAGGAGGTGAGCAGAATGAAGGTGGGTGGTTTCCCTCAAGTTTGGGGATTAGGCAAACTAAAGGGCAAGAAAGGAAGGACAAGGGTGCTGTGAGAGCACCACTGGCGCCACCATATTCAGGGTCAAATTTCCCTGCCCTTTGTCTCAGGAAGGTCAAATGCAGGGGCAGTCACCCCCACTCAATGAACCTTCTTCCTGGGGGATGTTGGCTAATGGGCTGCTGGTCCCTCAGCTGGGCTAGTTCTGTTTGGAAGGAGGAAGCCCCACAGATGTCCCCAGAGGCAGCTTCTGCTCTGTGTCCCCAGAGGCAGCTTCTGCTCTGTGTCCCCAGAGGCAGCTTCTTCTCTGTGTCCCCAGAGGCAGCCTCCAGCCCAGACGGCTGTAGAGAATGGAGACCAGCAGGCTCACCTGCCCCAGGGTTGACTCTCCAGCTCCTGAAGGAATCCGGGGATCCCGGGGTTGGAAGAGACCTTAGTGAACAACTAGTCCAGTGGTTCTCAGGCAGTGGTGACCCCTATAGGCATTTTGGACATATGTGGGGATATGTCTAAAATGGCACAACAATTAGAAGAATGCTCCCCATATTTAGTAGGTATAGGCCAGGTATGCCTGGCCTTGTGCAATGCACAATTCAATCCTGCACAGCAAATTCTGTCCCTTACTCCCATGGCTTTATTTACTTCTTTATTTATTTATTGAGAGACAGGGTCTGGCTCTGTTACTCAGGCTGGAGTGCAGTGGCACCATCATAGCTCACTATAACCTCAAACTCACAGGCTCAAGCCATCTTCCTGTCTCGACCTCCTGGGTAGCTGGAACTACAGACAGATGCCACCATACCCAACTAATTTTTTCTTTTTTTTGTAGAGATGAGGTCTTGCTATGCTGCCCAGGCTGGTCTCAAACTCCCGGCCTCAAGCAGTCTCCCCACCTCTGCCTCCCAAAGCACTGGGATTACAGGCATGAGCTATTGTGCCTATCCTCCCATGGCTTCTGAATGCCTTGCCAAGCAGTAAAAACGTGTCCAGACTCTCTGTGAACTATGGTTAACAGAAACAGTTTAATTGTCTAGGAATGTTTCTGTATATAAATCAAGGAGTACTGAGCATGGTGTATGCCTGTAATCCCAGCTACTTGCAAGGCTGAGGTGAGAGGATCGCTTGAGCCCAGGAATTTGAATCCTGCCTGGGGAACATAGCAAGACCCCGTCTCTAACAACAAAAAAAACGTAGCCATAATGTTAGTTCCAGAAAAGTCGAGAGATTGTATGTCAAAACTTTACTAAGAGTTGTGTGTCATTTTGGAAAATCACATCTCTGAAGGCAAAGCTCCCAACAGTAATTGAGTGATTAAAACAACACCACTGTATCAGTCTACATTTGCATCACATGCATTCATGATGATTCTACATATAGACGCAAGCACGTCATTATTTCATTCTATTATGCATAATCATGCCTGAAGGTTTACATGTTGAAAAGCATATTCTTATAAATTATGTCATTTTAGTTTTATATATCAGTTAGGGAATTCTATTGATTTTTAAAAATATGTCAGTTTTTAAAAAGTAGGGTTTTACTCTGTTACTTTATTTCAGGATAATAAGAGGATATTATCAAATATTTGCTATAAAAGAGGGTGTTTTTATTCTGGCGGTTATAAAAGGATCTCGTTACAATCTCTCACTCGGTGAGTTGAATTCTCTCTATAGCAGCTCTAACAACTGGCTGCCCAGCTCTGCTTGAATATCTTCAGGGCAGGGAACTCATCCCCTCTCCAGGTCATCTGTCCCATCATCAGGGAGCTGGCTGTTAGAAAGGGATCGCACACAAGGAGCTGAACCTGTCATTGAGCATCTCCCACCTCTGACTGGTCCTGGTCATGCCTTTCAAGGCTACACAGAACAAGTCAGCTCTTCTACATGAGATATCCTTAATACTTGTAGATGACTGCATTAGTCCATTTTTGCATAACTGTAAAGAGATACCTGAGACTGGGTAATTTATAAAGAAAAGAGGTTTAATCGGTTCATGGTTCTGCAGGCTGTAAGAGAAACATGGCAGCATCTGCTCAGCTTCTGGGGATGCCTCAGGAAACTTACATGGAGGAAAGTGAAGGGGGAAGCAGGCACATCTTATGTGGCTGGAGCATGAGGAAGAGAGAGAGGGGAGGTGCCACACACTTGTAAACAACCAGATTTCCTGAGAACTCTATCATGAGAATAGCACCAAAGGATGGTGCTAAACCATTCATGAAGGATGCACCCCCACAATCCAATCACCTCCCACCAGGCCCTACCTCCAACATGGGGTATTACAATTGAATGTGACATTTGGGTGAGGACACAGATCCAAACCATAACAGTGACTCTTTACCCCATGCCCCCCCACTACTCTCTTCTCTTCTCCAGACAGAATTCACCATTCTGTATGTGACATTCTTGTGCCTCCTTGTTATCCTGGCCAATCCAGGCACTGTACTAAGCATGAGGGATTCAGAGAGACCAGTAGGTTCAATTCCGTTCAATGTTTATTTTACAGATTGTTGACTGACCTATGCCATTCACTGTGCTCAGCTCTATGGACACAAAGATGATTTAGAAGCAGCTGTTGTCCCTGGGAGCTCAGCCAGCAGTGAAACAGTCCCACAAAATGGAGAATTAAACACATATTCATCTCCCTTTTCTCCCAAGACATCCTCTAGACTTATAGGAAGGAGATTTAAAAGAAAACATTAACACACAGTGAGGAAGAGAGGCCATCGGCAGATGAAGATTCTACCAAGTTCTAGAAGAGCAGGTGGAGCAGAGGTGTGGGATAGCAGTGTAACAGAGAGGAGAAAACATTAGCTTAGAGCACTCAAAGAAGGGGGTTTGGGAAAGAAGGAACTTATTTGCCCCTGGAGAATCCCTAAGAGGGGGTCCCCAAGGGCCAGGTGTGGCAGAAGGCAAGAAAGCAAGCTGGTACCAGAATAAGGGGATTATTTGAAAGGCCACTTACAAAGCAGTCAGCCCCTACACCAAATGCAGTATTTACAGGCAGAGCCCTATCCTTAGGCCAGAACATTGGAAGTCTCGTCTCAGGATGACTGAGTTGTCCCAGAGGACAGGCATGTGAGGATGCCACTGAGCCAGCTCCCACTGAAATCCCAAAAGCCACCCTCAGCTCCTAAGAAAACCCCACTCCAGAACACACAGCTCCCACATGATCAGTGTCTTATTCTTAAATATATAAATATATAGCCAAAGCTAATCCACCCCCAAGGAAAGTCCAGTGTGATTGAGACCGAGGAAAACAAAGAGAAAACCCCTGAGGGAATGGAAACAACATAAGAAACAGAAAAGAACTGAAAACAAAACAAAACAAACCTCACTTTAATGTTCACAATACTAAAAAGGAAACCTCAGAGGACAAGAAAGTGCTCTTGGAAATTAAAATATTTTAAAAATGACTGCTGCCCAAATAAAATATTCAGTAGAATTAGCGATAAAGTTAAGGAAATCCCCCAGAAAGTGGAAGATAAAATTTTAGCAGAATTGGAAAATGCAGTTGAAGAAATCTCCCAGAAAGCAGAGTAACAAGACAAAAGGAAAAGATCATCAAAATGAAAAGAGAATCAATTTGATAGGTTTATGTTGGACTATAGGAGTTCCAGAAAGAACAGAAAATTGAAGGGAGGAAGTTATCAAATACATAATACTGGAAAATTCTCAACCCTGAAGTTTAGAGGCCTTTAAAGAGTCCACTGAGTCCACCCAGCAAAAAGAATGAAAATAGATCCACAGCAATGCATGTCAACCTAAAATCTCAGAGTATCAGAGACAAAGAGAATAACCAAAAAACTTCCACAGAGAAAATACAAAATCCCAATAAATGTTACAATGGCACAAGAATTCTTTGTTTTGTTTTGTTTTTAAGATCGGGTCTCACTCTGTCGCCCAGGCTGGAGTGCAGTGGCGAGATCACAGCTTGCTGCAGCCTCGAACTCCTGGGCTCAAGCAATCCTTCCACCTCAGCCTCCCGAGTAGCTGAGACTACAGGCATGCACGACCATCCCCTGCCAAAGAATTCTTAATGACAACACTAGGCCCTAGAATGCAGGGCAACCTGGCCTTCAAAACCCAGAGAGAAAATAATTTCAATCCAGAATTCAGCACTCGGACAAAGTATCATCAAGCATGAGGGTAGAATAAAGATACTTTTCAGATATGTCAGGACTCAGCACCCTATTTATGGAAGTTATTAATCATGTGTTCCAGCAAAATAAAAAAGTAAGCCAAGAAAGCCAGACTGAAAAATTCAGAGACAATGGCCCCATTCTGGAGTGCAGTTGGGAGAAGTCCCAGGCTGATAGCTGTGCAGGGAGCATAGGGAGCTGAGGACAGAGGGCTCATGGCAGGGAGTGCCCTGAAAAGATGGAGACTTTTGATAAAGTCCCTAGGTGCCAGAGCTTCTCAACAAAGCATAGAGGAATGTTTAAAGGAGCTTATGAAAAAAAGTAAAATAAAGACAATTAGAAATCCCTGGAAAACCAAAAAATCAAAATCTACACACACAAATAAAATGTAACCTTGTACCTTAATTGATTCTGCAGCAACAAGGTTAACATAGTCACAATAATGGAAACATTATTTAACCAAAGATAGTGATAGAATAGGACAGGCAGCATGATACAACCAAGCCCTCCTCTCTTATGTAAGATGTAAAAATGACATATACATTTGATCAATCAGGAAATAACTGTATAAATATATTATTTAGAGATATGAAAATAAATACCAAAGAAACAGCTGAAGAGTTAAAAGTGGTTGCCTCCAGGCAATGGACCTGGGATGGGAGAGATGGACCTGGGTTGGATTTTATCCATTATCAGTCTTTCGATAGTTTGACTTTTTTTAACCATGTGCACATATTGGTTTGATAAACATATAAAAACCTCAAATCAAAATGTGCTCAGTGGTCAGGCATGGTGGCTCATACTTGTAATCCTAGCACTTTGGGAGACCAAGGCAGAAGGATTGCTTGAGCTCAGGAGTTATTGACCAGCCTGGGCAACGTAGTGAGACCTCAGCTCTACATAAAATTAAAAAGCGGTCCGGGCGCAGTGGCTCACGCCTGTAATCCCAGCTCTTTGGGAGGCCGAGGTGGGTGGATCACCTGAGGTCAGGAGTTTGAGATCAGCCTGACCAACATGGTGAAACCCTGTCTCTACTACAAATACAAAAATTAGCTGGGTATGGTGGCAGACGCCTGTAATCACAGCTACTCAGGAGGCTGAGGCAGGAGAATCGCTTGAACCTGGGAGGCAGAGGTTGCAGTGAGCCAAGATTGCGCCATTGCATTCCATCCTGGGTGACAGACTGAGACTCCATCTCAAAATAAAATAAAATAAAAGCAAATGTGGTAAATGACAAGCAGCATGCATTGAGGGAAGATGCAGGCAGCCTGGACCGAGAGGCTGGCCGGTGGTGAAGATGACCAGTGTGGTATTACTAGCAGGCTTTAGTATCCCTGGAGCATGATGTCCAAGATGGGCTGCCCGGAAAACGAGGAAGGCTGGTGGGACCAGGTCACAGGAGCAATGTAGACTCTGGCAGAGACTTGGACTCCATCCCTGTGGCAATGAGGAGCCGCTTAGGGGTTATCAGAAGGAAAGTGATATGATTGAATTTGGGTTTTAGAAATACACCTTGATAGCAATCATTCTGGAAGCTGATTCTAAATGGGTCAGCAATGGAAAAGGAAAATCCATTTAGGAGGCCATTGCAGCAACCAGGTAGGGGAGGATATGGTGGTCTGAACCAAGACAGTGGGTGGAGGGTTGGGGGAAGCAAATTAAGGCAAATATTTAGAGGGTAAATGTACAGCAAGACTTGATTGATTGAACACAAAGGATGAGGAGGCTTTACCTGGAGGAATGGGCAGATGACCAGGCAACTCACTAAATAAGGTAGAGGTTTGGTGGTTGAGATGTTGATTCAGTGTTGAACATGTTGAGCTTGAGGTGCTTTCAGGAAACACCATGAAGATGTCTAGGAGCCTGCTGAAGATACAAATTAGATGCCCTGGGGAAAGGTCAGTCTTGGAAGTGTAGACTTAGGGGCCATCAGTCTTTGCTGGGCAATGGGGCAGTGGCCCAAAGAGCAGCTACTGAGAAAAATGGTGGACCAGGGACAAAAACCCGGATTTTAGCATTTAAAGGGCAGGCTAATAATGCCCTAGATAAGGTTGAATATCTTTTCATCTATTCCTGAGTCATTTTTGTTTCCCTTTCTGTGAAATACCTATTTTGGGTTTCAATCATTTTTCTATTTCTATTAAATTTAAAGCTAGATCCATTGTCTAGCTGAATGATAAAACTATAGAAAAATATGATGAAACTCCCACCAGAGTAAGGAGCACTTACATGAAGTATTAAATAAAGCAGTTAAATAGGAAAAAGGAAATGAAGCACCAAATTAGAAAACAGGAAGTAATTTTGTATCAGTAATATGAAATGAGTGATTTCATAACTTGAAATCCCAAGATAGTCAATGGGAAAAAATATAAATAGTAAGAATTCTATACAATTTCTGATATGAAATTAATATGGCAAATTAATAGCACTCCCACATAAAACAATAGGAAGTTTAAAAATACAATGGAAGGTGAAAACCAATTGTAATAACAATGAACGTGCAAGGTTCATGTGAAGAATTTTAAAACATTATTGAGGAACATAATAGAAGAACTTGTGAAATGGAAATAAGAAACTCCATTCTTGAATTGGAAAATGTTGATCCGAAGTATTATAAAGTTGTTAATTCTTCTAAATTATGCTTTACACTTAAATACCTAGATAACTCTTTTCTTGCAACCAGACAAGCTTATTCTTAAGTTTATACAGAAAAATAAATATGCACAAATATCCAGGAAGTTTTCTTTAAAAAAAAAAAACCCATGAGATGAGATCAGTTTCATCATATATGAAAACATAATTAAAATAGAGAAGTACGTAGGAATATTTGGTCAGATCAACAGAACAGAATGAAGAGCTCAGAAATAGACCCAAATTTATGTGGGAATTTAGTGTGTCGTAAAATGGCATCTCATATCAGAGGGGAAAAGACAGGTGGTGCAATATATAGGGCTGGGACAGCGGAAGATACATTAGGAGAAAAGATGATTCCCACATTACTCTTTACATCAAAATAATGGAGAAAATATTCAAGTTAAAGCTGAAGTCATAAAAGCACTAGAAGAAAACACGGAGCATAGACACACACCAACACCCCTGTACACACACACACACACACACACACACAAAGTCTTGGAGTAAAGAAAGACTCATGAAGCCATAACACACACAAAAATTAAATCAGCCGGGCATGGTGGCTCATGCCTGTAATCCTAGCACTCTGGGAGGCTGAGGCAGATAGACTACTTGAGGCTGGTAGACTGCTTGAGGCCAGGAGTTCAAGACCATCCTGGGCCACATGGTGAAACCTCGTCTCTACTAAAAATACCCAAAAAGTTAGCTGGGTGTGGTGGCATGTGCCTGTAATCCCAGCTACTCGGGAGGCTGAGGCAGGGGAATTGCTTGAACCCAGGAGGCCAAGGTTGCAGTGATCTGAGATTGAGCCACTGCATTCTAGCCTGGGTGACACAGCGAGACCCTGTCTCAAAAAAAAAATTAAATCAACTATATAAAAATGACTTACTTCTGCACTGGAAAAAAGCCACATATATAAGATCTTACATTATGATAAATTGAGAAGAGATATTTAGAAGCATACGTGGCAGACAAATGACTACTTTTTTCTATATAAATAATTTTGTATAGATACAGGGTACCTTTGAAAGGACACATACATGTATCCCCCCCTTAGGTATCTCTCCCTCCCTCCTTCCCTTTCCTCCCTTCCTTCCTTCCTCCCTCCCTTCCGGCCTTCCTTCCTCCTTTCCTCCCTTCCTCCTTTCCTCCCTTCCTCCCTTCCTCCCTTCTTCTCTTCCTTCCCTCAAATGAGGAGAAAACAGCATTCATGTTATCCCAGCACCTTTTCTTGAACAGCACCTTCTTTCCCTCACCAACTTGAAATGCCAATTGGATTTTATATTCTGCTCCTTTGATCTGTCTGTTTCCTCTGACACCAGAATTTTACTGCTGCAATTACTACAGATTTAAAATATACCTTTTTCATACTTGGTATGACAAGTGTGCCCTGTTCTAATTCAGTCTTTTTCCCCGACATTTTCTTATTAATTTCCTCATACTTATTCATCCAGATTAATGTGAGATTCATTTTATCAAATTCTACTCAAAACTCAATTGAGATTTTGATTGCAATTATGGGAAATGCATTAGGTGAATTTGGGCAAGACTGACATTTTTACAATATCAAGTCTCCTCATCTTGAAACAAAGTATGGCCTCCTCTTAATTCAAATTATTCAGTAAAGCATAAGGGCTTTTCTGTACGGGGTCTTGCACTCTTCTTGTTAAAATTCTTCCCTAATATTTTATATTTTAGTTGCTACTATGAATGAAATTCTCTTTCCCATTCTATTTTCAGGTTGGTTGTTGCCACTGTGTTCAAAAGCTAAGAAAATTATCTACATTTATTTTATAACTGCCTTATTGAACTCTCTTATTAATTATAAATTTCACTTGATCTTCAGATTTTCTGTGGAGTAAATCGGGTTTTTGACTCCCTCTTTATAATAATTAAATCACATTTTTTTTAAAAAAAGAAAAAGTCTCTTTTTTTTTGTTCTTTTTTAAGACAAAGTCTCAATCTGTCTCCCAGGCCGGAGTGTAGTGGCCCGATCTTGGCTCACTGCAACCATCGCCTCCTGGGTTCAAGCGATTCTCCTGCCTCAGCCTCCCGAGTAGCTGGAATTACAGGTGTGTGCCAGCACACTTGGCTAATTTTTGTATTTTTAGTAGAGACGGGGTTTCACCATGTTGGCCAGGCTGGTCTCGAACTCCCGAACTCAAGTGATCCTCATGCCTTGGCTTCCCAAAGTGCTGGGATACAGGAAGGGCCACCACACCCGGCCTTATTTTTCTTTTGACTAGAACTCACTTTCAAACAACATTTCATGACAGCGTTCATCAAGGAAATTCTTATGCATTCACAGGTCAGAGTTTTATCTTTAAGTATAATGTTAGCTCTTGGTTTAGATTTGTTCTTTATCCTGCTTTGGGATTATCTCTTTATTGCTAGTTTAGTAAGAATATTTTTTTTAAAAAAGTGTATTGGATTTTATCAAATGTCCTTTGGGCTTCTATCAAATGATGGTATGATTTTCTCCTTTCATCTATTCATGAGATAAATTGCATTAAGAGATTTCCCAAGGCTGGGCACAGTGGCTTACGCCTGTAATCTTAACACTTTGGGAGGCCAAGGCGGGCCGATCACCTGAGGTCGGGAGTTTGAGACCAGCCTGACCAACATGGAGAAACCCCGTCTCTAATAAAAATACCCAAAAAGTTAGCTGGGTGTGGTGGCACATGCCTGTAATCCCAGCTACTCGGGAGGCTGAGGTAGGAGAATCGCTTGAACCCGGGAGGCGGAGATTGTGGTGAGCCGAGATCGCACCATTGTACTCCACCCTGAGCAATAAGAGTGAAACTCCGTCTCAAAAATAAAAAAAAAAAAAAAGAGAGAGAGAGATTTCCCGATGTTGACAATTTTCAAATTCCTGGAAAAAAACTTTACTTTGTCATTATGTTATTATTTTTATTATTCTTCTGCTGAATTCTATTTGTAATATTTTATTTTTGTTCTCACTAATGTTGGTATCTGAGAATATAGATTGCTCTTCCAAAAAGCTTAGCTGAGATGGGGAGAAAAGAGAGGGCCAGAACTCTAGCGAGACCCAGGGTGGAGGAAGTGGACATTGCGAGCATATTAATAGGCTTTGGGGATGTAGCCAAGAAGAGGAAGAACTTGGGGATATGAGAGAAGGAGGAGAGCAACGAGGCACCAGGGGAGAGAGACGGCAGCAGGGCCAGCACACCAGTGTCCTGGGGCCACCAGCAGGAAGAGAACAGAACCATCACCTGGACTGTTCTGGAATGAAGGAGGGCAAGGCGGGTGGCATAGATTAAATCTGCAGAGGGTACAACGACGTCAGAGCAGGGCACAGCTGGAAGCTTTGGTGGGCGTCAGGGCTGTGGGAGCAAGATTGTCTGCAGGGTTGGTAGGTGAGGACTTGAGGCAGATTATGAACATTGAAAACAGTTGCCAAGAGAAGTGGGGACAACCCAGAGGATTGCCAGGGGGTGCAGAGGCCCCAATGAGGTTAAAAACCATGGCTTTAGGTGGCATCAGTTTGCAAGGTTTTTCATTATTCCTCTTAGAGACACTGTGGGAGTGGGGCTGATCCAGACTGGGTGTTGATGGATGAGTGTGGAAGGCAGACAGCGAGGCCAGGGAGTTGCGCAGGTCCCATGTCAGCCAGGGAACGGCAAGGAGCAGAAGAGGACACACACAGCACGCAGGCCTCTCTGCAAGACGCTATCATAGTTTGTCTTTGCTTTATATTTCCACCTTGAGGCAAAATTTTCCATTTCTGCCCTGTCACAAAACAAACAGGATGCACCATGGCTTAAGCTAGATCACTTATGTAACGGATTCCATGCTCTGCCACGTTCTTGACAGTTACAAAACGTCTGTGCTGCTGGGACATCATGTTGGGACAACAGGACGTGTGTGCTAATGTGGAGGGCATTCTGGGACAGGGGGTGCCTGAGCCCCTGCTTCCACTTCGGGCAGTTAGGGCATCGACAGGAGAGTGGCTCAGGTGATCAGGCAAGCAGGCTGGCCCAGCCAGGGAATGTCCCCACTAGCCTGATAGGCTGGGAGCAAGGGGACTGGTGGGGACGGGGCTGCAGGGAATTGGCTTGGGTGTGGGTGCCTTAGGGAGCTGGAGGCACAGGGCCCAGGAGGCTGGCCCCAGGAACAGGCCTTTATATGGACACTGAGGTCACCCTAAATGATGCCAGGGCATGAAGTGGATGGGGTGTGACCCGAGTGACCTGCTCAAGAGCCCCCTGCTAGTAAATGGTAGGGTGGCACACACCCAGGTCTGGGGCTCCTTAGAGGACAGCAGGTGGCCTTCCTGGTGAGGGTGTGACCTATGGGCACCTGCTGTCCTGCAGGACCTAGAACCTGAGCCCTTGCTCTTCCACTTCAGGCAGTTAGGGCATCGATGAGAGAGTGGCTCAGGTGGCCTGCAGTGCAGCTCGGCCCAGACGATGCCATCATTCCTCCTTGCCTGTGCCTGGCCTCTGGGTGGCTGGGGAAGGTGTCCAACCCTGAAGGTGCCCAGGAAGCTGGGGAACACAGCGCAGCCTTCCAGGACCAAGGGACCTGCCCCCATTTCACAGTGACCGAGCCCTCACCTCCCCTTCTTGGCATGTTCTTCTGGGGCTGGCCACCTCCAGATGCCAGAAGGGTACAGTGGCTGTGAGATTTGGCTTCCAAAACACTGGGTTCAAACCCTGACTGCACCATTGCCAGCTGTGTGACCTTGGGCAAGTGGCCATCTCTGAGTTTCAGTTTTCTCATCTGCAAAAAGGGGACAAGACTTAGATTTCCCCTGCCAGTCACTTTCCTAATTAAAGCAGAGTCTGTGTTCACTGTTGGGTTCTCTGAGAGGGTGAGTGGCACATGGGGGTTTATCTGGGCATGCCCTCAGGATCCACACCTGCGGAGGGGAAGCAGGATTGGGCAGGAGGAGAGGCTAGGCTGCAGCACAGGCCCTGTGAAGACCTCCCCTGACTTCAGGGAAGCTCTGAAGTGGAGACAGCCCTGCAGAGCTCTCCAGAGTCAGCTGCTGAAGTGGTTTGCCGCGGGAAGGAGGTTTGACTTTGGATAACGTGACTTTCTTTAGTCAAGGACAGTTCCTGAGGAGGGATGAGGACTGTCAGGGTGGCAGCACTCCCAGCAGCTGGGGACTAAGTCCTTCTGTTGTAAAAGGGGATCTGGCCTGTGCATCACAACACGCCCTAATGCATCCATCAAACTACACTATTATTAGCATGGCTGCACACAGACAAGCAGGAACTTGGCTGGGATGAGCTGGCCAATGCATCGGTCATCGGAGCCTGTCCTGGGCTCAGCTCCTGCATGGACTGGCTGATTTGGAGGGGCCATGAACCCCCTAATACCATGTGAAAAAAACCTGAATATCTTTTCTGAGGTGAGAGTCCAATTTTTATCAGCTTCTAAAAGCACTCTGTGACCTTAATGTTTAGGAATCATTACTCTAGGGTCACATTTCAAGTAGAGAAGGAGGTTTCCTTTACCTTCCGCTCTGCATCCTGCCTCTCCCAGCTAACCATGTCAGGGAAGCCCCCTCCAGACCTCTAGAATCCTCTAGAATCCCTTCCCCCTCCGGCCCCTCCTCCAATCCTGTAACCACCACACCAGACCTAACCTAAGAGTTGTGTGTTTGCATCTGGATCTCAGTCCTGCCCTGCCATTCACAATCCACATGGCTTTGGCAAGTTTCTGAACTTCCATGAGCCTTAGTCTCATCTGTGAAATGCAAATGGTTATACCGATGTGATAGCTACATCCTGAAGATGGATTCTATGAGATGGTTGAGGGAAGTGCCCTGCACATCATGTAGACCAGAGCAGGTAATTCACAAACAAAAATCATTTTCTTTTGGGGGTTCAATCATCCTTTTCCCTTTCCTGTTTGCCTCTCCTAGCACACCTGAGCATAATTAGATAGCGCCTCAAAACCAGGATGGCTCAAGTCCAGCTGTTCCCAGCACAGGCCCTCACAGCTGGGTCTCTTCTATCTCCCCATTTGCAGTCCCCACATAGAAGCTGGAGCCCTCAGCAGGTGGCCTTGTTCCTAGGATCCTGAGAAAACATTTGATTCATAGGAACCACAAGTTACATCGGATGAATCCTTAAGCATTCCCAAAGGACATTCATTCCCACCTGGCTCTCATCGCATCCCTGTGTGGTGGGCAGGGCAGGGATTACGTCTCCGTTTCCCAGAGGTGGGATGGCATTCCTCCAGGCATATCCAGCTTCCCAAACTCATGTGGTTCCAGTGGTGATGTGGTTTGGCTTTGTGTAAATTTCATCCTGAATTGTAATCCCCAGGTGTTGAGGGAGGAATCTGGTGGGAGGTGATTGGAACATGGGTGCGATTTACCCCATGCTGTTCTAGTGATAGTGAGTGAGTTCTCACAAGATCTGATGGTTTCATAAGGGGCACTTCCCCCTTCACTCCCCACTTTTCTCTCTCCTGCCGCCATGTGAAAAGGTCCTTGCTTCCCCTTCACCTTCCCCTGTGATTATAAGTTTCCTGAGGCCTCCCCAGCCATGTGGAGCTATGAGTCAATTAAAGCTCTTTCCTTTCTAAATTACCCAGTCTCGGGTATTTCTTTAGAGCAGTGTGAGAACAGAATAATACAAGTGGCCAAACTAAATTCTCATTTGGATGTCGTAGTGTAGTGGTTAAGAATGAGACATGTCAGCCAGACTTACTGTCTGGGTTCAGATCCCAGCTCTGCTACTTACTAGTTGTAGAACCCTGGATGTTTCATGTTACCTATCTGTACCTCAGTTTCTTCTTCTGTAAAAATGGGGAAAATAATGGCTTCTTTGTCATGGGCTGTCCCAGGAACAGATGTGCCTGCTATTGTGTAAATGTGAGCTCTTGTGTGAATGGCGTATTATTCGCCACTGCACCTTCTCGGGATTGGAGCCCACCAGCCCTTTCTCGCCACATTGAAGCATCATTCACTGTATTCTGTTTTTTCTCAAAATGTGTCAGTATTTTCAATGGGCTTCCAAGTGCTTCATTTAAGCCCTGGGCCCCATACCCGCTTGACTCCTTAAACGTCTTGCATTTTCTTCTGTTTTTAATCATTTTCCCCAGCATTGCTTCCTTCCCCACAGCAACAGCTCTCCTCAACCATCACCCTTCCCAGCAGCTGCGCGCAGCAGCTTCCCAGCTTCCATTCCCCTGACCCGGAAGCTTCTAAATAAAACAAAACCCCTTGGGCTCCTTGACTTTCCCCTTTCCCCTTACTCAAGCCCTTACTGTGGGCTCTGCGGGGGTTTATTTCCCTGAAGCTGCTCTCTTGAGGTCCCCATGGCTGCTCACGTCCTTCCTCAGAGCCCTCTCTCCTCGGCTGGCACCGTCCCTCCTCCCCACCATCCCCCTCTTCTTCCCCTTGTCCTCCTCCTCCTCCCCTACCAGGCGTCCATTACACTCTCCTAATCTGACCCCGGATTACCAGCCTGCTCCCCATCTCTAGCTCCTCCTCATCCCTGGGCCCCGTCCCAGTCCCCAGCGGGCTGTCCTGGGACCCCCTCTCCTCCCCCCTCCACCCTTGGTGGTCCCTCTGCTCTGCTCTCAGCTCCTCAAATCCTCCTGCCCTAACTCAGAGGCTCTGGGAGCTCCAGCTTCGGGCTCTGGCTCTGGGCGGGACTCTTCCCCTGCCGCCTTATTGGGCCCTCAAATTCAAGGAATCCAAGCACCAGATTAACATTTCCTCCTTGCCCCAAAATTAGCTCCTCCTTCTGGTTTCTTTTTGTGACGGTGGCTCTGTCCTCCCAGGCACCGCAAGGGACATCTGGGCCGCGAGGCCTCCTGCCCGCCCACACGCCCCCACCCCAGACGAGCCCTGCCCCCTCCTGCACTTTGCGTTTCTGTTCTTCCTGTTACACATCATTACCTAAAAATAATTATAAAGTTAATTTTTGTTCTCATGGCGAATTCTCATGCTCATGATAGACAATTTGGAAAATAGAGATAAAGACAAAGAAAACAATAGAAAGTACCCACGATTTCACCAACCAGAGAGACAGAATCACTGTTAATATTTAGGAAGATGGCCTTTCCTCTTTTAAAAAATTTATGCTGAATATAAAAAAATTTTTTAATTCTTTCAAATTAAAACCATCTATGCAAAGTGTTTTGTATCCTGATTTTGAAACCTATGTATCACGAACATTTCCACCTAGTTAGATATTTTACTACACCTATACATTTTATTCTAAAAATGTAAGCAATTTGCGCATTGGATAAAAACTTTAAAACATGTCATAGGTAGAAAATGAACTTGTAAGGGAAGATTTGTGCTACCAGAAATCAAAAACTATCTTAATGCTACAGTTAAGACTGTGTCTTAGTATAGGAATAGACAAATAGATAAAGAGAAGTGCATATGTGGAAATCTAATTCAAGACAAGAAAGAGCACTGCAGATTTGTTGGGATAGATTGGGCTATTCAATAAATAGTGTGGGGACAATTGGTTTTCAATATAGAAAATAAAATAAAACTGTGCCCATACATCACATTCTTCACAAAACTCAATTCCATGTATACTCAGTACTCTAACTTAAAAGGCAAAATTGTATAACTTTTAGAAGATAACAGATTATCTTTATGATCTCAGGCAAGGAAGGGTTTCTAAACAAGACACAAAAACATAAGCAATAGAGGATAGAACTGGTAGATCAGACTACATTAAAATTAAGAACTTCTGTTCATCAAATGAATCATAAGTAGAGTGAAAAAAGTCAAAGTCACAAATTGGAAGAAAATATCAGCCACGTATGAAGCCAGCAAAGGCCAAATGCAGCTAATAATATATAAAGACCTTCTATAAATCAATAAGAAAAAGATAACAAAAAGAGCAATAAACAAAAGACACAACATTTTGCTCATTGTTCAGCATATATTTATTGAAACCTACTGTGTACTGTGCAGTGTTTTTACATCCTGGGGTATATTAATAAATAAGCTAATAAACCTCTCTGTCCTCATGGAGCTTGCTTTCCAGCATGGCAACACAGACAATAAACAATAGACAGAAGAAATAAGCAAATTATAAAGTATACTAGAGGGTTAATGTGCCATAGCAAAAACAAAAATAGAGGCATAGAAGCCAGTAGAGAAATCGAGAGAGAAGGCAGTTGCAGTATTAAATAAGGGCATCAGCACATGCCTTGTTGAGAAGGTGAGATGTGCACAAAGACTGGAAGGAAGGGAGGGAGAGATCCAGGGATATTTGGGGGAACAGCATTCCAGGCATAGGGAACAGCCAGAGCAAAGGCTTTAACATGCCTGGTGAGTTTGAAGAACAGCAAGGAGGCCAATGTGGCTGCAACAGAATGATGGAGGGGAAGAACGGAGGAGAGGAGGCTGGGGAGAACATAAGCCAGCACAACATGGTCTTCTCTGCTATTGTAAGAATTTCAGTGTGACTCAGAGAGAAATGGGAAGCCATTGCTGCAAACATGAGCCTTGCTGGTGATGCATGCCACGTGGAGAGACTGAGAGGAAGGCCCCACCCTTTCATTCTGACTGTAGTTGAATTTCCATTCAACTTCAATAACTTCCTTTATCATTTTTTGTATGCTTATCTGCTGACAATGAATTCTCTTAGCTTTTATTTTATTTTACTTTTTGAAACTGTATTCCCTCATTTTTGAAAAACATTTTCACTGGATATAGAATTCTGTGTTGATAGGGTTTTATTTTCTTTTAGCAGGTGAAGGATGTTGTTCCATAGTCTCCTCATCATCATTGCTTCTTATGGGAAGTCAGCTGTCACTTGTAGTGCTTAATGTGTCCTTCTTGCCCTCCCCCCACCTCTGGATGTTTTTAAGATTTTTCTCTTGTGTTTTAGTTTTCAGGAGTTTGATTATGATGCGGCTAGTGTGTTTTTCTTTGTATTGACCCTGGTTGGAGTTCCCTGAGTTTCTTAGATCTGTACATTCATGTTTTTCACCAAATGTGTGGGAATTTTCAGCCATTTTTTGCTGAAATGACTGGGTAATTTATAAAGAAAAAGAGGTTTAATAGACTCACAGTTCCTGTGGCTGGGGAGGCCTCACAATCATGGTGGAAGGTGAAAGTCATGTCTTACATGGCAGCAGGCAAGAGAGAAAATGAGAGCCAAGTAAAAGAGGAAACCCTTACAAAACCATCAGATCTCTTAAGACTTATTGACTACCATGAGAAAAGTATGGGGAAAACCACCCCCATGATTCAATGATCTCCCACTGGGTCCCTCCTTCAACATGTAGGAATTATGGGAGCTACAATTCAAGATGAGATTTGGGTGGGGACACAGCCAAACCATATAGATAACTTACATTGTTTCATGGGTCAGTTGGTCTCTGGTCATTTTTTAAAAATTATTTTTTCCTATGGTCTTCAGACTGGATCATTTCTGTTGATCTGTTTTCAAGGTAACTGTAGGCCCTTTGTTCTGCAGCCTCCAATCTGATATTAAGTTTATCCAGGAATTTTTAATTTTAGATCTCATAGTGTTCAGTTCTAGAATTTCCATTTGGATCTTTTTTATAGTTTCCAATTTTCTGCTAAAATTCTTACATTTGCTCACTCGTTATGTATATCTTTTTCTTTTAAATCCCTGACCATATTTATAATAGCTGTTTAAGAGTCTCTATCTACTAATTCTAACATCTCTGTTATTTGGAAGCCTGTTTCTCCCAAATATGTAACCATAGTTGTTACAATAAACAACTGTGGGTCTATTTTGCTTATCATGGACCACATTTTCCTGCTTCTTTTCATGTCTAAAGATGTTTTATTATATGCCCAGTATTATGGATGATACATTGTAGGGAATCCAGTTTATATTTTCTTTCTTTAAAAGGTATTGAGTTTTGTTCTGGAACACATTAAATTACAGGTGGATCATCCTGATCCTGCCAGACTAGTTTTTTTTTTTCTTTGCTATGTGTTTTTTCCTCAGTCCCAGAGTACAGCACCTACTCTAGGGTATGGTTGTTACTCCTAAAGGTGTGGTTTTTCTGAGATTACTCCTAGATGCTTGAAGTGCTCACTGAGGTCTCACTACTCTTTGCTGGACTAGAACTTTGTCTCTGGGCCCTGCATGAACTGTGGTAACCCTGTTCAGCTCTCAGCTCACAGCAGCCACTCTCTGATGGGCTTTGTGAAGTCTTTCCCTGTGTATAGCAACCTAGCCCTTAGCCAATCACCCACCAGGAACCCCTGTAGATGCTACAGTTTCCTTCTCACAGTTCTAGAGGCTAGAAGTACCAAATGAAGTTGTCTCTCTGTATGTCCAAATTTCCTCTTAGAAGGACACCAGTCAGATTAAATTAGGGTCCACCCTGACAATCTCATTTTTAATTTAATAACCTCTTGCCAGGCCTTATCTCCAACTGTAGTCTGAAGGACTTGGGGTCAGAGCTTCAACATACATATTTTGGGGGGACACAGTTCAGCCCATAACAGGTATACTGGCCCTCAAATTCCAGCCATTTCAGCAGCCCCGCAATCTGATCTCTGCCATCTAGAAAGTGCTGTGGGTAGAAATGTAAGGCAAATGCAGTTCTCACCTCATGTATTCCTCTTTCTCAACAATTACAGTCCTTCGGTGAAATGCTCTGCTGTGTGGAAAACAAAAACCAACACCAATTCCAGTCCTGTGCAGGCTGTGACCCAGTGACTGGAAACAGTTGTTCTGTATGTTTTGTTGTTCAGGTCTTGAGGGCGAGCCCAGTACTAGTGACTCCAACATGGCCAGCAGTGAAAGCCCAGCTGCAGGTTTTTGCATTCTTTGCCCCAGCTAAGTGGTAAAAATTACTCCCAATGCCAAATGGACTTTCCACACCGTGAGTTCAGGTTTTCTTTCCCTCATGCCACAGTCATGCTGTGGCACCCAGCAAATGGCTGGCACCCATTGGCCTCACTTGCCTCAAGTCTCCGCCCCAGTGTGCCTCGACCTCCCCATCCTACAGACCTTGCATGGGGATTGGGCAAAAAACACCTTCCCCTTCACTTTTGTCATTGCTTTTCCTCCTTTGGCTTTATTTATTGCCCTAGAAAGAAGAAAGTCAGATTGCTACTGGAGGTAGGTCTGATGGGGAAATAGGCAGAGAGACCGAGGCAGGGACAGAAGAAGAAGACAGAGACCTAGAGAGGGAAATCCAAAGGAAAATAGTGAGGCAGAAGGAGAGGGGAGGCAGAAGAGGGTGGGAGAGGCAGCAGGTGGCTCTTCTTCAGGGCTTCATTTAGGCCTGTGCTTTGGGCCCCAAGTCTGGGTACAACCTTCGCAGAGACAGAATCATGACTTCCCATCTATTCTCCTAGGGATGTGCCAGGGTCCAGGGCCCTGGCTGGCTAATAGTAGAGACAACCTGATGGTGGGTTTGCCTCCTGACTGTGGGTAGAAGGAGGTCAGGAGCAACTTTTCAGGGCCTCTTACATTCTTGTCCAGCAGCTGCCCCATGGCTGAGTCTGGAACCGCAACCCAGGAAGCTGTGTGGGTCACTGGAGGCCTTCTTGCCAGCCCAGATGAGGTCACTGTGTGGTGGGCAGGGCCTGGAGAGTGAATGCCTCTTCCAGAGCAGGCTGCCTCCTGGACAGAGCTGGAAAACCAGCCCAGATTCTCTGCTCCCCTCTCCCTGTCCCCAGACACTCTTCAGACCAGCTCCTCTGCTTGCATCTGTTTGAGCCAGCTCCCAGCTACCTGGCCATCCCCTTGCCCACAGTTATGAGCCCCCAGAACATCTCTGAGAGTTTCTCCAGGCAGGTCCAAGAGCGCAGCTCCCTGGGCCACTCCTAGGGTCCAACAGCATAGTTTCTGGGGCCACTCCTAGGATGCAATAGCACAGCTCCCTGGGCCACTCCTAGGGTGCAATAGCATAGCTTCCAGGGCCACTCCCAGATGCAACAGCACAGCTCCCTGGGCCACCCCTACAGTCCAACAGCACAGTTTCTGGGGCCACTCCCAGATGCAACAGCACAGCTCCCTGGGCCACGCCTAGGGTGCAGTGTGTTCACCAGCTGCGCCATTCTGTGTTGCCTCTTGTTCCCTGCAAGTTCAGGGGATGATGCCTCCAGACCTGGTCTTCACTTGCAATGGGGAAGAGTTCTGTCTGCACATGTGAATATTTGACCTTTGAGAAAAGTTCTTTCTCCCTGAGGTCAGATTCCCCCAGTGAAGGATGACAGCTTTCAGATTTTGAGGCCCCTCCCTTACCTCACAGTCCAAATTCCCAGATATAGCAAGTTCAGACGGGTGGAGTGGGCATGGGAGGTTGGATTTCTATTAGCATCAGAAAGAAACCAGGAAACTCTAAGATTATTAATAGAATGGAATTCTATAAACAGCCATATGTCGATTCATACACCATTCAGGGTATACAATAGTTATTTTTATCTAAATTATTTCCTGAACAAGAATAAGATTCAGATGTTAAATTAAACAACTGTTACTCTATTTAGTTTCATTTTATGGCTAATGAAACTATGAAGACAATAAGAACTTACAATAGATCCAGAAAATATTATTACTGAGCTGATAAAAAGAGTATAAATAGTGGCCTACAAATTAATGAGTAAAACTTGAATAAGAAATATTTCTGTTTTGCCGGGCACAGTGGCTCATGCCTGTAATCTCAGCACTTTGGGAGGCCAAGGTGTGTGGATCATTTGAGCCCAGGAGTTTGAGACTAGCCTGGGAAACATGGCAAAATCCCATCTCTACCAAAAATGCAAAAATTAGCTGGGTGTGGTGGTGTGTGCCTATAGTCCCAGCTACTCAGGAGGCTGAGATGGGAGGATCACTTGAGCCCAGGGGGTTGAGGCTGCAGTGAGCAGAGATCATGCCACTGCACTCCAGCCTGGATGACAGGGTGAGACTCTGTCCCCCGCACCCCCGCCAAAAAAAAAAAAAAAATAGAAATACTTCTGTTTTAACATGAACTAAGGATGATAAACACTAAATGGAGAAAATTACCAGGGACAGCTTGTTCTCACGCAGGTGATAAATCAAGAAATATGAAACTAAAATGAAGAAAGATGTAAAAAGTCACTCACCAGGTGGTAAAGTCACAATATTATAATGCCTACTATGTAACAGCATCTATAG
This sequence comes from Homo sapiens, assembly GCF_000001405.40. Classification (NCBI taxonomy): domain Eukaryota; kingdom Metazoa; phylum Chordata; class Mammalia; order Primates; family Hominidae; genus Homo; species Homo sapiens. Next base: position 128,199,372 of record NC_000007.14, read on the forward strand.
TATGCAGTAGTAGGTGGGATGCCCATTTGAAGAGACCCCTTCCCAGAGCTCTCTGGAAAGAGAAGGTCATTTGAGGTCATAGCAATTATAACAGGAATACAGAGGCTTTAAAGGGAGATCTCAGTTACTGCTGGCAAAACCCACTGCCACTCATGAGGGCCCAAGAGCAGTAAGAGTCAGCCTCTGTAAGTGGCAGCAATGTGGCTCGTAGAAGAAGACACAGGTCCAAAATCAGCATTTGTGATGAGGCCTCACCCTTTGGGAGGCCAAGGCGGGCAGATCACTTGAGGTCAGGAGTTTCAGATGAGCCTGACCAACATAGAGAAACCTCATCTTTACTAAAAATACAAAAAGTAGCCAGGTGTGGTGGCGGGCACCTATAATCCCAGCTACTCGGGAAGCTGAGGCTGGAGAATCACTTGAACCCAGGAGGCAGAGGTTGCTGTGAGCCAAGATCACGCCACTGCACTCCAGCCTGGGTGACAGAGTGAGACTCCTCAAAAAAAAAGGAGGAAGCAGCAGCAGCAGTGGACAGAAAACACCCAGATTAGAACTTGGGCCCAGCGCTTCTGCTCTGCCTCTGTCCCCTGGTGGACAGGGATGAGCTGTGTAAGGTCAGTTTTCCATAGACACTGACCAATCTTCCACCTTATGTTGACCTGAATCTTAGAATACTTGCAGACTCTGGATCCAGAGATGACCTCCAGTTTCCTGCCTCTAGTCCTTCCATCTTACCTTCCTCCTCCCCTCCTCCCTTTGTCCCTCTCTCTCTCCTCCTTTCCGTCTTTCCTCCCCTCCTCCTTTCTTTCCATCCTTCTTTCCTTGTTTAATTCCTCCCTTCCTTCTTTCATTCCATCAACACTTACTATGGTTACTGGGCATATAGCAGCTAACAAGATGACACTTCTGTCCTCATGGATTTATAGTCCAGTGGGACAGACATTAAACAAACAAAACTATCACAGTGGTACGTATGTATTTGCAAAAGGAGATTAAGTGCTAGGATGTAGTACAGGGTGCTATGTAACCGACTAACAGGGTGGATTGAATTTGGGTGCTGGGAAGGTCTCGCAGGGGGAGTGATAATTAAGCTCCCTGTGGCAGGCTGCATGGGAGTTATCCAGGCGGAGTAGGAGGGAGGTTGTTCCTGGCAGAGGGGACGGCAAGGGCAAAGGCCCAGAGGCAAGGAGCTGGGAGACAAAACACTGGGAGACAGGGAAAGACTGACACAGGAGGAGCCGGGGAGTAGGCAGGTGATCAGGAGTGATTTAATTTTAAGAGTGGCAGGAAATGATTTAAAGGTTTCTTAGGCAGTGGAGGAGCTTAAGCAGATTTGCATTAAAAAATTAGAGCCACTCGGAAGGCTGAAGCAGAAGCAGGAGAATCCTTGAGCCCAGGAGTTGGAGTCCAGGCTGGGCAGCATAGGGAGACTCCACCCCCCCGCCCCATCTTTAAAAAAAAGAATTTAAAAAGTTACTGTGGATGCAGAGAAGCGCATGGATTAGTGGGGCAAATGTGGGTTTGGAGTGACCAGGAAGAATGCCACTGTGGCCAATAAGATGGCGAGGGCACGGTGGTCTTCTACAGGTCAGGGCGGTAGGGTGGCAGGAGACACGTGGGTAGATTCAGAAGACGTTTAGGAGTTGGACCCTGAGACTTTTGAGAAACGGGGGGTGAGGAAGTGAAGGTGGCCGCGGTGGCAGGAGCAGCCAGGAGGATGGAGCCTCCCTTCACTGAGGTAGGGACACCCCCTCCTTTGTGTCTGAAACTCTCCCTGTTTTACAGTTAAAAGGCGTTAGCGCTGGCCTTTGAGACAGACTCACTGAGCCACCCAAGGTCACCCGGGCAGCGGGCACAGTTGGGACTGAACGCAGGGGCTCTACCTGTGCCAGGTGTCCACACCTCGGTGGCGCTCGGCCGCCTGACCTCCTCTTGGAGTTCCCGGCTCAGGGCAGGGGGTCGCGTCCCTGCGGTCTCTGGAGGCCACGCCCCACCCGGGCCCACCGGGGTGGGCGTGGCTACGTGGCTCCCTGGCGCTGAGGCGCCTCCTTCCCAGGTGGGCGGGGCTCCTGCCGGGTCGGTTCCCGCAGGCTGCCCGCGGACCCCAGCCACTTGGCCAGGCTGCAGGGACAGTGCGAGGAGGCGCTCAGCCTGGACCACAGCGGAGGTGTGCAGGACTCAGCGAGGCCCCCAAGCTTGTACGCCTCCTTCCTCCGCCGGCTTCTCTGTCTGCCTCCCACTGTCCCTATTCTGCCCTTCACAGATCGTTGTCATTATCAAGTCCTACACTTTGAGAGCAGAAAACGACCCCGTACGTGGTGGGTCTCCGACATCTGTTTATTACGTTGGACCGCATGCTGCATATGATCCAGCCACCTCGCTCTACTCCTGTGGCTGCCCTTCGTCCTCGTCGCCGGGACCCCTCTCCCTGCCTCCCAGACGACCTGTGCCTTACCCCTTCCTGTCTCTTATATTCTCATAAATTTGCTGCCTCCTCTCCTACGTCCGTCCTTCGGGGTCAGCCTCCATCCATTACCTCTCAGCAGCATTGCGAAGCCTCTGTTTTCTCCCCGACTTGCAGCAGCCTCTCCCTCCTCCAGTCAATTTCGCAGGTTTTTCCCAAAACCTTCAGAGACTGCCCATTGCCTGTAGAGGAAAAGCAGGCTCTTCGCCTGGCACGGACCACCAAGGTTTGCCTGAACATCCTTTCCCACCTTTTCTCTCACTTCTCCCCTTCCTGTGCCTACAAATCAGCCCCTCTGTGTATGTCTCGGCCTTGAGCCTTGGCTTCTGCCATTCTCTCTCCTCCTCCTCCTCGTCTCAGATTAAAACCCCTCCCATCCTTCCCAGCTCAGCTCAAATATTACCTCTTTGGTGAAGCCTCCTTTCCTCCTCCCCTTCACCCCTTTCAGCCTGGAGAATCTTCTTCCCCGGGCCTTGCAGTACTGGGACCCTCGTCCAGTCCCCATGGATGCTGATTTTGCCCCATCATTATTTGTGCTGGTGCCATGGGAAGAAGCGGCCCAGGAGAAAGATCAGGCTCCAGGAGAGGCTGATGCGCTTGCTTCGGGATGTTTAGTTGGAAGGGCTCCGGGCACCCAAGGAGAAATGTCCACACTTCCCTTCTAATCTGGGGGCCCCTGGAGGACAGGGTCTGTGGTGGGCTTGTCTCTACATCCCCAGCTCCCAGCACAGAGCAAGGCGTGCGCAGGCACTCATTGACGTCTGCCAAGCCAACAACTGAGGAGCAGATGTAGGGCCCAGAGGCACCAGCTGCAGGGATTCAGGGAAAGGGATTAAGGTACCAAGGGAAGTTCCAGGAAAGAGGAGAGATTGATCTATCTCCACTCAGCAGGCAAGGGTTTGGATGGGGAAAGGGAGGAGAAGGGTGTATGGCGAAGACTTTCTGACAGAGGAGGAAGGAATTTCTGGAGGAGGGGTGGGAGGTAAGCTGGGACTATGGCTGGGCTTGGGAGGAGGGACAGTGCAGGATCTGGTGGTCCTGTCTGTGCAGAGGGTGCCAGGCAGAAGAGCTGGTGGGACAGGGTGGGGCACACATTTGAGCCAGAAGGAGATCCAACCTCACCACCCTGTGCCCTGTGCGATCTCAGATGCTGGTTGGGGTCCCTCACCCCTTATCCTCTTCAGGGGAGTGGCCTGAGGAAAGTCCTTTTCAGAACCTGGTCCAAAAGCCTGCGTGGGAAGAAAGCGGGAGAGGGAAGCTGAAGACCTCTGTCCATGCGCCAGCTCATGTTTTATGCTTGCCAAGTCCCAGGAGGGACACGGGGAAGGTGGGAATCTCAGCCAAGTACACAGCTTATTCCCGGAGGGGCGACGGGCCACAATCAGGAGGTTGGGCTGGTGAGGCGGGTGGCAGGGGGTCCAAGAGGCTTGTGGAGGCAAAACCTGAGGACTGATCTGAAACAGGGGCAGGGGGAGGAATCACAGTTGGCAGACAGGAGCAAGCCTGTGAGGTATGTGGCTGTGTCCACTGTCCTTGAACAGAGGTGATGGCCAAGGGGACAAGCTGGGACTGAAACCAGCTCTGGCTACGAGCCCGGCCACACTGGCAGGTCTGGGAGAGGGGGCCCCTTTCTCTCATTTGCGCGAAGGGTCTGTTGGGGCTAGTGGGGCCCTGCTTGGGTCCCCTTTTTGCCCTCCCCAACTCCCCTACCCTCCCTTGCCCCTCCTCCTCCCTTTCCTCCTAACAGGCTCCTAACAGGCTCAAAAGCCTGTTTCCCCCTCCCCACTCCCACTTCAGTGAAATGCAGTGAGTTCTGAGGAAAGGCTCCATCTCAGCCATTTTCACCTCCATAGGAAGATGCTTTCTGCTCTGTTTCCTGTTACCTTTGCAAGGAAAGCTTCCTCCCTATTAAGTGGAAGTGGGAGGGAGCAGTTTGGAGGGGTGAGAGTTGGGGGTTTCCTATGGCCCCCTTGTCACTTATAGGGAGAAACCCTCCTACCACGAATGCCTAGACGGGGTCGAGTGTTGGCCAGAAAAGCTCTGGAGGGTTGCTGGTTTGGGAGGAAAGGCTGTGAATTGTTTTCAACAAGCATAGGCTTCTGCAGCAGGAGGACCCACACAAGGGCTGGTTTCTGTTAATGAAGCAACTGGAAATGTGAGCCTCTGACGTCCGAGTCAGCCTGTGTGGATGGTCCAAGAAGTGGGGAGTGGAGAGAATGAGGCCGATGTTTAGTTGCTCCACACATCTGAGTGTTCTCTGTGTTTGCCAAGCACAGTCTCAACCTTGGGTTCATTTCATCTGTGAGTTTATTCAGTAAATACTTATTAAGCACCTACTATGTGCCAGGCACACTTCGAGGCACAGAAAATGTAGCAACGATGAAGACAGATGGGGTCCTGCCTCATGGCAACAAATGATAAAATAGAGTGTCTGGTTGTGAAAAGAACTGTGAAGTCTAACCAAGTAGGTGAGGGCATAGAGAATGAGGACACACATGTGTGCACACATATGTATAAAGACATTTATTGTAAGGAATTGGCTCACACAAATATGGAGGCTGACAAGTCCCAAGAGCTGCTAGGCTCAAGACCCAGGAAGGGCTGATGTTCAGTTCAAGTCTGAAGGCTGGAAAAAAATAATGTCCCAGCTCGAAGACAGCCAGGCAGAGAGAGTTCTCTCTTACTCAGCCTTTCGGCTCTGTTCAGGCCTTCAAGTGATTGGGTGAGGTCCCCCCACATTAGGGAGGGTGATATGGTTTGGCTCCGTGTCCCACCCAAATCTTATCTCGAACTGTAATCCCCACATGTCCAGGGAAAGACCTGGTGGGAGATGATTGGAACATGGGGGTGGTTTCCCCCATGCTGTTCTCTGATAGTGAGGGAGTTCTCAGAGATCTGATGGTTTTATAAGGCAGTTTTCCCTGCTCTTGCTCTCTCTTTCTCTGTTACCTGCTGCCATGTAAGACATGCCTGCTTCCCCTTCCGCCATGATTGTAATTTTCCTGAGACCTCCCTAGCCATGCAGAACTGTGAGTCAATTAAGCTTCCTTTGTTTATAAGTTACCCAGTCTCAGGTAGTATCTTTATAGCAGTGTGAAAACAGACTAATACAGAGGGCCATCTGTGTTATGCAGTCTACTGATTCAGATGTTAATCCCATCCAGAAACACCCTCAGAGACACACCCAGAATAATGTTTGACCAAATACCTGGGCAGCCTGTGGCCCAGTCAAGTTGACACCTAGAATTCACCATCACAGCTTCTCTGAGAAGGTATCACTTTGAGAAGAAACCTAGTGAGGAGTGGGGGTGAGCCATGGGGTTGAGCCACGGGGATCTATAGGAGAAGAGCATTCAAGCAGTGGTGACAGCATGCGCAAAGGCCCTGAGGCAGAGGCATGGTTGGCCATGTGAGGCCCAGCAGGGAGGCCAATGTGTCTGGAAAGGAGTGAACATGATGGGTGGAAGGGGAACATGGTCCAAGAGGCAGCAGAGAGTGGGGTCCGGGTGGGGTGCACACAAGATTGTGCCTGGCTTTATCATCGATGGTAGGGACTGGATTTTATTCTGAGTCAGATGGGAAGATATTGGCAGGGGAGGGGGGTGGAGGGTTTAAGCAGAGGAGAGACTGGTCTGACATTGTTTTTATTTATTTATATTTATATTTTTTTTTAGAGATGGGATCTCACTCTGTCACCCAAGCTGTAGTGCAGTGGTGTGACCGTGGCTCACAGCAGACTTGAACTCCCGGCCTCAAACCGTTCCCCCGACTTCAGCCTCCTGAATAGATAGGACTACAGGTGCGTGCCACCACACCCAGCTAACTTTTTAATTTTAATTTTTTGCAGGGACAGCGTCTGCTATGTTGTCCAGGCTGGTCTCAAATTCCTTGCCTCAAGCGATCCAACTGCCTCAGCCTCCCGAGTCACTGGGATTACAGGCATGAAGACATTGTTTTCAAGGGATCACTCTGCTTTGTGGAGACTAGACTGTGAGGAGCAAGCCTCGAAAGGGGAGAGCTGTTTCGAGGTAAGAGATGGTGGCTGGTGGAGGGGGTGAGAAGCAGGTCAGAGTCTTTTCAAAGACATAACAATGTTTGCTGATGGCGAGGTAAAGTGACAGGAAGGAGCCAGAGAGGACTCTGAGGTTTTTGCCCTAAAGCTGGAAATAGGACTTTCATTTCCTGATGTAGGAACAGGTGAGATCCCACAGGGAAAGCCCACAGCACTGTGCTTCAAGTGAGCACTGGATACACGGAAGTGCCGGACATGCAGAATCCACGGAGGAGAAGCCTTGGAAGAGGAGGCCCCCGGGGATGCCAAGAAGAGAGCACCCTCAGTGGGGGCAGGCCCCTGTGTAGGTGCCGGAGGGACCTGCCATGCTCCCCGCTGCCCTCACTAGCCCTGCCTAGTGGCCCAGGCTCTTTGGCCTGTGTGGCTCAGCTCAAGCCCACCAGGAGGGTGTCTGCGCCCCGCCACCACGAATCAATATTGTCCCTGTGTTGGTTCTGCCCCAGGCTGCAGCAAAGAAGGTGGGGCAGGAGGGAGTTAGGGACTGGAGTTCCAAGAGATTTCATGGGAACCATGCTGGTGGGGGTGGGACCCAGCGATCCCAGGAGCAGCCAGCGCGGAAAGCTGGCTGTGGGCAATTCTCCATTCCGTGGAAGACCACAGTGCCCCCTCAAGGTGTACCTGGCTGCTGCCCCAGAGTCGCTGCCAGGTACAGGGGCTCGGGCTCCAAGATGAGCAGCTAAGAAGGAGAGGCCTGCTCCATGGGCAAGAAAGGGTTTTCTCCTCTTACTCCTGAGAGTAACCCAGGCCAACCCATGGGGAGGCAGATGGATGCCTGTCCCGGCACAGGCATCCTCAGAGTCTCTCTGTCCCCAGGTTCTCCACTGCAGCCTGCTCCACAGCCACGCCCTCCCATCCATGGCTACACACTCACATTCTGGGCCTCTTCCCTGGACCAGATTGCACAGCAGGGCCGCTCTCTCCAGTGCCTCCAGCTGGCCCCTGCTGACAAGTCCGTGTTGTGTCATGTTGGGAGTCTGGGCAAGGCACGAGGGCCCCTCTCTAGCAGGTCCCGATGGCTCCTCCACACCTTCAGGAAAAGCAAGAGATAAACCATTGCATGCTGAGCTCTGCAGGGAACTGGAGGCGGACACCATCCATTCTGCAAACCTGCAATGGTGACACTTCTGGAATCTCCTTGCCTCTTCCAGGGCTGCAGCCTCTAAGGCAGGTAAGACCCAGGCCAGGTTGGCTCAGGGACCTCTGTGTAGCATTGCTGACCTCATGTTATGGAAGCAGGAGGCCACTGTGAGATGCGGGGCTTAGCTGCCACCTTGGAGAAACAGCTCATTTGAGACAGCCAGGAGCAATTTAATCAGGCTAAGTTGGCCTGGCCCTGGGACCCCTGCCTTTTCCATGACAGCAGCGTCTGCTGAAAGCACATCAGAGCCCACACTTGCAAGTTCAAAGATGTCTGTCCCCAAGGTCTCAACCAGGGATGGCATCTTCTTCTTGGGGCACTTAGCATTTTGAGACTCTGGGAGAGTCCCCTGTGGGAACTGGGTGTACTGACACTGTGGAACCAAGGAAGCACCACGGCTGCAGAGAGACCCTGGGCCAGACCATCCAAATGAAGCCCAGGCACAGCAGAGGGCTCTGAGGAGGCGCAGGATGCAGGAGATGAAAGGGGAAAATGAAGGGGAGCCGCAGGTTCAAACTGCCCCTTCCCAGGAGTGAGCTACAGCTTGGCCACTTCTGTCTCATAAGAAGGAGGTTGTGACTTTGGGAGGTGGAGGGGGATTACAGCTGGGATTCCTGTTGCCTGCCTCCTGCCTCTGGGGCTCTCAGCTTTCTCTTCTCCCCAGGACTCTTTTCTTCCTCTCCCCCCACCTCCCCCCCCACTCCCCTCCTCCCCCTAGGTCCTGGCTCTCCCTCCCCGACCCGGTCTTCTTGGTACCAGCTAAGCCCTGGAGGGGCCACAGCCTCCCCTCCAGCCCCCCTGCCATGGGATGGCTGCTGTCTCCTTTGGATCTTTTTGCGGTCTGGGCTTGCTGTTCCTCTCAACAGTAGTCAGGAAGCCCTTACCCCAAAAAGTATCTGCGGGAGGCCTTGTCCACAGGGGAGGCTGCCCCAAGGGCTCCAGGTGAGTCACAGCAAACCCAAGAACAGTGAATGGAACTGGGGTCTCCTGGCTCTCCTTTAGAGTTGCTGAGTGACTTTAAGTCCAGCACTGAGCCTCTCTGGGCCTCACTTATGCCACTCTTTTCATCATTTACCAGTGGGCAATGTCAAGTGAGAGACTCCACAGATAAGAAAAATAAAGGAGTGGCTCAATTACATGCCAGGGAAAACCGCTTTGGTGGATGAAGGTCACACAGCTCTCCCAGCATTCTGTCCTCTGTATACAGATGATCTCCTTCTGAAATCCTTTTGGGGATGACCCCCTTCCACACCATGGACACTTCTGGGTGGGTTGTCACTCAAGAGGTCCTGCCCTCTTCTGCCCACTGGGTGGACACAAGAATTGAAATCTGTAAAGGATACTGAGATTGGGAACAAAATAATTGATGCTGATTGATCCCAGCAGTGTATGGCGAGAAGATGACAAGCTTCCACTGCCTGTATCACTGACTTGCCTAATGTCTGCCCTGCCCTGGCCTGGATCTTAACCGCGCCCTTCATTCTGTGAACTACCCCCAAATCCTTCAAATAAAGTCCTTGATTGCTTGTTAGAGTCAATAATATTGCTTGCTGAGGATCCAGAGACCTCTAGAGAGAGGAGGTGGAATTGCACACCCTGGGAAAGAGGAAGGTGTGAGTTACCATCCCTGGGGGAGGCCCCACAGGTGTCAGCCCTCAGGGGGCAGGGGACTGACAGGGGACAGAGCTGACAGCAGGGGTCATATACAAGAGTTGGGTTGGGGGCCTAAGGAAACTTCCCCAAAGGTGAGAACCATGTTGGGATAAAGGACAGAGGAGGACCTATATGATATGGAGAGAAGTGAAATACAGCTAAGTGGGGTCCTCACCTCTAAAGAGGCCAGGGGCCGGGCACATCTGTAATCCCAGCACTTTGGGGAGCCGAGGTGGACAGATCACTTGAGGTCAGGAGTTCAAGACCAGCCTGGCCAACATGGTGAAACCCCGACTCTTACTAAAAATACAAAAATTAGCTGGGCATGGTGGCGCAAGTCTGTAATTGCAGCTACTTGGGAGGCTGAGGCAGAGAATCGCTTGAACCAAGGAGACAGAGGTTGCAATGAGCCGAGACTGCGCCACTGCACTCCAACCTGGGTGAGAGAGCAAGACTCCATCTAAATAAATAAATAAATGGGGCAGAAAACAGGTTATGCCAATTACAGGTTGTTGTAGATTCCCAGTCCCTCCTCCTCATGCCGGATAGCTGGGGGATCGACACTGCAGCCGCGGTGAGGCCACGGCAGGTCAGGAATGACCACACGGACATCCATCTTGTTGTCCACCACTGACAATGAGACGGATGACCAGGCTCCCGAGTGCCGAGTGCCGTAGTGCTCTGCGGCCAGGAAATGGCCAGGGGCCAGGGACCCTCCTTATCTGGAATCCTCCCACTCGGCCCTGGGGTGGCCACTTGTGCCGAGACAGCCCAAGGTTGGGGGCGTGGCATCAGGCCTCCCCAAGGCCTTTACTGCTGCAGAGCCACAGCCCTCAAGAAACAAGGCCCCTGGAAGATTCCTTCCCTAAGCAGAAGCTGCTGGAGGCCATTTTAAGGCAATATGTGAGCTGGCGTGTCGCCTGCAACTGAGTTCAGAGGTGCTAAAGGATCCTGAGTGGGGCTGGGGGTTTGCTGTGGAGGTTCAGGAAGAAAGGCTGGGTTTACGGGTCCAGGAACAATTACTGCAGGTTTGTGAGGCCAACCGAGCCCCCACTAGGTGACAGCCAGACAGCAGTGGGAGAAGGGACGATGGCGACGAGCAAAACGGCACGGCTGAATAATACCTGTGACCACGGGAGCTCCTGCCCCTGATGCTATCCTGACCCTCCCCATCCCACCCAGCTGCAAAGCAGTTGTTGCTCTGCCACCTGCTGCCAGCATGCGGGTGGGAATGCGTGTGCAGCTCAAGGGTGGCATCGTGTGGTCATAGTGGGGTAGTGCACCTCACAGCTTCCAAAGAGCTTCATTCTGCGGAGTCACTCAAGGAATTTTGAGTCTATGTGCCAGACTCTGTTCTAGGACTGCAAGATCTTTCCTAACAGAATCAGAGTTTTTGTGAGGAGCAGTCTTGAGGGGTGCAGAGCCTGAGAGGGGAAGGGGAGAAGAGAAGGAGAGAAGGAGAGAAGGAGGGGAGGTGGGAGGGGGAGGGTTGCTAGAGCCCCTTGGTGAGCGTGTCTACAGCCAGACTGCTCTAGGGCACCTTTCAAAGTGGCTTCTGGGTCCACATCTCAGGCATTTGACGACTTAACCCTTTGCATGAGCCTCGCAAATTGCAACTCAAATCCCTGCCACCCTAGAGAACCTATTCCCTCCAGAGGGAGAGGGACTCAGGAGAGGCACTATTCCAAAAAGGCTCCTGTTCCCAATGTTAAAGGAAAGAACCCAGACTTCAGAATCAATCCGATCTGGATTCAAATCTCAGGTTGTCCCTGCGCCAGCTATGTGGCCTCAGGAAAGTCCTTAGCCCTCTCTGTGCCTCGGTGTCCTCATCTGTAAAACAGGGAAAATCATGCCCCTCTGACAGGGCGGTGGGTTCTAGTCAGTGAAATAATGTCAGGACAATGGATGGTCCCCACCATAAAAAGCAAGGCCCCCGATTCTGTGTCCAGGGGTATCAGCTCTGGGGGGCATCTGCTTGGCTGCTCATGAGTGGCTGTCTTTCCACAGCTGTGTGGATGTGTCTGGCATTTAGCAGTCGGTTGTCTGAAATCAGCCATGGAGTTTTGCCCCCTGCTTTATTGCTCCCAAGCAGGTTCCTCACCTGCCGAGCGCCTGCGGCTGTGTGCCAAAGGCTGAGTGCGCCACAGCGAGGAGCAGCTGCCAGACCTGGAGTGAGCAGAGGGAGAAACTGGACTTCAGAATAATCAGAGCTGGATGCTAATCTCAGGTCCCACCTGCACTAGCTGTGTGGTCTCGGGAGAGTCTTACGGGTGGGAAGGACCAGGGCCTTGTGGGCTGAGAGGCTTGGGGAAGCCAGGGGGAGCCAGGTCCCCTCACTGCTCTCGAAGAACCGGCAGTGGTGTTGGAACTCCCAGAGCTGGAGAGGCTCAGGCCGGGAAGGGCTGTCCTGACCTGCGGGCCATCATGGCCTTTCGGGGAGGGAGGGAGGAGATGAAGAGGTGGCACAGAATTGACAAAGGAAAGGCAGGAATGAAAAGGAAGGTGGGGGAATGTGGAAGGCAAAATGAGAAGTCTCTCCGGGTGGCTGATGTCACCCTTTCTGATTGCTCGAGGTGCCAGCAGGGGCACCTTGGCAAGGTGTCCCCTCTCCCAGGAGGCTGAGACCAGGATCTGATCCAAGCTGGGCCACCTGGAGAGAGTGGCCTGAACTAGTCTCCATCATGCTCTGGGCCTGGGTTTCTGCATTTGTAAAATGAGAGGAATGTGCTGGATCAGATACAATCTCCTCTCCCACCAGGCCCACCCCACACTCGGCAGGAAAGCAAGGACTGGGGCCCCAACAGCTGTCCTTGAGAGTGGGAGCCGCTGAGGGCACAGGAAGGAGTTTTGGGGGCGGCAGGCAGGGAAGCAAGCAGGATGGGAACGCCAGGCTCTCAGGGGAAGGAACCAGATAAATCATCAGCAAGGAAAACCTATAGGTTTCCCCAAAGTACAATTTGAATAGAAATGTCAAATGCACCTGGAGTTATTACACCCTGTAATCCTAATGACATATAATCCTATACACCAACAGGATAATATCACGAGTGTGTGTGGCAACACTGCCGCATGTTAATCCTGCCTGCCTCCTGGGATGATCTTTCTCATCCCAGCAGAGCCTACAGAGCCTCCTTTGTTCTTCCCAGAAGTGGCCTCATCGGGCTGGACCTGGGGGAGGTGACCAAGGAAGTGAAAATCAAAGAGCCCAAGGAATGAAGCTGGCATGGCGCTAGTCAGGGGATGGACAGGTGTGGTTTGGTGCTTTCATTTTTTGCCTAATCTGGATGCATCCTAAGTCCCCTGGAAGTTGCCAGCCCCACATCAGCATCTGTGTTGAGGACCCTCTTCTCTCCCCGCCTACCCCCGCCCCTAACCCTTTCCTTCTCTCTCATTCTTCCTTTCCTGTATCCTTCCCTTTCTTCCCCAGCATCTATGCTCTGTTCTGCCAGGAGCACTCTCGGAGATATGGTTCGTCCTCTTGAGAGGGAAAGCCTCCTGGGACTCGCGTGCACCCGTCCTGTCCAGCTGCGCTCCTTAGTTGCGGGCCCTGGAGCCAGGGAAGGTGGGAGTGGACTTTCGCCTGAGGCAGCAGCTGCGTGGTTAGTGGTCTGTGGCCAGGGGGGCATTTCAAGGTAGGGCACAGAACTTCCAGGCCAGTGCACCAGCCCAAAATAGAGCCCTGGTTGGCTTTATCTACCGTGTAGCCTGTGCTGGTCCCCATGACATAAGCTTCTTTTGCTGTGAGACAGGAAATCTCTTTCTAGGCTCCTGGGGAGATGAGATTTTTCAGGTCAAAGTCTCAGAGTCATTCACACAATCCAGGAATCTCTTCCCAAACTCCATACTCCTATGCTCGGCCCTCCAAGGCAGTGATTCTCGAAGTAGGAACCACTTCAAGACCAGCAGCTCAGCACTACCAGGGATCTTATTAGAAATGCAAATTCTGCCAGGTGCGATAGCTCACACCAGTAATCCCAGCACTTCGGGAGGCCGAGGGGGCAGATCACTTGAGGTCAGGAGTTTGAAACCAGCCTGGCCAACATGGTGAAATCCTGTCTCTACGAAAAGTACAAAAATTAGCTGGGCATGATGGCGCATACCTGGAGTCCCAGCTACTCAGGAGGCTGAGGCAGGAGAATCGCTTCAACCCAGGAAGCGGAGGTTGCAGTGAGCTGAGGTTGCACCACTGCACTCCAGCCAGGACGACAGAGCAAGACTCCATCTCAAAAACAAAAACAAAAAAAAAAAAAACAGAAATGCAAATTCTTAGATCCCAGTGCCAAGGGTGGCTGGAGACAGTTTGTAACATCTCAGGAGAACCAATTGCACATGTCTCTTTCCTAACTCCACATTTAGTGACCATCACACTGGGGGCTTGAAATCAACCACGGTGAGAGTGTTTACACTGTGGAACATTACAAATCAGTGCTCATTTTTCTTTCTGAAAGCCCATTGTTAAACAGTTTCCAGCACACCACTGGACCCTACCCAGACCTACTGAACCAGAGCCCTGAAGGTGGAACCCCACAATCTGTGTTTCAATAAGCTTTCCAGGTGATTCTGATGCACATTCAAGTTTGAGAATCACTGTTCCCATGGGCCAGCTCTAGTGGTATCATAAGAAAGAAAGGAATGTGGGGGTGCCCAAGGAGTAGGATTTCACAAGGAAACTTTGGAAAAGGTAAAGAAAGAAGAGAGAAAGTAAACTAGGCCCTGGGGCCTTCCTCCAGGCAAAGAGGCAACCAGGCACTTGGCAGGAAATACCCCTGGACGGAGATGAGACCTGCAGCCCCAGGGAATGGAAGGAGGAAAGAGAATCTGGTGAGTAGGTGGGATGCAGCCAACGTCAAATAGTCATTTTTCCACGTATCCAGATGAGGGAGATGGCGTCAATTACTCTAAGTCATGAGATCGGAAGGGCACAGGATAATTGGCTGGAAAAATGCTCCTTTGGGTGCATATTTCTGTAACAAAGAAAAACACATTTATGAGCATTTGTTTTGTTTGTTTGAGGCAGGGTCTCACTCAGTCACCCAGGCTGGAGTGCAGTGGCACGATCATGGCTCACAGCAGCCTCAAACTCCTGGGCTCAAGCAATCCTCCTGCCTCAGCCTTCCCAGTAGCTGGGGCTACAGGTGCACACCACCATGCCTGGCTAAGTTTTGTATTTTTGGTAAAGACAAGGTCTCACTATCTTGACCAGGCTGGTTTTGAATTCCTGGGCTAAAAGGATTCTCCCACCTCAGCCTCTCAAAGTGCTTGGATTACACGTGTGAGCCACCATGCCTAGCCATGAGCATTTCACTGAAGATAGAAGGAAGAGAAATCCTACGAAGTGTTTTTCAGGGAAGGGATGAAAATGGAAAATCCTAGCAAATGCTCATTACTACTCATGTAAATGTGTGCAAAATGCCACTGGAATTTTCTTTCCTTTTTTCCGTTGTGAAATATTTCAAACATATAGAAAAAGACAAGGAGTAATATAACAAAAGCCTTGTACCTACCACCAGAAATAGCAAGTGCTACCATTTTGCCACATTTATGTCAGATCATTTTTTAAAAGAAATGAGACAGCCCAGGCACAGTGGCTCATGCCTGTAATCCTAGCACCTTGGGAGGCCGAGGTGGGAGGATTGCTTGAGCCTAGGAGTTTAAGACCAACCTGGGCAGCATAGCAAGACCCCATCTCTACAAAAAACAAAAAATTAATGGGGTATGGTTGTTCGTGCCTGTTTCAGCTACTCAGGAGGCTGAAGTGGAAGGACTGCTTGAGACTGGGAAGTTGAGGCTGCAGTGAGCCATGATCACGCTGCTACACTCCAGCCTAGGCAACAAAGTGAGACCCTGTCAAAAAAAAAAAGGAAAAGAGGAAAGAAGAAATAGAGAAAGAGAGAAGAAAGGAGAAAGAAAGAAAGAAAGTAAGAAAGAAAGAAAAAAGGAAGAAAAAGAGGAAGAAAGGAAGAAAAAAAGAAAAAAGGAAGAAAAAGAAGAAGAAAGGAAGAAAAAAAGAAAGAAAGAAAGAAAAAAGAAAGAAGGAAGGAAGGAAGAGAGAGAGAGAAAGAAAGAAAAAACCTTACAGACACAGTTGAAGTCTTTGTGCCCCTTTTCCTTCCTCCAACTGTCCTGAAGTTGGTAGGTATTCTCACACTGGTGCTCATACTTTACCATATATGTATTACTCGTAAATTACACCTAGCATTGCTTTGAGTGCTTCTTAATTTATGTAAGTGATGTCACACTAAACCCACCATTCTGGAACCTACTTTTTTTTCAGCTAAATTGTGTTTCCAAGATCGGTCCATGTTGATGCATGATACATTCATTTTTACTGCTGAATAACATGAAACTGTACAAAGATACCACAATCCATCCACTCACCTACTAATAGACATTTGTTTCCAGTTTTTCACCATCACAAATGATTCTGCAGTGGACATCCTTGAACATGCTTCTGTAGAGTAGACCCCTACAAGTGGTGTTGCTGGGCCGCAGGGAAGATGCGTTCCAGTTATTAGACATGCTGTCAATTTACTCGCTAGCTTGGCTGAGCCAGTTCACGCTTGTGCCAGCAGCAGACAAAACAACTGAAAATGTTATTTATTCAGTGTGCTCTTGGATTGGGCTCTCTTCTGAATGCAAAACCAATTATAAGGATTTTCTCTAGTTCGTTCCCGACCTTTGTTCTCCAATTCTACTTTCCCTTAAAGTCTTAAATTCTTTAGCCATAAATTCTTCTACAACTAGGGTTTTCCAGAATCTGACCTAGTGGCCAAGAAGAAATGACTGGTATGTGTGTTACAGGATGGAGTCGGGTATGTGTGTGTATGTGTGTGTGTGTCTGTGTTTGTAGCTTTGTACCAAAGCCAACAAGAAAGAACTGGAAGGACAAGACTTTCCATAGCATCTTTTAAATGATGCATCAAACCCAGGAAAGAGGGGTAACCAGTGTGACCCAGAATCCACTCTCAAGCTATAGGTCCTTTCCTCCCCCTCTTATTTGTTGGGGGTCAAGGGGGAGTTGTCCCAGGACATTACTCTGTGGCTCCATCTTCCCTGCTCCCCAAACCCACCAGACTCCAGACACTTCTCTAAGCTGTGTAAACCTAGGGGTGAGGGAAAGAGGTACTCTGTGCAGAGGAGGGGCAGCCCCATGTGTTCATCTGGGGTAAAGGGCTGACTTTTGGCCCCAGGCCTAAGAGCTCTCTGTCCATGCCAAAGATTCCTCCTGCATCTGGGCCTGTGGGGTTGGGAGAGCTGCCAAAATCCTAGACTGGGCAGTGACAGTGGAGAGCCTATATCTTGGCCACTGAGCCGATTCCTCAGCCCCAGGACCATACAGAAGTTGTCTGGAATTCCTTCCCTCACAGGCCCTGAAGCAGGAGCCTCCAAGGCCTCTGAAGTTGACTTGAGAAAAGGGGATGGGGGGATAAGGAGGGGGATAGGGATTCAAGGGACCACCACAAAGTTGCCTAGCTCAAACCAAAGACATTTCAAGAGGCAGGAACCTGAAGTGAATGAAAAAGCACAATTCACAGTTAAGCGAGAGTAGGGAGGGCCCTGACCCAAAGACTATTTTTGTGTTTTTTGTTTGTTTTTTAGGGTTTTTTTGAGATAGGGTCTCACTCTGTCACCCAGGCTGGAGTGCAGTGGTGCAATCACAGCTCACTGCAGCCTCCACTTCCGAGGCTCAAGCAATCCTCCTGCCTCAGCCTCCCCATAGCAGGGACCACAGGCACACACCACCACACCCGGCTAATTTTTAAATTTTTTTGTAGAGAAGGGATCTTGCTATGTTGCCCAGGCTGGTTCAAACTCCTGGGCTCAAGCAATCCTCCTGCCTTGGCCTCCCAAAGTGCTGGGATTACAGGAGTGAGCCACTACTCCTTTCTTTCTTTCCAACAGAAAGACTATTTTTGGATGGGATTTCTCCCCCAGCAAACACTTGAAGTGTGACCTACAGGAGTTGTTTGTTTGGAGGGGGGCATTTGTCCTTTATCAAAAAGATGAAACCTGGTTGGGTGTGAGTTTCTTGCCTGTAATCCCAGCACTCTGGGAGGCTGAGGCAGGAGGACTGCTTGAGGCCAGGAGTTTAAGACCAGCCTGGGCAACATAGGGAGACCCTGTATCAACAACAACAAAAAATTAAAAATTAGCCAAGCATGGTGGTGCACACCTGTAGTCCCAGCTACTCAGGAGGCTGAAGTGGGAGGATCTCTTGAGCCCAGGAGAACGAGGCTGCAGTGAGCCATGATCACACCACTGCACTTCAGCCTGGGCAAGAGAGTGAGACCGTATCCCAAAAAGGAAAACGATAAAGCATGAACATCTTGGCGTCCTTGTTCCACAGACTCCTTTTGGCCCAGAACAGTCTGCCCTTTGGGCAGCAGGTGGCTTGCTTCAGCCTGGAGGCCAGGAGGCCTACTCAGGCGCCCAGGGCGATTCACCAAGGGACCTCACCTCTGAGCCCCGCCTACCACCCAATGAGGACGCGCGGACATGACGTCACTGCATCCTGTTGCCCAGCCCAGACCAGGAGAATGGGACAAGCTGGAGAAAAGAGCCAGTGGAAGTGCCAGATGCCAAGAGAGAAGTTGGGGGAAAAAATGGTGGAGGGCAAATGAGTCAGCAGCAAGTTTAAGCAATGAACCATTGCATCACGGGGTGTTTCTCAAATTCTTGTCTACTTTTAGAAAAAGTACGCAATGACATTCAGTGGGCATCTTGATTCTGAAATAGCTAAAGAAAATGTTAAAAATGCAGTGGGTGAAGATGTGCCCACATTAACCTCTTTTCTAAAACAACAGTTGACAATTGTGCTACATGTCCTTAAGCAAATCTTTTAGCCTGCCTGTTCCTTAGTTTCCTCATCTGTGACATGAGGGGAATGTATGAAAAATATCTCTGGAGATTCCTTCCAGTCTAACATTCTGTGGTTTGATGATTGATACTATGCTCACATTCTTAATACTCAGGCTGTGTCTACACAGTGCCAAGACAACTAGCTAATTCAGTGAGTATGGACAAAATGTTCTTCCAATCAATTCTTTGGCACGCTGTAGACAAATTGGCACTTCTTTTCATTTTACAACTGGTTGCTCCGGCTTCTTCTTGACCAGTGCTTCTTCAATGGTGGTATCCTGACATGCTGTATGCCTGGAGCACTTAGGAGGTGTGTCCTAGGCAGTTGGCTATGGATAATGAACTGTTGAGGTTCTCAAATCGTTGATGACTTTTTTTTAATCAATTAGAACAGATTCAATATGGTCCTATAGTAATGCCCCTGCTGCTTAGTTGCAATCCGATATGCCTCCCTGAAAGGAAGAAGTGGTGGAATTACAGCTGCCGGACAGAGACTGCCTGTAGCCCTGACCCTGTTGGATGCCCATGGGAGGGTGTCATGTGTTGTGCATGTGAATGTCATTTATCATCTGCAACACAGCACTTGAGAATGACTGATGGAAACCCCTGAGACATGGTCGGACATCAAGGCACTGGAGACTCAGGCCCTGGAGAAATCTGAGCCAGCATCCTATGACGCAGGTGCAAACCAGGAAGAGTACAGAATGGAGGGCCTGTTCATTATGCCTGTCTCTTGGTCCAAAATGAATGATTTCACCATAATCTGTTCATAGCTGGGGAAGGAAAGGGGGCGTGAAATAGCGTTTATTAATCATGTAGGGGCCAAGCCCAGTGCCAGACACTCGTGGCAGGTTTTAGTGTTGCTCGCCATGTACTTTTTATTCTCAGCTGTCCAGGGGGATTACACTTCCTCCCTCTTGTGGTTTGGAAGAGTAATGTAAAATTCTGGCCAATGGGTTGTGGGTAGAAGTGACATGTACCAACTGAATGCCAGGGCATTTCGCTGATAGTTTTAGACCCTCCAGAGCTCCCTCTCCCTCTAGCATGGGAACTGGCAACAGTCTGGTGGCTCTTCCATCACCAGCTGGAATCCTGGAATACTAGGAAACCGAGCTCCGAGAAGAGACATGAGGCGTGTGTATCATGCATTGCACGTGAGGATGGAGTAAAACTTTGTTGTTGTAAGCCACCAAGATTTTCAGGCTGCCTATAACTGCAGCACAACCTAATTTTGTGCTGTCTGATGCCATGTTTTATATAACATGGTAGTGTAGTAGAAAAATGTGAGCCTTAGAGTTTAAAATGCTGGGCACGATGTCTCACGCCTGTAATCCCAGAATTTTGGGAGGCCAAGGTGGGAGGATGGTTTGAGCCTGGGAGTTCGAGACCAGCCTGGGCAACATAGTGAGACTCCATTTTATTTTACTTTTTAAAAAAATAAAATAACAATTTAAAAAATAGAGATTAAAAGACATGAGCTAAAACCTAAACACTCACTGACTGTGAGCAAATCTGTTAGCTTCTTTGAGTCTCAGTTTCTTCATCTATAAAATGGCACGATGTTTTTATTAGGTTCGGAAATAATATTTAAAAATATCTAGCACAGGATTTGGCACATAGTAGATGCTCAGTTACAATGATTATAATTTCATGTATTCCTCAAAATAATACTATGAGTAAAGAGAGGGTATGGGTGTAAGAGAAAGGATAGTCATTACTGATGTTTCAAATGCCGTCATACACTATGGAGAACACTGACCAGGGACCCCAAGGGTAGGGGAAGGTTTGAAGTCATCTGTGTCCACCCTCCCCTGAACTCAGAGAAGTCCTAGAAGGGAGAGAAGGCCTGAAGACACCATTTACAATTTAGCCTTTCCACTGCCAGAGGAAAAGCAGATTCTACTTATGGTAGTGACTATTGACACCTTCAGCATATAAAATAAGAATATAGCAGTGGAGTGAGTTAGTGTCCCTGTTAGTTTCACTGAAGCTTGTTATCCTAGCAAAGCGCCAGCCAAGGTCTTTCCCAAAGGCGCAATGAACTAAACTCTTCTCTGAAATCAGCTTATTAGTATTATCATGACCACTTCAGCTAGCTCACCCAGGACCTGGGAATGAGCTGGAGAGTGAACTACAGAGGAAGGGAGAGAAAGAGAATATCCTCAAGGCAGCAGGGGATTGAGGGGTCCTTTGTCTCCTCCTGCTTCCCAGCAAGTCTTGCCTGATGGAGGAACAAGAGCAGTCAGAGGACGGGGTGGGGAAATTCCAATTCTGTGTGTCCTTCCTTCACCATGCCAGCTGCTCTGGAAACCTCCAGTTCCAGGTCAGATGCCTGCTGCAGTTCCCACTTATATTTAATTTGGTAGAGTATATCTCCTCCAATCCCAGTTTTCTCCAAGGTCTGCTCCCAGATCATCGTTTGCCTCTTAAATACCACATCCTAGCCATGAACTTGGAATTCTGAACATTCAATGGCCTGCCCCCTTGGAACGCCTCAATTCTGCCTCTGGGATGAAAGTTCCTTGCACGTTTTCACACACATGGAGTGCAGAGAGTCACTGAGGACCCAAGGAGAACTTGAACATCACCTTGACCACCTGTCATCAGCAGGAAGTCAGGCTGGAAGCACTTGTTGAAGCCCCCACAACCTTTGGTGAATGAAAAATAGAGATGTTCCATTCCAGACAAAGCACTGCATGCTTGGGCAGCTGTTCCACCTGCCACCAATCCAACCCGGATTTGCTCTTCACTGACTTTTCACTTTTCCACGCAGACCAAGACCCCATGAAAATGCCCATGGCCAGTGGGGTGACTGATTTCCAGCAAATGTGTGGTCCTTCTAAATTGGGGAGGTTTACCAGAAGCATGTATTAGATGAACATGGATTTGTGACCTGTGCTCAGGTCCCTGTTAGTTTCACTGAAGCTTGTTATCCTAGGAAAGCACCAGCCGAGGTCTTTCCCAAAGGTGCAATGAACTAAACTCTTCTCTGAAATCAGCTTATTAGTATTATCATGACCACTTCAGCTAGCTCACCCGGGACCTGGGAATGAGCTGGAGAGTGAACTACAGAGGAAGGGAGAGAAAGAGAATATCCTCGAGGCAGCAGGGGATTGAGGGGTCCTTTGTCTCCTCCTGCTTCCCAGCACAGCTTTAAACCCTGTGCTCAGGGTTTAAAGCATGGCGAGAATGGAAACCGGATGGTGAGATTGAGTCCTGGTGGGGCTAGTTGACTTCATTTTGATCAAGATCACAGATTTTACCCCTGACCCAGATTAAAATCTATAAAATGGGCTTTTGTGACCATGAGAGACACAAGCAGTGACGTGCAGGAGCAGACTTATAGTGGCTTGTGAGAGCCAGGTGTAAAATATTCTGGAGCTTTGTAAGCCAATTTTTAAAATCATTAGTAGCTTGAAATCTATCGTGGTGCAAGTATTTATACCATGGAAATTGGTAAACCCCTACAAATCGGGGTTTCTCTTCCTCCTTCCCTCCTCCTCCTTCTTTGTGAGAGCTAGTTTACCAAGGCATGTGTGTCTTCTCGCAAAACCATTCTTTCATTGGAAAAACTATTCCAGATATGGGATCAGGGGAACAGTTTTGTATATGGGAAGAACATAGCTCTCTGGAATCACAGACAGCTTTGAGGACTCAAAAAAAAAAATCAACAACCAACTTTTAACATTGATAGAAACTTTGATTAGATAGGGAGTTGTGGCTTCAGTGACTGTGCTGAGATTTTAAATTTAAAAGATCTTGCTGAAGTGAAAATTACATGTAAATGTTGGGTTGTATAGCACTGTAGGAGTCTGTAAAAAGAGCTGTAGTAATGTTCTGTAAAAAGTCTTTATTGAATTCTCAGTAGAGCAGTGGTCTGTCGTTGATGTGGCTTCCAGGGAGGGAGCATCTGGCCCCCAATCCTTGCAGAGAGGGGCTGACACCCGGATTGCTGCTGACTGTGCCCACTGCTGTGGGGGCTGCTGCAGGAGGGAAAAAGAGCTTTGAATAATCTGTTACGAGCTCAACCGTGTCCCCTAAAATTCATACATTGAATTCCTAATCACCAATGTAACTGTGTTTGGAGATAGGATCTTTAAGGAGGTGATTAAGGTTAAATGAGGTGGGGCACCAATCCAATCTGACTGATGTCCCTATCAAAGAGGAAATGTGGACACACAGAGACACACTGGGGATGAGCATGCATAGAGAAAAGGCCACATGAGGACACAATGAGAAGGTTATGTCTGCAAGCCAAAGAGAGAGGCCTCACCAGAAACTAAGTCTGTGGGCACCTTGATCTTGGATTCTCAGCCCCAAAACTGTGAGGATGTAAATTTCTGTTGTTTAAGCCAGCTCATCTGTGGTATTCTGCTATGGCCGTCCTAGCTGGCTAATACCATCTGCAATCCAGATTGCTTATTTCTGTTCTTATCTGTTGATTGATCAGTTTTACAGGGTAATTGACCTTCCTCCACAATTCTTCAGGCTCTCCTAACCCTGCCTGAGATTCTCAATGTGCCTAGTCACCCAACTGTGACACCAAGGGGTGGGGCCATGGAGACTGACTCAGAACTTGGCAGGTTACCTTAGGGGGTGACAGTCAGATTGAACGTGTGTAGAACTTAGCTCTGCCAGCATTTAGCTGCAGAATCATGAGCAAGCCTTTGTCCCCTTTATGCCTCAGCGTCCTCATCTGTAAAATGGAGGCAAAAATATTCTCCCTTATAAGATTATGTTGATGATAAAACAAGATCATGGAAGGATAAGCACGTGGCACAGTGCTCAGTGAGCACTCTCTTCTGAAGCGAAGCAGGCCTGGGGACAGCCTGGCTTAGAGATGGCTCTGCTTGCCCTAGCACTGGGTGGGTGGAGGAGGCATCGGGGGATGGGGAGGGTGCCTGAGAGGGCAGGGTCATTCCTCTCCAGGTGACCTGCACTGTGGGGAGCAGGTCACCTCACTAGGACAGTTCCTCCTGGGACCAAGACCTTCCCCCTGTTGAATTTTTCTCCCTTTGGTTGTTCCCTCACAGAACATGCTCTTCATGGAGAATACTGTGTGGCTTAAATAAGATAATCAAGTAAAAGCTTCACAGAGAGCCTGGCTTTCAGCAGGCACTCAATACATGGTAACGATTTCTACATCTGCAGTTCCTAAAGCAGCTTTCACGCCACCCCCCAGGGCAGCTGTAGCCACAGAATTGAGGCATAATTTGGACACTGTTGGTAGAAACAGCATTGGGTAACTTTATTAACCAATTTGGTTCAGCCTTATTAAGGAGGAGAGCTCCATTCATGCCAAAGGCTTCTCCAAGCCCTTCGCAAATAACCAGGATTCAACAGCCTGAACTCCCCCAAGAATGACTCCGTGCCAGAACACAGCACAACCCAGCAGTGTGGCCCTTCCTGATTCTCCCATCCTCCTTGCCACATGGGCTGATGGAGGCTTAGGTTCTGTGGCTTTACCGAGCTCCAACTCTCTTCCTGCACTTGAGCAAGAGCACTTGGTGACCTGGTGAGATGGTAGAAATGGACACAAGCCCTGACTCCTGGCAGGAGACTTCAGACTTGCAGCATGTGCTTAAACCACAGGAAACGGTGTGGCTCACAAGTGGTCTGAGCCCAGGAATGATGAACCCCATGATGCTGGGAGTTCATCTCATCGAGTCAGCTCTGTGACATTTGGGCCATGGAGCTGTGGACCCAGCTCTCCAGGAACTTCTGCCTGCAGTGACTGAAAGCTCTTTTGACACTTTTCTATTTTACTATCCCCTGGGATCCTGCTGAGCACACAGGGAGGCTTCAGTAGAAGTCACTTTGTGTCTCTGTGTCACCTTCTGATTAAAATAACTTTAAAAGTCATGTTCTGGGCCATGCACGGTGGCTCATGCCTGTAATCCCAGCACTTTGGGAGATTGAGGTGGGTGGATCACCTGGGGTCAGTTCAAGACCAGCCTGGCCAACATGACAAAACCCTGTCTCTACTAAAAACACCAAAAAAAAATTAGT
The DNA here is from genome assembly GCF_000001405.40 of Homo sapiens. Lineage (NCBI taxonomy): Eukaryota > Metazoa > Chordata > Mammalia > Primates > Hominidae > Homo > Homo sapiens. The sequence goes on from NC_000007.14 coordinate 128,223,567, forward strand.
CAGTCATGGTGCGTGCACCTGTAATCCCAGCTACTCAGGAGGCTGAGGCACGAGAACCACTTGAACTCTGGGAGTAGAGGTTGTAATGAGCCGAGATCGTGCCACTGCACTCCAGCCAGGGTGACAGAGCAAGACCCTATCAAAAAAAAAAAAAAAGGAATCAAAAAGAAAAAAAAGTCATGTTCTGGAATGGCCTGCTTCGTAGGTACAAAAGAGCAGGGTTTGCAGAGTCAGGCAAAATAAAGGGTTGGCTTGCAATCTAACCTTATCAGAGACCTGGTGGCTAAGGGACCCTTCTGTGGAGATTTGCGAGAATGTACTCAGCAGAGAGGTGAGGCTCAGAAATGAATTCAGGTAAGGAAAATCCTCTGCTGATTCAGAAAAAGGGCACTCACGAGTTTCTAACATTCTGGAAACATCACATGTTACTCTATTTACTCCCTATTTACTCTCTTTCTATCTGCAGGGCCCAAAGCAGGATGGAGATAAAGATGCCCAGAAGAAACCAAAGCCTTCTTGGGGGAAACTGTAAGAAGTCAGGAGGGAATTCTTTATTAGAAATTGAAGATCCCGCTGGGCGTGGTGGCTCATGCCTGTAATCCCAGCACTTTGGGAGGCCGAGGTGGACAGATCACCTGAGGTAGAAGTTCGAGACCAGCCTGGCCAACATAGCAAAACCCCATCTCTACTAAAAATACAAAAATTAGCCGGGCGTGATGGCACGCACCTGTAATCCCAGCTACTCAGGAAGCTAAGGCAGGAGAATCACTTGAACTTGGGAGGTGGAGGTTGTAGTGAGCCAAGATGGCGCCATTGCACTCCAGCCTAGGCAACAAGAGCGAGACTCCATCTCAAAAAAAAAAAAGAAAAAGAAAAGAAAAGAAAAAAAAAGAAAGAAAGAAGTTGAAGATCAAAGCTGGAGACCAGGACTCTTGACAAATCTGACCAGATTTGAAACACACCTAAGAAATGTAAGACTCAATTAATTCTACATGAGCCTAAGAATTAAACCAAATAAAGAATGACAACACAAGTAATGAGGATACTGGCTTATGCCTAGGTGTTTGTATTTCTTTAGGTCTAACTCCAACTGTATATCCTATTTTAAATTAATATTTGTTATTCTTTGTTTTTTGTTATTTTAATAAAAAGCTCTATTTAAATGTATTTAAATAACATTAGCCAGATGTGGTGGCTCATGCCTGTAATCCCAGCACTTTGGGAGGCTGAGGCAGGTGGATTGCTTGAGCTCAGGAGTTTGAGGACAGCCTGGCCAACATGATGGAACCACGTCTCTACAAAAATACAAAAATTAGCCAGGCATGGTGGCACACACCTGTAGTCTCAGCTACTTGGGAGGCTGAGGTGGGAAGACTGCTTGAGCCTGGGAGGTTCAGGCTACCATGAGCCTTGATCACACCACTGCTCTCAAGCCAAGGCAACAGAGTGAGACCCCATCTCAAAACAAAACAAAAAGAGAACACTAATGCCGTTAGAAAAGAATGCTTTCATTACTAACACCACTGGGGAGCCAAGCAATTCAAACCCGCCTGACTCCATGTGGCAGCTTATTTCAAGTACAGGCAAGGAGACTCAAAGGAAATAAACAGTGTGTGGGGGTTCTAGCGATGCAAACCTATAAGGTTCTTGTAACTATCATAATGCTTGATCAATACTTATTAACAAACCACATTCTAGGAGGAACAAGTTTTAAAAGCCTGAAAATTGGACAGCCAACGTCCTAAAGGTGAGTGAGTAGCAGTGAGAGAGAGACCAAACACAGTGTGTCCCTGGGGTGATGCTGCTGTGCTTTAGGTGAAAATGTCAGTAAATGGTTTAGCCTTCACATACAAAAAAGCACACCAAATTCTACAGTAGTGAAAGGTGGAGGCATTCTGTGCAAAGTCAAGTTAGACTCCTTGGAGGTTCCAAGAGCTCAGAGGAGACCCTTGGGTTTTGGAGATATCCTGGGGCAACTTGTTTGGTTAAAAAATGTAGAAAAGGAAACACTGGGGACCCACAAAGAGATGAAAAACTACTCTTTTGTGGAAACTTTCATTTCTCATCAAATATCCATGTACCCACCCACTTTTCTGACCCTCTTCCATTAGTTAGGGGCCTTGTGGCTGATAGAAAAGTGACTGATGCTGCTTCTGGGCTGATGCATGTAGGAGCTGGCACCCAACATGCCAACTCGGGCCACATGCTGAGGTGTCAGGGCGGGATGTGGAATAGAGCTCCTCCTCCAAGCTGACTTGGGCGCATTGTGTAAGCACGCAAGAAGCCTGGGAGGTGCAAGGCCTCTGAGATTTCAGAGGTAGTTTGCTCCTGCAGTTTAGCCTCATTTGATCTGGTGTGTACATACTTCATTCCTATGCCAATCTCAGTAACCAGGCCAGGAGGTAATAGAACCTCTGCCATTAACCCATGTGTGAGCTTGAGGAAGTCACTCTTCTCTGGGTGTCATTTTCCTCATGTGGAAATTTAGAGTTGGGTCAGTTGGCCTTTCTGCTCTGTCAGTCTCCAATTTTGTATTTTTGAAAATTTCCATCTAATAGTGTCTGAAAAGTTGCCAGTACTAGTGTCTGTCTATCCCTGTCTATTATCTACATAGACACCGCCCCATCCACCCATCTGTCTATGTTCATCCATCCATCTTCCCAGAATCCATCCATCCTTCCATCCATCCATCCTCCCATCATCCATCCTTCCATCATCCATCCTCCCATCCATCCATCCTTCCATCATCCATCCTCCCATCCATCCATCCTCCCATCCATTCATCCTCTCATTCATTCATCCTCCTCTTCATCCATCTTCCCACCCATCTCCATCCTCCCATCCATCCACCCTCCCATTCATTCTTCCTCCCATCCATCTCCATCCTCCCATCCACCCATCCATCCTCCCATCCATCCATCCTTCCATCCTCCTATTGTCCATCCTTCCATCCTCCTATTGTCCATCCTTCCATCCTTCCATCCTCCCATTCATCCATCCATCCTTCCATCCACCCATCCTCCCATCCATTCATTCTTTCATCCATCCATCTTCCCATCCATCCATCCTTCCATCCATCCATCCTTTCATCCATCCATCCTTTCATCCATCCATCCTCCCACCCATTCATCCTACCATTCATCCATCCTCCTATTCATCCATCCTCCCATCCATCTCCATCCTTCCATCCATCTCCATCCTCCTATCCATCCATCCTTCTATCCATCCATCCTTCCATCCATCCACCCATCCCCCCATCCATCCATCCATCCGTTCATCCTCTCATCCACCCATCCTCCTATCCATCCATCCTCCCATCCACTTATCTGCCCATCCATCTCCATCTTCCCATCCACCCATTGCTCCATTTTACTCCTGTTTCATTATGAAGGGAGCTGGGACAGCTGAAATAGTGTTTGGGACTCAACAATTTGCCTCCCCTTCCCTACATCCCTTACTGTGATGGTTAATTTTATATCAAACTGGCTGGGCCACAGTACCAGATAGCTGGCCAAACACTATTCTGGGTGTTTCTGTGAGGGTGTTTTGGATGAGATTAACATTTAAGCCGGTGGGCTTTGAGTAAAGCAGATTACCCTCCACCATGTGGGTGGGCTCCATCCAATTAGCTGAAGGCCTGATGACAACTGGCAACAGCAAAACATCCTCAGAGATACACACATGAGCAGAAATGCAGGAGCATGCTCTGAATTCCCTAACATAAACATAGAAGGGCACACACCCCACATGCTTACAAACGAAAAATTCAAGGTGCTGCTCAGAATGTGCTAACACAAAGCAAATGCTGTCACAGTACCTCAGCACTATCCCTCCCGCCCGCACTCCTGCTCTGCCCAGGGTCATCCAGTGCCTCTTGGCCAGTCAGCATCCCCTGCACCAACTCTGCCACCCCCATGGCCCCTTCCTGATGGTGCTTCTGATTGGTTGCAACATGGACACTCAGAGTTTGGGAAGAGGAAGCAGTGATTGTGCTGTGCTTTGCAACCCCTCCCCCTGCCCCCACTCCCCAATTCTCTCTCTTTCTCTCTTTTTTTTTTTTTTCAGAGAACTTAGCAGTAAAGGCTAATTTATGAAGTCCCTAAAGATTTGAACTTTCTGCAGAACTGGCTGCAGTTTCCAGTGGGTTAGAGTCTACTTGGAGTAGAGCAGAAGCTGTGAGCTGTGCTGCCGAGAGGAGGGAAGGAAGAAGCCACAGCCCAGGACCCACACCCGTCCAGCATCCCCAACAGCCTTCCTCCCCTACAGAGAGCTCAAAGATGACACCGACTGTTAGGTGTGGGATAAGAGGGACACAGGGTGTGGGATGAGATCCAGAAGAGCAGGAAGGGGGAGGGGTCAGGAGCTCTGTGGTTGGAGGGACCACCTCCGTTACTAACATCCCAGTCAAATTCAGAAACTATCCAAGCCCTGGAGGCTCCTAAAGGCGCTTGCTCCACCCTTGTACCATCCCAGTTCCCTCCTAAGTTTGCAAGATCAAATCCAGTTTAAGGCTACTCCTTCGATTTTCTCATGTCATGAGCTGACACCCACTGCTGGGACCAAATATTCATTTCCCTCCCCATGAAAGCCAAAGCTCTATTCGGTAAGGATAAATTCACATTAAAAATAAGAGGTTTACAGTCAGGTGTGGTAGCTCACGCCTGTAATCCCAGCACTTTGGGTGGCCAAAACAGGAGGATCTCTTGAGCTCAGGAGTTCGAGACCAGCCTGGTCAACATAGTGAGACTCCATCTCTACAAAAAATTTAAAAATTAGCTGAGCATGGTGGCAAGTGCCTGTAGTCCCAGCTAGCTGGGAGGCCGAAGTAGGAGGATCACTTGAGCCCAGGAGGTCAAGTCTGCAGTGAGCCAAGATCGCGCCATTGCACTTCAGCCTGGGCAACGGAACAAGATCCTGTCTCTAAAACAAACAAAGAAACTAGAGGCTTTTTTTTAAATTATTTTTTAATTTTTTTTTTTTTTTTTTTTTTTTTTTGGAGATGGAGTCTCGCTCTGTCACCCAGGCTGCAGTGCAGTGGTATGATCTCAGTTCACTGCAACCTCTGCCTCCTCAGTTCAAGCGATTCTCCTGCTTCAGGCTCCTGTGTAGCTGGCAAGCACCACCACACCCGGCTAATTTTTGTATTTTTTAGTAGAGATGGAGTTTCACCATATTGACCAGGCTGGTCTTGAACTCCTGACCTCAAGAGATCCACCCTTCTCGGCCTCCCAAAGTGCTGGGATTATAGGCGTGAGCCACTGCACCCAGCCATCGAAGTAGAGGCTTAATTTTCCCTGTTGAAAATAACAGAAGAGCCGGGCACGGTGGCTCACACCTGTAATCCCAGCACTTTGGGAGGCCAAGGTGGGCGGATTGCCTGAGGTCAAGAGTTCAAGACCAACATGGTGAAACCCCGTCTCTACTAAAAATACAAAAAAATTAGCCAGGCATGGTGGCGTGCGCCTGTAATTCCAGCTACTTGGAGGCTGAGGCAAGGGAATTGCTTGAACCAGGGAGGTGGAGGTTGCAGTGAGCTGAGATCGGGCCACTGCACTCCAGCCTGGATGACAAAATGACACAGCAATACTCTGTCTAAAAAAAAAAAAAAAAGAAAGAAAGAAAGAAAAGAAAGTAACAGAAGAGACTCTCCCAGCCCATCTCACTTCCTTTTCCTAGAGCACTTACTTTTGGAAACCTGTAATCAGTAGTTCTTTCTCTGTCTCTTTTAAATGTATGTAAATCTTTTGAAAAGCTAAATAAGCCTCTTGCCAACTTTAGGACCCAGGTATGTCTTTCTCCAAGGACCTGGGAATCATCCCTTTGAAAGGTAATCATCAAGGAACATAGCTCCCCATCTTCTAGTCTCTAGAGAAGCATAGGAGCCTAACTTCAGCTCCAACTTGCAAAACTACCTTTTGCCATAAAGAAATAAGAAGTTTATTTTTCCTTTGGATAAAGGCAATTAGCAAACACAGATGGCCACTCCAATAACCAGGAGACTTTAGAATGAACTATGTGTGACAAATAGAACTAGTCCCCTGAAAACTAGTTATTGTTTAACGTGAGAACACGTATGTAACAGATTGGAGCTGCTTGGCTGGACAAAAGGTAAGACTCCTTTCTGTCTTTGCAATCTCTTCGCAGATCACCTGGCATGCGCGTCCCATTCTGGTTGAATGCTTGTGCAATAATAAAACTGTTTTCTTTCTTTTCAACCTTTGTGAAGAGGTTTTCTGAGTTGAGAGATTTTGTCTGTAATTATCGTTCCCCAGCAATTCTTGTGCTCTCCTAAAGAGAGGATACCCAGGCCTTTCAGGAGGAGGGAGGCTGAGGTAGCACCACTGGCAGGGGAGGGAAGGAGGAAGGAGAGAGGAGGGGCATGCAGGCCCTGCCAAGGTCAGACACAGCTGGTATAGCAGAGCCTGGGCATCATCCAAAAGAAACAGGCTCAATCCATCCTGTACAGTTCCCCGGCTTCCCCAGCCCCCAGCCCGTCTTCCTTCCCAGGCTCTCTGCCCTGGGTTCACTTGCCCTCCTTTATGCATCGAATGTTAAACTTCTTTTGTTTTCCCCTTCAGCAGTTCTTGCCCGCTTTGCATACAGATGCTGTGTGTAATAGATGCACGGTAAGATTCCATTCTCTACCTGTCCGCCAAGTCCCCTTTGTTTCCACAGTGAACCTCATTCATCTGGACCCCATTCATGACATTTTCAAAAATCACTTTCCTAAGCAAAGACTAAAGTGTATTTTGCTTTTTCTGTAAAGGAAGATGATGTCAAGTAAATTTATCAACAAACTTGCTGGGAGCCACTCAATTGACTTGAGATCAGGAATTGTTTTTGAACATTTGATGACAACTTTGCATACTGGATTGTCAAATATTGATTATTTTTCTCCTCCACCCTCACTCCCCACAGCTTAAATGGGACCCCAGGCACTGCCCTAGTCAGGTTGGGGGCTAGTTGGCTACCTAAGGGGAAGGCCTGAAGAAGCAATTTGGTTTAAGCCTTTGAGCTCTAATTCTCAACACTGGCTGCATTTCAGAATCACCAGAGGGGCTTTAAAGTATATATGTGAATGTGCAGATCCCACCCCCAGCGTTTCTGTCTTAATTGAGGCGTGGTGGTGCCCAGGGCAGCATCTGCCTTGACAGCTCCCGGGTGGGAGTCTCTATCACATCTGTCAGTCAGTGCTCCCTGTGAGTTCAGAAGCCTAGAGGTAAAGGCCTCTCAACTCTAGTTGCTCATTACAGCACCGAGAGAGCTTTTTAAAAATATGAATGCTGGCCCGGCGTGGTGGCTCATGCCTATAATCCCAGCACTTTGGGAGGTCGAGGTGAGTGGATCCCTTGAGCCTAGGAGTTCAAGACTAGCCTGGACAACATAGTAAAACCCCATCTCTACAAAAAATTAGCTGAGGGTGGTGGCACGGGAGGCTGAGGTGGGAGGATCACCTGAGCCTGGGAGGTTGGGGCTACAGTGAGCCGTGATCAAGCTGCTGTACTTCAGCCTGGGCAACAGAACAAGACACAGTCTCAAAAAAAAAAAAACCCAACCAAACAAACAAAACAAATTGAATGCCTGTCACAAAGCCCAGCGATTCTAGTTTTATTGGGCTGGACTGAGACCTGGGCACCGGGAGCCTCTGATGCGTAGCCAGAGTGAGACTCACTGGGAGAGGGGAAAGAACCGTGACTTCTCAGTAAGACTGACTAAGCCTAGTGTCTGGGCTCTGCTGGGTAAGTGTAAGCAGGTTGATTCACCTCTCTGAGCCTCAATTTTCTCATTTCCAACATTGGAGTGCTGCAACCCACCATGCAGGGTTGACTGCAGCTGGTGTCTTCCACCTGCATGGCCTGCGTTAGCTCTCTCAGTAGTTCTCCTTGTCAGAAAGTGGACATTTACCATTAGTAATTAACTATGTTACCAATAAGAATTCAGTTCTTATCAATAGAAAGGTGCTGCTTTTGGGGATGTGAAAAAGAAGATGCCAGGGCCCGCCTGTCCTCCCAGTCTTTGACAAGTGTCAGGACAGTGGCTCTTTTCCATCTCTCATAAAATCCTGTTTCAGGAGGCTGGCTCTTTTGAATCAAATTGTACTTAATTAAATCCTCCCTGAAACTCAGGGGAGTTTCATAGGAACTCTGCATATATTTACAGCCTTTGGCCAGGCACGGAGGTTTGCGCCTATAATCTCAGCACTTTAAGAGGCCAAGGTGAGAGCATTGCTTGAGCCCAGGAGTTCAAGAACACCTGGGCAACATAGGGAGACCCCCCTGTCTCTACCAAAAATAAATAAATAAATTAATTAATTAATTAATTAATTAGCTAAGTGTGGTGACATACACATATGGTCCTAGCTATTCGGGAGGCTGAGTTGGGAGGAGAGACAGAGCATGGGAGGTTGAAGAGGCAGTGAGCTGCGATCTTGCCACTGCACTCCAGTCTGGGCAACAGAGAGAGACCTCTTCTAAAAGAAAAACCGGCTGGGCATGATGGCTCACGCCTGTAATCCCAGCACTTTGGGAGGCCAAGGTGAGTGGATCACCTGAGGTTGGGAGTTCGAGACCAGCCTGGCCAGCATGGTGAAGTCTTGTCTCTACTAAAAATACAAAAATTAGCCAGGCATGGTGGCGGGTGCCTGTAATTCCAGCTACTCAGGAGGCTGAGGCAGCAGAATCACTTGAACCCAGGAGGTGGAGGTTGCAGTGAGCCAAGATCACTCCATTACACTCCAGCCTGGGCGACAAGGGCAAAACTCCGTCTCAAAAAAAAAAAAAAAAAGAACCCAAAAACCAAAAGTTCTGCATGCTAGATCTTATTGTAAAGAATGCATATTTGTATTACAAAATAAATGAAAAGCAAGTTAGCTCAGGAACTGAGCCTGGAACTTACTATCAGATCACATGGATTCCAGAGCATCTGTGTGTGTTTGGCTAACACCCCTCACCCCTTCCAGCCTCCATTTGCTCCACTAAATTTTAGACTGCGATTCTGAAAAGTGGGGTTGAAAATCCTGTTGCTGCTACGAAGACTGTGCAATTCTATAGCTCATTCCTAATGTCATTGTCAGCAGGCCAAGGATGCAGTTTCACAGCCCTGCTGGGTGTGACCGAAAGGCTTTCTCTAAGTGTGCCCTTTCATTAAACTTTCTGAAACTGCTATTGGCTTTGCACTCAGCGAGGTGCAGAAAGGGATAAAGATAAAACAGATACAGATTCTGCCTACCTGCCCTCAAATAGATTGAGGTTTGGAAGTTCAGACAGGTCATGCATGTAACTAACTCTAACACGCAGTAGAGAAGAGGTCTGGCTGGGAGTCGGGGCAGGCTTGCTAGAGGAGGGAGTATTTTAACCATGCATCAAGGAAGAGCGGAGTATGGGTAACGGGGCAGGTGATGCCCTTGTCCTAATGTCAAGGATGCCAAGGTCCAGGATGTAAGGAGGCAGGAGGCAGTTCCCGGAGATCTTGGATTATTTTTAGGAGGGGTGAAATAGCTGGTCAACAGGTATGCATGTTTTAAGGTCTTTACTGCACCTTGCCCAAGTGTCCTCCAGAAAGGATGCTCCAATGTACACTTAGCCAGATATTAAGATGCCTGGAGCCTTGGTCTGAAAATGCAGGAGGAAGAGGTGCAGGGGCTGTGAGGTGGAGCGGAGTTTGTCCTGTCAGCTCAACAAATATCTTTCATCACTGGGCTGTCTGTGTGGTGTGCAGAGATGAAAAATGGACACATTCCTGCCCTCAGGGAGCTCAACCTACTGGGAGAGATAGACCACAGCCCAAAAGTGTGGGCAAACCTAGGGCTCCCTTGAAAGTTATAAGCAGGTGTTGTTTGTTTGTTTTGAGAAAGGGTCTCCCTCTGTCGCCCAGGCTAGAGTGCAATGGCAAGATCACAGCTCACTGCAGCCTCAAAGTCCCAGGGTGAAGCGATCTTCCCACTTCAGCCTCCCAAGTAGCTGGAACCATAGGCTCATGCCACCATACCCAGGTAATTTTCTTTTTTTTAGAGACCACGTCTCACTATATTGCCCAAGCTGGTCTCAAACTCCTGGGCTCAATCAATCCTCCCGCCTCAACCTCGCAAAGTGCTGGGATTGCAGGTGTGAGTCATCCAGCCTGGCCTACGAGCAGGTTTTTGAGCTGAAAAGAGTCTGTCCTTTCTGGATTCTCCCTCTTTGAGGCACCTCATTCACCTCAGTGGAATTATTCACAGGGTTCCACCAGTAATCCTTGGGTTCCCTGACTCTCCAAAAGGCATCTAAGCTTCCTGGCTTCATATTGCCTGACTCTACTCCCTCCCACATTTCTTTGTCCCAGCTATTTAACTTCAGCACTGGAGGAATCTCCAAGGTGCTTGAAGAGTTCTGCCCAGCTTCCCGCAAGGCTGTGCCTTCTCAGGTCATCGAGCAAGGAAGCCATCCCTGAGAGTCTCATCCGAGAGCCCTTGCAGTGGGCATCCAAGGCCATAAATATTTGCATGCCTGTGAACCCAGCTTTCAGAAATGATCTTAAGGAAATAAGCATGAGTATTTGCAGAGATTTATCTATAAGATTATGCATGAGAGCCTTATTTATAAAAGAGAAAAATCATTGAAAATGACCTAAATTTTCATTCATAGAGTTTGACTAAATAATTTATGGCATATTCACACAATGCAGGAGTTGTAAATTACATCATGGAAGAATATTTAATGACATGAAAAGAAACTTAAGGCATTTGCAAAATACTGTGTACTACATGATACTATTTCTGATAGTAAAAAATATATACAAACGTAGAGACACAAGGGAGAGAGAAAAGTCATGTATCAAAAATATAAAACTTTCATGATTTCAGGGTAGTGGATTAATAAGAAATTTTAATTCTCTTTTCTGGATGTTTTCTATGATGTTCACTATTTGTTTAATCAGAATAAAAGATACTCTATTTTTGAAAATGATATCTCCTGGCACAGGACAATGATTCCCATCTGAGGCACATGCGGGTAGGAGGTGGGTGCTGGGGAGCTGCACTGCTTAGGCCAGGAGAGTCCCCCTGAGCTCCCGGCTGCTGGGACACACTTCTCAGCCATGCCCTCCTCTGCAAAGTGCCATACAGCAACCCTGGTTATGCAACAAGCTGCCTCGGCCCTGGGCAAACAGATCCTCTGACTCCTCGGCTCCATTACAGGCCATAATGGGACAACCAGACCTCAGGCCCGATGGTTGCATAAAAGCAGGATGGATAGATTTTTCTGGTCACTGTGTTCCACCCAGCTGAGCAGGCATATTCAGACTCCTTCCCTGCTGTACTGCTTAGCTCATGCGAAGCAGGAGCCTTCTTCAGGCAGCCTTCCGGACTAACTCCACTATGCCGTGTGCTTCAAAAGCCCCTGCTCTAATCCATAATGAACACTTGCAGAGTACTCTACTTGTAATAATCCAAACGATTCTCATGACAACACTATAAGTGGGTACTGTGATGCTTTTGTGACAAATGAAGCAACGGAGGCAGAGAGAGCACAAGCGATTACCCAAAGTACTATGCAGAGCCAGGATTCAAACCCAGGCAGTGCAGCCCCAGGGTCAGCCCGGAAGACACCACGCCATGCAGCCCCCTGGCAGATAATTGCTATCACAGCCACATTTGCATGGTGATTCTGAGTTGTTTCCAAATTTTTGCTGGAAGACTATGGATTCCTCGAAGGCATGAATTGTGACTTTCACTTCCGTGGGACCATCCAGGGCCCAGCAGAGCACTGAGTGCACAGGGCCTTCCCAGGGGCTTGCATTCTCGGCTCTGAAGCCCGCCTTCTTTCCTACTCCAGCTGCAGGTGCAAGTGGTGAATCCTACTGAGCCATAATCTTGCTGCTAGAGGCTTATCTAGAGGTGCTTATGCAAGCAGTCTGGCAAAACACCTCTTTAGGGACAAACGTAGAGCTGGAGACTTGGGACGCCTCAGGATGTGTCAGATCACAGCTTTCTGCAGGGCACAAGGCTTCTTGCTGCTTCTCCAGAACATCTCTCCAAATGCCTGTGCAGCCCTGGGTACCTGGGCAGGGTCCAGCTCTACAAAGGATCATGGCTCGAGTCCTTCCGCTCCAATGGGAAAGACCAACCAAGTGAGAGAAAGAGCATGCCGCCCAGAGGGGGAGCTGGTTGCCATTGTCCTCTTGGCTGTCATTTGTTTCTTCAGGGTTTCCAGGCTGGCTTCCAACCGAGGATGTAAGAGGCTGTTACCAAGTCCAGGCAGATCAGCACAAACATATTAACAGGGGTTATCTCAGCGTGGTGTGATGAGGGATGACTTTTTCTCATGGCTTTGCTTCTCTGCCTTTTCTAATTTTCTGCAATGCACATGATTATTTGGGCAATTAAATAATTACAGGGAGGGGAAAGTCACTGTTCTTGCTTTGTCCCTTGCAGGACTCTTTCCCCACACTTATATGGGCTGCTAAGCTCCAATGTGCCCTCTATTGCATGTGGCTTCCACCGAGCTCTTTCTGATCTTCACACCAGCAAACTCCCATCTCTACTCTGTCCTTTCCACACCCTTCACTGTGTACTGATCTGCTCAAATCCTTGCAGATTATAAAATGTTTCACTGGCCCGAGCCTGCTGGTCCCCACAACCCTGATTTCAAAAGAAGTCATCTTTTGTGTCCTTGCAGAGCGTGCCTGGATTGTGTCTCTATCCTTGGTCCCTTACCTGGACTGTAGCCCCAGTTAACTGCTGAATACCAGCAGCTGGGTGTCCTCAGCAACCATGTCCACATGAAGCATCTTAGTCTCACCCACTCCTTCTGTGTCTCTACGAGCAGCATTGAGCTGTAGATGGGAAAGTGTATGGAAATATGATCACTTTTTCCCTAGGGCAAAGAGGGTTGGTGTTCTTTTCTTCAAAATTTATTTTGAATCTGTCTTTTCTGTCTCCCCACTACCCCTCACTCATGCTCCTGAGTCACTGCTGAGCTCCAGGGCTGTACCTTTCTCATTTTGGAATCTCTAGGATCTAGCATAGTACCCAGTGCACAGTATGCCTTCAATGTATGCCTCTTGGTTCAATGAATGAATGCATGAAAAAATGGGCAAATAAGTAAGTTTTAATAATTTGTCACCTTGATTTTTATTTCTTGCAATCCTTCCTGTATTTCTTGCAATCCTTGTTTTATTCCTTGCAATCCTTCCTATATGTCTCTGCCAGTTGAATCTTCCAAAGTGGTGACTCGACCACGTGAATCTCCTCTGGTGACTTTAATGGCTCCCACTGTCTGCGAAGGCCTTTCAAAACCCAGCTGCTTGTTACCTTTCTTTGCAAGGATTTTCTCTCTCACTCCTCAAAGCTCCATTCTGGCTGACTTGGCCTCTCTGTATCCTTTCCTGCCCTTGTTGAGTTGCCCTTTTCTCTGTGTAGCCACTTAGCTGCCTGTGCTGATACTTGCTGCTGGCTAAGCTTGTCATAAGTTCAGTGTGACACCCTTTCCCGTGATGGGCTGATTACAGTAAGGTCCCAATCTAGTGGTGCCTCCCTCTATTGCTGGGTTGGGTAATCTCCCAGTTACTCTGGGTTTGACCATGTGACTTGCTTTGGTCAACAGGAAACAGGATGTTAGCAGAGACTTGAAAAGTGCTTGCTCATTGGGGTTTGCCATCTTTTGCTGCTCTAGGGAATCCAGCAGCTGTCACCATGTAAACAAGCCCAGGCTAGACCAGTTACCCTCATCATCTTAGCTGATAGCCAGCCAGCCACCACAGGCATGAGTCAGGCCATATTGCTGGACCCACAGAATTATGAGCTAAATAAATAGTCTTGGGTTAAGCCACTAAGTTTTAGGCATAGTGTGTTATGTATCTCACAAACATATAAGACTGTGTGTTTGTTGACTGGAGGAAGAGATGCTATAAAGACCACCTTTTAAAACTTCCCAAATACTGCCACTGATGTCCTGATGGAGGTATGAAAACATCCACTAAAATTTGTGGTTTATTCATTTTTCATTATTTTGTTTAAGGAGGTCTATAGTGGAAGAGGGAGATATTTGGGGAAATTTTGTATAGACTAGCTTTCACGATGTTAGGGAATTATTATTGTGTGATAATGGTCTTGCAGTTACACAGAAATTCTTCCTTATTTTTTGGGAAGCACCAAAGTAGGGATAAAATGTCATGATGTGTGCAATACACTTTAAAATGTTTTTGCCAAAATAATTAATGAAGCAAATATGGAAAATAATAATTATTAAATCTAGGTGATGGGTATATTGTAGTTCACTATAGTATTGCACACTTTTCTGTATGTTTAAATTTTTCATTTAAAAAACTTTGAGCTAGACACCAGGCTATGAGCTAGGAGCATAGCAATGACCAAATAGACTCCTACCAACTCAAAGAATGCACATTCTCTGGGAAACATGTTTCCATTAGGAAGCCTCGAATGCAATGTGACTGTGGTCTCCAGGACCTGTGTGATCCTGGCTTTTCCTGTTCCCTCCGCATCATCACTGCAGGTGTGTTTTCCCAAGTTTTAAACATTTACCTTCCCAGTGGCCTTGCGTCTAGAGGAATCCCTGTATAGTGGTACATGAATATAACACATAACAAAAATCATCTCTATGGTGTGTGTTGTTCCTGGGGTTCAATTCAGCAAATTTTCCCTGGGCACCCATGTGTTCTTGGCACTGGAAAAGTACCGGGACTGAAACAGTTGATGGCCCAATCCCTGTCCTCTTAAAACCTAAGGGAGGAGATGGAAAGGGGCACCCAACCCAGACTGAGAGACAGGAATTAGCTGCAAGGGGAACTAGGAAAAGCTTCTTTAAGGATGGAGAGGCCCTAGTGGAATGGGGAGATTCTTCCGGGAGAAGCGATGGATGCACAGTTGGGCATCCCCACAGACGGACTGGAAAGAAAAAAGGCCTGGAGGAATCAATGTGCAATGTATGTGTGTTCCCTGGTTCAAGGGCTGGGAACTTTCTCTAAAGGGCCAGGTAGAAAACATTTTAGGCTTTCTAAGCCAAGGCAAAATTGAGGATATTACATGGGTACTTATACAACAAGAATAAACAATTTACACAATTTTTTGTTGACAGAATTCAAAACTTTATAGACACAGAAATGCAAATTTCCTGTAATTTTCCCATGAGAACTATTCTTCTTTTGTTTTGTTTTGCGACAGGGTTGCGCTGATCCTCCCGCCTCAGTCTCCCTAAGTGCTGAGATGTTGCAGGAAGTCAGGGACCCCGAACAGAGAGATCGGCTGGAGCCGTGGCAGAGGAACATAAATTTTGAAGATTTCATTTTAATATGGACACTTATCAGTTCCCAAATAATACTTTTATAATTTTTTATGCCTGTCTTTGCTTTAATCTCTTAATCCTGTTATCTTCATAAGCTAAGGATGTACGTCACCTCAGGACCACTGTGATAATTGTGTTAACTGTACAGATTGATTGCAAAACATGTGTGTTTGAACAATATGAAATCAGTGCACCTTGAAAAAGAGCAGAATAACAGCAATTTTTAGGGAACAAGGGAAGACAACTATAAGGTCTGACTGCCTGCGGGGTCGGGCAAAGGGAGCCATATTTTTCTTCTTGCAGAGAGCCTATAAATAGACCTGCAAGTAGGAGAGATATTGCTAATTTCTTTTGCTAGCATGGAATATTAATATTAACACCCTGGGAAAGGAATGCATTCCTGGGGGGAGGTCTATAAATGGCCGCTCTGGGAATGTCTATCCTACGCAATGGAGATAAGGACTGAGATACGCCCTGGTCTCCTGCAGTACCCTCAGGCTTACTAGGGTGGTGAAAAACTCCGCCCTGGTAAATTTGTGGTCAGACCAGTTTTCTGCTCTCGAACACTGTTTTCTGTTGTTTAAGATGTTTATCAAGACAATACGTGCACCGCTGAACACAGACCCTTATCAGTAGTTCTCCTTTTTGCCCTTTGAAGCATGTGATCTACTCCCTGTTTTACACCCCCTCACCTTTTGAAACCCTTAATAAAAAACTTGCTGGTTTGAGGCTCAGGTGGGCATCACAGTACTACCGATATGTGATGTCACCCCCGGCGGCCCAGCTGTAAAATTCCTCTCTTTGTACTCTCTCTCTTTATTTCTCAGCCAGCTGACACTTATGGAAAATAGAAAGAACCTACGTTGAAATATTGGGGGCAGGTTCCCCCAATATCTGGTGCCCAACGTGGGATACTGAGATTACAAGCATGAGCCACTGCATCTGGCCTCTTCTTTTGATTTTTTTTTTTCAAACTTTTACAAATGTAGAAACCATTCTTAGCTTTTGGGCATTACCAAACCCGGCAGTGGCAGGCTCGGTTCACCAACGTCATTTGCAGTTCCCCGCTTTATGTTATGGGTTTTGTTTTGTTTTGTTTTTTTTATTGAGACAGAGTTTCACTCTTGTTGCCCAGGCTGTAGTGCAATGGTCTGATCTTGGCTCACTGCAACCTCCACTTCCCAGGTTCAAGCCATTCTCCTGCCTCAGCCTCTCAAGTAGCTGGGATTACAGACACTCACCACCACACCTGGCTAATTTTGTATTTTTAGTAGAGATGAGGTTTCACCATGTTGGCCAGGCTGGTCTCGAAATCCTGACCTCAGGTGATCCACCCACCTTGGCCTCCCAAAGTGCTGGGATTACAGGCTTGAGCTACCACGCCTGGCTGGGTTGGTTCTCAATGGAGTGGTTTGTTTTTGGAGCTGCTCTGCGCAGTGGGGACCAGAATAGGCCTGGGTTCCTAGCCCATTGCTATTCCTTACCAGCTGTGGATTCTAAGGAAAGTCATTTAACCTCGCTGGACCTTAGATTCCTCATCCCTGAAGCCCAAGGGTAAAACAAAACAAAACAAAACAAAACAAACCAACCCATCATGTAAAGCGGGGAACTACAAACGATACAGGTGAAACATGCCTACCACACCACTCACAGGCTATGATGACAAAAACGTGGCTACATCTGGGACCACCCCCCAACCCCCACTTTGTACGTAGGAAATACGGAGTTGAGGATGGAGACCCACAGTATGTCCAGAGTGTCCCCAAAGGCCACAGTGCCCGCCTGGAGCCCTCCAGAGAGCGTGCACTCCCTGGGGTGCCAGCCAGAGACAACTTGCCCTGAGGCTTGGAACTCGATTCTCCGCGTGCCAGAGAAGGGGTGGGACTTCAGAACCCCCAACCCCGCAATCTGGGTCGGGGAGCCTGGCGCACTGCGGGCCGCTCCCTCTAACCCTGGGCTTCCCTGGCGTCCAGGGCCGTCGGGGCCGAGTCCCGATTCGCTCCCACCCCGAAGCCGCGCCAGGACCAACGAGGGCGCAGCCGTATGCCCCAGCCCGCTCCGCGGAGCCCCTCACAGCCACCCCCGCCCCGACCGCGCCCCGCGCGGCTCGAAGCACCTTCCCAAGGGGCTGGTCCTTGCGCCATAGTCGCGCCGGAGCCTCTGGAGGGACATCAAGGATTTCTCGCTCCTACCAGCCACCCCCAAATTTTTGGGAGGTACCCAAGGGTGCGCGCGTGGCTCCTGGCGCGCCGAGGCCCTCCCTCGAGGCCCCGCGAGGTGCACACTGCGGGCCCAGGGCTAGCAGCCGCCCGGCACGTCGCTACCCTGAGGGGCGGGGCGGGAGCTGGCGCTAGAAATGCGCCGGGGCCTGCGGGGCAGTTGCGCAAGTTGTGATCGGGCCGCTATAAGAGGGGCGGGCAGGCATGGAGCCCCGTAGGAATCGCAGCGCCAGCGGTTGCAAGGTAAGGCCCCGGCGCGCTCCTTCCTCCTTCTCTGCTGGTCTTTCTTGGCAGGCCACAGGGCCCCACACAACTCTGGATCCCGGGGAAACTGAGTCAGGAGGGATGCAGGGCGGATGGCTTAGTTCTGGACTATGATAGCTTTGTACCGAGTTCTAGCCAGATAGAAGGTTACCGGGAGCTGGGGAGCGTTGGATTTGCTGCTGGGCTGTGCCGGTGCCCAGAAGGCAGGACCTTGCAGAACCAGCCAGGTCCCTGGGAGACTGTCAGACCCACCAACCTGGTGGCATTCGCAGAGCTGAGATGCATTGGAAATTGCCTTGGGCACATCCCCAAAGATCAGGATGTCCCACCCCAGTCTGAAGGAGATAAAGTTGGGGGTAGGAGAGACGCAGATGCAAGTGATCAGTCTCAGTCCCAGACATTGCCTTGCTCTGCGGGTAGGAATTCAGGATTCATTTTCCAGGGAAGTTCCTGACCTCTGAATGAGAGGGGCTGTGTAAGGCCAATGCCTGGGAGGAAGGCAAGGATGAGTAGAGGTGGGGGGAAACAAGTGTCAGGAAGACTCAAAATCTTCCAGAGAAATTGTGCAGGGTCTTACCAGATCTGTCCTCAAAGCCATGCAAATTGCCTTCTTTGCAATGCATACAATGAGGTGTCTCTGGGGGTCAGAACTGGTTATTAGGGAACTTCTAGCCAGGACTGCTAAATACGCGCTGTTGGCCCACCAGGCTCACCTATAGCCTTCCTTCAGTCTGGGCTTGGTTTGGATTTCACTGTGGGTGCCATCGCCTTTACACTCCTGTTTCTATAGTTTAAAGATAGTGGTGCTTTGGGAAAGTGACTCCTTAAATACAGTTAGGTCCAAGTGAGACAAGTGGCCTGGCTGTCATTTCAGAATAGCAGCTTCCAAGAGGTGATTAATTTCTGTTGGAAGGGTGATCTTTGGGGAGGTGGGTGAAGAGCAGAGACTTGGTGGTACCGTTCCAGGAGCACAGGCTCTCTTCCTTTGCAGTGCAGAATGACCTCTGGCAGCCGGAGTTGTGTTTGTTCTGTAGGATTCTGAGGTGGGCCATGGGCAGCTGGAACTGGGGAATTTTGCCAATCTCTTTCATATTAGGATTGTCTGCAGAACCAGATATGGAGGCTTCTAGCAACGTGAGTGCTCCTGTTCTAATGCCCTTAGAAACAAGAAGGCCACACTGATCATTTCTCTCACTTAGGCAGGGAGACAAGGCAAGAGAGAAACAGTGGATGCTTTTAGGTTCTTTCCCTTCCCAAGCAGTTGTGGACATTGGGCTGAGGGGAACATTTCCACATTGGCTAAAGGAGCGTCCTCCTCATATTTTGTACATTTTATACCCAAAATAACTCTTCTTGGTATTTGGGGAAATATTTTCCTCCCCGTCCATTCCAGGAAATGGCTCCAAGTGCCAAGGACAGAGCCAGGGAAGTTGCAATGAATTCCTGCCCGTCAGCCCCAGGCAGATGCCTTGCACGTCTGAGTGGCCCATGCAGAGCGTGGAGGTGGCCGCCACGGAACCTGGGTCAATGTCCCACCCCCGCTTAGATGCCACCAGGGGCGTGGGAGCCAAGGAGAGAAGAGGGGCTCCAGGAAGGTAGAGTCCTTGTGTCTTGTGCATCTGTGAACAGCACTGGTATGATTTAAAGGAAAATTGAGCCAAATTTTCCGGCAGTCAGTTACCCCATCCCCACCGGGGTAGGAGTCTGGCAGCCGCAGCTCCATTCTGGCCAGTCGGCAGAGAGCCTTGAAATTCTTCTTTGTCCACACAGTTGTCTCAGAGAAACAGAGAGGTTGTTTCTGCTTAAAAACAACACACTTGGTGTCTGGGCCCACAGACTCCTTTGCACTTATTCCACGTGTGACAGCCAATGTGCCTCGTTGCTTAGCAGACAGCATGTTACCGTCTTTCCTGCTCAGTTTGTTAGCTCTATGGAATGGAATTTATAATCAATGCCCATACCAACATTTCACTAATATCATAGGAGATTTAGTCTCCATCTGGGTGTACATTACATTTGCTCTGGGGTGCTCCAGGCTGGGGGGTTGCCAAGGAAGAGAAGAGAAACCGCAGAGAAGACGGGAGGGCAGGGCAGGGGTCTCTGAGAAGGGGAGGGGTCCCAGAGTGCAGGAGCAGGAGCCAGGCTCATGAAAGGGGCCACGGGCGGGAGTATCCAGGGACGGCAGTCAAGATGGAGCACAGCTTAGGAAGCTGAAGGGAATCCTGGCCCACCTGGGTGCTAGAGGGCACATAGGAAGTGCAGGAAGCAGACCAAGGTCCCCAAGAGAGGGAGACCTGGACGCTGAAGCATTTTCTGTCTTTATTAAGACAACTCCGTAAGAATTCCTGCTGGGCCAAAGTGAATTCTAGGATGCGACTTTAAGATGGGAGCAAGCGAACCATTGAGGAGGCAGGTTACCCTAGTTAGCCAATGCAGATCGAGAATGGGAAATCTTTCATTTATTCATGCAACAGATATTTAACGAAGCCCTGCCGTGTTCCAGGCCTGTGATAGATGCTGGAACAGGTACAGAGATACAGGTGTCATTAATTGATCAGGGCAACCTCTCCTTCTGAGTCTTGCTGGAGCTTCAGATGCCCCTCACACAGAGCTCGAGGGAGCCTCAACAATTGATCAGAAGTCAGGCACCATGGCTCACGCATATAATCCCAGCACTTTGGGAGGCCAAGGCAGGTGGATCACTGGAGCCCAGGAGTTCCAGATCAGCTGGGGCAACATGGCAAAACCCCATCTCTATTAAAAAAAAAAAAAGTAACTGGATGTGATGGTACACACCTGTAGTCCCAGCTACTTGGGAGGCTGAGAGGTGGGAGAATTGCTTGAGCCCGGGAAGTCGGGGGTCCAGTGAGCCTTGATCACACCACTGCACTCCAGCCTGAGTGACAGAGCAAGACCCTGACACACACACACACACACACACACACACACACACAGATTAGAGCTGAAACAGGAGTAGAAACCTATCTGTATCTCTGATGAGATCAGATCTTTCTGATGAACAGAAAGAATGTAACCCCTGTACTCACACCCTCTCTGCTGGTTACATATGTTAACACGATTTCTCAAATGAGGCTTTTGGTTGCAAATAAGAGAAAATCACTCACGCTGGCCCTGTGTTTTTCAAATTGTTTATTGTGATCAACATTTGAAAAAAGAGCCGAGACTCTCAAGAGTGCATTACCCACGGTAAGGGTGAATTTTACTTCTTGACACTTATTTCTCTTACATGTATCTATCTGTCTCAAATGAAAAATATATTTAGAAAGTTGAAAGCTATCCAAGTGAGTATAAGAAAAGAGTATCTCACCCTGAAGGCTAAGGACAGGGAGGGCCACCAGGCCTCACGAGGACCCAGGAACCACAAAGAAGGCTAGGAAGGAGCACAGGCGGTGACCATACTCTGGCTCAGTGGCTATGTGGGCTCTGGTCTCTCTCAGCTGTTCCATGCATATGAGGCCAAATGTGGCTACCCTAGAGCTTCTGAGCCCTCAACAGAGATGAACTGGACTCTCTGCAGCCCCACTCTAAATTCCTAAGAGAGAAGTTGATTGACCCAATCAGGGTCAGGAGAAGGAAGGGAGGAGGAAAGGGAGGAGAGAAGAGCCTCTTCGTCTCTTGCCTACCACTGGCCAGGCAATTGTAGCCAAGGGGGCTGGAGTGTAAATGCAAACATAGCCATCAAGGGTTGTGTATGTGTGTGTGTGTGTCTGTGTGTGTGTATGTGTGTCTCTTGGGTAGGTTAGATCTCCCAGGAGGTCCCTACTAAACAGACTTAAGCCCGCAAAATTTTAGCTCTCCAGCCTCACACACTCCACCCCTCTACCATATTGAATCTTCCCAAACCAACTATGGCTTTCCCTAACTCCGGAGCTTGGCCTGGAATGCCCTGCTTCCCCTCTTTCCCCTGGGGAACGCCTGTCCTTCAGGCCTCAGTTCACACACTGCCTCCCTTGCAAAGCTCTCCTCCCATCCCCGGAGTCCCTCTTCCCCTTTGTTCTTTGGGTTCTATGCTTCTTCCCTCATAACTCCCACCAGGTTGTGTTAAAATGAGTTGTTCAAGGTCCTGTCTGTTCCACTAGATTCTGAGCAACTTGGAGAACGAAGATCCAAACTTCGCTGCCTTTATTTCCTCCTTTGTTCTTTTCTCATCCCCAAGTCCCTTCCAACTTGGAGTTATGAAGAAAGGAAGGAAGGAAGGGTGGGAGGGAAGAACAGGAGGGGATCCCACAGGAGAATGTGTATAGGGAGAGGACTCAGACTAGCTAAAGCTTTTCCCTCATAATTAATAGCAAATACCATGTTACCTGAATTTAATTCACAGTAGCATACAAAAGACTCGCTTTGTTCTCCCCATTGATGTCATCAGAGGGCTGTGGGCAGGCCTAATCTTGGCTCAGGAGGCCCTCCAGCCTGGATCTAAAGAGCAGCAGATGGGCCAGGCTCGGTGGCTCATGCCTGTAATCCCAGCATTTTGGGAGGCCGAGGCGGGTGGATCACGAGGTCAGGAGTTTGAGACCAGCCTGGCCAAGATGGTGAAGCCTCGTCTCTACTAAAAATACAAAAATTAGCCAGGTGCGGTGGTGGGCGCCTGTATTTCCAGCTACCCGGGAGGCTGAGGAGGCTGAGGCAGGAGAATCGCTTGAACCCGGGAGGCGGAGGTTGCAGTGAGCCGAGGTCACGCCACTGCACTCTAGCCTGGGCAACAGAGCAAGACTCCGTCAAAAAAAAAATAAAAAAATAAAAAAATAAAAAAAATAAAGAGGAGCACACATCTCTGCCCATCCTAACTCCCACTTTGACATTGAGGTCCCCAGGATGGAGGGTCTGCCTCCATCTGCCTTGTCCCCTGCAATGGTGGGAAGGTGATGGAGCTCAAGTCTAGAGGCCACCAGCTTCTTAGGGAGGTAGGAGGTGGAGGGTGGGGTGCGGGCCCTGCACACAACTGCCAAGTGAGGATGGGGGTGGGGTCCACCTGAGGATAAGTAACAGTGAGGCTGGTGCAGAGGACCCAGGTGGAGGTAGACAGCAGAATTTGTGGTGGGGTGGATGGCACATTATATAAGCCTCTCTTGCTGCCCTGTTTACTGAGATTGTTTCATTATCTTTTTTGGCTTTTGTTTTTAAGAGATGGGGTCTTGCTGTGTCACACAGGCTGGAGTGCACTGTGTGATCATACCTCACTGCAGCCTCGACATCCTGGGCTCAGGCAAACCTCCCACCTTGGCCTCCCAAGTAGCTGGGACCACAAGCGTTTGCCACCACACTCAGCTATTTTTATTTTTATTTTTATTTTTTTTAGAGATGGGGTCTTGCTGTGTCGCCCAGGCTGGTCTTGAACTCCTGGGCTCAAGCGATCCTCCTGCCTTGGCCTCCCAAAGCCCTGGGATTATAGGCTGAGCCACCACACCCAGCCACATTTCATCTGTGCAGCTCCAGGGGCTCCACATTCTACTCTTCTCATTTCTTCTCCAGGGTACCCATGGCAAGGGATGAGGGTAGAAGATGGGGCAGCCAGGCCTTGATTAAAGGAGAAGGAAGGCAGCCTGTGGAGAGGGCAGCCCAGGGAGTGCAGAGAGAAGTGGGCCATGAGGGAGACAGCAGAGTGCAGGCTGCGTCCCAAATGAGCATACAGCCCACTGTGAGCCCACCATCTTCCTAGAGACCCCTCTCCTCTCCAGGAGCTGCTTCAGTAGCACTCAGAGGAAAGAATGATGCTGTATCAACATTTCAGCAGCTCATCTTTTAACTCTAAGAAAATGGCAGCTCCTAAATGTTCAAAACTGCTTTGGAAACTTCTGGAGAGAGGTTTTGCAGCTCAGGCAGACAGCTGATCGCGGCCTTTCTTCCACCCCAACCCATGCTCTCCCCATGCTCTCCTGCCACAGCTGCAGCGGGCCCCTGGGTCCTACATTTGCAGCCCTTTGTCTCTGAGCTCAGACTTCCAATTCCAAGCGGCAGCTGGGCAGGCTCACCAGCATGTCCAGCCAGTACTAGGACATCAGCAGGAGCCCAACCACCTCTTTCCAAAATCTCTCCTCATGTCTCTCCTAGTTTCCATCTCCATCCTTCTAGTCAGCCAGGCTGAAAACATTTGCTCCTCAGGGTGCAGAAGGGAAAGCTTTGCCTCCCTTCCTGGTGCTCACTGCCCCTGCGATTCCAGCCCAAGCCCTCCCCGGCTCCTCACCCTGGTGTCAGCTGGAAGCCACCATCTCCTAAACCCACCTGTGTTCTTCCACCTCTGCCAGGGCTGCCCTCTCCTCCACCTTCACAAACTCAATTCCTACCCATTCTCAGGTCCCTTATCAAATGCCATCTCCTCCATGATGCCTCCCTGATTCCCCTGCTGGAAATAATGGTGATAACAGCTAAGGCATTGGGGTTGGCTACGTGCCAGGCAAGGAGTTGGCACTTTACATGCTTTATCTCATTTCAGCCACATAACATCGACAGGTGGCATTATGATTCATATCATCCCCATCTGATAGCCAGGAAAACTGAGTCCCAGAGAGGTTAGCCACTTTCCTAGGGCCCTGTGCTCTGACTCAAGCATAGCTCTGAGGAACTCTAGCATTCATCAGTTTAAGCACCATGACTTTCTTTGCTGAGTCACCCAAGGCATTTCTTCATTTAAATGTTCTTCCTTGGCCAGGCGCAGTGGCTCAGGCCCAATGCGGTGGCTCACGCCTGTAATCTCAACACTTTGGGAGGCCGAGGTGGGCAGATAATCTGAGGTCAGGAGTTCAAGACCAGCCTGGCCAACATGGTGAAACCCCATCTCTACTAAAAATACAAAAAAATGAGGCTGGGCGTGATGACTCACACCTGTAATCCCAGCACTTTGGGAGGCCAAGGCAGGTGGATTACATGAGGTCAGGAGTTCGAGACCAGCCTGGCCAACATGGTGAAATCCTATCTCTATTAAAAATACAAAAAATTAGCCAGGCATGGTGGCAGGCACCTGTAATCCCAGCTACTTGGGAGGCTGAGGCAGGAAAATGGCTTGAACCCGGGAGGTGGAGGTTGCAGTGAGCCAAGGTTGCACCATTGCACTCCAGCCTGGGCAAAAAGAGGGAAACATCGTCTAAAAAAGAAAAAAAAAAAATTAGCCAGGCTGGGTGGTGCATGCCCGTAATTCCAGCTACTCAGGAGGATGAAGCAAGAGAATTGCTTGAACCCAGGAGGCAGAGATTACAGTGAGCTGAGATCACAACACTGCACTCCAGCCTAGGTAAAGAACAAGACTCCATCTCAAAAATAAATAAATAAAAATAAATGTTCTTCCTTGCAATGAAGTTAAATATGTAAATTCTCAAACCAGTTGCTTAAGGGCACAGTTTTGTTCTTTACCTATATTTTTAACAAATATTTTATGTAAGTAGTTGACAAAATCAAATACTGTGTACACTACCGAGGCTTCCCTGGGAAAGCCATCAGCCTCTGCCCCATCCCTTCCCACTCCTGATTCCACTTTCCTGTGTTTCCATATCTTTTTCATGTCTGTTTCTGGCCCACAGTGGGCGATCAATACATGTTAGCCACCAACCATCAAACCTATATTGAGTAATTATGGTATGTCAGGCACTATGCTCAATGAAATTGTATTAGGCTTGTACAAAAGTAATTGTGGTTTTTAAGAGTAATGGCAAAAACGGCAGTTACTTTCGCACCAACTATTTGCTGCCTTGAATTATTCCTCCTCTCCTCATCCCTAAACCCTGCTCCTCCCAGCCATTCTTCCTCCCCTTCTTGGGCCATGGCCAGGCCCCACCCAGGTACTAAGACTCAGGTGAACCAAGGAAGACTTAATGCCCACTCTTTTCTGATGCCCATGTTGGCATGTGTTAAGTCGGTTAGCATTAAGTTTGGCTGCATTTAGCAGAGACCCAAAAGAACAGTGCCTTTTAAAAGGCAGAGGTTATGTCTCTCACACACACCCAGCACAAGTCCAAGACCAGCATGGCATCTCAGCTCCATCAACCTCAGGAACCGAGCTCCTGCAGCTCCCTGCCCTGCAGTTGATAAGGTGAGGTCTTTGTCCTCCTGGTTCAAGATGGTGCTAGAATGTTGGCTACCATATCTATAGTCCAGGCATCAGAATGGAGCAAGGGATGAAAAAGGAAGAGATGAAGGCACACGACAGGTTCCTGAGAGCTGGCACAGGACACTTCTGCTTATATTTCACTGGCCAGAACTTAGTCACATGGTCACACCTAGTTGGGAGACTCTGAGAAGTAAAGTATTTATTCTAGATGGCCATATCCCTACCTAAGACTTGGAGTTTTCTATGACTGGGGAAGAACGGAAGACAAGATATTGGGAAAGACTAGCAGCCTCTACTAAAAGGGTGATCTGTGTTGATGTGCGTGTGTGTGTGATGTTTGTATGAGCATGTGTGTTATGTGTTGTGTGTTGGTGGGGCAGATTCTTGCGAGCACTTTGGTCTCAGATGGACCTGCTACCAGTTCTCTCTGCAGACCCCCATAGGTTTCTCCTAAACCTGGCCTCTCCTATTAGGCAGCCTTACTCAGCGGCAGCTTCTCAGCTCCATGTTTTCAAGGAACCACAATTTATTTCCAGCATCCACTGAAGCATATTATCAGTGGTGATAGAGGGGGCTTGTAAAACTGTTTTTCCACTTAGGTATTAGAGGGTGGCCATTATTTGAGAGTGACTATGACCACAGTTAATCTGGTAATAAATTCTCTTGGGTAGGAGGAAAGGAAAGGATGCTTTAAGGAAGCATCTTGCCAGGAGACACAAAGCTAACAAGAGTGGAGCCTGCAGCTGGAGCCGCAGAGCCTAATCACTACACCCGCCCATCTCTGCTAGGGTTTCATGACTTCGTATCGGGGATTAGCAGTATTTAACTCTGTTGCACAAACATTTGGTGTATTATTCAGGTAACAAGTAGCTAATAGAGGAAGTTTTACTTTTTTAAGACATAAATTTGCCTTTTCCCAAATTACTTGGTACATAGTACTTTTCATGTTTGAAGTTGAGATGTGGGTACAATACCATAGCTTTATTCCAGAGCAGGGTATTTGTTTCCAAATGCCATGTTCCCAGCAGCTGCCCTTGACTGGGAATTGGGGTGTGATTTGGGCTTTTCCTTAAATCCTTGAGGAGCTGGAGGGGTGGGTGGCTCGCACTCCTGCTTTCTGGATCTGAATCCTGACTCTGTCATGGACCTGTTTGACTTTGGGCAAGTTGACTCCTATTCCTGAGCCCCATATTTTTCTCTTCTGTGAAATTCAGATTAAAAAAACATGGCTTTGATCAAACATTATAAATAATATATAGACAGACTGCTTGTTTTTATTGTATTGCCAGAAATGAATCCTACTAATATTGCCATCTATGGACAGAAAATGTATTACCTGTCTTCATCAAGACCCAGACGAGGAAGAACACGAAAAGCGGAGATTAATTTTACTGCCATCTCCAGAACCGTCATCCTAATATTTACTTACATTTTATTATTATTTCAGGCTCATGCACATATACTTAGCATGGATCATTGGCCACAGACTCGCATACATTTAACTTTATTACCTTTTGCCTCATGTATCTCATTAAAATTTTGCTGCTTAATCAAGGATCTGCATATTATTTTAATTTTAGAATTCACAGTTCCAAGACTTTGAAAGTTTCAAGCGTTCTGGGTGAATGTGTTATGCTCTCTCCCGCCACCATGTCTTTATACCCCCTGATTTCTCAGCCACTATGGCAACCACTTTCTACTCTTAGTAGCCCATATTTAGTCCAATCCCCAGCTCAGGAGACACTTCTTCCAGGGAGCCCCCTGTGCCTTCCAGTAGTATCTTGTACCTGCCCTTTTTGCAAAGCTCTTTCCTCCTGGCTTAGAATGGCCCATTGACCTGTTTGTTTCTCCTATTAAACTGTAAGCCACTCGAGGGTAGAGAGCATCTGTTGTTCACCATTGCATCCTCGGTGCTGAGCACTGCGTCTGACATATTATTTAGAAGGTCAGTAAGTGCTAGTGGGATTCAGGCTCCCAGTGGGTGGGAGAGAAAGGACGTAAGGAAGCAAGTGGTAAAGGCCCTCACAGAGTATCAGCAGGCTGGTGTGAGGGAGAAATGCAGAGGATGGGTGAGTAGCATAATCGCTAATGATAGGGTAATGATAGAGCACATTTCACAACACCTTTAAGCCCTTTCACGTGCATCAGATAATTTGATCCTCATAAAAGCCTAGAGATAGATATATTACAGGGATGAAGGTGGAGTATTTTGTGGTTATGTGATATGTTTAAAATTATGCAGTGAGTAAATGACTGGGTTCAAACCAGACCTTAAAAGTCTGTTATCTTTCCCTCGAGCATGCAATGAAGTCTACATCATCCCTACCATGTCCATTTGATCACACCCTGGCCTCACAGCTCTGTGGTCTACAGGATACCTCATGGTGGTTTTATTGACCAGACAATAATCCTCTTTCTAAGGGGATGCATTTCATTAATACATATGTAGATCATGAATTGTCTTTGACTTTGAGGGGATGGTAGCCAGAGCAGAAAGCAAAGCTGATTTTCATCCCCGTCTGGTAATGTGGTTGGTAATGTGAAGATGGGTGTATTCTGAGATACCGGCTCCTTGCAGTGTGTGGTTCCTTCTGTTTTCAGGCCCAAGAAGCCCATCCTGGGAAGGAAAATGCATTGGGGAACCCTGTGCGGATTCTTGTGGCTTTGGCCCTATCTTTTCTATGTCCAAGCTGTGCCCATCCAAAAAGTCCAAGATGACACCAAAACCCTCATCAAGACAATTGTCACCAGGATCAATGACATTTCACACACGGTAAGGAGAGTATGCGGGGACAAAGTAGAACTGCAGCCAGCCCAGCACTGGCTCCTAGTGGCACTGGACCCAGATAGTCCAAGAAACATTTATTGAACGCCTCCTGAATGCCAGGCACCTACTGGAAGCTGAGAAGGATTTGAAAGCACAGGGCTCCACTCTTTCTGGTTGTTTCTTTTGGCCCCTCTGCCTGCTGAGATTCCAGGGGTTAGTGGTTCTAATTCTAAACCACTCCAAGAACATTTGATTTTGCTACATGTTTCCATTTAAAAATCATAGGATTTGGGCTGGGTGTGGTGGCTTGTACCTGTCATCCCAGCACTTTGGGAGGCCAAAGCAGGAGGATCATTCGAGCCCAAGAGTTCGAGACCAGCCTGGGCAGCATAGGGAGACCCCATCTCTACAAAAATAATAAAAAATGTTAGCTGGGCATGGTGGTGTGTACCTGTGGTCCCAGCTAGGGGAGGCTGAGATGGAAGGATCACCTGAGCCTGGGAGGTTGAGGCTGCAGTGGGCCCTGATCATGCCACCGTGCTCCAGCCTGGGTGACAGAGTGAGACCTTGTCTCAAAATAAATAAATAAATAAATAAAAGTCATAGGATTTGATCAGGCATGATGGGTCACATCTGTAAGCCCATTGCTTTAGGAGGCCAAGGTAGGAGGATCAGTTGAGGCCAGGAGTTCAAGACCAGCCTGGGCAACATGGCAAGACCTCTCTCTCTAATTTTTAAAAAAATAAAAATTAAAGATAAGAAAAAAATCATAGGATTCTCATGAGGCCTCACGTGCTTATTTTCAACCTACCAAGGGGAAACCCAGGCCTCAGCGATTAGCTGAGCCACATGCAGGCACAGCCACTGTCTCTTTCCTTCCTGTCCCCTCTGTCCCCACCTTCTGCGCTCGCCTTCCTCCCTGACTTCACTTCCTTGAATCTTAGTGCCTACGACCAGAGGGAGCTGTGAAGTTCCTTGTGTCCCATTGGCAGGAACAAGACCCCCAGAAGCATCTCCTCAGGGCCTCTATCCCATCTCTAGATGTGCTTGTCATTAGGGTTCTTGTAGTTCCAGCTGATCTCTGGCCCTGCCGCTCAAAGATACCCAAAAGAGCGAGTCTACCCTTTTTCACATTCAACCCTCTACTGATTTGCAAATAGCAGTCAGTGCCCACCCTGGTCTTTTCTCTGGGGTCCAGCAGGCCTAGACCTTCAGCCATTTTCCTGATGAGGTCTGTATTTGAAATTAGGAAGATTAAGTTTGAATCTTCACACTTCTGATGTCTGTGAGATCTTCAGCAAGTTCCTTACTGTCTTTAAGCCTTGTTTTCATCATCTGGATAATGGGGATATCACACACTATTCACAAGGTTGTTATGAGGCCTAAATTAGCTAAAGCAATTGAATCCTCCTTACCCCCTGCATGGAGCTCTCTGGAGACTTCCACGTCTCCTGGTCATTGTGGGTGTCTTATGGTAGTCTTGGGCAGTTAGGGAGAAGTTAGGTGTCTGGAAGCAAAGATGGCTCAGAACTAGATAGAGTCTTGGGCATTTTATAGATAAAAACTCTTGTCTCCTTTAAAAATAATAAAAAAAAATTAGCTGGGCATATTAGCCACTCAGCAAGACTGCACGTGATAGATCCCGAGTGCCCCACCTTGGGTGGTGTAATACACAATATCACGGGAGCCCCGGGTAGTAACCACGGAGGTGTCAGCCTCAGTGCTGTGGGCAGATGGATGGGGAGAGCCTCCCGGAACTGGAGTCACTGGAGCAGGGTTGGGGGGCCTCACTGAGGGTACGGCCTTGATCTCTAAGGAGGAGGGACTGCCTGGAAAAGCTGACTGGGAGGGAGGACTCGGCTGGGGGTAGAAGGGACTAGGGAAGGCTGGGGGTGGGGGTGCTTATGGAGGACCTCAGATGCCTGGGGAACAGACTCCACTAAATAAAACATATGAAACCATGGCTGGTTCTTCAGCAGAGGCCATGTAGAGAAAGGAATGACCTAGGAAAGTTGGCCTGGAAGTGGAGGGAAGGATGGTGTGGGAAAAGCAGGAATCTCGGAGACCAGCTTAGAGGCTTGGCAGTCACCTGGGTGCAGGATACAAGGGCCTGAGCCAAAGTGGTGAGGGAGGGTGGAAGGAGGCAGCCCAGAGAATGACCCTCCATGCCCACGGGGAAGGCAGAGGGCTCTGAGAGCGATTCCTCCCACATGCTGAGCACTTGTTCTCCCTCTTCCTCCTGCATAGCAGTCAGTCTCCTCCAAACAGAAAGTCACCGGTTTGGACTTCATTCCTGGGCTCCACCCCATCCTGACCTTATCCAAGATGGACCAGACACTGGCAGTCTACCAACAGATCCTCACCAGTATGCCTTCCAGAAACGTGATCCAAATATCCAACGACCTGGAGAACCTCCGGGATCTTCTTCACGTGCTGGCCTTCTCTAAGAGCTGCCACTTGCCCTGGGCCAGTGGCCTGGAGACCTTGGACAGCCTGGGGGGTGTCCTGGAAGCTTCAGGCTACTCCACAGAGGTGGTGGCCCTGAGCAGGCTGCAGGGGTCTCTGCAGGACATGCTGTGGCAGCTGGACCTCAGCCCTGGGTGCTGAGGCCTTGAAGGTCACTCTTCCTGCAAGGACTACGTTAAGGGAAGGAACTCTGGCTTCCAGGTATCTCCAGGATTGAAGAGCATTGCATGGACACCCCTTATCCAGGACTCTGTCAATTTCCCTGACTCCTCTAAGCCACTCTTCCAAAGGCATAAGACCCTAAGCCTCCTTTTGCTTGAAACCAAAGATATATACACAGGATCCTATTCTCACCAGGAAGGGGGTCCACCCAGCAAAGAGTGGGCTGCATCTGGGATTCCCACCAAGGTCTTCAGCCATCAACAAGAGTTGTCTTGTCCCCTCTTGACCCATCTCCCCCTCACTGAATGCCTCAATGTGACCAGGGGTGATTTCAGAGAGGGCAGAGGGGTAGGCAGAGCCTTTGGATGACCAGAACAAGGTTCCCTCTGAGAATTCCAAGGAGTTCCATGAAGACCACATCCACACACGCAGGAACTCCCAGCAACACAAGCTGGAAGCACATGTTTATTTATTCTGCATTTTATTCTGGATGGATTTGAAGCAAAGCACCAGCTTCTCCAGGCTCTTTGGGGTCAGCCAGGGCCAGGGGTCTCCCTGGAGTGCAGTTTCCAATCCCATAGATGGGTCTGGCTGAGCTGAACCCATTTTGAGTGACTCGAGGGTTGGGTTCATCTGAGCAAGAGCTGGCAAAGGTGGCTCTCCAGTTAGTTCTCTCGTAACTGGTTTCATTTCTACTGTGACTGATGTTACATCACAGTGTTTGCAATGGTGTTGCCCTGAGTGGATCTCCAAGGACCAGGTTATTTTAAAAAGATTTGTTTTGTCAAGTGTCATATGTAGGTGTCTGCACCCAGGGGTGGGGAATGTTTGGGCAGAAGGGAGAAGGATCTAGAATGTGTTTTCTGAATAACATTTGTGTGGTGGGTTCTTTGGAAGGAGTGAGATCATTTTCTTATCTTCTGCAATTGCTTAGGATGTTTTTCATGAAAATAGCTCTTTCAGGGGGGTTGTGAGGCCTGGCCAGGCACCCCCTGGAGAGAAGTTTCTGGCCCTGGCTGACCCCAAAGAGCCTGGAGAAGCTGATGCTTTGCTTCAAATCCATCCAGAATAAAACGCAAAGGGCTGAAAGCCATTTGTTGGGGCAGTGGTAAGCTCTGGCTTTCTCCGACTGCTAGGGAGTGGTCTTTCCTATCATGGAGTGACGGTCCCACACTGGTGACTGCGATCTTCAGAGCAGGGGTCCTTGGTGTGACCCTCTGAATGGTCCAGGGTTGATCACACTCTGGGTTTATTACATGGCAGTGTTCCTATTTGGGGCTTGCATGCCAAATTGTAGTTCTTGTCTGATTGGCTCACCCAAGCAAGGCCAAAATTACCAAAAATCTTGGGGGGTTTTTACTCCAGTGGTGAAGAAAACTCCTTTAGCAGGTGGTCCTGAGACCTGACAAGCACTGCTAGGCGAGTGCCAGGACTCCCCAGGCCAGGCCACCAGGATGGCCCTTCCCACTGGAGGTCACATTCAGGAAGATGAAAGAGGAGGTTTGGGGTCTGCCACCATCCTGCTGCTGTGTTTTTGCTATCACACAGTGGGTGGTGGATCTGTCCAAGGAAACTTGAATCAAAGCAGTTAACTTTAAGACTGAGCACCTGCTTCATGCTCAGCCCTGACTGGTGCTATAGGCTGGAGAAGCTCACCCAATAAACATTAAGATTGAGGCCTGCCCTCAGGGATCTTGCATTCCCAGTGGTCAAACCGCACTCACCCATGTGCCAAGGTGGGGTATTTACCACAGCAGCTGAACAGCCAAATGCATGGTGCAGTTGACAGCAGGTGGGAAATGGTATGAGCTGAGGGGGGCCGTGCCCAGGGGCCCACAGGGAACCCTGCTTGCACTTTGTAACATGTTTACTTTTCAGGGCATCTTAGCTTCTATTATAGCCACATCCCTTTGAAACAAGATAACTGAGAATTTAAAAATAAGAAAATACATAAGACCATAACAGCCAACAGGTGGCAGGACCAGGACTATAGCCCAGGTCCTCTGATACCCAGAGCATTACGTGAGCCAGGTAATGAGGGACTGGAACCAGGGAGACCGAGCGCTTTCTGGAAAAGAGGAGTTTCGAGGTAGAGTTTGAAGGAGGTGAGGGATGTGAATTGCCTGCAGAGAGAAGCCTGTTTTGTTGGAAGGTTTGGTGTGTGGAGATGCAGAGGTAAAAGTGTGAGCAGTGAGTTACAGCGAGAGGCAGAGAAAGAAGAGACAGGAGGGCAAGGGCCATGCTGAAGGGACCTTGAAGGGTAAAGAAGTTTGATATTAAAGGAGTTAAGAGTAGCAAGTTCTAGAGAAGAGGCTGGTGCTGTGGCCAGGGTGAGAGCTGCTCTGGAAAATGTGACCCAGATCCTCACAACCACCTAATCAGGCTGAGGTGTCTTAAGCCTTTTGCTCACAAAACCTGGCACAATGGCTAATTCCCAGAGTGTGAAACTTCCTAAGTATAAATGGTTGTCTGTTTTTGTAACTTAAAAAAAAAAAAAAAAGTTTGGCCGGGTGCGGTGGCTCACGCCTGTAATCCCAGCACTTTGGGAGGCCAAGGTGGGGGGATCACAAGGTCACTAGATGGCGAGCATCCTGGCCAACATGGTGAAACCCCGTCTCTACTAAAAACACAAAAGTTAGCTGAGCGTGGTGGCGGGCGCCTGTAGTCCCAGCCACTCGGGAGGCTGAGACAGGAGAATCGCTTAAACCTGGGAGGCGGAGAGTACAGTGAGCCAAGATCGCGCCACTGCACTCCGGCCTGATGACAGAGCGAGATTCCGTCTTAAAAAAAAAAAAAAAAAAGTTTGTTTTTAAAAAAATCTAAATAAAATAACTTTGCCCCCTGCTCTTTGTTTCCTGTCGCCGTTCCTGGAGGGGCTTCGGGAGAGCTGTTTGTGTGTGACAGGGCAAGGCCTGGCTGGCCCCCATCCATCACTGGGGTCAGCTCCGCCCCAGGCTTGGCCACAGCCAGCCGCCAGTTATTCAGGCAAAAGGATTACCCTGTAAAGAAAACAGAGCTGGGTTTGGACGCTGAGAGGACTGGGAAACAGGTTGCAGGGAGGCACAGGAAGCACACACCAAGAGCCAGAGAGAGGCCTCTGTGCCATCCCAAGGAATGAGGACAAAGAGAGGGGTCCTCGGGAAGAAGGGATCCACTTTGGAGAGGCCCCTTAACACGGGACAGAGCAAGGACAGAAAGAGGCATCCACTGGGATGGAAGAAGGACAGGATCCACAGGGAAAGAGGGATGAGGGGAATGAAGAGAGAAGAAATAAAGAGTTCAGCATCACCTCATGATGCAACTAATTTGGCACAATGCCCAGCACAATGTACCCCTCCATTCTGATTTGGTGGCCAGAAGAATTGAGATTCTTGGGCCAGGCACGATGGCTCATGCCTATAATCCCAGCACTTTGGAAGGTCAAGGTGGGTGGATCACTTGAGACCAAGAGTTCGAGACAAGCCTGGCCAACATAGCAAAACCCCATCTCTACTGAAAATACAAAAAGTAGCCAGGCATGGTGGCACGTGCGTGTAATCCCAGCTACTTGGCAGGCTGAGGCAGGAGAATCGCTTGAACTCGGGAGGCAGAGGTGGCAGTGAACCGAGATCATGCCACTGCACTCCAGCCTGGGTGGCAGGTGAGACTCTGTCTCAAAAAAAAAAAAAAAAAATTGAGATTCTTGGATAGCAAGCCCATTATTTAACATGTAAGCAAATTATTCAAAAAGCTTAAAACATACCTATCAAAGGTTAGACTCCTTATTAGTATTCCGCTTAATCTTAATTTGTTCAACAAACCATTCTGAGTTCAAATAGAGGTCCAAATCAACTGTATAAAAGATAACTTTGAGATGAGGAAAATTTAAATGGGGGCTCTGTTTTCTTTCTTTCTTTCTTTCTTTCTTTCTTTCTTTCTTTCTTTCTTTCTTTCTTTCTTTCTTTCTTTCTAACTTTTTTGCCAGTGACACAACCTCAGAAGTTCCTGAGAACATGTGTCCCAATTCCATTTCAGATGCTGATAAGAAATTCTAGTTAATTTTACTAGGTATAATGATGGCATGGTGGTGTAGTTATTCTTCAGTGCTTCCTTATGCATTCGTGATAGATGCAAACAGAAGTTTAGGGTGAAATAGCACAATGCCTGGGATTAACCTTAAAAAACTTCAGCAAAACAATTTATCTTATAATTTTTTATAAATATTATATAAACTTTATATAAATAACTATATATCTATATATATATATCAACAAGATCAGCAAAATGTTGAGAATTGCTAAAGCTAAGTGACAGATACATGGGAGTCCATTATACCAGACCCTTTCCTTTTGGGTGAAATTTCCAGAAGAAACACTTTTTGGAAATGTCCAGTTCAGCCTGGCCCGTCCCCTGCCTGGGCAATGTTGCATTCCTGGGAAGGAAGGAGAGGAGGTGGGGAGAGAAGAGGGAGAAGGAGAATATGACGTGGAGCTGAGCTGTATTTAAAGAGCACATTTGATTTCACTGCCTGGCAGATGTCCCAGGGCCTTGGGGGGACAGCAGACTGTCAGTGCGGGTGTGAAACAGTGAACTAAGACAGGGATTTAGCAAATCAAACAAGGAAGGAATGGTAAGAACCAGCTGCAAGGGGCAGGGAGAGGCATGTCCTGAAGCTCACAGGAAAAAGCCAAAGCAGCAGACATCAGGGCCTCAAGCTCTGCCCCAGTCCTGCTGGGCCTCAGGTGTCCCACAGAAGCCAACTCCCCCCACCCAAGGGGGCATCGTGGTATTCCTGCTGTGCAGCTGTTCCTCCATATTAAATAACACTGTGTAGGCAGAGAAGCCTTTAGACCATTTGTAACCACGCAATGGGTTCACCTTGCCTGCTGCGTAGACAGAACCGATTTATCAAGACAGGGGAATTCCAATAAAGAGTAATGCATGCAGAGCAGGCTGTGCAGGAGACGGTAGTTTTACTATTACTCTAATCAGTCTCCCCAGAGCAGGGGGTTTTAAAGATAATTTTGCGGGTAAGGGCTTGGGAAGTGGGGAGTGCTGATTGGTCAGGTTGGGGATAGAATCACACCCGGTCAAGTTAGGTTTTCTTAATGTCTTCTGTTCCTGGGTGCGATGGCAGAACTGGTTGGGCCAGATTACTGCTCTGGGTGGGGTCAGCTTATCCATGGAGTGTAGGCTCTGCAAAATATCTCAAGCACTGATCTTAGATTTTACAACAGTGCTGTTTACCCCCAGGAGCAATTTGGGGAGGTTCAGACTCTTGGAGCCAGGAGCTGCATGACCCCTAAATTGTAATTAATTATGCATGACCCCTAAATTGTAATTTACCCAGGAGCTACATGACCCCTAAATTGTACATTGTAAGCCTCAGAAACGAGGCTCCTATTTCTCCCTTCACAACCTTGATCCAGCAGCAGCCTGTGGCCGGCTCATCCCATCTCTTCCCTTGCTTACTTAGACCCCTTCCAGGGCCAGGGGCAGGTCACTACTCACATCCTACCCCACCCACCCCAGACAGAATCCTCCTGAGTCCAGGAGATTCCAAGAGTGCAGAAGGAACCACCAAGGGGCCTGCCTGTTCAGAGGCCTGCCAGCGTTCCCTCTGGGGTTTCCCTTCAGCCAGCCTAAACTGGGCCCTCCAGCGCCGGAGGCTTCCAGACAAAGACGGACCCTCCCTGCAGAAGGTTGGTGTTCCATCTGGGGAAAATGTCCCCAGTCACACCTCAGAAAAGCACCCCTGCCCCACCCTTTTCATGCCTTAATTTCTGAGAAACACCAACCCTCACAGCTTCGCCCTTTCTGTGTAGAAAATGTGCGCATTTCTCTGAGGGAGAGCTGTAGGCGCTGTGCCAGCCATATGGAGCAGAGCCTCCCCCACGCAGGCCCGAAACAATCATAGAAGTGGGGGCTCCCTTCCTCTCATGGGCTTGGACTTTGCCTCTGGATTTTGGACCCAAAATCTGGAGCCGGTCTGCACAGCCTAGCAATGATCTGGGGCTCATGGAAACAGTCTAGGAACCCCCACCATACTTCAGGATGGAACAATTGAGGGTCCAGCCCAGCCTTGGGGGAGCATGTCAGGGTGTTCTTTACTCAGTCAATTTAAATGGATGACAGAACTGACGCTTAGAAGCCTCATAAGACCTGCCCCCAAACAACTCACATCTGAGGATTAGAACCTGACTTGCAATGCCCAGGTGACATATATATACATGTAGAAATACAAAGACAGAGATTGATAGATATTTCTTTACTTGCCCCATCTGTGCCCCAAACACATACACACAGAGATTTCCAGCCGTTTTCTGCTTGCCCACCCATCCCCACCTCTCCCCAGAGGGACATCCATTAGGAAATGCACTTGCAGGCCATGTCTCTATCCTAATGTTGTTTTTTGTTTGTTCTTATTGTGCTTATTTGTTTGGTTTAGTGATGGAGTCTCACTCTGTCACCCAGACTGGAGTGCAGTGGTGCCATTATAGCTCACTGCAGCCTCAAACTCCTGGGCTCAAGCGATCCTCCCACCTCAGACTCCTGAATGGATGGAACTACAGGAACATGCCACCATGCCTGGCTAAGTTTTTTTTTTTTTTAGAGATGGGGTCTTGCTATGTTGCCCAGGCTGGTCTCAAACCCTTGGCCTTAAGTGATCCTCCCATTTCACCCTCCCAAAGTGCTGGGAAGTGTCCTAAAGTTGAGGAGCTTACAGCCTGGGTTGACTGTACACACACACACACACACACACACACACACACATATGCACACACACACAGAACTGGCTCCAGGGCTCACCCACAGGTCTGCCCACCTTCCCCACCAGCACTGCCGGAAGCCCCCTCCATTAGTCTCCTGTCCTGCTCCTTCTCTGAGATGAAGAGCTCTTTAAATCATGGTCATTGTGGCTGGGTGCGGTGGCTCACAAATGTAATCCCAGCACTTTGGGAGGGCAAGGTGGGTGGATGACCTGAGGTCAGGAGTTCGAGACCAGCCTGGCCAAATGGCAAAACCCCGTCTCTACTAAAAATACAAAAATTAGCCAAGAGTGGTGGCACATACCTGTAATCCAAGCTACTTGGGAGGCTGAGGTGGGAGAATCACTTGAACCTGGGAGGCAGAGGCTATAGTGAGCCAAGATCTCGCCACTGCACTCCAGCCTGGGTGACACAGGGAGACTCCGTCTCAACAACAACAACAAAAAAAAATCATAGTCATTTTTTTCCTGTTCCTCATCCCATCCACTCGTCTTCATTTTCATATATTTTACTTGTACATTTGTTTATTAATATCTACCCCATAAGAATGTAGGCTCTGCCAGGCGCAGTGGCTCACTCCTATAATCCCAACACTTTGGGAGGCTGAGGCACGTGGATCACCTGAGGTCAGGAGTTTAGAACCAGCATGGCCAACATGTATCTACTAAAAATACAAAAAAATTAGCCGGGCATGATGGTGGGCGCCTGTAATCCCAGCTGCTCGGGAGGATGAGGCAGGAGAATCGCTTGAACCTGGGAGGCAGAGGTTGCCGTGAGCCGAGATTGCGCCATTGCACTCCAGCCTGGGCAACAAGAGCGAAACTCCATCTCAAAAAAAAAAAGAATGTAGGCTCCCAGCAGGCAGGGATTGTCTTTTGGTCTGTTTTGTTTCCCGCTAGATCCCCAGCATCTAGGCTAGATCCTTACACAGAGTAGGTACAACCTGTTGGCTGAATGGGTCTCTAACCTCAAGAGCTGATGCCCCATGTCCCCTTTGCATTTGGGTACAAAGAAGTGGCATGAGGGGAAGTGGAATGCTCAGCAGTCTGTCCACTTAGAGGATTCCAAGCCAGATATGGTTGCCAAAGTCCTGTCATGTGGACAAGACTGGAGGGAGATTGGGGATCAACAGGTAGAATGTGGCAGAAGGCAAGCTTTGGCTTAGTCGTACCATCAGAACTACTCTCCGATAGGAGGGCCAGCTGGGGCAGGCTGTGGGCAGATTGCTGTGGCAATGGCGCCCAGGTGTGACCCCTGCCTTCTGGTGTCCGCCCTCGATGTAGGCTCCCCACAACACTGACACTGGGCTTGGCCACGTGACCTGCTTGCCACAGTGGGACAACAGCAAACAAGACACAAGCAAAGGTTGGAAAAGTGCTTGCCCATGGGGGCTTGTCCTCTCTCGCTGCAGGGAAATCTTCAGCCACTATGCGAAGGAGCCCAGACTAGCCTCCAAGAGGATAAGCGACCCTGTGGAGAGAGGCCCCAGCCCCAGCCATCCCAGCTGTATTAGTTGGTCTTTTTTTTTTTCCTATATTTTCTGATGCTGTGACATCTTGGAACCTCACTGACACTGCAGGGACCGATCCTCCCAGGGTTAGCTAATTCCCAGAGATAGCAAACAGCTCAAGGGGTGCATACCTTTCAAATGCAAACCAACCAATCTAGAGCCCACACCCCAACCACCTCCTCTATTGGGCTGTCATACTCAGGGCCACTATCCCCTACCCTAATCTTCCCAGGGCCAGGTACCAGACAACTAGAGCCAGCCCCCATGCTCCAGAGCCCACTGAAATTACTCAAACTAGCCAATCCTAAACTTGCTTACCCTCACTTGCCTTGCTTTTCCTATGCAGTTGAACCAGTATTCAAACCATGTCAACGGGAATCATTCTCCATCTCAGCTTTGTTTCCTTTGGCATTGGCTTTATTCTTAGACGGTGGCAAAAGTGATCATCAAAAACTCCAGTCCTATACCTTCCAGGTTGGCAACTCCCCAGGAAAAAGAGCTCTCCTTCCTAAATGTTCCGGCAAAAGCCCCAGAGCTGACTCCCATTGGTCTGGCTTGAATCACATGTCTATTGCTGAGCCAATCACTGGGACCAGGAAAATGCAGTACTCTGATTGGTTAGATTTGAGTCGAACCAAGGAAGGGGTCAATTGCACTTGGAATGAGAATGGGGATAGGGTAGTTTCCCAAAGGAAAAGAGGGTGTGTTACCAAAAAGCAGGAGAAATGGGTCTTGGGAAGGAAGAAACAACAGATTTCCTCCAGGAATGCTCTGAGCCTTTCTTTCCTGGCCTGTCT
The DNA here is from genome assembly GCF_000001405.40 of Homo sapiens. Lineage (NCBI taxonomy): Eukaryota > Metazoa > Chordata > Mammalia > Primates > Hominidae > Homo > Homo sapiens. Next base: position 128,263,841 of record NC_000007.14, read on the forward strand.
GATTCCTGACAGCTTTCTGGAACCTTGTCTCAGTCTGGATTTCTTTCTGAGAGAAGGAAGAGACTCACTCCCTTTGACCCTTTACTTTTGTATTGAGAACCAAAACCAGCTCTGACTGGCTCTTAACTTCAACCACACGGCATCAAATAAAAAATAATGTTTGACCCCGGACTTAGAAAAGGGTGGAGTGATTGTCCTTGGCTCTGACAACTGCTTCTGATAAGTATGAAGAACATTTTTGTTACTGGTTATAGTGGATTGGGGCTTGATATTAAGTCATCCAAATTGTTATTGCTCTCATTGGGGTTATTTTACTGGTCTTTCTGCTTTGTCGGGGGGTCATTCTTTTCCACTGGGAAATTTGTTCTTTTTTTCTTCCCTTTTAATGGAGGTCGTGTTGTTGACACCTTATGTTGTAGGGATGGCTGTTCTGATTGCTTTACAAAAAGCGTAATGATCAGAAGGATTCCTTACAGCAGAACAGCACCTTGCCATCTATAAAGCACTTTCACACACGTTATTACATTTGATCTCTACAATAAGCAGCATTGAGGAGAACAAATAGTATTATATCCACTTTCTATAGATATGGAAATAGACCCAGAGAGGTTAAGTGACTGGTTACAGGTCACAGAGCTATGTTGCCTTAGGTAGCAGGAAAATATTGGCAAGGAATAAGCAGGCATTTATTCAAGGCTTGATTTATTTAACAAGATAAGGCTTTATTGTTACAAAGTTCATCAGGGCTCAACTCCCCAGCTCCCTTCTTATTTTGGTACACAAACTACATAGCTCCAAAGGGACACACACACACATGCACGCACACACACACACACCCTGGGCCACCAATAGCCAAGGCTAGAGCCCAGCCAAGCATGTCAGCATGCAGGCTCACCCACAAGCAGGTCTGGGAGATGCAGGCCTGGCTCATGGGCAGGTGCCCAGGAGCCCACAGCTTGGTTCAGTCCTCCCGCAGAGCTCCTCACCCAACCCAGCACCTTCTCTCCTCAAAGGGGGTGGTGGCTGGGGCTATGGGTAGGGCTGGGGCTTTGTCAGGAGGGAGGAGGCAAGTCTGGGAGGGTCTGGGGAGCTGGGGAAATTTCCTGAATGGAAACTCCAGGCTGATATGCTGGGGACATTCCTTCCAGGGACTCTCCTCTCCCTCCACATCCTTGCCTTTTCTCTCTGTGCCTGAACCCTGGACAGAAAATGAGTAGACTTTATGGGTCACGTGGAAACCAAGGGGTAGGGCTCACCCACAAGCAGGTCACAAGACAAAAGCAGAGAGCAAGGTCACCAGAGTAGGTGCTATCTCCACTGTCCCTCCTGTCATGGGAAGAAGGGCCTCCGGGAAGCCGGGAAGCCCCCCACAACACCTCTTGCTGTGGTCCTAGGAACCTCCAGGCAATCCTCTCTGTTCCAACACTCTGCCTGTGTCCTAACAAACAAGGTAAGTGGCAACTCCTGCAGAAGTGGGCCCTGACCCTGACCCTGTCATCTCACCTCTGGGACTCATTGTGGAAGTCCTGGGCATTCAGCATGACAGACTGGCCAGTGGGGAAGTGACCCAGCCCCAGAGCTCTCTGGGAAACCTCTGCATTGGCCCCTGACCCCACCCTGGGGTTTTCATAGATCCAAGCACCTTCCCAGCATCCAGGTGAAAGGCCCAGCGCTTATTAAACCCTGCCCAACCTGGCCTGGATGCTTCCTGGATGTGCACTGCTGGGAGACTTCTATTCTGGAAGATCCTGTCACAAAGAAGAATAGGAAATGCCAGAAACTCATCTATCTGATAGGATTTGTTTTTCCCCATAGGAGAAAAACCCAATCACACCATCTCCCACTTGGAACAACTGCAATTACCCACTCCCCGTAAGTGGAAGAACACCAGGGCTAATCAAATGACACCACTCCGGGAAGCCAATGGCTCCCAGTACCAATCTTTTTGAAAAGCCCATATGGAAAGCTACAAATTCTATTTGTCTTGTCTGGGGGGGAAATGAGTTTTAAATATGTTGAATCAAAAATGATATATACCAGACACTAGTGATCCAGAACAAACGCCTTGGGAGAAAAACTACTCTGAAAACGTTCAGTATTCAGGTTGCCAAAGAACTGGGAATTTAGGCTGAAATATACAAGCACAGAACATTCACACTGGACAGCCACATGTCCCTTACCAGGCCCGGATGGAATTGGTCCTCAGACAGAGCCCTGGTTCCTTCCTGAGCACTGGCCTCAGCAGCTTCCCCCAGGGACACTCCCTGCCACCTCCTGGTGAGCTTCAATGTCTTCCTGCTGGGCCAGGCTGCCGAGGCCTGAAGATCTCGGGTCCACCCTATGCAGCCAGCCTGACCGGGTTGAGGAAAGGCTGGGGAGGTAAAGAAGAGGTCTGCTTTCCACCAGATTCCCAAGCCCAGCAGACAATTATGCCATTAAATAGTCAGTTTACAAACCATGGAGGGCACTGATTGTTCTCTTCCAAGACAAACTGGTGAGGTAGGAAGCTCCTGGGAGTAGGCACTGGGAGACCTAGGTTCTAATCCCAGCTCCACTAGTAGCTGCTAGTGCCAAAGGTCTTGGACAAATCCCTTCTCCTGTCTAGTCCTTAGTTGATAAAATAAGAAACTGAATTTAAATGCTCTCTTTCGATTCTACAACTAACATATTTTTTTTTCTTTTCACTCTTTCAAGAGTCTGTAGAAAAGGGTAGGAAAAGATCCCTCTTTTTTTTCAAGAGGGTAGAGAATGGTGAATAAGAGCAGTCTTTCAAATCAGCCTGCACAGGTTTGAATCCCAGCCTGGCTCCTTTCAAACTGTGTGACCCTGAGCAAGTGACTTAACCCTCTCTGTGCTTCCATTTTCTCTTCTCTACCATGAAGATAGTAGTATCTGTCTCACAGCCTTGTGAAAGGACATGATGAATTAGCATTCAAAGGCCTTTCAATAGCTCCTAGCACATAGCTATTATTTCTTCAGCAACTACTGTATACCACGCTCTGTCCCAGGCACTGCAGAGACAGAAGTGATTGAGAGCCATGGTCCTTGCCCTCCAGGATCGTACTGTCTCCTAGGAAAATGTTGCCCTGGCAGCCTCTCTCTGATGGTCACATGTTTGCATCCCTAAGGGTAGGATCGTTCCTGGCCTTCTGCCCAGGCACGGGGTTGGGCATGAAACAAGTCCCCCCACAGGTCTCTGAGGCGCATACCAGCTGCCTGACTCTTGATTTTTTCTTTCCCTGCTTCTTTACTGCTTTTCCCCTCCTGATTCCACTTGATGTCTAACTTCAAAGAGAATAGAAATAAATAAAAGCTCCTGCAAAAGAGGCTGTCTTCCTCCTCCCTCTGCATTCCCTCTCTAATCTTCTCTCCAGTCTCCGCCTGTTGGTGTTGCATCATTCCTGCTCACAGCCTCGCTCCATTTGCCCCGTTTAGGGAGCTACGAGATCCCTCGGTGCCTCCTGCCCTCCTAAGAACACACTCTGGCCTTGCTCTTCCTAGAACCCGACATGGCCATAATCTTCTTGGTTCGTGAGGACATTGGCTGCAGGAACATTCAGCTGTGTTTTCCCAGGGGATGGGGGCGGGGGCCAGAGAAATTGTTCAGCTCCTGCGCAGTCAGCAGGGAAGGTAATCGGGATTAATCTGAGCACTGCCAAATGCAGATGAGTCCCAGCCAAGGAGGGAGGGCAGGAAGCTACTGTCTCAGGGGCCAGCTGCTGCTGCCGCCAGGGGGTCCGGGGAAGAGGAATGAGGCACTGGCACAGATCAGAGAGCCCCAAGAGGTTTGGACAGCATCGTGGAGGTCTGGGGCCGCCCAGCCCAGTCTGGCCAGGAGGGCTGCTTGGTGGATGTCTTTCATGGCATGTTGAGAGCTGGCAGGCTAACTGTGTATGCACAAATGCACACTGGCTGTTTGAGGAATTCCCAAATCCCTTGCTGGAGGCTAGATGATGAAAAACAGGATTCTAGAGGAATCCTGTGGCCTCCCGTGCCACCATGCTCATTCTTGGGCTGCCAGGGGTCGGGGGGTGCTGGGAGGAGGAGTGCAAATGGCAGCCCTTTGGCCAATTCTGGCAGGTCCTGGGTCAGACAGATTAAATGATGGTAAGCGAGGAGTTGGGCAAATATTTCTGAGTGCCTACTATGTGCCCGATGCTGTGCCAGGCTCCAGAGAAACAAAACTGAACAAATAGAGGGGCTCATAGCCTGGTGGGAAGACAGTGGCACTGGGGGACACAGAGGCTCCCTGAGCTGTGGGAAACATGTGGAGGTGATCTTTGGGGTCCTGGCACCCCCTCCTCCATGCCCCTCATCCCTGCAAGTACCATAATCCTTTTACAGTATTAGTGGCTGATGGAGAGTTACTTCCAGGATGATTTGTTTAAAGAGGAAATTCTTGAAGCCCTCAAACCCTCCAGTGCTAACAGGGGGCAGGGGATCAAAATGGCAACGTTTTAGGCCTCCTGCTACATCTGGGAAGGGGGAAGAAGTAATCACCCACTGACCTGAGGTCAGGATGTCAGGGGCCTGGTCCATGCCCTGTCACTCCAGGCTGGGTGAGCTGGGGCAAGTCACTAAGCTCTCAAAGCCTCCCTCCCAGGTTTCTGTGCAGCTTAGAGGAGATGCTGTAATTGGCAGGGAAGGGGCAGACCATGGTGTGATGCACGGCTGGAGCCTCCCTGTCTTCATCTTGCAGTAGCCCTGTGGCCCTTTCATATCCCTGGATGCACACTTGCTGCTGAGTTTCCTATGGGTCATGTTCACATTGATTTATGTGTAAACAGTTGTTGAAAATAATACAATATTTTATGAGGCTAAACAGAAGACAAGGGGCCCTAATAAAAGCAGATGCATAAACCAGTGGAACAGAATAGAGAACCCAGGAACAAATCCACACATCTACAGTGAACTCATTTTCAACAAAGTTTCCAAGAACATACATTGAGGAAATGTATTTAATAAGTGGTGCTGAGAAAACTAGATATCCATAGGCAGAAGAATGAAACTAGACCCCTATTTCTCACCATATGCAAAAATCAAATCAAAATGAATTAAAGGCTGAAATAAGACCTCAAACTGTGAAATTATTACAATAAAACATTGGAGAAACTCTCCAGGACATTGAAGTGGGCAAAGACTTCTTGAGCAATATCCCATAGGCACAGGCAACCAAAGCAAAAATGGACAAATGAGATCACATCGAGTTGAAAAGCTTCTGCACAGCAAAGGACAAGATCAACAAAGTGAAGACAGACGCCACAGAATGGGAGAAATATTTGCAAACTACCCATCTGACAAGGGATTAATAACCAGGATATATAAGGAGCTCAAATAACTCTCTGGGAAAAAAATCTAATAATACCACTTTTAAAATTGGCAAAAGATCTGAACAGACGTTTCTCAAAAGAAGACAAACAAATGGCAAATATGTGTATGATCCAAAAGACAGGCAATAACAAATGCTGGCGAGGATGTGGAGAAAAGGGAATCCTCATACACTGTTGGTGGAAATGTAAATTAGTACAACCACTATGGAGGACAGTTTGGAGGTTTCTCAAAAAAAACTAAAAATAGAGCTACCATATGAGATCTGCACTCCTATGTTTACTGTAGCACTGCTCACAATAGCCAAGATTTGGAAGCAACTAAGTGTCCACCAATAGATAAATGGGGCTGGGTACGGTGGCTCACAACCATAATCCTAGCACTTTGGGAGGCCAAGGGAGGTGGATGGCTTGAACCCAGGAGTTTGAGATCAGCCTGGGCAACATGGTGAAACCCTGTCTCTACAAAGAAATACAAAAATTAGATAGGTGTCATGGCATGTGCCTATAGTCCCAGCTCCTTGGGAGGCTGAGGTAGGAGGATCAATTGAGCCCAGGAGGTTGAGGCTGCAGTGAGCCATGATTGCTCCACTGTACTCCAGCCTAGGCAACATAGTGAGACCCTGTCTCAAAAAAAAAAAAATAGACGAATGGATAAAGAAAATGTAGTACATATATACAATGGAGTACAATTCAGTCATAAAAAAGATGAGATCCTGTAATTTGCGACAACGTGGATGGAGCTGGAGATCATTATGTTAACTGAAATAAGCCAGGCACAGAAAGACAAACTTCATATGTTCACGCTTATCTGTGGGTGGTAAAAATTAAAACAGTTGAACCCATAGAGATAGAGAATAGAAGGATGGTTACCAGAGACTGGAAAGGGTAGTGGGGGTGGGGGGAGGGGTGATGGTTAATAGGTACAAAAAAAATTGAAAGAATGAATGAGACCTAGTATTTGCTAGCATAAAAGGGAGACTATAGTAAAAATTAATTTAATTGTACATTTTAAAATAATTAATGCTTGAGGGAATGAATAGCTTATTTACCTTGATGTGATTAGTACACATTTGCATGCCTGTATCAAAATATCTCATGTAACCCATAAATATGTACCTCGACTGTGTACCCACAAAAATTAAAAATTAAAAAAAAATTAAGGCCAGGCACGGTGGCTCACGCCTGTAATCCTAGCACTTTGGAAGGCCGAGGCGGGTGGATCACTTGAGGTCAGGAGTTCGAGACCAGCCTGGCCAACATGGTGAAACCCCGTCTCTACCAAAACTATTTAAAAAATAGCTGGCTGTGGTGGCGTGTGCCTGTGATCCCAGCTACTCGAGAGGCTGAGGCAGAAGAATCGCCTGAACCCAGGAGGCAGAGGTTGCAGTGAGCTGAGATCGTGCCACTACACTCCAGCCTGAACGACAGACTCCGTCTCAAAAAAAAAAGAAAGAAAGAAAGAAAAAAAGAAAAAATTAAAAAAGAAGACAAGGGACCCTTGTGGGGTGTGGGGAGGGAGCATCTGTGACCCACATATTCTGTGGCCAAAGGGGCCAAGTATCTGAAAAGGCAGCCTCAGGACCATTTAAAATAGGCTTGATGGAACCAGGTACCCCCAGGGCCTGGACAGGGGAGGCCGTGGGTCTCCAATACGCGCTTGCCAGTCCTTTAAGCTGATTGAACCACGGTTTGTGCCCAGCGCCCGGTGGCTACCCAATAAACGTTGGCCCGTGCTCCTCTCGCCAAACTCAGCCACCACATGGGTCGGGGCCGCGGTGTCTCAAGCCCTTCGTAGGCTTCCACCGTCAGGCGGCGCTCGGCCTAGAGGCCCAGCCTAGTCCCCCACGCCTGGATGTGGAAAGCGCCCTCCACCTTCTCCGGGGACCCCTCTGCCTCACCGGGAAACCGCTAGGGGTGCTGGGCAGAGGCAGTGTGTTCCCGCTCTGCCTCGCGGCTCTTCACGCGGCTGAAAGGGGTGGGGGTTGCAAAAAGCAAGGTCCGGGGCAAGGACGCCGTCTTGGTCAAGGCTTTCCACGCCGGGCTGGGGAGAAGAGCGCAGCCACGTGGGAGAGTTAACAAGGGCCCCCCCACTGGGATGCCAGCCACCAGGAGTCTAATCCTGATGCTGTGTGGCCTGGGCACACGTTTTCCCCATTCTGGGCCTGTTTCCTCAGCTGAAAAATCGCATCCTAGACCCATTTGCTTAGGTCGATTCTGCATCAACAATTCCACGATTCGGTAGATAGGTGTATCCGGTAGGGTGACACCCAGTCAGACCCCCCAGCAGCCACAATCCTTTGCCTCTGAGCCAACATAACACGTTTGGAACACACGTTCTATTTGCGGTGCCAGCCGAGCTCTGAGGCCACAGCTGGGTCCAGCGGGAGACAGGAGAGCACAGGGTTAACAGCTGGGCCGGGAGGCCGGGAGGGCGACGCCTGGGTTCTAGTGCCAGCGCCCTGTGACCGTGGGCAAATTACTCAATCCCTCCCTGCGCGGGGCATGGTACCGTGCTGGCCCCGCGGGGCTGGTGGTGGGAGGGGAATGAAACGATGCGCGCCAGGTCCGCGCGCGGGCCCGGCGGAGTCCTCTCTCCCCACGCAGGAGGACTGCCTGGGCGGGCGTGGGAGGGCTGGGAACCCCGGTACCATCCCGGCTGTCCGCCCAGTGTCTCCCAGAAAAGGGGAGTCGGAATCTCTCTCACAAGGAGTCGAGTCGGAGGAGACTCGAGTCCTCTGGAAACCGCTGAGCTGCTCGGGTGCCTTTTCTTTTTGTCCTGGAAGGAATCTATCAGTACAGGAAATGTCTTCACGATCCCCGTCCCCGACTCTTCACAGAGCCCACCCTGTGCCCCTTTCTGACCCGGTCCGGGAGGGCTGGGGCCTCTCCCCAGGTGCCATCTCCGGCCTGGGGAGCCACAAACTGCCGCGGTCGGTGTCCGCAGGCGCAGAGCTGCGCCCTGACTCGCCCGGCTGGGTCTGGATGATCCCACCCGCTCAGCAAATTTCCCTTTTTTATTGTTGGTTTTGTCTGTTGGCTTTTACCCCCTTTCCTTTTCCTGCTTCCCCTGAGTCAGCAATGCTGAGCCCAGCGAAGCACAGGGGGCCAAAGGGAGAGACACACGGAGCGCCCCGGGGTCCCCCAGCCTCGGCGGCCCCCGAACCCCCCAGCCAGCCTAGAGCTGCCCTTCTGGGCCTCTTTTCTGCCAAGACCACTGAATGCCCATCCCCGAGGGCCCAGTCGAAGGGGATTGGAGAGGGTCAGGGTGGGAGGCGGGGCGATGGACAGCGGCGCCAGTGGTCCCGTGAGCGCTCCTGCTGCCCGCAGGTCCGGTACCCTCAGTTAACTGTACCTGGATGACTTCGGCCCCTTTAACAAGCACTTTCCATTTAACTCATTTCATCATCTCAATTCTGTGAGTGGGTCCTGTTATTATCCCACACTGTTATTGTCAGCCACCAAGTCAAGCAATAACAATAACATAACAATGAAAGCCCAGCAAACCAGTAATTTTTCATCTGAGCATTAAGATTTGAAGAGAATATTTGGAAGGTTCCTGCCCACAAAAATATCACCCTACACTCAGGTCTAAATATCTACCAGTGGTGATTTCTTCATTTGAATTAATTGCTGTTCTTTGCCAGGCTTGGGAAGACAAGTCTAGCTGTCTGGACTTTACATGCGTGTGCATGGGAGTGTGTGCTATGCAATAATACTTACACTAAAAATGCATCTGTTGTTTATCAGGGGCATATTTACACTAAAAAACGATCCGTGGATAATCTGAAATTCAGATTTAACTGGGTGTCCTGTCTTTTTATTTGCTAAATATGGCAATGTTAGCCCTGTTGGCCCTGCACTAGGTCTCATCCAACTTGGATCTAGATTGACCTAAGCAATGAAGTTGGATTCCTAGGACCTCACCTCCCTAGAAATTCCCTCTCCAGAACAACTACAGAGCACCTAGCTGTGGAGGAGCCCCAGGGGGCCCTCGTTTCTACCCCATTCTGCAGTGAAAAGAACTTGAGTCTAGAGACCTGTATTCTGCCCTGAGCTGAATACGCTCCCAGGGATCTCAGAAAATGCCAGATACGTGGAGCCTCCATTTCCTCATCTGTAACATAGGGATAATCACACCCAGCTCACGCTATTATAGTGAGAGTTAGACTAGAGAAGGCAAATGCCCGAAGAGTGAATTAGGGACAAAACTGCAGATCTTCAACATTTCTGCTCCCTCACCTGCACTGACTGATTCAGGCTCCAGTAGGGCAGCATTTACACCTTAGTAGAAACACCCCCCAGTGAGCATTTGATAGAGTCTTGAATGACAATGGTCAAGATCCAAATGGGCCACAGACTGAGCCTTCTGGAAATAAAGCCCCCAGCTTTGCTTTCTGATCCGCTGCTGACTCAGAGAGCAGATGCCTCTCCCTCTACGGGAGGTATTGGCGTTGACTGCATCCTGCAAACCTCCCGAGTCTTCTGCCTTGTGGGACTCAGGAAGTCCTCAGCCCAGACTCTAGGATCCCGTACTCTCCTCCTTGGGCCCCAGCATGTGTCTCTCTTGGAGCACACTTCCTCCTGGGACACCACCACGAGGCCCCAGCAGTGCCAGCATGGGTGGGAAAGACAGAAACTCTGCACTGTAAGGCCAGGCACGGTGGCTCACACCTGTTATCCCAGCACTTTGGGAGGCCGAGGTGGATGGATCACTTGAGGTCAGGAGTTCGAGACCAGCCTGGCCAACATGATGAAACCCCATCTCTACAAAAATACAAAAATTAGCCAGGTGTGGTGGCATGCACCTGTAATCCCAGCCACATGGGAGGCTGAGGCATGAAAATCGCTTGAACCCAGGAGGCGGAGGTTACAGTGAGCCGAGATCATACCACTGTACTCCAGCCTGGGTGATATAGTGAGACTGTGTCTCAAAAAAAAAAAAAAGAAAGAAAGAAACTCTGCAACTCTGCACTATAGTGAACCTCCCTGGTACTGCAGAAGCACAGGTGGAGTCAGGGTGCTCTTACTGAAAACCCCAAAGCTACAGCCTGTCTCCACTGACTCTTTCCTGAGACACATATTGGACACTTCCTTCTCCTCCAGCACTGGGGATGGGAATACAAGAACAAAAGCAGCCTGGGCGACCTTCAGGAGCTCAGAAGGCCTTTCAAGGGCTTCAGTCTCTTAAGCTTTGCCTCTCCTAAACAAAAACTCCACAGGGCTATGGGCTGGCAGCTTCCCACTCTCCACTGCCCCCCACTATTCCAGATTCTCTGAGATACAGGGTCTTGTCCAAAGCCCTTCCCTACATTCCCCTATGATCCCATCCTGATGTCAGAGAGGAAAAAGACAGGGAAAGGATGAGAGGCTACACAGTGAGGCTTCGAGGTGCCTGTGCTGGATTCCCAGTGGACTCTGCCCAAGCTCCAGCAGATCTTGGTTTACTTTTTTATGCAGCACATTAGTTGGCCTTTCATGTGCCAGGCCTGGGTGAGGCCCTAGGGTACAGGAGTGAACAGAACGTAGGGAGTTTACAGTCCAGTAGGAGAGCAGCTTAGATCAATAGCAACCGTAGAATGTGATGAGGGCTATTCTGGGAGAAGTGAGCCTGCTATGGCATAAAGCAGGGGTCCCAGCCAAGCCTGAGGGTCAGGGATCTGGGTCAGAAAAGTGCCCCCCAAAGAAGGGATAATCAGACCTGAGGGCTGAGCAGGAGTTCTCCAGGTAGAGGGATGGAGGGGGCTTGCTGGGGATAGACGAACAGTGTTTTTAAAGTTCCCAGGCAAGAGAGAGGCCCTGGAACCTTGAAAACAGTATGTTCAGTGGAAGAAGCCAGAAACAAAGGGCCACATGCTATGTGATTCCATCTGTAGACAGTGTTCAGGATGAGTAAATCCATAGAGACAGAAAGCGGGTTGGTATTTGCCAGGGTTGGGAGAGGGAATGGGCAATAACTGCTAATAGGCAGAAGTTCTTTTTGGGGTGATAAAAATGCTGTGGAATGAGACAGCAGTGACTGTTGCACAATCTTGTGAATATATCAAGACCCATTGAATTTTGTACTTTAAAATGGTGAATTGTATGGTATATGAATTATATCTCAATTTTTTAAAAAGAGAGGCCCTGAGTTCCACTGAGCAACTGAATGAAGCGCAGCTCCCTTGGCATGAAAGGGGGAGTTGGGCCAGGCCAGATCACACAAGGTCCACTTCAAATGGACTTTGTGCTGAGGGCTGGGGGAACCAGTAGAAGGCTCTAAGCTAAGAGGTGACATGGTCAGATTTGCACTTTAGGAAGGTCACTGTGGCTGAAGTGTGGAGAATGCACTGGGTGGGGGATAGATAGACCAGTTAGGAGGCTGCTGCCCCAGTCCAGATGAGGGATCCTGGTGACCAGAACCAGTGGTAGCAGGGAAGGAGAAAAGAAGGCTTCAAGGGAGAGGCAGGAGCAGAATGGACAGCTTTGGTGATTGCTGGGTGCAGGGGTAGGGTGAGAAGAGTGGCTGAGGCAAATGGGACTGGGGACCACTGATTGTGGGAGGAGTGGGGAAGAGGGGCTGAGCTCCATGGGCTTGGGCCAGGTAGAGTTTGAGGCACCTGCAAGAGCCCCAAGGGGACTTGAGGAGGAGGTGTTCTGCTCCGGGGGTGGCACTGAGGAGACAGCCTAGATAGGCAGGGAGATCTGGGGGCGAGGCACCAGCAGGCAGGATCACCCTGCCCTGGGAGAGTGTGGGGGAGAGAGGGCCGAGGGCCAGGAAGAGCCCTGGGGAATCCCAAAATGTGAGGAACAAGGAGAGAGGAAGCAGAAACCAGGAACCAATCAGAAGAGAGGGCTACATGGGGGCCCAGAGAGGCAATGTCTTGAGAATATGGCAGTGCCAGCTATGCAGAGCGTCAATGGAGATCACACAGGTGGGATTCGGGGACAGTTCAGTTGCTTGGAGAACCTGAGGAGGACAGCTTCAGCACTGTGGTTGGACTAAAAGGAGACCAAAGTATATTGAGGAGGGAGAGTGGGGGAGGAAGTGGAAACTGGTTCTTGGAACAAGTTACTGAATGGGAGATGTGATGAGGGAGTGGGAAGGAGAGCTTGAGGGGGAGGCAGGGCAGACCTGGAGCATGGGCCTGGGAAGCACATCTGTTTGAATTCTGAGAGCCTGGGCCTGGCCATCATGGTGGCTTATGCCTGTAATCCTAGCACTTTGGGAGGCCAAGGAGGGAGGATCACTTGAGGCCAGGAGTTTGAGACCAGCCTGGGCATACTGAGACCCTGTCTCTATCAAAAATTTAAAAAAGAAAAAAATTAGCCAGGTATGGTGGCAAACACCTGTGGTCCTAGCTACTCAAAAGGCTGAGGCAGGAGGATCGCTTGAGCTGGGGAAGTTGAGGCTTCAGTGAACTATGATCACCCCACTGCACTCCAGCCTGGGTGACAGAGCAAGATCCTGTCTCAAAATAATAAAAAAAATAAAAAGAAAATAAAAAGAATTCTGAGAGCCTGGAGAGCAGGAGGGATAAACATTGGGCTGAGGTGTCTAAGGAAGTGGGGGGGCAGGGGTTCAGAATTCAGAGCACCAGGTGCTCTGGCCTCAGAAGGGAGGAGGGTTGGGGTCTTTTCTTCCAGCAGGAGGGTGAAGGCAAGCACAGACCTGAGGTGGTGGGCGTGCAGGTTTGTAGACTTGGAGATGAGGAAAGGGAATTGTCATGTGGGTACTATTTTGCCACAGAAGCAGGACACAAAGTCAAATGCTGAGGTTGTGGGGAAAACTGGAGGGGCTGACCAAACTTATGTCAGAACCTGCTGAGAGAGCCGTGAACTGGTTGTTAAACATAGCTATTTTTAAAAATTAAATTATAATAGATCCACGCAAATAGGCCCAACTGATTTTGACAAAGGTACAAAGGCAATTCAAGAGAAGAAGGAGAGCTCTTTCTTTCTTTTTCTTTCTTTCTTTCTTTCTTTCCTTCCTTCTTTCCTTCCCTCCTTCTTTCTTTCTTTCTTTCTTTTTTTTTTTTTTTTTTTTTTTTCAGACGGAGTCTCTCTCTGATGCCCAGGCTAGAGTGCAGTGGCGAGATCTCAGCTCACTGCAACCTCCGCCTCCTGGGTTCAAGTGATTCTCCTGCCTCAGCCTCCCAAGTAGCTGGGATTATAGGTGTGCACCACCACACCCGGCTAAATTTTGTATTTTTAGTAGAGATGGGGGTTTCACCATGTTGGCCAGGCTGGTCTCAAACTCCTGACCTCAGGCGATCCACCCACCTCGGCCTCCCAAAGTACTGGGATTACAGGCATGAGCCACTGCGCCTGGCCCTGGGAGAGCTTTTTCAACAAATGTTGGAGCAACTGGACCTCATAAAAATTAAAAAACTTTTGCTCTGTGAAAAATCTAGTTGAGAAGATGAGAAAACAAGCTACAGACTGGGAGAAAATATATGCAAACTACATATCTGACAAAGGACAGTATCTAGACTATATAAAGAACTCTCCAAACGCAAGAGTGAAAAAACAATATAATTTTAAAAATAAGCAAAAGACATGAACAGACTTTTCACTGAAGAGGATATGCAGATAGCAAATAGCATGCACATGAAAAGATGTTTAACATCGTTAGACATTAGGGAAATGCACAGCGAGCTATCACTGCACACCTACCAGAATGACTAAAATAAAAAATAATGATAAAACCAAATGCTCTCAAGGATGTGGAAAACTGAGGCCAGGCGTGGTGGCTCACTTCTGTAATTCCAGCACCTTGGGAGGCCAAGGTGGGTGGATCACTTGAGATCAGGTGTTCGAGACCAGCCTGGCCCAGCGTGGCAAAACCCCGTCTCTACCAAAAATGGCCAGGTGTGGTGGCTCACTCCTGTAATCCCAGCACTTTGGGAGGCCGAGGCAGGCAGATCACCTGAGGTCAGGAGTTTCAGACTAGCCTGGCCAACACGTGAAACCCTGTCTCTACTGAAAATACAAAAATTAGCCAAGCGTGGTGGCAGGCGCCTGTAATCCCAGCTACTTGGGAGGCTGAGGTGGGAGAATCACTTGAACTGGGGAGGCGGAGGTTGCAGTGAGCTGAGATCACGCCACTGCACTCCAACCTGGACAATAAGAGTGAGACGCTGTCTCAAAAAAAAAAAAAAAAGGTTATGGAAAACTGGATCACTTATCATGTATTGCTGCTGAGGATGCAAAATGGAACAGCCATTCTGGAAAACAGTATGGCTGTTTCTTACAAAGTTAAACATGTGCGAACCATATGACCCAGCAACTGTACACCTAGACATTTATCTGAGAGAATGAAAACATAATGTTCACACAAAAGCTTGCATATGAATATTCACAGCAGTTTTATTTGTAATAGCCAAAAACTGGAAACAACCCCAATGTCTTTCAATGGGTGAATGGTTAAATAAACTGTGGTACATCCATACCATGGAATATTAATCAACAAGAAAAAGAAATGAACTACTGATACATGCACCAGCTTGGATGAATCTCCAGGGCATGTTGCTGAGTGAAAAAAAGCCAGTTCCTCAAACATTACATACTGTTTGATTTCACTTATATAACATTCTTGACATGACACAATTATAGAGGTGGAGGACAGATAAGTGGTTGCCAGGTGTTAGGAATGGAAGGAGGTAAGAAGGCAGGTGCAGCTTTGAAAGGGTGACAGGAGGGATCCCTGTGGTGATGGCAATGTTCGGCATCTTGACTGTATCAACATCAATGTCCTAGTTGCAACATTGTATTAGAGTTGCATAAAATGTTACCATTGGGAGAAACTGGGTAGAGGTACAAAGGATCTATTATTTCTTACAACTCTATATAAATCTATAATTATCTCAGAATTAAAAGTTTAACTAAAACTACATTCAAAAGAGGTTTCATACTGTATGTTTCCATTGATATAGCATTCTTGAAATGACAAAATTATAGAGATGAACAGATTAGTTTCCCAGGGTTTAGACGGTAGGTGGAGGGAAGTGGCTATAGCTATAAAAATGTAGTGGGGGCTCCTTGTGATGGAGCTATTCTGTATCTTGACTGTGGTGGTCCCCATGAATCCTCACATGTAATAAGGCTGCATAGAATTAAATACACAGAGACGTACACAAATGAATACATGTCACACTGTCACACTGATGATGAAATCTGAGTAAGGCCAATGGATTGTATCAGCATCAATTTCCGGGTTGTCATATGGCACCACAAGATGTTATCACTGGACGAAAGGTGTAAGAGATATCTCTGCGTCATTTCTTACAATGGCATGTACACATACAATTATCACAAAAATCAGATAAAATTACAATAAATAAATTATATTTTTAAATGTTTAAAATATATTAAACATATATATTAAAATAAATTTAAAATATTGAAAGACGTCTGGGTTGTTTCCAGTTTTTGGCTATTACAAATAAAGCTGCTATGAACATTCATATGCAGGCTTTGAATGAACATTAAGTTTTCATTCTCTGGAATAAATGTCTGAGAGTGCAATTGCTGGGTCATTTGGTAAGCAAACTAAAAACTCATCACTTCCTAATTATTTTATTACATTTCCCTCCTATCTGTGTCCTTGGGATTATTTATATCTATTGTATCTATCTAGTGGCTGACTGATGTCATGTTGGTATTTTTTTGTTGTTGTCATTGGTTCTGTTTTTGTGATGGATTACACTTATTGACCTGCATATGTTGAACCAGCCTTGCCTCCCAGGGATAAAGCCAACTTCATCGTGGTGTATAAGCTTTTTGATGTGCTGCTGGATTCAGTTTGCCAGTGTTTTATTGAGGATTTTCACATTGATGTTCTTCAGGGATATTGGCCTCAAGTTTTCTTTTTTTTGCTGTGTCTCTGCCAGGTTTTAGTATCAGGATGATGCTGGCCTCATAAAATGAGTTAGGGAGGTGTCCCTCCTTTTCAATTGTTTGGAATAGTTTCAGAAGTATTGGGGGAACCCGCCCCCAATATTTCAACGTAGGTTCTTTCTATTTTCCCTAAGTGTTGGCTGGTCTGAGAAATAAAGAGTACAAAGAGAGGAATTTTACAGCTGGGCTGCTGGGGGTGACATCACATAGCGGTAGGACCGTGATGCCAACCTGAGCTGCAAAACCAGCAAGTTTTTATCAGGGATTTCAAAAGGGGAGGGGGTGTACAAACAGGGAGTAGGTCACATGCTTTAAGGGGTAAAAAGCAGAGCAAAGATCACATGCTTCTGAGGAAACACAGCAAGGACAAAATCAGAACTCCCGATAAGGGTCTACGTTCAGCAGTGCACATATAGTCTTGATAAACATCTTAACAGAAAACAGGGTTCAAGAGCAGAGAACCAGTCTGAACTCAAATTTACCAGGGTTGGGGTTTCCCAATCCTAGTAAGCCTGATGGTACTGCAGGAGACCAGGGCCTTATCTCAACCACTTAAGACAGACACTCCCAGAGCCTTATTTCAGGCTTTATCTCAACCACTTAAGACAGACACTCCCAGAGTGGCCATTTATAGACCTCCCCCAAGGGATGCAATTATTTTCCTAAGGTCTTAATATTAATATTTCTTGCTAGGAAAAGAATTTAGCGATATCTCTCCTACTTGCACACCCATTTATAGGCTCTCTGCAAGAAGAAAAATATGGCTCTTTTTGCCTGACCCTACAGGCAGTCAGACCTTATGGTTGTCTTCCCTTGTTCCCTAAAATCACTGTTATTCTGTTCTTTTTCAAGGTGCACTGATTTCATATTGTTCAAACACACATGTTTTACAATCAATTTGTACAGTAAACACAATCATCACAGTGATCCTGAGGTGATGTACATCCTCAATTTACGAAGATAACAGGATTAAGAGATTAAAATAAAGACAGGAGTAAGAAATTATGAAAGTATTATTTGGAAACTGATAAATGTCCATGAAATCTTCACAATTTATGTCCTCTGCCAAGGCTCCAGCCAGTCCCTCCATTCGGGGTCCCTGAATTCCTGCAACACAGAAGGAATGGTACCAGTTCCTTTTTGTACCTCTGGTAGAATTTGGCTGTGAATCGTCTGGTCCTGGGCTTTTTTTGGTTGATAGGCTATTAATTACTTTTTTTTTTTAAAGATAGGGTCTCACTCTGTTGCCCAGTCTCGGGTATAGTGGCACAGTCTCAGCTCACTGAAACCTCCACCTCCCAGTTCCAGTGATCCTCCCATCTCAGCCTCCCGAGTAGCTGGGATTACAGGCATGTGCCACCACACCCAGCTAATTTTTGTATTTTTAGTAGAGACAGAGTTTTACCATGTTGGTCAGGATAATCTTGAACTCCTGGCCTCAAGTGATCCACCCACCTTGGCCTCCCAAAGTGCTGGGACTACAGGTGTGAGCCACTGAGTCTGGCCTCATATTCAGATTCTTGTGAGAATACTTATACCACAAGAATGGGCAAACACTACAAATCAGGGCTTTCCCCACCTCCTCTAGAGCCTGTTGTTAAGCATCTGCCAGCACACCACTGGGTTGGCCTGCTTGTCAGAGTCTGAGGATGTGGAGTGTGGTCTTTGAGGAGGATGGGAGCAAGAGCTGAACTAGGAGCAGCAGGGTTGCCGGATGCTGCTGCAGGCCCAGCTGAGGGAGGAGACCACAGTTGGACAGGGCCAGGCCTGCTGGCATTAGCAAACGCCATTGGCTGCATTTGTTGAGGACTGGAGTTTTGCCAGGTGCCTGTAAGGGAAGAACAATGGGGAGAGGGAGTTTAGAATGGAAAGAGTTAGTGTTTGGTGCTGGAGCATGGATTTGAGATGGAAAGGGAGAGATGTGGAGAAACAGAGATTGTGGGATGGGCATGGAGGTGTCCATGGGCTGAAAGTCCCAAAGAGCCAGAGGAACAGTGTGTCACAGGTGACTGAGCTAATCTGCTAGAGTGGAGGCTGCAGTCAGGTGCATGGCTGAATGTGCTGTTTCCTGGCAGGTGGGTGGCCCCTCCAGGTGCACAGCATGGCCGCTGGCATGGGCTGAGGCAGATGGAGGAAAGGGCCCTGAGGATGAGGAGTGAAGGAGGTGAGCGGTCAGGAGCTGGATGGGATGTGTCCAGGGAGGCTGATGAATCCTGGGGTTGTGGCAGGACTTGGAGCAGAGAAGGACAAATAGAGAGGGAGAGGGAAGAATAGAGAAGGGAGAGAGGGAGGGAAGAGGAGGGGAGGGAGAGAAGAACCCAAGGGAAGAGAAAGAAAAACATTCATTTTGGGCAGAGGCAGGAAAGGGAAACTAATGTGTCAGGTTTGAGGCTGTTTGGGGGCATCATTTTGTGATAGTAAATGTCTCTATTTTAATCAATAAGGCTAAAGGACTTGATTGAGAATCTAAACCACCCCAGGGACCAGGCTAAATGTCTCCATTTGCAATTCTTAAATTGTCATAAGAGTCTGAAATGATCAGACTCTTCAGAGGTGTCCCAGATCACAGGACAAAGGGTACCCAAGAAAATGAAGAGTGGCTGGGACAGTTCACAGGGCCCAACCCGGATGGCCGCCACACACAGCTCCTGGCCTGAGACTAATCTGAGAGAGGAGGCTTCAGAGGAAAAGGTTTGAGACCAGAAGGCAGGGGGTGGGACCAGATCTCAACTAGAAAAGTCTGATCCCTCCAAGGACCCAAATGGGGACCCAAGAAATTCTCTCAGTCAGCCCAGAGAGTGAAAGAATGATGAAGGTTCTTTCAAGTTGCAGAAATCATGTTTTTCTTACTCAAATGTGGATTTGCTATACCCAGCCCAGTGTCTCATATAGAGCAGGTGCTCAATAAGTATTTGTATAATTAAGCAAAATTGATTTTAAAGAAATAAGAAGAGGGTGTGTGCATGTTTCAACCTATCGGTTGGAGACCTGATATGTTCCCCTTCCAGACAGATTTTAAATTTAAGGGGCATCTGTTCTCAGGATCTCCTGGAGCTGTGTCATGGAAAAAAAAAAAAAAAGAAAGAAAAGTTTAAAATGGAGAAGAAAGAAGGTATCAGTACAGTTAACTCTCTAATAGAGGACTCCCAGCTCTCAGTTGATGGTTTTCTTCTTCTTCTTCTTTTTGTTTTTTAGTTTTGTTTTTTGTTTGAGGGGTGGGGCTTGAGACAGAGAGCCATGACTTTTGAGCAGTCATGATCACAGCTCACTGCAGCCTCCACCTCCCAGGCTCACACAAGCATCCCACCTCAGCCTCCTGAGTAGCTGGGCCTACAGGCATGCACCACCACACTGGCTAATTTTTAAAATTTTTTGTAGAGATGGGGTCTTACTATGTTGCCCAGGGTGGTCTCAAACTCCTGGCTCAAGCGATCCTCCTGACTTGGCCTCCCAAAGTGCTGGGATTACAGGTGTAAGCCACTGCACCTGGCCCAGTGGATAGCATTCTATTCTCTTCGTGGAGAATAGGTGGGAAGAGCCTTCCTTTGCTTCTTAAATGACCCCGACCCTGCTGTGCAGCAAGCGCAGCTGGCCACACATGTAGCCCTCACTCAGCTACTGCAACAGCTCTGAGTGCTGGGCACCGTGCTGAGCACTTTCCAAGTAGCTGGACTTGCTTCAGCCTTACACAGCACTCAGAGAGGAGGTTATTACCATTTCGTGTATAAATCAGCACCTTCAGGTCAGAGAGGATGCAGGGTGACACCACTGGCCAGGGTGGGCCTGAGCCACCAGCCTTCTTTCAGTCCTCAGAGCCTGGGCCCACCACCCATCATTGCCTGCCACAAATGATGGACCGTAGTCACAGCAGTCGCCCTCTTCTCCTCACCTGCTTGGAGCTGGTGCCCACCGATCCCTTTGGGCAAGCACCTGCCCTCTCTGGTCACAAAGCCAAATCACTCTCTTGTCCTGTAGGTAAAGGCACGGCATGAAAAACCCCAAAAATTCCACTTTGAAAAGAACTTCATTTTGCAGCAAAGGGAGGGGTGGAGGGAGGAGAGAAGTATAGAAAATGATTCAGAAACAGCTGAACTTTGAAAAACAGAAGAAAAATCTCTCGGGCGCTGCAGAGAAGTGCAGTTTTAAATGAAGACTTGCCAAGGGACTGAAAAATTGCTTATGAGCAGAGGACATCGGCTCAGGGAGCAGCTGAACTGACAGGAAAGACAGAACTGCTGGGACGACAGTTTGTCCAGCAGCAGCAAAGGAAACTTGAGCACACTCTTAGTCACTGGATTTCAGGAGGCCACTGAATTCTACAACCACTAAATAGCATGACTGCGAAATACGATCGATTCCAAATATGATAGCCACTGAGTCCTATGGGGCTAATACCTGAAACTAAATACTAGAGTAACTAAATATTACAGATATGAAATACTATGTGTCCTAAATACTACAGCCACTTAATTCTACAGCCACGAATACTGTAGCAACTGAACCTACATCTCAGATGTAAAATACTGGTTGTTATGACTCCAGTACAGTGGGCTGAAGGAAAATCAGTAACTTTGTTAAAAGAATAACAGCCTTGGCCGGGCGTGGTGGCTCATGCCTCTAAGGGAGCCTGGGAGGCTGAGGCGGGCGGATCACCTGAGGTCGGGAGTTTGAGACCAGTTTGGCCAACATGGTGAAACCCTGTCTCTACTAAAAATACAAAAATTAGCCCAGCGTGGTGGTGCATGCCTGTAATCCCAGCTATTCAGGAGGCTGAGGCAAGAGGATCACCTGAACCTGGGAAGCGGAGGTTGCAGAGAGCCGAGAACACGCCACTGCACTCCAGCCTGGGTGACAGAGCCAGACTCCATCTCAAAAAAAACACAAAACAGCTTTGGTCCCTGAATTCACCTGTCGGCCCCGCTGTCAGCTGGGGCTGGAGGGAGGAGGAAAGGAGAAATGTATGATGAATTCAATTCAATTCCATGAAGGCCAGAAGCCTCCCTCTCCTTCCTAGGGCCTCCACTGCGTGAGAGCCTCCATCTGGGCCTGGCAGCCATCTCACAGTCCCCCAGTCCCCGCCCAGTCTAGCTTGGGAAGGGGTGTAAAACTCCTTTCCAATGTGGCTGTTTCTTTGACACACAAATCTGATGGCAATGAACTCCCAGAAAGGGCCCCCCAGTCCAGCAAGTGTGGTAGATGCTGGGGGAGGAAAGGAGAAAGGTTTCCAGAAAGCGTGATTGCTGAGCTGAGAATCAGCTGGAAGGAGGAGAGAGAAGGTGGCATTCTGGAGAGAAGCACAAAAAGGAGAAATCGCATATGAGTGGCAAAACCCAGCAGAGCTCTCTGTTGCTGAAGCCTGAAGTTTTAAGTTAGAAGAGCAGGGAAATTTGGTCAAGCAAGCGTGGACCCAATGGGCAGAGTTCTTAGTGCATCAGGCTAAAGTTGAGCCTTTATTCCACAGTTGATGGGCAGCCACCATGAGGCTTTAGGTCAGGGAGAGGGCAACATGCCTGTTAGGGAGGTGACT
Source organism: Homo sapiens (assembly GCF_000001405.40). NCBI lineage: Eukaryota > Metazoa > Chordata > Mammalia > Primates > Hominidae > Homo > Homo sapiens. Next base: position 128,285,573 of record NC_000007.14, read on the forward strand.
CTGGCCAAGGCTGGAGTTTGAGATGGCTGGTGTGGAAACCATGGCACCTGTCCAGGGCAAGAAGATTGAGAATCTGGGCAAATGTGCTGGCAACAGGCAGGTCGAGGTGGGGCGGTCTCAGGAATTATTTAGGAGTAACATTTTACACCCTCCCCAAGAATCGGCAGAGCTTGGCCAGTGACATGGCATAGAGGTGAGAGCGGAGAAGTCTCCTACAACCGAAGTGTCTAGTGTGGATGATTGTGGATCATGGTGCCACAAACTGGGACAGATGATGTAGGAAAAAGAGTGAGCCAGAAAGTGTTTCATTTCCCTGTATTCCTGCATTAAAAACCTCCCTAAAATGTGGCCTTAAATAACAATTCATTATTTCTCATGATTGTGTGGGCCAAGAAATGGTCAGGGCTCAGCAGGGCAGTTTTGCTCCACACAACTTTACCTGGGGCCATTCTCTTGACTGTGCCCAGCCAATGGCTGGTCTGGAAGGTCCATGTGTCCCTCACATGCTCAGCACCTTGGTGCTCCTCCACATGGCCCCTCTCTCTCCAAGTGGCTAGCTTGGGCTTCCTCACAGCATGGTGGTCTTAGGATAGCTGAACTTCTTCAATGGGGTGGCCTCCCAGAGGGTGTATTCTAAGAATCAAAGGCAGATGCTCTATATCTTCCAAGTCCCAATCTCAGAAATGACACAAAGTCACTCTGCCACGTTCTATTGGGTACAAGAAGTCACTGATCCAGTCCATATTTAAGAAAAGGAGAAACAGCCTCCAACTCTGAATGGAAGGAGTAGCAAAGAACGTGTGGCCATTTTAACCCACCACAGTGGGTGCAGTGAATGCTGTGAGGTGCCACCCAGGTGCCCCTTCAGAATGGAGGCATTTGGTTCCCTGAGGGCGTATTGGCTGCTCATACCTGGGTCCCTCTCCAGGAACTGTCCTCCCCTAAAGGCACATCCCCTCTCCAAGGAGAGTCGCCATCCAGTGACTGGTGGGTGCGGGCATACCAGAGCCCAGCTCCCAGAGTCTCTCTGGAGCAATTCTGAAGGATCATCTCAGCTCTAGAGCTGTGGGACCAGCTGATGGCTCCGTGTGTCGAAGTTCAAGTTCTCCCTCTGCCTGGTCTGCTTTCCTCACTCCCTTCGGATGCTTCTCCCGAGTCCTCCCCAGTCATCTCCTGCACTTAAATGCACCTCACAGCATTTGCCAAGAACCTGCCCAAGGTTGAGGAACCTGACCTCCACCAAGAGGCTGAGCTCTGACTGGGAGTGTAGTGGTTGGACAGCCTCTGCAACAGTCAGAGCCTCCACAGTGGGCAGGGTTTGGGAGGCTGGAGGCTGGAGTCTGAGGGAGACATCTGGGCCTGTGATGGAGTCAGCAGAGTAAGGGGATCGGGAGGCTGAGGTGAAAACCACGTGAACATTTACTCAAACAATCTGCTAATGGTTTTTTTTTTGTTTGGTTGGTTTTTTTGTTTGTTTGTTTTTTGAGACAGAGTCTCACTTTGTTGCCCAGGCTGGAGTGCAGTGGTGTCATCTCGGCTCACTGCAGCCTCCGCCTCCTGGGTTCAAGCAATTCTCCTGCCTCAGCCTTCCAAGTAGCTGGGGTTACAGGTTCCCACTGCCACACCCAGCTTATTTTTGTATTTTTAGTAGAGACAGGGTTTCACCATGTTGGCCAGGCTGGTCTCAAACTCCTGACCTCAAGTGATCCTCCCACTTTGGCCTCCCAAAGTGCTGGGAATACAGATGTGAGCCATGCACCCAGCCGAAATCCGCTAATGTTAATCATCCGATTGTTTCCAATTTTCATTATTATAAACGTTAATACATGGCCTGATACCTAAATTCTTTCATTCACAGTTCTGATCATTTTTTTTTCTCATATTTTTAGAGACTATGTCTCACTAGGTCTTGCTAGGCTGGTCTTGAGCTCCTAGACTCAAGCAATCCTCCTGCCTAAGCCTCCTGAGTAGCTGGAATTACAGGCGTGCACCACTGCACCTGGCTCTGATCCCTTTTTTTAGTGAAAGATTTTGAGTGAAATGATTCATCGCTTGAGTGAAATAATGAATTAAAGAATATGAGCATTCTTGAGGCTACCAGGATTTTCCAAGGCCCCTTTGCACACCGCATTTACACGGCATTCTCCTTCAGCCAAATTCCCTAAATTCACAAGAGGCCTGATTTAGGGAAGGTCACTGATTCAGCTGGAGAGTTAATTATTCATTTGAATTGGTTTATGCAAAAAGCTCCAGAGAGCCCACAAGAATAAATTGAAAAGCTATTAGAACAGGCAAATTTAATAAAGTGGCTGGATGCAAAATTCAATAGCTTCCTCATCAACTAGCAATAACCAATTAGAAGATATAATGGGGGTGGGTGGATGGGGAAGCAGAGATAGCAACAATAACAAAAACACCTCAAATCTACTGCACCAGTGTTAGAAATGGAAACTATCTCTTATAACTTTGTAGACTTTTTTAGAAACCCATGAAATAATTAATTCAATGGGAAATCATGCCATGTTCCCAAATGGAAAGGCTGCATGTGCTGCAGAGTTGACCTGTAGGTTGAACACAATCCAATTAAAAGTCCAAGGAGATTTGCTGCTTTGTTGTTGTTAAGCATGCCACAGTTCTTCTAAAGTTTACTCAGAAGAAATACATAGGCAAGAATAGCTGAGAAAAAAAATGTGAAGATGAATAAGGAGGAATTTTGCCTTATCAGATATTAAATATACAATAAAGCTAAAATAATGAAAATAGTGTAGCCATGATGCAAGAATTAGCAGACACATCAGTGGGGTCATATCTACAAGCAGGAGTTCGCGTACAAGAGGCTTGTGTCTAATGAAGATGGAATTGCACTGCTGTGAGGTGAGGTGGCATTATTTGGTAAGTGGTACAGAGAAAATTGGTTAACGATTTGGGGGGACATACTCTCACATCTCACATTCAAATAAGTACATTCTGTGTGGATGAGTTAAACGCTGTTATGGGTTGAACTATGTCCATAAAAAAAGATATGTTGAAGTCCTAACCCCCAGCACCTCAGAATGTGACCTTATTTGGAGACGGTTTCATTCCAGATGCAATTAATTATGCTAAATTGCAGTCATAGGAGAGTAGGGTAGGCCCCTAATCCAATATGACTTACATGCTTATAAGAAGATGGCATGTGGAGACAGAGGCAGGGACTGGAGCTCCATGCTGCTACCAGCCAAGGAAGTCTGGGGCTACCAGAAGCTGGAAGTGGCAAGGAAGCATCTTTCCTCTATGGGTTTCAGAGGGAGCGGCCCTGCTGACACTTTATCTCAGACTTCCAGCCTCCGGAGCTGTGAGACCATACATTTCTGTTGTTCTAAGCCACCCAATTTGTGGCACTTTGCTACAGCAGCCCTAGGACACTAATACAAATGTCTAATTATAGAACCATGTTAAAAATTCAGAGGAAATATAGGTAAAAAAATGTATATACTGTACTTGCAAAAGCAGTAAGAAACTTTGGGAATGATAGCAAGAGGAGTCTAAAAATTTTAAAAAATAAAACATTTTTTAAAAGCAGTAAGAACTTTATAAGCATAAAAGCAATGGAAAAAATCGAAAAGGAAAATCAAACTTTATATAAAAAATAGGTCTACCAAAATTAAAAGGTAAACAGCAAACTTGGAAATTGAACTGCTACAAAATGACAATATGGCCACTATTCTTAATGAGTAAGGAGAACCTTAAAACCCCACTGGAAAATTGGGTGAAGAAGACCAGGCATGGTGGCTTATGCCTGTAATCCCAGCACTCTGGGAGGCCAAGGTGGGTGGATCACCTGAGGTCGGGAGTTTGAGACCAGCCTGACCAACATGGAGAAACCCCGTCTCTACTAAAAATACAAAATTAGCCAGGCATGGTGGCACATGCCTGTAATACCAGCTACTCGGGAGGCTGAGGCAAGAGAATCGCTTGAACCTAGGAGGCAGAGATTGCAGTGAGCCGAGATCACACCATTGTACTCCAGCCTGGACAACAAAAGCAAAACTCTGTCTCAAAAAAACAAAAGAAAGAAAATTGGGTGAAGAAAATGGACAATTCACACAGAATACACATGACTATAAACATACAAAAGATCCAACCTTGCTAGTAATCAAATCCATATAAATAGAAGACACTTTTTGCCTTTCAAATTAACTTAATCATGAGAGGGTACAGTAAAACTTGTATCCTTGTATGTCCCTCCATAATACCATACATGGTATAAATTTCTACAATTTTTAGAATATAATCTGGTGCTATGTATAAAGAGGCTTTTTAAAATTCATACCCTTTGACTCAGTAATTCTCCTTCTAAAAATCTATCTTAAGGAATTAATTAGAAAGGCCAATGTTTATCTACAAAGATGTTCATTGCTGGACAGTGGCTCATGCCTGTAATCCCAGCACTTTGGGAGGCTAAGGCAGGAGGATCACTTGAGCCCAGGAGTTTGAGACCAGTCTGGGCAACAAAGGGAGACCCCCATCTCTACAAAAAATAAAAAAATTAGCTGGGCATGGTAGCACACACTTGTGGTCCTAGCTTCTCGAGAGGCTGAGGTTGGAGAATCGCTTGAGCCCTGGAGTTCAAGGCTGGCAATGAACTATGATTACACCACTGCACTACAGCCTGGGTGACAGAGCAAGACTCTATCTCAAAAAACAACAAAAAGATGTTCATCACTGCATTATTTATAGTAATGAAAAATTAGAAACTGCCTCAATGTCTAAAGGGAATCATGGCACATCCATGTGATGTTAAATTATGCAACCATTAAAGGTGATGATTTCATTATATTTAATGACATGGAAAATACAATTAAATGACATGGAACATTACACATATTTAACATTACATGGAACATCCATATAATGTTAAATTATGCAACCATTAAAGGTGGTGATTTCATTGTATTTAATGATAAGGAAAATACAATTAAAATGTAAAATTCAAGAGCTCAGGATTACATGCATAGTATTATTAGCCAAATTTTATAAAACACATATCTACAGGGGAAAAAAAGTGTTAAAATCAGCCAAAATACTTATTGTTTCCTCTGGATACCATGATTTATAGATGGTTTTAATTGTTTTCATTCCAGTAAAATACATGTAACAAAATTTACCACTTTAACAATTTTTTAGTGTATAATTCAGTAGCATTAAGTACTTTCACAATATTAGGTAACCTATCACTACTATAATTTTCCAGAATTTTTTCTTTCATCTTCCAGGACTTTTTCATCTTCCCACACTGAAGCTCTGTACCCATTAAACAATACCTCCCTCCCCATTGCCCCTTACTCTCAGCCTCTGGTAACGTCTGTGGCACTTTCTGTCGCTCACAAATCTGCCTAGTCTAGGTACTTCATACAAGTGGAATCATATTATATTTTCCCTTTGTCTGGGTTATTTCACTTAGCACAGTGTTTTTAAGGTTCACCCATGTTGCAGCACGTATCAGAATTTCATTCTTTTCTATGGCTGAATAATGTTCCATTGTACATAACTTAAATATCCCATTTTGTTCATCCATTCATCTGTTGATGGACATTTGGGCTGTTTCCCCTTTTTAACTACTGTGAATAATGCTATGAACAGTGATGTACACATTTATGTTCACATCCCTGCTTCCAGTTCTTCTGAGTATATACTGAAGAGTGAAATTCCTGGATCACATGATATTTCTATTTTTAATTTTTGGAGGAATAGTTGGTTTTAAATTTTTTAAATTTTCTTGTGTGTTGTGGAAAGTCAGGGACCCCGAACGGAGGGACCGGCTGGAGCCACAGCAAAGGAACATGAATTGTGAAAATTTCATGGACATTTATCAGTTCCCAAATAATACTTTTATAATTTCTTATGCCTGTCTTTACTTTAATCTCTTAATCCTGTTATCTTCATAAGCTGAGGATGTATGTCACCTCAGGACCACTGTGATATTTGTGTTAACTGTACAAAATGATTGTAAAACATGTGTGTTTGAACAATATGAAATCAGTGCACCTTGAAAAAGAACAGAATAACTGATTTTTAGGGAACAAGGGAAGACAACTATAAGGTCTGACTGCCTGTGGGGTCAGGCAAAAAGAGCCATATTTTTCTTCTTGCAGAGAGCCTATAAACGGATGTGCAAGTAGGAGAGATATCGCTAAATTCTTTTCCTAGCAAGGAATATTAATATTAATACCCTGGGAAAGGAATGCATTCCTGGGGGGAGGTCTATAAACAGCTGCTCTGGGAGTTTCTCTCTTATGTGGTTGAGATAAGGATTGAGGTATTCCCTGGTCTCCTGCAGTACCCTCAGGCTTATTAGGGTGGGGAAAAACTCCGCCCTGGTAAATCTGTGGTCAGACCAGTTCTCTGGTCTCAACCCTGTTTTCTGCTGTTTAAGATGTTTATCAAGACAATACGGGGGGGGGGAGGAGCCAAGATGGCCAAATAGGAACAGCTCCGGTCTACAGCTCCCAGCGTGAGTGACGCAGAACACAGGTGATTTCTGCATTTCCATCTGAGGTACCAGGTTCATCTCACTACGGAGTGCCAGACAGTGGGCCCAGGTCAGTGGGTGCAGCGCACCGTGCGTGAGCCGAAGCAGGGCGAGGCATTGCCTCACTCGGGAAGCACAAGGGGTCAGGGAGTTCCCTTTCCTAGTCAAAGAAAGGGGTGACAGACGGCACCTGGAAAATTGGGTCACTCCCACCCGAATACTGCGCTTTTCCAACGGGCTTAAAAAACCTCGCACCAGGAGATTATATCCTGCACCTGGCTTGGAGGGTCCTAGGCCCACGGAGTCTCGCTGATTGCTAGCACAGCAGTCTGAGATCAAACTGCAAGGCAGCAGCGAGGCTGGGGGAGGGGCGCCCGCCATTGCCCAGGCTTGCTTAGGTAAACAAAGCAGCCGGGAAGCTCCAACTGGGTGGAGCCTACCACAGCTCAAGGAGGCCTGACTGCCTCTGTAGGCTCCACCTCTGGGGGCAGGGCACAGACAAACAAAAAGACAGCAGTAACCTCTGCAGACTTAAATGTCCCTGTCTGACAGCTTTGAAGAGAGCAGTGGTTCTTCCAGCACTCAGCTGGAGATCTGAGAACGGGCAGACTGCCTCCTCAAGTGGGTCCCTGACCCCTGAGCAGCCTAACTGGGAGGCACCCCCCAGTAGGGGCAGACTGACACCCCACATGGCCGGGTACTCCTCTGAGACAAAACTTGCAGAGGAACGATTAGACAGCAGCATTTGCGGTTCACGAAAAACCACTGTTCTGCAGACACCGCTGCTGATACCCAGGCAAACAGAGTCTGGAGTGGATCTCTAGCAAACTCCAACAGACCTGCAGCTGAGGGTCCTGTCTGTTAGAAGGAAAACTAACAAACAGAAAGGACATGCACACCAAAAACCCATCTGCACATCACCATCATCAAAGACTAAAAGTAGATAAAACCACAAAGATGGGGAAAAAACAGAACAGAAGAACCGGAAACTCTAAAAAGCAGAGCACCTCTCCTCCTCCAAAGGATCACAGTTCCTCACCAGCAATGGAACAAAGCTGGATGGAGAATGACTTTGACGAGTTGAGAGAAGAAGGCTTCAGACGATCAAACTACGAGCTACAGGAGGAAATTCAAGCCAAAGGCAAAGAAGTCACAAACTTTGAAAAAAATTTAGACGAATGTATAACTAGAATAACCAATACAGAGAAGTGCTTAAAGGAGCTGATGGAGCTGAAAGCCAAGGCTCGAGAACTACGTGAAGAATGCAGAAGCCTCAGGAGCCGATGCGATCAACTGGAAGAAAGGGTATCAGCGATGGAAGATGAAATGAATGAAATGAAGCGAGAAGGGAAGTTTAGAGAAAAAAGAATAGAAAGAAACGAACAAAGCCTCCAAGAAATATGGGACTATGTGAAAAGACCAAATCTACGTCTAATTGGTGTACCTGAAAGTGACAGGGAGAATGGAACCAAGTTAGAAAACACTAAAAGATATTATCCAGGAGAACTTCCCCAATCTAGCAAGGCAGGCCAACATTCAGATTCAGGAAATACAGAGAATGCCGCGAAGATACTTCTCAAGAAAAGCAACTCCAAGACACATAATTGTCAGATTCACCAAAGTTGAAATGAAGGAAAAGATGTTAAGGGCAGCCAGAGAGAAAGGTCGGGTTACCCACAAAGGGAAGCCCATCAGACTAACAGCTGATCTCTCGGCAGAAACTCTACAAGCCAGAAGAGAGTGGGGGCCAATATTCAACATTCTTAAAGAAAAGAATTTTCAACCCAGAATTTCATATCCAGCCAAGCTAAGCTTCGTAAGTGAAGGAGAAATAAAATACCTTACAGACAAGAAATGCTGAGAGATTTTGTCACCACCAGGCCTGCCCTAAAAGAGCTCCTGAAGGAAGTGCTAAACATGGAAAGGAACAACTGGTACCAGCCGCTGCAAAATCATGCCAAAATGTAAAGACCATCGAGACTAGGAAGAAACTGCATCAACTAACGAGCAAAATAACCAGCTAACATCATAATGACAGGATCAAATTCACACATAACAATATTAACTTTAAATGTAAATGGACTAAATGCTCCAATTAAAAGACACAGACTGGCAAGTTGGATAAAGAGTCAAGACCCATCAGTGTGTTGTATTCAGGAAACCCATCTCACATGCAGAGACACACATAGGCTCAAAATAAAAGGATGGAGGAAGATCTACCAAGCAAATGGAAAACAAAAAAAGGCAGGGGTTGCAATCCTAGTCTCTGATAAAACAGACTTTAAACCAACAAAGATCAAAAGAGACAAAGAAGGCCATTACATAATGGTAAAGGGATCAATTCAACAAGAAGAGCTAACTATCCTAAATATATATGCACCCAATACAGGAGCACCCAGATTCATAAAGCTAGTCCTGAGTGACCTACAAAGAGACGTAGACTCCCACACATTAATAATGGGAGACTTTAACACCCCACTGTCAACATTAGACAGATTAACGAGACAGAAAGTCAACAAGGATACCCAGGAATTGAACTCAGCTCTGCACCAAGCGGACCTAATAGACATCTACAGAACTCTCCACCCCAGATCAACAGAATATACATTTTTTTCAGCACCACACCACACCTATTCCAAAATTGACCACATAGTTGGAAGTAAAGCTCTCCTCAGCAAATGTAAAAGAACAGAAATTATAACAAACTATCTCTCAGACCACAGTGCAATCAAACTAGAACTCAGGATTAAGAAACTCACTCAAAACCGCTCAACTACATGGAAATTGAACAACCTGCTCCTGAATGACTACTGGGTACATAACGAAATGAAGGCAGAAATAAAGATGTTCTTTGAAACCAACGAGAACAAAGATACAACATACCAGAATCTCTGGGACACATTCAAAGCAGTGTGTAAAGGGAAATTTATAGCACTAAATGCCCACAAGAGAAAGCAGGAAAGATCCAAAATTGACACCCTAACATCACAATTAAAAGAACTAGAAAAGCAAGAGCAAACACATTCAAAAGCTAGCAGAAGGCAAGAAATAACTAAAATCAGAGCAGAACTGAAGGAAATAGAGACACAAAAAACCCTTCAAAAAATCAATGAATCCAGGAGCTGGTTTTTTGAAAGGATCAACAAAATTGATAGACCACTAGCAAGACTAATAAAGAAAAAAAGAGAGAAGAATCAAATAGACGCAATAAAAAATGATAAAGGGGATATCACCACCGATCCCACAGAAATACAAACTACCATCAGAGAATACTACAAACACCTCTATGCAAATAAACTAGAAAATCTAGAAGAAATGGATAAATTCCTCAACACATACACTCTTCCAAGACTAAACCAGGAAGAAGTTGAATCTCTGAATAGACCAATAACAGGAGCTGAAATTGTGGCAATAATCAATAGCTTACCAACCAAAAAGAGTCCAGGACCAGATGGATTCACAGCCGAATTCTACCAGAGGTACAAGGAGGAACTGGTACCATTCCTTCTGAAACTATTCCAATCAATAGAAAAAGAGGGAATCCTCCCTAACTCATTTTATGAGGCCAGCATCATCCTGATACCAAAGCCTGGCAGAGACACAAACAAAAAAGAGAATTTTAGACCAATAGTCTTGATGAACACTGATGCAAAAATCCTCAATAAAATACTGGCAAACCAAATCCAGCAGCACATCAAAAAGCTTATCCACCATGATCAAGTGGACTTCATCCCTGGGATGCAAGGCTGGTTCAATATAAGCAAATCAATAAATGTAATCCAGCATATAAACAGAACCACAGACAAAAACCACATGATTATCTCAATAGATGCAGAAAAGGCCTTTGACAAAATTCAACAACCCTTCATGCTAAAAACTCTCAATAAATTAGGTATTGATGGGACGTATCTCAAAATAATAAGAGCTATTTATGACAAACCCACAGCCAATATCCTACTGAACGGGCAAAAACTGGAAGCATTCCCTTTGAAAACTGGCACAAGACAGGGATGCCCTCTCTCACCACTCCTATTCAGCATAGTGTTGGAAGTTCTGGCCAGGGCAATTAGGCAAGAGAAGGAAATAAAGGGTATTCAATTAGGAAAAGAGGAAGTCAAATTGTCCCTGTTTGCAGACGACATGATTGTATATCTAGAAAACCCCATTGTCTCAGCCGAAAATCTCCTTAAGCTGATAAGCAACTTCAGCAAAGTCTCAGGATACAAAATCAATGTACAAAAATCACAAGCATTCTTATACATCAATAACAGACAAACAGAGAGCCAAATCATGAGTGAACTCCCATTCACAATTGCTTCAAAGAGAATAAAATACCTAGGAATCCACCTTACAAGGGACGTGAAGGACCTCTTCAAGGAGAACTACAAACCACTGCTCAATGAAATAAAAGAGGATACAAACAAATGGAAGAACATTCCATGCTCATGGGTAGGAAGAATCAATATTGTGAAAATGGCCATCCTGCCCAAGGTAATTTATAGATTCAATGTCATCCCCATCAAGCTACCAATGACTTTCTTCACAGAATTGGAAAAAACTACTTTAAAGTTCATATGGAACCAAAAAAGAGCCCGCATTGCCAAGTCAATCCTAAGCCAAAAGAACAAAGCTGGAGGCATCACACTACCTGACTTCAAACTATACTACAAGGCTACAGTAACCAAGACAGCATGGTACTGGTACCAAAACAGAGATACAGATCAATGGAACAGAACAGAGCCCTCAGAAATAACGCCGCATATCTACAACTATCTGATCTTTGACAAACCTGAGAAAAACAAGCAATGGGGAAAGGATTCCCTATTTAATAAATGGTGCTGGGAAAACTGGCTAGCCATATGTAGAAAGCTGAAACTGGATCCCTTCCTTACACCTTATACAAAAATCAATTCAAGATGGATTAAACACTTAAACGTTAGACCTAAAACCATAAAAACCCTAGAAGAAAACCTAGGCATTACCATTCAGGACATAGGCACGGGCAAGGACTTCATGTCTAAAACACCAAAAGCAATGGCAACAAAAGACAAAATTGACAAATGGGATCTAATTAAACTAAAAAGCTTCTGCACAGCAAAAGAAACTACCATCAGAGTGAACAGGCAACCCACAAAATGGGAGAAAATTTTCGCAACCTACTCATCTGACAAAGGGCTAATATCCAGAATCCACAATGAACTCAAACAAATTTACAAGAAAAAACAAACAACCCCATCAAAAAGTGGGCGAAGGACATGAACAGACACTTCTCAAAAGAAGACATTTAGGCAGCCAAAAAACACATGAAAAAATGCTCACCATCACTGGCCATCAGAGAAATGCAAATCAAAACCACAATGAGATACCATCTCACACCAGTTAGAATGGCAATCATTAAAAAGTCAGGAAACAACAGGTGCTGGAGAGGATGTGGAGAAATAGGAACACTTTTACACTGTTGGTGGGACTGTAAACTAGTTCAACCATTGTGGAAGTCAGTGTGGCGATTCCTCAGGGATCTAGAACTAGAAATACCATTTGACCCAGCCATCCCATTACTGGGTATATACCCAAAGGACTATAAATCATGCTGCTATAAAGACACACACACACGTATGTTTATTGCGGCACTATTCACAATAGCAAAGACTTGGAACCAACCCAAATGTCCAACAATGATAGACTGGATTAAGAAAATGTGGCACATATACACATATGCAGCCATAAAAAATGATGAGTTCATGTCCTTTGTAGGGACACGGATGAAATTGAAAATCATCATTCTCAGTAAACTATCGCAAGAACAAAAAACCAAACACCGCATATTCTCACTCATAGGTGGGAATTGAACAATGAGAACACATGGACACAGGAAGGGGAACATCACACTCTGGGGACTATTGAGGGGTGGGGGGAGGGGGGAGGGATAGCATTGGGAGATATACCTAATGCTAGATGACGAGTTAGTGGGTGCAGCGACCAGCATGTCACATGTATACATATGTAACTAACCTGCACAGTGTGCACATGTACCCTAAAACTTAAATAATAAAAAAAAAAGACAATACGCGCACAGTTGAACATAGACCCTTATCAGTAGTTCTGTTTTGCCTTTTGTCTTGTTTCCTCAGAAGCATGTGATCTTTGTTCTGCTTTTGCCCTTTGAAGCATGTGATCTTTGTACCTACTCCCTGTTTTACACCCCCTCCCCTTTTGAAACCCTTAATAAAAAACTTGCTGGTTTGAGGCTCAGGTGGGCATCACAGTCCTACTGATATGCGACGTCACCCCCGGCAGCCCAGCTGTTAAAATTCCTCTCTTTGTACTATTTCTCTTTATTTCTCAGTCGGCCGACACTTATGGAAAATAGAAAGAACCTATGTTGAAATATTGGGGGTGGGTTCCCCCAATACTTCTGTATTTTTCAGATTCTCTTTACTGAGCATATATTATTTTTACAATCAGAAAAAAATGAACGGATTTATTTTCAAATGCCCCCCATTGCTCTTCTTTAAATATACAGAATATATTCTTTACATATAAAACACTGCTCCTTCAGAGCCAAGCAAAGGATCACTCATTTTCCCCTTAACTGAGAACAAGGGCTGCACATGAACAAAACGCCTGCTTTAAAATGTACCCATGGCTGGATGCTGTGGCTCACACTTATAATCCCAGCACTTTGAGAGGCTAAGGTGGGTGGATCACTTGAGCTCAGGAGTTTGAGACCAGCCTGGGCAACATAGCGAAACTCTGTCTCTATAACAAATACACCAAAAATTAGCTAGGCATGGTGGTGTGTGCCTGTAGTCTCAGCTATTTGCAAGGCTGACGTGGGAGGATCACTAGAGCCCAGGAGGTCGAGGCTGCAGTGACCTGTGATTACACCACTGCACTCCAGCCTGGGAGACAGAGTGAGACCCTCTCTCTCAAAAAAAAAAAAAAATGTACCCATATTTGTTTTCATCAGGTATGGTAAGATGACAGACACAGAGAAAACTATCTCTGCAAGAAGAGTTTGTTATGCAGTTCCCAGGAGGAGAGGTGTGTCACGCCTTGCAGGGCCACACAGGAAGAACTTGGGTCAGCCAAGAAGCAGAGGGGGTGAGGGAAAAGCACGATCCAGCGCCTTTAATGTAGTTTCCAGCAGAAAGGCAAGGCAAGGCAGGGAAGCAGGCTTAGGATTGGCTAATCTGTATAACTTTGGCAGGCCCTGGCTATAGGGATTGTCCCTAGTTGTCCCATGCCTGGCCCTGGAGTGATTTAGGGCAGGGGGAATATTGGCTTGCTGTGTCAGAGTTTGATAAAGGAGGTGACTGGGGGTGTGGGCTCTGGATTGACTGGTTTGCATACGAAAGGCACGCTCGACCAAGTTGTTTACTCTCTCCCCAAAGTAGCTAGCCCTGGGAGGGGCAGTCTCTCCAGGATAATGCATTATAAAAACAACAACAGCACCTGATTAGTATAATGACATATGTTTCTCTTCACAGCAGTTTGTAATAGCAAAGGTTGGAAACCGTTGAATGGGATTTCCATCACATAAAGAACTGGTTATGTAAATTATGTTACACTGATACAATCCAATGAGCCTCCCTTCAGAGAGAGGCACCCTCATGGCCTAATTACTTCTTTAAGGACCCCATCTCAATACTATCACATTGGCAATAACCTGAATTTTGGAAGGGACACATTCAAACCATAGCAGAGATGTAATCAAATTAAGATGAAATCATTGGGCTGGGCCTAAGCCAATATGACTGGTGTCTTTATAAGAAGAGGGAAATTTGGACATAGACCTATAGACACAGGGAGAAGATGGCCATGTGACAACGAGGCAGAGACTGCAGTGATGCATCTATATGCCAGGCAACGCCAAGAAATTCCTCATGAAGGAACCAACCTTGCCAACACTTTGATTTTAGACTTCTAGCCTCCAGAACCGTAAGGTGATAAATTTCTGTTGTTTAAGCCACCCAGCCTGTGGTACTCTCTTACAGTAGCCCTCCTGACTAATATAGGCCCTTTCTCAACTTTCCCTAGAAGCCCAGGTTTCCTTGCTACAACCCTGGCAGAGGCTTTGGCACATTTCACCCCTCCTCTCTTTGTGATTGGTTTTCACAAAGAAGCTCAAAGTGGAGGAATGATCTCTGGACATGAAGCCTGAGGACCATGCAAGCTCCTTCCTGCCAGAGGCTCTGTTCTGGGTTCTACCTGACCTGGACTCTGAGGGCTCTGAGCAGGGAAGGGTTAGAACCCAGCGTGGATCAAACATTTGAGATGAATCAGCACTGATAGCTGGAATGTGAGCTCCCAAGTGGCTTGAGCTCACTCTGCTCAGGACCCTCTGCAGCTCCTGGGGGAACACTGGCACAGACGGGTGCACAGTTAATATTCAGTTAACACCGGCTGGCTGAATGAAGGGCGAGCTATCTTGAGCCTGACTTTTCTGATCCTTCAATGAGCATGCTAACATCATCCAACCCCTGACCTTGTGGTGAGGATCAAAGACGTTAATGCCCACTAAACGCTTTCTACGATGCCTGGAAACAACTGTTATCAATACTGTGCTATGTTTTAGTAAAGAGGGCTGTTCCCTGAGAGCAAAATTGGCAAGTGGGTCTCACCTCCCATGCTGACTCCAATTGTTGGGTGCGGTTGCATGGATTGATGTCAAAAGCCTCCCAAGGCCCAGTCTGGGCCAGATGCAGGGACTGTCATGATCCCTTAGCAGTGTTTGCTCTGGAAAAGGAGGAACAGGGACCTGGGTGCCATCTCTTCACAGCGCTCCACCCCTAGGGCCTGCTTAAATGGCACAGCCAGCTCCTCAGAGAGACAGGACACACTCTCCTTCTGCCTGCAGTTGTGAGGAAAGAAGGGGCACTGAGGAGGATGGGTCACCCCGGGAGCAGAGCCTGGCTCATATCCTGGTATCCCTGCAGAGGCTGGAGGTGGGGCCAGCACCACCTGAGGACATGTAGCCTTCCCAGGATTCTGGCGTGTGTTCCCATCCCTAGCAGGAAAGAAGTGGAAATTAGCCAATCACCCTGGAAGTGGGCAACCAGTCTTTCTCCCCTTTCCTGTGAATTCACTCAGGACACTGGGGACAAAAGACATCACAGACCCTATCTCCCGTGCTCTTTTACAGTGGCTATTTCATTTAGTACTAGGGGGCTTTTTGCCTGTATTTTATAAATGAGCAAAGAGGACTGGAGGGTCTGAGTGATTTGTCCAGGGTCATCCTCTGTCCTTTGGCTTTTACCTGTGTCACCACAGCCTCCTGGGGAGATGGCTGTGAAAGTGGGCAAAGGGTGAGTCTCAGCTTCACAGGGCTGCAGCATCAGCAGCCTCTCTTGCCTGTCCGTCAGCACTGACAGGGGCAACACCTGGCCTGGCACAAGGCTCTCCGCTTCTTGCCCTCAGGACTTGGAGTCTCTTGGAAGGAGCCTCAGCCCTTCTCTTGGTTCCTGCTTTTGTCTCTAGCCTTCCTAGAGTAGCTCAGATCAGTTCACACCCCTCTACCCACGACTACCCAGGAAAGGACATGATCCCTCATTAAGACCCAGCTATTGCCTAAGGGTCACTGAGGGCCTCAAACCCCAGAGGCTCTGTGGCAGGCACCTGGGAGCCCACTTGGCGGGCCTTGCCCTGGCCCAGACATCACAGACCACTCTCACTGCACTGGCTATTAAGTGCCTGCTCTCTACTAGGGATTCCTAGGGGGTGGCCAAGAGAAGGAAAGACACCCCCACAGGAAGGATGGGCCCAGAAACTGACTTTCCATGGCTCCGACGAGGGGTCCTGAGGCACTCTATCGAAGTGCAAGTCCCTGAATCTGTGTCCCAAGCTCTGAAAATGCAAGAGGTGCTTGGAGCAAACAGGGAGTGTCCTGTCACTGAAGGTCTGCAAGCAGAGGGGTAAGGGACTGTTTGCCTCCTACAGATTTCCCTTCTTTCTCTTCTTCTGGGCCTCTGGGCCAGAGACAGGCATTTTACTTGATGCGATCATCCTCAGCACATGCCTGACACATAGTAGGTGCTCAGTAATTGTTAGCTGTTGTTATTAACCATTATGTGAGTTTAGAGTGCCCGTCCTATTGCAGAGAGGGAGAGAGCAGAGACAAATGGTGATTCTAAGAACCTGTCCCCTTCCCTGGGACTCACTCCAGTGGCTGGTCGCCAGTTGCACCCACACGCGGCTGGCTGCGGGCAGGAGAGCTGGGCTCATTCGTTCTGGCAGCTGTCCCTGCAGATGAGGATCGAGGGTATGTGACTGCCTGAGCAGCTACTTCAATCCTAATGTCCCTTTAATAGCTCTCGTCAAATTGCCACAGCTCTCCCCAGAGATTTTCATGGCTATGGAAAATAAATAGCCATTATCTGACCTCCAGGGGAATGAAGATGTCTGCAGAATTCGGGGAAAAGCAGTTATAAAACTGAGTAGAGCCAGCGCACCCTTTCCCTATTAGCAACCTCTAAGGGAGTCCTAGCTACTGCCTAGGAAATCACAAAATAAATGTATTCACTCCTCAGACTCTCTTTTTTCACCTATTAGTATGTATATGAGTACATTTGGCTTGTGGTAGATCAGGAGAGAGAAAGAAAGAAAAAACAACTACAAAAATATGTAATGATTAGTTAGTCCAGGGGTAGCAGGAAAAGAAGCTGGTCAAGTAAAGGGTTTAATCCTTTTTTATTTTTATTATTTTTTTAGACAGGGTATCACGCTGTTGCCCAGGTTGGAGTACAGTGGTACAACCATAGCTCACTGCAGCCTCAAACTCCTGGGCTCAAGCAATCCTCCTGCCCCAGCCTCCCGAGCAGCTGGGACTACAGTGCACACCACCACACAAGGCTAATTTTCAAATTTTGGGCAGTTTTACTATGTTGCCCAGGCTGGTCCTGAACTCCTGGCCTCAAGGGATCCTCCCATCTCAGCCTCCCATAGTGCTGGGGTTACAGGTATGAGCCACCAAGCCCAGCTGGAAGTTTTTAAAACGTTTCAACATTCAAAGAATGTGAGAATGAAAATGCCCTTCCTTTTCTTACCACCTAATTTGGAAAAGAGAAACTATTTTTTTAATCCCAAAAACATTTGGTATAGCTGGCAAAAAGTGTTCTGTTCTTATATATGAGACAGTTCCTGAAATAGGCCCTAGAGACAGCACTCACGGCCAAGTGGGACCTTGCTCTGGTACTAGCTCAGGTGGCCAAGGGGTTTCAGGAGAGGGTCTGGACTTCCCCACATCCTGCTTTCATCAGCTCTAAGACTAGGTGGTGACATCTGCTTCTCAATAACCTTCACCAGGCTTGCTGTGAAGGTCACCTGAGATAAGAGACGTGAAAGGATGCTGAAGATGCAAAAGCCTAAGCCAGGCAGCCCTGCTTGGCCTGGCCTCCTGGAAAGGGGCAATGCCCCAGCCCAGCACACAACCAGGGCCTCATGATGACAATTCTGCAAAACTGGTCCTTGGCTCGTCCTCCCTTGCCAGGATGAGACTGTGCAAAGCCCCACCCACAGGCAGCTGCTCCAGGTGTCGTTTAAGGGCTCCAAATTCCTTCCAACTAAAAGTATCTTTCCATCCCTGTTGGTATAGTGGTTAGGGGAAAAAAAATTAAAAGAAAATGAACAATGTATTTTCCACGTCAAGATGCCTGAACTTCCCATAACAGCTGTCACTTTAAGAAGCCATAAGAGAAAGGGCCAGGTCTCCATAGGTCATTATTCTTCCCAGGCGGGGTCAACTTCCTCTATTAACACCCATGCACGTATCAGAAGCTACCCATGAAAGGCCAAGGGCCTACAGCAAAGCTCCCATGACTGGAAAGTATTTAAGCATAAGGAACAGAATAGTTTCGAGGGAAGGATAAGAAAGAGAGTCGGGAAGGCTGGGCAGAACACTACTTGGACAACTAAAAAAGCAAGTGGGGACATCTCAAAGAGTGGGCTGGCCACTCCCAGAACCTGTGTAAGCAGGAAACAAAAAGCATTTATTGCTGGTAAATGCTTAACAACTGGCTCTCTGGGATAAAAATGTATATATGTACAGAAATTTATTATAAATTTCATTGATAAAAATGATGTGCAGCACATAATTTATAAATAAAATATACAATGCCATTTATTGTAATTCTAGAAAAGTTTTTTACAGAATGCTTTTGTTGATTTTTGCTGACTCTTCTATCCAACCTGTTTGCAATTCAACCATGATATGACACAACCAGACTACAAATAAATGTTTGTTACTATCTGATTCAACAAAGCAGTCACTCATTTCATGGAATGGATATGGGCTGTTACTCAGTGAAAAGACACATGAGATGGTTCAGTGCTAACTCACCCTTCTGACAGAAAATGCCAGAAAGTTTCCACCCCATTGACAGGCTTGGAGTCTTGAGTACCATCTGGGTGGGTGGAGCTGGCACTGGCACGAAACCTCTCCACTGCTATCCTGACAGAGATGGGGCATGTACTTCCCAGGGCCACTTGCCAACCCAGGGAGGTTTTCCATCTTGCTGGTTTGGTGAGGGAGGCTGCTTTCAGATTTCAAGTGGACACTGCTGGCCTGGATAGGGCTGAGGGGCTCTGCCTCCAAGAGGTGTTCTTCGCTTTGTGGCATTACCTCTCTGAAGTACTTTAGAGTACTTTACAGGCCTGCTTTACTCCTCAGAATCCTGCTGCAGAGCTGAGGGCTGGATAATTTCATGTTCTCTGGCAACTGATGGCCACTGTGGTACCAGAGGAGGGATGTATGTCTGGGCACTTTCAAAAGTATGTTATTAGAAAGTTGCGCATCACGGCCGGGCACGGTGGTTCATGCCTGTAATCCCAGCACTTTGGGAGGCCGAGGTGGGTGGATCACCTGAGGTCAGGAGTTCGAGACCAGCCTGGCCAACACTGGTGAAACCCCGTCTCTACCAAAAATACAAAAATTAGTGGGGCGTGGTGGCGCACGCCTGTAATCCCAGCTACTCCGGAGGCTGAGGAAGAACTGCTTGAACCTGGGGGGTGGAGGTTGCAGTGAGCTGAGATCATGCCACTGCACTCCAGCCCTGGGCAACAAGAATGAAACTCTGTCTCAAAAAAAAAAAAAAAAAAAGAAAGTTCTGCATCAATCCTGTTGTCTCACTGTAAATAGCATAAGAACAATGTTCTGGCCCCTCCCTCCACTTGAGTTGCCAGGTTCTACGACAGGGTCTTCCCCACCATGGACCAGAATACAAGATAGCATTTTTTCTGCAGTAGTATCCAAAGCAAAAATTTCATCAGAAGGATGGCATTGGAGTCTCTTTCAGTTGAAAAGTGCATGCAGACAATTGAGTGTCAGATCCAGGGGAGAGGAAAAGGCGGCAGAGAACTAGGGAGACAGGTCGAGAGTAAGGAGATGAAGGGACATTTGAGACTCTGAATTTTTTCTTTTTTTGTAGAGGTGGGATCTTGCTATGTTGCCCAGGCTAGTCCTGAACTCCTGGGCTCAAGTGATTCTCCCACTTTGACCTCTCAAAGTGCTGGGAATATAGGCATGAGCCACCATGCCAAGCCGAGGGAAGCTGTTTCTTACAGCTGGGTTTCTTGCACATCCAGACTTCACATCCCGCCTTGTGCATACAGACTGGGAGTCCCTTGGGTAGCGGGGGACAGGAATGGGATTGGCTTTGGCCATGAGGCAGATTAAGCAACACCTAAGGGGAGTTGCTAGTGGACCAAGGCCCAGACCACAATGCAGGGGAGAGGGAGAAAAGGGGTGGAAGAGTGACAGGAACTGATATTTTTTTAGCAGTTACTATGAGAGGAATAAAACTGGACAGGAAAGAAAGAGAAAATACATAAAACAAGGACAGGTTGTTCGGCATCTCTTCAGGAGATGACTGTCTGGTACATCCTTTACCACCATTATCCTCAATCACCAATCACTAAGCATTGCCATGTACCAGGCCCAGGGGCTGGGACTATGGGAGCTAGTTCTTATAGTGGCTCATGATCTACTTGGGAAGGCAAGACCTAAAGAAATGACAAGTAAGCCACAATGGCATATGCTTTGTCGAATGAGAGGGTACCAATCAGCGAGTGTGCCGGGGACTTAGAGGAAGGGGTCACAATGCCCTGGGATGGCTGAGGTCCCCACGGAGATGTTGGGCCTTGAGCCAGAACTTGAGTGCTGGATAACACTTGAGTGGAAAGGAGGGGCACAGAGACTGTCCAGATTGGAATGGACAAGGCATAGCAGAAAGTACGGTGGTACACTCAAGGCACTGTGAACAGCAGTTTATTATTATTTTTTCCTTCATGCTGTCTTTTGGGGTCCTTAGGAAATGACTCTGTTGTCCTTCACAAGCCCAGCTAGGCCCTGGAACAAATGGCCTTTAGAGAGTTCAACAGTATGAAACTCCTACTACGAGTAAATCAATGTTAGGTGTTGTGGGGTATGTGGAAAAGTGAAAAAATAATAGTCCCTGCCTTAAAGGACAAGAAATGATTTTCCCTTTATCAAATGTCCAGGGAAGGAAACTGTGGGATGACACTGTGGCAGTGAAGTCTCACATCTGATAAAAGGCAGTGGGCTCTGGGCAGCATGGACAAGTTTAAGAAACACTGGATTTGCCATCTATCAAGATGCTCCATTTAGGGGTGGTCCAAAAGGTCTTTCAGTAACTCAGCAGTTCTCTTCTCAGAATTAGTTCCCAGTCTGTGCCTTCCAATCTTCCCAGTATATTCCTTTACCAGCACAAAAACTCATGTACAGCCAATGACCAGTTCAGAATAGATGCCAAAGTAATCAGACTATACCAGTAGCTCACCCCATGTCTGGTCACCAAGTAAGCCATCACAGACTCTGCAAATAATCCTGGAAAGGAAGAGGTACCAGGACAAGAAGGAAAGAACTAAAACAAGGATGTGAATAACTTCTAAACTGGTCAGCCTTGGACAAAAGGAAATCTGGAAATCTCGACTTGGCCTGAGAGAAACCTCATCCTGGCCCTTAAAGTGCCAATTAAGGCTGAGTTGAAAAGGAGCTGGGCATCATCAAACTGCAAACAAACTTAGCTTAGGCACCCACAGTGTGATGATGTGTTTATTTCCATGAAGGAGCAGTCTATGGAGAAGTGCAGGAACTTTCAAAGTTGCATGGGCAGAGCTGCTTCTTATATGACAGAATTGGCAGCTGCCTGTCACTTCACAGTGGGTCACATGAATATGAAGCAGAGAACTGGCTGTGTGCGTCAGCAGGGGAGCTTAAGACTGCAGATTCTGGGGAATCAGCACTCACTGTGACACATGTGATCCTCTGTCTCCTCAGACAACTGAAGGATGATGAGAAGGGGATCTCTGGAGCCTTGACCTTCTGGGCCCCGAATTTCTAGCTAGAAAACCTCTTTTCAAGACAAAAACATACCAAAGTACATTTTGAAGTATTTCGAAGAATGAATCACATGCCCTAACTTTATAATAGAGGAAGGCACAGATCTCATTTTTGTGACAGGTGAAACATAATCCTTGCCACAGGTTAACTCCAGAAGAAGGAACTGTACAGCTGAACAGAGCAGATTCTTAGAAACTACAAACTAACCAACAAACAAACAAATAAGGCAAAGAACAGCTGCACATCATCTTAAGATTCCTTATTTAAAGGTTGTATCTCTAAGCCAGGCTATTATATAATCAAGCAGGAAAATACTACTAAAACTTGATAGTTTTGACTGGTGGCCTTGTCTTGGATGTTAAGAAAAAATTTGCTGTTGTTTTTCAAAATAATAGAGATGGGGGTCTCACTATGTTGGCCAGGTCGGTCTCAAACTCCTGACCTCAAGCAATCCTCCCACCTCCCGAAGTGCTGCAATCATAGGTATGAGACTCTGTGCCCCACCTGTTGTTTTTTAACCAAGCAATCTGCAACTCAACTTTCATGTTAATTCAGAAAACTCCATTTCCTGACACATCAGGCCCTGAAGTGAAGGAGAAGTGAGCACAACTCTCACTGCACTAAAATTCCCAAGGCAAGGAGTCAATGGAGCTGACCAAATAGCCCATGGTAAGGTGTTCCAAAGGAAGACACCATATATAGAATTTGACTATTAAGAAAGGGAAGATTCAACCTCATATAAAGAACTCTTTAAAGAACTGTACAACAGCTCTCCAAGCAAGTGAATGAGGTTTTAACATACTGTTAAGTTGTTAAAAGAAATATTTGGATCTAAGAGAATCTGACAATGTTATCTGAATGAACACCAATTTTGATCTATCCTAAGTGTTAAGATATATTTTTGAATGTTAAAGATATTCGTGTACTAGGGAAAAAAGAGTGGTGAGCAGACGGAGAGATGGCCAAGGAAAAACAGATCACCTGACTGGCAGGTTATAGCTATTGTGACACTCTTAATAAAGTCCCTTACTTCCTCCACACTGTACAGACCAGGCTGAGAAAGACATGTTGCCAGGCTACCGTAAGAACATTTGACAGCCCAAGTCATGTCTCGAGGTGAACTTGGAGATAAATCACCTGTCCTTTCGATCTCTCCAAAAGGTCTAAATATTTCCATGGCCTCTCCTTCATCCATTTCTAAACCAAAGGCATTTCAGAGCATTCATGGGTTCCCCAAGATATTGCGATGAAATAACCATGTCTCAACCAGGCTCATGCCTGTAATCCCAGCACTTCAGGAGGCTGAGGTGGGCAGATCACAAGGTCAGGAGTTTGAGATCAGCCTGGCCAACATGGTGAAAACCCGTCTCTACTAAAAATACAAAAATTAGCCGGGCGTGGTGGCAGCACCTGTAATCCCCGCTACTCGGGAGGCTGAGGCAGGAGAATCGCTTGAACCCAGGAGGCGGAGGTTGCAGTGAGCCAAGATCATGCCATTGCACTCCAGCCTGGGCAACAGAGCAAGACTGTCTCAAAAAAAAAAAAAAAAAAGAAATAACCATATCTCTAGCTCAGCAATGGTTCTGTCAAAGCATTATTTGTAACACTCAACTAGACTAAGCAATCAAGAATTTTGGGCCACGTTCTCAACTTTTTCTCTTGCCTACTGAATACTGTTTCTTCCTTTCCTACCTTATTTTTTTCATTCAACAAATATTTATTCAATACTTACTACGTGCCTGGGTCAGTACTAGGTGCTGTGTCTACAGGAGTGAACAAGAGGGATAAAGTCCCTCTCACAAAGCATACATTCTAACTGGAGAGACAAACAATTTCAGATAGAGATTAGTGCTAGAAAGAGACAAATGATTTCAGATAGAGATTAGTGCTAGAAAGAAACAGGGAAGCAGGCCAGGCGTGGTGGCTCACGCCTGTAATACCAGGACTTTGGGAGGTCGAGGTGGGCGGATCACCTGAGGTCAGGAGTTCAAGACCAGCCTAGTCAACATGGTGAAACCCCATCTCTACTAAAAATACAAAATTTAGCCAAGAATGGTGGCGTGCACCTGTAGTCCCAGCTACTTGGGAGGGTGAGGCGGGAAAGTCGCTTGAACCCGGGAGGTGGAGGTTGCAATGAGCTGAGACAGCGCCATTGCACTCCAGCCTGGGCGACAGAGTGAGACTCCATCTCAAAAAAAAAAAAAAAAGAAGAAGAAACAGGGAAGCAGATTTCAGTAAGGGGGCAAGATAGAGGGGAGGGGAAGAAAAGCCCTACTTTAGATAGTCTGGGAAGAGCTCCAGGAGGAGGCGACAACTAGTGGAGATCTGAGTGACAAGTAAAAGATGCAAGGGAAAAACTCTCCAGGCAAAGGGAACGGATACAAAGGCTCTGAGGTGGTCAAGAGTCAAGAGATGGAAGGAAGGCCTGTGTAGCCAAAAGTGAATGAAGAAGAGAGTGGATAAAGACAAGCAGAGGTGATAGGGCTGAAGAGCCCAGGGAATCAAATGTTATAGGAAGACAAGATTTCAATCAAAGTGAGATGTCAAACCCCTGGAGTTTTTCAGTAGGTGTGAAGCCATCTTAAGGGGCAGACTTAATGAGGATCAAGTGTCCTCATTAAGGAGGACTTAGAGAGCTAGTGGATACGATGAAAAGGGAGGTGCTCTATGAGAGAAATGCAGGTCATCGCTAACCAGGCTAGTGTCTTTAGGCCACTGCAGGCCAATTCAACTGGAAATCCCCTCATCTGACAAACACATAAGTGCTGCTCTCTGTCAGGCCCCACCTCCCCCCATTCTTTTCCAAGTGTCTCCGCCTGCAGCGATTAGGTTAGAAAGCATTTCTCTCTGCTCTCGCTTAGACAGTTCCTGCAGTGTGTAAGACTACAGAGCTGAATTAGGAATGTCAAAGAATGTTCATACATAATAAAGGAGTCACACATATTAGAAATGACGTTGTTACTAAAAAGCCACACAATATCTCATTTAGAGAATATGCTTAACAAAATATACATCTTAAAAATTCAGCACTCCAGAATGCTTT
The DNA here is from genome assembly GCF_000001405.40 of Homo sapiens. Lineage (NCBI taxonomy): Eukaryota > Metazoa > Chordata > Mammalia > Primates > Hominidae > Homo > Homo sapiens. The sequence goes on from NC_000007.14 coordinate 128,310,485, forward strand.
TTCAGGTGTTTCCATTTGAGAAATAAAGAATAAAAATTGGTAATAATTATAGACACAACTTCATACAATAATCTGGATAATATGCAAGAAGCATCATGTTGACTTTCAGATATTTCTCTTTGTGGCTAACGAACCACACATCAAAGGATGGACCAAAGTTCAGATGTACACAGTCCAGGGCACCTCCGAGCACAGTGGCAGTGCCCTTGGGGATTTTCTTTCCCTCAGTGAGAGACACGGGGGATGGGGAGGAGCCCAGGAGTGTCACCAGAAAGTACACAACCCAGCTTCTTACCCAGCCTGCTGCCATCATCAACTATCAAACCATTTGCTCCTCTTTGCAAGAGGTGCTCCTTTAGAAGGTCCCAATAATTTCTGCTTATATTGTTCGACCAGCTGGTTGAAGCGGGTTTCCGTCTTATTTCCCTTAGCTTTTTTCCTAGATACCTACAAATGAAAGGATTAGAAACATAATATAATCAATTTCAAAGACTATATATCACCTTACCCTCAGGCCACCCAAGAGAGAAAGTAAGTGGGACAGAGATCATATCTACCAGAAAGGGGTAGGTTTCTAGAGAGAGACTCTTAGAGAGAAAGGCTCAAACAGAATCATCCACTGGTAAGAAATTAGACCAAGAGTGAGTGCACAGGGAGCAGGGCCTGACTAACCTCCCTGTCTGCTGGGGACTCAGGGGCCTCTCTTACTCTAGCTCCCAAAGGCTCACTTTAGCCTCAAAGCAGATGAGTCAGCACAGAGTCCGGCCATTCTTGCTTGCCTGTTCCCTCCCCAAGAACACTGCTCATGGGATTTCAGAGATCTCTATACTATAGTACGGTATACGTCAGAAACTTCCCAGACACAGATTTCTTGAGTAGGATGGGAAGCTAATGCTGCTTTTACCCTTAAAGGAAAGAGACTAGGGAAGGGGAGAAGCAAGCTTGACTTCAAGTGTTCAAGAATGTAGGACCACCGTTTTCTACTAAAAGGAACTAAGGCTCCTTGGGAAAATGGCTAATGTCAGGACTGGGGAAGAGGTACCTGAGCTGAGCCTGGGACATCCTGCACTAGAAAGCAAGGATACTACCAGACAAATACGCCACATCAGAAAGACTCAGAAGCCAACCTGCAGGGGCTTCTGCCAGCCTTACACAGAGTAAGAATAATGACAGTATTTGAAACACATCAAGCATATGAAAACTCAGGATTTCATAATACTAAAAAATGAGCCAGTATGGCAACAGCTCATTACTCTGAAAACTAACAGAGAGAGAGAAAAAAAAAATCAAGCATTTATCCTGTCTTTCCTACATAAATGATATTTTGTGGTAAGCAAATAATTGACAAAGGAAGATTTTTCTTTCTAGGGTTCTAATTAAAAATGCAAAAGGATAGAAGTTTAAATAATCAGCATTCTGTAACCCATAATGAAATAATGGATCTGGTAACACTCATCAATAACTGCTAAGGCCATTACATGAAAGGCTAATTGGGAACTTCATCAATGGAGGGATAAGGCAGATAATCCTCAAATCTACTGATCAATCCCAGAATCACTAAAAATGGGCAACCAGGTAGTATGTGCCTCAGGCGATATAAGGAAACACACACACCACCTATGAAATACTCTCTTCAAGAAAACTGAACTTGAGGCCAAGCACGGTGGCTCACACCTGTAATCCCAGCACTTTGGGAGGCCGAGGCAGGCGAATCACCTGAGGTCAAGAGTTCAAGGCCAGCCTGGTCAACATGGTGAAACCCCGTCTCTACTAAAATACAAAATTAGCTGGGCATGGTGGCGCATGCCTGTAATTCCAGCTACTCGGGAGGCTACTCCTGGAGGCGGAGGTTGCAGTGAGCCGAGATTGCGCCATTGCACTCCAGCCTAGGCAACAAGAGCAAAACTCCACCTCAAAAAAATTTTTAAAAAAAGAAAACTGAACTTGATCAAGCTACCAGACCGAACTAACTACCAGATGACAGGCAATATGGGGGTGTCACAGAGACAAGTTAAATGACACCACAAAGAAGCAAATGGCTAAATTAAAAATGTAACACAAATGACCTGGTTTCTCCAATAAATGAATAGCATGGAAAAAAGGGTGGTAAGGGAGAATGGATATTAGAGAAGAAAAAAATGATTTAAGAAATTAAAAACCCAAGTATAATGTGGGACTTTGGATCCCGACTCATACTAACCAAGTATAAAAAAATTTTTTTCAGGCAATTTGGCAAATTTTAATATGGATTTAATATATCATTTGTGTAGTAGATGATAAAGGGCTTATTAGTTTCATTAGATATTATAATGGCATAAGGTGTGTGTGTTTAAGGCCTGATCAGTTAGAGATGCACTCTGAGGTTTTTCTGAGCAATATGTTTCATTTTCATATGAGACGCATTTACATGTGAAATGGGCTTTGCTTTAATATACTCTAGTGGGGAAAGCATGTTATGGGGAATATGTAAAACAAGGAGACTGCTGAAACACAGGAACAGATACGTGGAGGTTCATTTTACTTTTTTCTCTCCACTTTTAAGATTGTATAGCTCAACATTCTCTAAAAAGCTACCGTCCTACACAGAAGTCTTTCTTTTTTTCTTTTTTGCTCAACTAACCAAGGTACAAACATGGCTACGACCTGGCAGAACCATGCCATACCAAAGCTGTATGTCCTGCAGAACTCACCTGCTCGGACGATAATTGCTGCTTCTCCTGCTTCCACTGGTTTATCTGTGGCTTTGGCTTTTTGGGATGGACGGGCTTCACTTTGCCTTTGTCCCGCAACCTGAAATAACATGGCTGAGTGTCACCTTGAGTCCTTCTTCTAATTTGACACCCCTAGGTTCTCTTTGTACACTGGCCCTTCCCAAGCCCATGATAAGTGAAGTCATTCTAAAAAGGGATACTGCAACAGACCCTCTGAAAGCTCAACATTTGTATACTTAGGACTGCTTGATGCCAGGAGTTTGAGACCAGCCTATGCAACATAGCAATCCCCCGTCTCTACTACAACGAAATTAAAAAGTCCCAGCTACTCAGGAGGCTGAGGAAGGTGGATTGAGTCCAGGAGTTGAGGTTACAGTGCGCTATGATCATGCCACTGCACTCTAGCCTGGGCAACAGAGCAAGACCCTGTGACATGGTTTGGATCTGTGTCCTTGCTCAAATCTCACGTTGAATTGTAATCCCCAGTGTTGAAGGCTGGGCCTGGTGGGAGGTGACTGGATCATGGGGATGACTCCTTCATGAATGGTTTAGCGCCATCCCCTCAGTGCTGTTCTCGTGACGGTGAATGAGTTACCACAAGATCTGGTTGTTTAAAACACTCCCCCCTGCTCCTGGCCATGTGATGTGCCAGCTCCCACTTCACCTTCCACTATGATTAAGTTTCCTGAGGCCTCCCTAGAAGATGAGCAGCTGCTGTCATGCTTCCTGTACAGCCTGTGGAACCATGAGCCAATTAAGCCTCTTTTCTTTTCTTTTTTTTTTTTGAGACGGAGTCTCGCTCTTTCGCCCAGGCCAGAGTGCAGTGGCGTGATCTCGGCTCACTGCAAGCTCCGCCTCCCGGGTTCACGCCATTCTCCTGCCTCAGCCTCCCCAGTAGCTGGGACTACAGGCGCCCGCCACCGCACCCAGCTAATTTTTTGTATTTTTAGTAGAGACGGGGTTTCAGCATGTTAACCAGGATGGTCTCGATCTCCTGACCTCGTGATCCACCCGCCTCGGCCTCCCAAAGTGCTGGGATTACAGGCGTGAGCCACCGCGCCCAGCCAAGCCTCTTTTCTTTATAAATTACCCAGTCTCAGGTATTTCTTTATAGCAGTGGAAGAACTGAATAATACACTGTCTCTAAAAATAAAATAAATAAATAAATAAAACCCCATGGATATCTCAAAAACCTTCATTTATTTAACAAATATTTTGTAAAGATTTACTTTTGTAGAGCACTAATCTGCTGTCCCAAACAGAAACTACAACTGAACCTCAAGTATGTGGTCTCAGCTGGCAGAGATGGCCATCTGGACAAGAGGAAGCTCTTCAAAAGAGGAGAAAAGGGGCACAAAAGCCTGCCCTAGGAGGCCCCTCTGCCATTGATCTAAGAGTGACATCTCTGATGGTGTTGAAGACTCGCGTGTTAACCCCATGTGTGGGAATACATAGCACCAAACATCCTTTTCAACCAAACAAATGCCACAAAGAGAAAATAACTCAGCAAAAACAAACCCGCTTAGAACCCACCCACTGTTCTGTGCTTCTGCCCTCCTGCATCTCACCTGATTTTGGGGCCTCGGTGTGAGGGGAGCGCCAGGACCTTTCTTCTCTTCTTTCCATCAGGCAGCTCCACCTGCTCCACTTCAGCCTTGGTCTGGAACCCGGTCCATGAGGTAGAGCCCGCCTTTCTCTTCTGCTCTGGGGGCACCTTGCTTTGTTCCTCTGTGTGGTGTTGAGCTGCCTTCTGTTGCTGGTCTTTTGCAGGCTCTGGTTGCCCCTTCTGAGGCTCACCAGTTGCAGGCTTGGATCTCATTTTTTGCTGCATAAAACAAGAAAATGCCATCTGGTTTCTGGATGAGCTTTGTTTGCTGCAAATACTCAGCAGAAGATGAGCTTTATGTGAGCTAGATGAAAGAAGAGGAATTCTTCCCCCACACAATTGGAGACTAGAGGAAAGTGAATACATGTAGATCACAAGCCCTGCCACAGTAACAGATGGTTACTGGGTGGGGGGCACAAAATAACCATTCCCCTTCCCATAACACAGAAATAAGGGAGAGTGCATGCCCAAAATTCAAAAGTCAGTAGGTGGGACAATTATCAAAGGTGTAACCTATGTAGAAGGAGAATACAAGAAGAAAGCAAGCAACAGAAAAGATAATGAAGTAATAAGGGCTGAGAATTTTTCAAAACTAATGACAGTCACTAAACCACAGATCTAGGAACTCAGAGAAGACCAAATAAGATAAATACTAAACAATTTACAACCAGTCATATCATAGACAAACTGCAGAAAATCAAAGATAAAATCTTGAAAGAAGCCAGACAGGGGAAAAATTTTACCTATAGAGGAACAAGGATGAGATTACATCAAATCTCTCTCTCTTTTGTTTTTAATAGGCACCCTCCCAAACCAGAGTAGATTGAGAGAGATTTCCAAGACTTCTCTTCAGAAACCATGTAAGCAAGAAGGGAGTGAAGTGAGATATTTAATATTTAAATTTTTAAAAGAAAAAAAAATCACCAACCTACAATCCTGTATCCGATAAACTTATCCTTCAAAAGTGAAGGAAAAGACTTACTCAGACAAAAGAAAATGGAGAGAATTTGTTGCCAGTAGACCTGTCTGCAAGAAATGCGAAATAATCTCTTCAGAGAGAAGAAAAATGACATAGGTCAGAAACTGATCGTTTTCAAGAAAGGAAGAACATCAGGAATGGAATAAATGAAGTAAAGACGACAAGAAAAAGATGCTGTGGGAAGGAAGGCATCAAGGAAGTTATAGAAGTATTTGCACTGAAGTGGAAGAAACAGAAGATTCAAGTGAAATTAATGTAATGATAAGTGTGTGTTGTTCTTCCCTTTCACCTTAGAAATCTAGATAGGTACAACGATACAATGAACATTTATTATATGCCTAGTGTGTGCCAGTCTGTTTCCAGGATACAAAAAAATAGTGTCTACCCTTCAGGACTCACAGCCAGGTGGAGATAAGAGATGCATTCACAAATAAACCAAAGTAAAAAAAACTACACAGCTTAAGGAAGTTCATGAAAATCAAGTAAAGAGGGCCTTATATCTTTTGAGAGAGGTGGAGGCATGCAACTTGAAAGAGATCATTTGATCTGCATATGCAAAGTGAGTAGAGGCATTTTTACACAGAAAGAACAGTATGAATATAAATCCAGGCAACAAATAAAGTAATTTGGATGTTAAAAAACAAACTAGGCTGGGCTCAGTGACTCACGCCTGTAATCCCAGCACTTTGGGAGGCTGAGGCAGGTGGATCACTTGAAGTCAGGAGTTCGAGACCAGCCTGGCCAACATGGTGAAACCCTGTCTCTACTAAAAAAATACAAAAATTAGCCGGGTATGGTGGTGTGCACCTGTAGTCCCAGCTACTCAGGAGGCTGAGGCAAGAGAATCACTTGAACCCAGAAGGTGGAGGTTGCAGTGAACTGAGATTGTGCCACTGCACTCCAAACTGAGCGACACAGCAAGACTCCATCTCAAACAGAAAAACAAACAAAACTGGTAGCTTCAGAATCACCTCTGAAACAATGGCTAACAGTAATAAACAATTCTATTATCTGGGGAACAAAGTTGCCTTGAACAATAACCAGATCCCAGATTTTCCAACCTAGGGCCACTGCATTAACCACCAGAATGGCTCGTCTGTTGGTAATCCTCTTGGTATATACCACAAAGACTACAAATGTTTGCTGTATATGCAAGGGAACTTTGCTGTGCAATATCAATGAGAGCTCTAAGAATGACAGAGTCAAGAATAATCTGGCCCTGTATGTCCTGGGGGAAGATGGGTAAGAGAATGAGTACTGACTGCGTGCTGACCATGCAGTATGCTAGACGATGGACATGTATTATCTCATTTAGTCCTCAGCAATCATGTGAGGCAGATGTTGTCCACCCCATTTTACAAACTGAAGTTCAGAGCGGTAATAACTGCCAAGGAACATGCAGCAAAAAGGGCAGAGCCAGAGTATGAGCATGAGTACACGTATTCCTAAAGTCCCTGCTCCACCTTCTATACCACACCAGATTAAAAACAGTACTAAAACTATCAGGCTTCACACTTCTGGAGCCAACTAATAAAAGAAAATATGGAAGAGATAACTGAAATCTACAGGTAATGGGAAACCTTAACCTCAACCATTAATTTTGGCACGTACTATCACCAAACACTGTAAAAAACGGCTGACTGGAAATAACATTGGTCTGCTTCCTCTCTCCTTCCTTTCCCTTCTGCTGTAGAGCTATCAGACATGGGCCAGCAGATAAGAAGATGGCCTGGAGAGGCTTAGGGAACTGGGAGTAAAGGGAACTAGGAGCAAAAAAACCTAACTGAGGGGAGAACTACTCTAAGAGAGCAGAAGCACAAATTGAACAAAATAGAAGAGTTTATGTCCTTAAAAATATGGACCATTTAATTTCTGTACCAAGCTGCGCTGGATCCTTAATTCCTTCATTTTAAGTTTTCTTCGATCTTCTAAAGAGAACTCCACTATTGGTCTCTGTCAGAGGGAGACAGAATGCCATTCATTAGACTTCTTAATCTGTGCATGCAATGAGCTGAGTTTTTCCCCTTCACACATCCTCCCCCAACCCACCTTTTTTTTGTCCACTTGCCACTGTTTCCCACCCCTCAAATGTCAGAGGACACTAGGCATAAAGGAGAAGGCTGGTTTCCTGCAAGTGGTCCTAAGGGAACAAGTCTCCCCAGAGGACAAGGCCTACCTTCAGAGGCCCAAAGATTTCTGGATTGTTGTTGATGAGGCGGAGGGCTTTCAGGGCATGCTCGTGCTCTTGGAACTCCGCAAAGGCGTAGCCCAGGGACTGACCCTTCATGTTCCCATGAACTCCTTTGAGGTCTCGCATCACTCTACACTATGAGTAGAGCAAGAAAAAAATCAGTAATTACAGAATGAGAAGACTTGCCTGACATGAACTGCTTTAATAGAGTCAATAAGAAATCAGGCTATTGGGTGGGCATGGTGGTTCATGCCTGTAATCCTAGCACCTTGGGAGGCCGAGACAGGAGGATTGCTTGAGGCCAGGAGTTTGAGACCAGCCTAGGCAACATGGCAAAACCTTGTCTCTACAAAAAATACAAAAAATTAGCCAGTGTGGTGGCACCTCAGCTACTCAAGAGGCTGAAGCAGGAGGATCACCTGAGCCCGGGGAGGTTGAAGTTACAGTGAGCCATGATGGCACCACTGCACTCCAGCCTGGGCAACAGAGTGAGACCCTGTCTCAAAAAAAAAAAAAAAAAATCAGGTTATTGAAACATAATCTTCATTTATACCACCATCACAAAAATCACACTGGAATAACACTTATGTGTGTCCATCTTATTAGAATTTACCTACTAAGACCATCAAACAGATTAAAATTGTATTTTCTTGCTTTCTACTAGCTTATAGACATCAACAGAGACCTAAAAAAAAGCACATAAACAAAACTTCCTAAAGAAAATTTATAAAGCGGTATGGATGTTAAAAAACAAACACAATACAAACACAACTGTTTGCGATACATACAAATTGAGAGGTACATGGTATTTTAAGCGTGTAACAAGTTGCTGCCGAGGATGGAGTACTGTCCACAGATCTTACAACTGAAAAAAGCCCTCAGGAAGGAAATTATTGAAGAAGGAAAGGAGGAAGGCCTGATGGCTTTAGATAAGAAAGACATTTCAAGCATAGGAAAAAGTCTCTCCAACATACAGGGTCAGAAATATAGGAAGAAGTTTCAGCTCTCTTTGCTTGCAGCTCAGATCCTCTCTAGTGTGGTTTTCCCTTAAATCCTTAAGCCAGATGTAGTAAACATCTGGGGCACCAAAGTATGGTAGGATTTTTCGAGAAAACTGATCATTTACATGCCATTACTACCAAAGCTGTCGTTCTCATGTAATGGAAACAGCTAAGTATTGGGGATGCATGGATGCCGCATTTAGTTTATGTCCAGTGTCCACTCTGTGCCTAGAACTGTCATACACTGTAAGGGAATCAAGAGAAGCATATAATGAAGATCCTGTTCTCAAGATGCTTACCATCTTACTGAGACACTATACATACAAATAGGAAAGAATTAAGAGGAAAATTCAACATAATGCAAAATATTCTAGAATAAACATAAATTTCTCTAAATTATGACAGGTGTTAAATATGTAGGCACTAAGTATTCGGATGATAGGAGAAATTACACAACTGTCCCTCCCCTATAACCAGTAACACTGAGCAGTTTTACTAACTGTGGTGTCAGATATGTGCTGATATATTCACATTCTCTCAAGTAATCTCCCAAATACCAATCCATACATTTTGAAGAGGTTTTCAGGGATTAGGAAAACAGTTTATGGTAGCGAAACAGAGTAAAGCAGGCCCAAAATATTGGCAATGGTACTTTTAAAATAAATATTGACTAAGAGATGACTATGTACCAGGTACTACACCAAGGATTGGGGATAATGAGATAACGCTTGCCTCAAAAACTCAGTCTAGTGGGGAGAAGTGACTGACAGACAGTTTGAGGCCAGGGTAATAGTAACCAGTATGACAGAGATATGCAAGGCCAGGCCCAGTGGTTCACTGTTATAATTCCAGCACTGTGGGAGGCCGAAGCAGGGGAATCATCTGAGCTCAGGAATTTGCGACCAGCCTGGGCAACATGACAAAACCCTGTCTCTACCAAAAACAAGAAATTAGTCAAGCATGGGCTGGGCGAGGTGGCTCACGCCTGTAATCCCAGCACTTTGGGAGGCCGAGGCAGGCGGATCACTTGAGGTCAAGAGATCGAGACCATCTTGGCAACATGGTGAAACCCCGTCTCCACTAAAAATACAAAAATCAGCTGGGCGTGGTGGTGCATGCCTGTAGTCCCAGCTACTCGGGAAGCTGAGGCAAGAGAATCGCTTGAACCCGGGAGGCGGAGGTTGCGTTGAGCCGAGATCATGCCACTGCACTCCAGCTTAACGACAGAGTGAGACTCCGTCTCAAAAAAAAAAAAAAAAAAAAGAAAGAAAGAAAGAAATTAGCCAGGCATGGTGGTGTGTAACTATAGGCCCAACTACTTGGGAGGCTGAGGTGGGAGGATTGCTTGAGCTTGGGGGGGGGGGGGGTGGCGGTTTGCAGTGACCCGAGATGGTGCCACTGCACTCCAGCCAAAGACAGAGCAAGACCACATCTAAAAAAAAAAAAAGAAAGGAAGAAAAGAAAAAAAAGAAAAGAGAAATACGCAAAGGGGAATGTGGAGGCAGAAAAGTTCTGTACTCACACAGAGTCTAACCAAGTTGGTGTGAACCCAGTGTTTTTCTAATTCAACTGCTGAACATCTACATGGCTTCCTGTGTTGACCACAAGGCATAGGGGACTCTGAACACAGGGTAAGAATCTAACTAGGAGTAAAATACTCTTCCAAAAAGCAAAGCAGATTATTTTCTCTGCAAGAAAATTCACATGATAGCACAAAGTATAATGCTAAGCACACAACAGGCATTTAATAAATGCTTGCTAAATTAATTCATGCAGACAGAGATTTCCTTGCATTCTGCTGTAATTCAGTCAGATGTAAAAGACAATTCTTAGAAGAAAAAGAACAAAACCAAGAAACTGCTAAACTCAGCTATGCATGCTGACAACATGTCCAGAAGAAAGTCTGTTGATGGCCCGGCACAGTGGCTCACGCCTGTAATCCTAGCACTTTGGGAGGCCGAGGTGGGCAGATCACTTGAGGTCAGGAGTTCGAGACCAGCCTGGCTAACATGGTGCAATCCCTTCTCTACTAAAAATACAAAAATTAGCCAGGCGTGGTGGCGCACGCCTATAGTCCCAGCTATTCAGGGGGCTGAGGCAGGAGAACTGCTTGAGCCCAGGAGGAGGAGGTTGCAGTGAGTCAAGATTGCACCGCTGCACTACAGCCTGGGCAACAGAGTGAGACTTCGTCTCAAAACAAACAAACAAAATCTGGCACCACAGCCTGAGGGAAATGCTTGATCTGACCCAAGATCAGAATGAAAGCTCCAAAATGGTCAGGGCCACGTCTCACCTCCTTGATGCGCACCCCTTTCTCTCCACTAGTAGCACTCAGCAGCAGCTTTCTGAGCTGTTTGTCATCTACAGCCTTTGGGAGATTGTGCAGGCAGAGCCTGGTTCGGGAGACAAAGATATTCTGGTCCTTGAGTTTCTGATGCTTCAGCAGCTCAAACTGAAAGAACAACCAATGGTTAACAGTACAACCCACTCTTTTTAAGAGGTAGGCTCATAATTCTCCAAAAGGAAAGAATTATGATCCTCATCCCATAACCACACATATAGAAAACGGATGGAAACTGCCCACACCGCAGCTTTACAATGCCTAGTATAGGGAAAGAAAAGTCCAAGGGAACAAGATGGTGGGTGGGTAATAGTAAAATCATAGGCTCTGGAGACCCATCCCTAACTGGAGAAATTACATAAAATTTTAAAGCCACAATTTTTCATCTATAAAACGAAACAGTAGATCAAGGTCTCTGAGCACTGAGGTGAGGCCAAAATGAGATAATATAAGGCTGGGCAGGGTGGCTCATGCCTGTAATCCGAGCACTTTGGGAGGCCAGGGCAGGCAGATCACCCGAGGTCAGGAGTTCAAGATCAGCCTGGCCAACATGGTGAAACCCTGTCTCTACTAAAAATACAAAAATTAGCCAGGCATAGTAGTGCATGCCTGTAATCCCAGCTACTCGGGAGGCTGAAGCAGGAGAATCGCTTGAACCTGGGAGCCGGAGGTTGTGGTGAGCCAGGATCGTGCCATTGCACTCCAGCCTGGGCAGCAAGAGTGAAATTCGGTCAAAAAAAAAAAAAAATTCCCTAGCTCAAAATGTAGCTCAGAACAAACAACAAATAATACTGTGATTAATATCTATGCCCAGTCCTCATCTACCCACCAGCTCAACTGATTATCTAATCCTTCCAAAAGGAAATGGAAGTTATTCAAAGAATACTTGACAGAATGCTGTGTTGTCTCAACTCTGCCACCCTGAGGCAAAGGAGTATCAATGACCACAGAACCATATTTTGCTCTTAGAGCAATACCCTCAACTATGCTGCCACAAAACCCCAGTTCCTGCGTGATCTGTGTCTAAAATGAAATGAAAGATGACATTCTTCTCCCAATTAGTTTTTTTTAAACCAAGTTGGTAGAAAAAAGTTTTCAATTAAAAGTTTTTCTTTTGTCAAGTCTTCTCAGTCCTGCTGCTTCTTGTTTGGTAAAAGTACCAACAGATCACAAAATAAACAAATCCCTTGGAAAACGACTATTAAAGGAACATCTGAAAAGGCTATCATGTTTAAGTTCAACAGACTATTTTTCTGTCAGGAAAAGCTGTGCCTGCTGTGAATTTATAATGCATACCTATCATTGAATGAGCTTTTTGCTAACAAAATTAGTTTTAAATTAAATATGTCATTATTGCACTGTGATCAGACAAGGGTATATAGTGCCCTTATAAAATTGAGGCTTTAAAATTTTCTGTAATTTCTCCAGTTAAGGATGGGTCTCCAGAGCCTATGATTTCTAGGTGTTCACTACCACAAAAGTTGAAAACACTAGTGCAGAATCTGTGCCCACTGAAAAAAAGACGCACTGCCTCCTGCTGTCATTACACTCTCACCCCTGTTCCTCATCTGCATGTTAAGGTTCCATAGCTAATTCTGTTCACAGTTATGCATCTTTACCCTTCTAGGCTGGCTTGGCTTTTTGAAAGTAAGTTATATGGGAAAAAGTAAAAATTACTGGGAACATTACCAAGCAGCAAAGGAATATGAGTTATCGGTTAACATCGGAAACATCCATAAAATGGAGTTTTTCTAAAATGATTTTATAATCTGGAGATTATAACTCCTCCCAACTGACAGCTACCCCTTTCAAGAGCCATATCTTCTCCCTTCTCTAATAACTCCAGCTCATTCTGATCTTCCTCTTTTACATTATTCTGTGTTTATACTGACACCTAATTACATGTAGCAATAGCCTCTGACTGTCTACTGCATGATGTAGCAGCATGTGTTCAGCAAACATTTACTGCCAAGCACTAGGGAAACAAATAATAAGACACAGTTCTTTTATACCAGCATACAAAACAGATAGAATACTATGTATGATGTTGGGTTACTTGCTATTTCACCTATGTGCTTTTCTCCCTAACAGGGCAATAAGTATGGTCTGTGACCATACTGGGCTCTTTGATGAGCACATCTAGCATTCGATAACTATTTTTGATTGATTTATAGGCCACGCAGAACGTGAAGGTCAATGCCTAATCTACTCACCCGTTCTCTTTTGGCCATATCAGCAGCACTCACACCCTCTGCAGCCTTCGTCCCAGCACGAATCACTGCAGAAAGAGGGAAAAAGGCCAAGACATCAACAAGGGAATTTTCACTGAGCAACAAGAGGAATGTGATTTGAATGATGCAAACTCTTTGTACAGGGCCCAGAGGACTATCTTGGCCAGGACACGGTGGCATTTGGTTAGGTCCAGAAATAGGCTACAGGGCTAAGTTCTGGGCTCAGAGCTGCTCTCAAGGACTAAAACTCTAAACATTTTGTGATTTTATTCCTCTTCTCCTTCTCTCCCCTCAAAGAATCTTCACGTACATGCCCAAAGTCAGAAAGAAAGGCCTAGAAGAAGTATGGAACATAAGTACATTTTGGGCATTTAGAATGCACAATGTTCCACCTATAATCTGCCCTTGGAACTTAACTTTGCTGTTCCTTATATACTTGAGGTCCATTACTAAACAGTGAGATAAGCCAGCCGAAAACAGTTATGTTGCCATAGAAGGCTGGTGTCGAAGGCTAAAGGACATTACTAGTACAGGCTGTGAAGCTATGGAGGAGGTGAGCTGATAAATGCTGTGTGACCTAGAAGAATTTTTTTAAAAATTTAAAGCTAATTTTTTTGTCTTTCTGACACTAAAGGAAAGTATTGGGTGCACATTTTAAATCCATGAATAATCCAAAAGAGTAATTTTAGTCATAATGAAAACCTCTTATTAGAAATGATGACAAGAAGCAAAGGTATTTTGAGTTCTTCCTCCCCCTTTGCCTTGCCAATCCTCTATTGAAAAAGACTAAAGGCAACCAGGCAGAAAAGATAATGGGACAGTTAATCCACAAAAACGAGTGAAGGTTTACTAATAGAGAGCCACATTTATTAAAGTGGAATGATCATATAACACTGTTAAAGAGAACATTTGGGTTTTTAATTTGAAACATGCTTCCAGGCATACTATTGCTTGATCAATGATTATGGCACAGGGCCAGGTACTTAGAAGTGTGGGTTACATCTCCCTACTCACAGCCTTCTCGGGCCAGATAGAGATTCCGGGTGCCAGTCGGCTTCTTCACCTTCGTCGTCTGAAGCTTTGCAGCCTCATCACGGGTCACCGCCAAGTCAACCTTGAGCTGCCGGCCATCCAGTTTAAGCCCACCAGCCTGTAACAGATCACAACCCTTTCTTAAAACACATAATGGCCGGGCACAGTGGCTCACACCTGTAAACCGAGCACTTTGGGAGGCTGAGGCAGGTGGATCACCTGAGGTCAGGAGTTCAAGGCCAGCCTGGCCAACATGGTGAAACCTCGTCTCTACTAAAAATACAAAAATTAGCCGGGCATGGTGGTGTGCGCCTGTAATCCTACTCAGGAGGCTGAGGCAGGAGAATGGCATGAACCTGGGAGACGGAGCTTGCAGTGAGCGGACATCGCGCAACTACACTCCAGCCTGGGAGACAGAGCGAGACTCCACCTCAAAAAAAATAAAATAAAATAAAAAAATAACAAAACAAAACAACACATAATGAGTAGAAACTAGAAACTAAGCACCTGACAAGAACACCACAGAAAGGGATACAGCAAACATCAATTACGCTATGGAAGCCAAGCCCTACGACGTTTCAGCTCAGCTAGCTACAAATGGATCACTGGGCCTCACAATATTTAGTATAGCTGTGCAAAAGGCCACATGTGTATTTCAGGCAGTCAGCAGTAAAGAATTTATTTTCTGGGAGTTGATTAGTCCCAAAGTAGACCCAAACTGAGGAAAATTATCTGTAACCAGGCAAATGTCTAGTATTGTAAAGTAAGCTAGTGAAATAGTAGAGTACTTACTCAAGAGGACTTAAGAAATAACAGCAATATTAGATAACATTATACTCGACTATAGAACAAATGGAGTAATTCTCCATCACCCACACACATTCTCTCTCAAACATCTACTCTACTTCACAGACGACCTTAATACCTCATCCTAGTCTTTCATGTTATCAGTCTAGGATAGAGGCTGACACAGACAGCAAGCAACAAATATCAGATACGTTATTATCCCCTTTTCCTCACCTATGAAGTAGAGATCATAATTCTGCCTACCTCAAAGGGCTGATGTAATGATTAAGATAATGCATGTAAAGTTCAGTGCCTAACACAAAGTGCTAAATAAGTGTTAGTTTTATTATTACTGACAAGAAAAATAATAATAAAGCTTTGTATAAATACCAGATGTTGCCCCTAAGAGCCAAACTGCCTCCTGTGTTATAAGGTAAAGGAAATATCTTCCTTACCTCATTCTCTGGAGAAGCAGCTAGAAGGCATTTCTGAGCTGCTTCTTGAGTCATGAACTGGGCAAATGCACAACCTGCACAAGGAGACACAATTCAGTGAGATCCCAAACTCCCACAGATAAACCAAAGACAACATTGCAAATGGCAACAGCCTGACACAGAGTGGAAGGGATAGGTGGCATCCATTTATTAAGTACAGCCATGTAGCCGGGTGCAGTGGCTCACACCTGTAATCCCGGCACTTTGGGAGGCCGATGCGGGCAGATCATGAGGTCAAGAGATCAAGACCATCCTGGCCAACACAGTGAAACCCCGTCGCTACTAAAAATACAAAAAATTAGCCAGGCGTGGTGGCGGGCACCTGTAGTCCCAGTTACTTGGGAGGCTGAGGCAGGAGAATGGCGTAAACCTGGGAGGCGGAGTTGCAGCGAGCCAAGATAGTGCCACTGCACTCCAGCCTGGGCAACAGAGCAAGACTCCGTCTCAAAAAAAAAAAAAAAAAAAAGTACAGCCATGTACTTGCATAAGGACGTTTTGGTCAGTGACAGACTGCATATACAACAGTGGTCCCAGAAGATTACAATGGATCTGCCCTATACAGTTGTACCATTTTTTATCTTTTATACTGCATTTTACTATACCTTTTCTATGTTTAGAAATACTTAGATACACATATACTTACCATTATGTTACAACTGCCTACAACATTCAGTATAACAACATGCTGTGCTGTACAGGTTTGTAGCCTAGGAGCACATATGACCTATGTGTGTAGTAGGCCATACCACCTAGGTTTGTATAAGTACACTATGACATTCACACAATGACAAAATCACCAAATAATGAACTTTGCAGAATGTATCCCCATCATTAAGTGACGCATATTGCACTATGACACAGGCACTATGTTAGGTACCAAATAATCAAGACAAAGATACCACTGCTCTTAATGAAATTTTATTATTACTTCCTTCATCTGTTCTAATTCTTCTTAGAACTTTAGTCTCATGATCTCTCTTAATAAGAAATATCCATGTGAAGGCTGGGTGTGGTGGCTTACACTTGTAATCCCAGCTCTTTAGGAGACCAAGGCAGGAAGATCGCTTAAGCCCAAGAGTTAGAGCCTAAGCAACATGACAAAACCCTGTCTCTACGAAAGAAAAAAAAAAATTGGCTGGGTGTGGTGGTGCATGCCTATAGTCCCAGCTACCGAGAAAGCTGAGGTGGGAGGATGACCTGACCTCGGGAGGTCAAGGCTGCAGTAAGCCATGATCACTGCACTACAGCCAGGGTGACAGAGCGAGACCTTGTCTCAAAAAAAAGAAAGAAAAGAAAAGAAAAGAAATATCCACATGAAATGGTAGAGAAATTCCAGCCTAACACTTAATTCAGCATCACTTATGAAGTACCTATTAGAGGACTAAAAAATAAAGCAGGAACCACTTAACCCTGAACTTAATTACAGATCTCACTGTCACACAGTCACTTGGGAGGCATCAGATATGGGCAGATCTGCTTCTCAGAGTAAAAGTCTCTGTCCTCTACTATATGAATATAGCAGGGAACCAGAAAGCCAGGAGCTCAATTCTTGGCTCATACTCTAGAATCTCCATAAGGCATGCCTTTCCTTGATTAGATGCAGGACCAATTAACCCATCTCTATTTCTGCTATTGACAAAAAAACAATTTTTTTTTTTTTTGAGACGGAGTTTCGCTCTTGTTGCCCAGGCTGGAGTCTAATGGCTCAATCTTGGCTCACTGCAACCTCCGCCTCCTGGGTTCAAGTGACTCTTCTGCCTCAGCCTCCCAAGTAGCTGAGATTACAGGCAGGTGCCTCCATGCCCAGCTAATTTTGTATTTTTAGTAGAGACAGGGTTTCTCCATGTTGGTCAAGCTGGTCTCGAACTCCCAACCTCAGGTGATCCGCCTGCCTTGGCCTCCCAAAGTGCTGGGATTACAGGTGTGAGCCACTGCACCCGGTCAATAAAAAACAACTTTTATAAGCAAAGAAAGTAAGTTTACCTTTCAGTAGATTCCAAAAAAGAAATACAAGTTTCATAATTTTGTTTAGTATTCCTTTAAATTTTAAATATTCTCTCAGATGCTGCCATATTTCCTAGAGCTAGTGGGGGCATTGATCTTCTGCCTCCTATAAAAATGAATGGCACAGACTAACTGAAAGGACACATGCGCCAGGCCAACACAAAGGTCACCATCTAGAAGCTTCTGTGTCCCCTCCTGCCTCCTATCTTCCACTCACATCTTTATTATAGCACTACTCAGGTGACATCTTCCCAAACAGAATGAATACCTCAGGAAAAATGACCACAATTCTTATCTGTTTCTATATCCCTAGCACCTACTATAGTGTACAGCATTAACAGATACTCAATAGAAAGAAACAAATAAGGAAATATGGGGAAAATGTTTCTAATAGGCAGATTCAAATGAATCTAATTAGATTGAATATGAAGAAAATGGGTGCTTCTCTCTGAATGGGTAAGAATTTTATCATTGGAGTTTCCAGAGTCAGTACTGGGTTCAGTCTTAACATTTCCCTAAAAGACTGCAGTTAATACTTAGCTCTTCCAGGTAGTGAAATGGCATGCTGAGAGGGATAAACTACAGGAGCAGCACGAGGCTGCATGAGTAGGCAAAAAAGGTATCAGAAAAATTTAATGAGCTAGGGAAGGACAATACATTTTTTTTAAATGATTAAAACTATGCTTATTAAGATCATGAACTCTGTTAACATTAATAGACCGCAAGGGATATCTAGTCAGTCAATTGTAGGCTTCATTCTAAAAGTATTAACCCAATATACTACTGCACTAAAAAAGAGACAAAAGATACTACCACCAAAGTAAAGCAATATCATACCACTAACTTGGAACATTCTATGCAATTCAAATTGTCTAAAAACATTTTAGAAATGGAAAAGATCCAAGTAGTATAACTAAACATGAGAGCTGCAGGTACCTTAAGTGATTACTCAAACCCACTCATTTTACAGATGAAAACCTGAAGCCAACGGTAGTTAAATGATTTGCCAAAAATCACCCAGTCTATCTGTAGCATAGCTGGGATTAGATCTCTAACTCTGTTCCACAGTGCTGCCTTATTCACATCTTTTTTTTTTTTTTTTTAAAGAGATGGAGGCGGTCTTGTTCTGTCTCACAGTCTCGAGTGCAGTGGCAATCATAGCTCACTGAAGCCTCTAACTCCTGGGCTCCCCGCAGCCTCCTGAGTAGCTGGGATTTCAGGCACACACCAGGTCTTAAACTTTTTTTTTTCTTTTTGAGACGGAGTCTTGCTCTTGTTGCCCAGGCTAGAGTGCAGTGGCACGATCTCGGCTCACCACAACCTCCCCCTCCCAGGTTCAAGCAATTCTCCTGCCTCAGCCTCCCGAGTAGCTGGGATTACAGGCATGCGCCACCACGCCCGGCTAATTTTGTATTTTTAGTAGAGATGGGGTTTCTCCATATTGGTCAGGCTGCTCTTGAACTCCCGACCTCAGGTGATCCGCCTGCCTCAGCCTCCCAAAGTGCTGGGATTACAGGCGTGAGCCACCGCTCCCGGCCAGGTCTTACTTTTTTTTAGCTGAGTAAAAATCAAAAGTGATTAGGTTCTATCAATGTGAAAGATAAAAAGGCTTAGAATGGAGGTAGGTTCTTAAGCTGTGGATAGGCTCAAGAGAGCCCACACAGCCTCCGAAGCAGCATTTTTCTAAGGAGAGGATTCACAGCTTTTGCTAGATCTCAAACGAATCATGAATCACAATAAATTAAGAACTTAACGCCGGGCGCGCCTGTAATCCCAGCACTTTGGGAGGCCAAGGCGGGTGTATCACAAGGTCAGGAGTTGGAGACCATCCTGGCTAACACGGTGAAGCCCCAACTCTACTAAAAATACAAACACAAAATTAGCCGGGTGCAGTGGTGGGCACCTGTAGTCCCAGCTACTCAGGAGGCTGAGGCAGGAGAATGGCGTGAACCCAGGAGGCGGAGCTTGCAGTGAGCCGAGATGGCGCCACTGCACTCCAGCCTGGGCAACAGAGTGAGACTCCGTCTCAAAAAAAAAAAAAAAAAAAAAAAAAAAGAACTTAGTGCTTTAGGAGAATGACTGCAATAGGTGAAATCAAAGATTATGAATGGGTTGGAAAGATGTTTACCTAACAACAGTATACTAGAACGAAGAATGGTCAATGCTTAAAACTCAAAAGAAATAGCTTTTGGAAAAAAAAAGAAATCTAAGGCAGCACTCCTGCAACATAGAGTTTTCCTTCTAACGGCTGACACTGCAACAGAGTTTTTCTGTCAGCTTCTACCTCTAACAAAAGCAACAGGAAAAAAAAAGATCCTGGTAATTTCAAGCAATGTGGAATGATTAGTACCTATGAGATACTATCACATTTGAAATGCAAAGAGCAAAAATGGAATTCATTACCCTAAAGTAAATAAGCAAGGGATTAAAAAGCTTAGACAAAATTATGGCTAGCAGCACCATTAAAGATGCTGAGTGTGACACCATTAAAGACCAGGATGTCCCTGGTCCTTTTTTTTTTTTTTTTTTTTTTTCGTGGAAACAAGAGTCTTGCTCTGTGGCTCAGGCTGGAGTGCAGTGGCATGATCTCGGCTCATTGCAACCTCCACCTCCCGGGTTCAAGCAATTTTCCTGTCTCAGCCTCCCAGGTAGCTGGGACTACAGGTGCACGCTGCTAATTTTTTGTATTTTAGTAGAGACGGGGTTTCACCGTGTTGCCCAGGCTGGTCTCAAACTCCTGAGCTCAGGCAATCTGCCTGCCTCAGCCTCCCAAAGTGCTGGGATTACAGGCGTGAGCCAGCGTGCCCGGCGTCCCTGGTACTTTTATAGAACCCAGAAACCTGGGCTGGATGGACTGTGAACCCCTCAAAATGGCACACATTATGCTCTCGTAACCTAGTCAGTGCCCACGGCAGTGGTCTCAACCCTTTTAGGGCCTGGCCAGCTGACAACACATACCTTTAGAATGCTCTGTGTCTGGATGCAAGACAATGCGGACATATTTGAGTTCTCCAAACTGTTGGAGAAGCTCCCCAAGTTCTTCTTCTTCTGAGTCAAAGGACAGATTTCTATGGAAGATAACCAGATGATCACAAGAAAAGTCAATTACATAAGTGAGATCCTATGTTCCAGGACAATGTAAGTGAGTTAGATATCAACTCTCCCTTGTTCAGAAATAGCACTAATACATAGGGATGGCCCCCAGTGACCCTTGGCCCCAACTGACTTTCCTTTGTCAATGAGGTTCTCTTTCTCAGGAATCTGAAAACGTAAACAGACACATACAAAGACCAGAAACTGCAGGTAAAGATTCATTTCTAAACAGCGGTGCCCCCCACTAGGGAAACTTCTGGGGTGCTGGAAATTTCTACATCTTGATCTGGGTGGTGGCTACATGGATGTATACATATAAAATTTTAACTGAGCTATATGCTTAGATTAATGTACTTTACAGAATCTATGTTATACCTTAAAAAAAAAAAAAAAAGTGGTGTCCCCAGAGAAAAGACCCACAGCCTCCATCACCTAGGGCCCCAGAACTGCCCAGATTTTCACCCTCTTCCTGAGGCTTGCTCTTTGACAACTTTGATTCTGAAACCCTCTTTTTCCACTTAAATTGACCAAAATTCATTTCTCTTACTACAAACTAGAAGACTCACAGCAGACTAGTGAGAAAAGTCAAATTATCTCTCTTAATTAGCCATTTTTTCCTCTGTGTTGCTATTAAATCCAGGTTTCAATTAAAATCTTACTAAAGTCAGAAAAATCCCTCAAAATAGTAACACAAAAGCAAATACAGTAAAATTTACTAAGTTCAAAAAAAGACAACTACTTACTTCTCTCGATGGGATTAAAAAAATGTTGGAAGGAAATTTTGTTGTCCTAAAATTTCAACACAGTATAAAGATTCCTCATTTCCCCAACTATGTAAATCCTTCCAGGGGTAAGCAAAACAGTCCCTAATAAGTATCTGTAATTTTACTTCTCTTATATGCACTGAATAGCCCCATGAATGATTCTATTTCATGGATAACCCAGATAAAAAAGGTTTTCTGCAATAAAACATATCCTAGCTACATTATTTCTTTTAATTTGCCTTATCTAAGATAGACATAGTTTTCTCTCTTCCACCCCTTTATTTCCCTAAGTTCTTTATTAAAAGGTGTATAAGGAATGGTATCCTTAGTACTGAGGTCACAGGCTTCTTCTTCACTGTGACATTTCTTCCTTCCTGTTAGACAGATCCTCCGCAAATACAAAATCATTTATATGGCAGTTCCAAATAATACAATTTTTAAAACACATGGAAAGACATGCAGTTAGGTGAGAAAATGGGCTTCAGTATAGCATGTATAAATTCATCTCTGTGAATCTTTATGATGTGGGCATGTAGTGTAGATGTTCTCTGAGTAGTGATTAAGGTTAATTTTTTTGACTTTTTGCTCATGTATTTCATCAATTTCCTAGAATGAACACAAATTGTATAAGAAAACAAATTTTTTTTTTTTTTTAAGACAGAGTCTTGCTCTGTCGCCCAGGCTGGAGTGCAGTGGCACAATCCCAGCTCACTGCAACCTCCACCTCTGCGTTTTAAGTGATTCTCGTGCCTCAGGCCTCCCGAGTAGCTGGGATTACAGGCACACACCACCATGCATGGCCAATTTTTGTATTTTTAGTAAAAATGGGGTTTCACCATGTTGGCCAGGCTGGTCTCGAATTGCCCTCAAGTGATCCATCTGCCTCAGCCTCCCACGGTGCTGAGATTACAGGCCTGAGCCACCGCACCCAAGAAAATAATTCTAAAAGATTGTACAAGAAGATAAAATATATAACTCTAAAATCGGATGCAAATGACCCTAGTACACTGGTACTTAAGGACTAGAAGGCAGGCCTGAGGTATACTGAAGACATCCTGACCTCATAAAAGCAGCAATCTATTGCAGTCAGTAGAGCTAAAACACAACAGCAACACGAAATAAAGCCTATTGCCACCCCCACTCCCACCTAGTTTTCCTGGAAACAGATGAGATGCCTTACTTTATTCTGGACACTGCATCAGAAGATAAGTTAGGCATAAAGACAGAAATCATTTGAGACAAGCAGTGTCAATCCTCTCCAGCACTCCCCCTAAAACAAAGGCCGGAAGCAAGATGTTTCTAACAGTTGAACTGATTTCTTCCAAATGATGCCAACCCAATTACAAAGCATGAAATCTAAATGAAAACGTGATGTCAGGACCCATGCTATCTGTCTTCTGTGTTATAGTTCTGATTGTCCTACATTTCTCATTGTTTAGTATGTTCCTGGGACCAGATGTGCTTGATCTAATTTCTGGGCTAGGTAACAGAACTAGTGCCAAAAAGAGAAGAAGAAGGAAGAGAGATCTATGAAGACCACGCAAAAGCAATTCTGGAGGCAGAAAGACATACCTGATAAAAACAGTTTTCCCTTCATTCACATCAGAGGGTAATTTCCTCTTCTTTTTGTTTGAGACTTGCACAGCTAAGGTAAAAAGAAAAACAACAAACTGAAAGAGATTAGTGTAAGCCACATGACAAAGAGCTAACTTCTTAAGTACATAAAGATAAGCCTGGCGCAGTGGCTCATGCCACTTTGAAAAGCCCAGGCGGGCTGATCACCTGAGGTCAGGAGTTCGAGACCAGCCTGGCCAACATGGCAAAACCCTGTCTCTACTAAAAATACAAAAATTAGCCAGGCGTGGTAGCAGGCACCTATAGTCCCAGCTACTCAGGAGGCTGAGGCAGGAGAATCCCTTGAACCTGGGAGGTGGAGGTTGCAGTGAGCCAAGATTGAGCCATTGCACTCCAGCCACGGTGACAAGAGCGAAACAAAGTCTCAAAAAAAATAAATAAATAAAAATAAAAATAGACAAAGGACATGCTAAGTATATGAAAAGATGTTCAAACTCACTCTTAATTAAAGAAAACATAGCACAAGAAATGAGATACTATTTTTCACCAACAGATTGCAAAATCAAAAAGACTGATGGAATCCAATGTGGTAAGGTTATGGGAAAAAGACATTTCCATATACTACTATGACAGTGTAAACTTTCTGGAAATACTGTATAGGACATAGGAAACTTTGAGGAAAAAACATACACATACAATCACACACAAATTATAAAATACACTACATTTTGAATGTGTATATGTGTGTGTATATGTGTGCATTTTGCTTATAAATGTATTAAAATATCTATAGATACACAAGAAACAAATAACCTTGGTTGTCTCTGGGGAAGTTCCCTAAGAAGCTGAGGATCTGGGTATAAGGGAGACTCACTGTTTGTTTTCAAGAACAGACATATAAGCTTATACATACAAAGAAAATATCTGGAAGGATGCACAAGAAACAACAGTGATTACTTCAGGGAATTGTTAGGATTGGTGAGAAACTTCTACTTTGTGTATTACACTCTTCTGTGTTGTGTTTTAACTTTTTATCATTATCATTTATCTGTCCTATAAGTTTTTTAGGTGAAAGAATGGCATGAGACAGCTGACTGTGGGTTGTAGAATACAGGATCTCAGAGTCCCTTCAGTGTAGAAGCTTCTTTGATTCTAAGGTGTATACCATTCTCTCCTCACAGAAAAAGCTTATTTCCTCAGATTTCTTATATGGTCAAACCAACATGTCAGACTTACTGAAATGGAATCAGAATAAAAACAGCTGAAATAAAAATCTCCACCCAGACAAATCAAAGAACCAGTTATTAGCCATTTCTCATTCTGTAATGACCTGCCTTCCTCAATAAACAAGTTGAATTTATTCTCAATAAAGGTAGCAATAAGGATTGGCTAAAGTTTTACAACATGTTCAAAGAGGTCCTTGTTATGGAACGCACTGTGTTCCCCCAAAATTCATACATTGAAGCCCTAACCCCAAATATAATTGTATTTGGAGACAGAGACTTTAGGGAGGTAACTGAGGCTAGCTAAATGAGGTCTTAAGGTTGGGCCCTAATCTGATAGGATTGCTGTGCTTATAAGAAAAGAGAGACCAGAGTTCACTGTTACTTGTTCTCTCTCTCCCCTCGTCAAGCCACAAAGAAAAGGCCATGCAAGCACATAGCGAGAAGGCAGCAGTCTGCAAGCTAGGAAGAGAGCTGCACCCAAAATGAATCAGCTGGCACCTGGGACTTCTAGCCTCTAGAGCTGTGAGAAAATAAGTTTCTGCTGTTTAAGCCACCCAGTTTATGGTATTTTGTTATGTCAGTCCAAACTGACTAAACAGTTCTTTATCCCCATCTCAACTCCAAGGAGTTGTTTAAAATCTAGCTTGATGTTGAGATGGTTATATCATCTGTTTCATCTATATTATCTGTATAAGATGCTGTTTACCTGGTTATTCTATCAAGTTGGACAATCCAGAGAGAGGTAGAACCTCAGCATTAAGCTAGGTTTTCAATTCCCTAAGAATCTTAACCCTCAAACACCACTCCAAAACTCACTTAAAAAACAAAACAAACAAAAAGGAAACAACAAAAAAACCTTTGGAAGAAAGGAGTATAAAGGTTTCCTTTTCAGCATTTAAACATAAATTTGATAGAACACCTTAGAGTCCTATTTAAAAAGAGATCTAAGCAGAACTGATGCTCATTTCCGTAACTTCAGTAACTTTTTTAAAGTCTAAAGACATTTATGAAAATCCAAACAAACCTTTATCCTCTTGCTCCTCAGTGCTGGTATCACTCTGAGCCAGTTCCTCTCCATCATCAATACTATCGCTTTCCTCTAGGTCACTGTCCTCCTCAGAATGATCACTGCTTTTTGCAGGGGCTGGTCTCTTGACTGCTCTGCAATGGCACAGATCAGAACTAAGGAGGTGGGCTGACAGAGGGCCTATTCAATTTCATTACACATGTCAATTCTGCAATGATGCAGGCAGAAAAAGGAGAATTTTTCCTCTCGGAGACAATCTTGAATCTTCCTCTGCTGTCTCAGAACAGGATGAGCTGCTTACCTCTTCTGAATTTGCACAGGCTTGGTCACCTTTGATTCTATATTCTCTTCCTCTTCATCTTCATCATCAAAAACCCCATCTTCTTCATCATCATCATCGTCATCATCATCGTTTTCTTCCTCTTCCATATCCTCTTCCTCTCTGCCCTTCTTTTTAACTGATTCCTGATGTTTAGATTCATGGCTCTTTTCCTCACCTATGGAGGGAGGTAAAGAAAGGAGGAATTCATTTAATATCCAAAACAATGTTATTTTAACAAAAGTAACCAATACTCCAAGTTCTTGGTTTCATCGGTTTTACAGAATTTCGTATATTTTTCTTACTGCATATAACAGGAGAAAGTATAAAGAAAAGAAAAAGCAAAAACAGAAATAAACAAAACTCTCAACACCCAGATTCCTTTAGAGTTTGTCCCATTCATCAGTCTGAAGGTTCATCTGGCCCAGACTGAAAGAAGTGGCAACTGAGCCTCTCCAAGCAGTCTACCATTCGTACATCATAGCCAGCAAAATGCTCACTAGGGGGCAAAGCCAAGCCATGAACTTTAATCTCAGTGCGTTCTATTCTCTGAGACCCTGGTGGCTTACCAGCCAATTGTTTTCTAAATAAACCTCAAGTTTTAAGTTTCTCTATTCTTAATGTTCCATCACTCCTATTATGCACAGCCTGGAAACAACAGCAAGTAAAGGGGACAGTGAACTCAGGCTCACTCACAGCCACTCCCAGGAAGGGGCTTAGACTCAAAAGAGCCTAGGTTTTGGGACCAGAGCACCAAATGGTACAATATGAATTGACAAACAGACCTGGACTCACTTCTGAGCCAGCAGGAATTCAGAGTTTTCCCTGAAAGCCCAGTCTCATTCTTTTGGTTAATCTTCCACAATAGTCTTACTCTGATAAGCAGGTTCTCTTACACTTTTTTTTTGAGACGAAGTCTCGTTTTGTTGCCCAGGCTGGAGTGCAGTGGGGTGATCTCGGCTCACTGCAACCTCTGCCTCCCAGGTTCAAGAACCTGCCTCAGCCTCCCAAGCAGGTGGGATGACAGGCGCCCACCACCAAGCCCAGCTAATTTTTGTATTTTTAGTAGAGATGGGGTTTTGCATGTTGGCCAGGCTGGTCTCAAACTCCTGACTGCAAGCAATCCACCCAAAGTGCTGGAATTACAGGCAAGAGCCACTGCACCCAGCCTTTTTCTTACACTTTTATCATGAACACAGGAGTTGTTTCAATACTCTCACCCAGGTTATACAACGCCCCTACTCACCCAACACTACCACATCTTACCTATAGCAGAAACAGACTGTGTATCTTTATATTTATCCTTTGCCACGGCCCAATCCACAGCCACTGTCCGGCCTGTCAAGCAGAAAAGTGGCATCAGAAAGGCTCTCCTTTTAAAAACCCTACCTCTGTAAATGACCCCTAGTCATCACAGACAATAATGGAACCAGTGGAGACAAAGAAACTGCCAATTCAGGGAATGCTGGTCTTAAAATAAAGCTCCTAGTCACTGCCTACTCCTTTTAACCCTTAACCTTTTTATCAATGAACAGAAATTTTGCCTTTCTACATAGCCACCACACCTGGGATAAGATGGAGTAAAAAAATAAAGAATTAGAACTATGTTTCCAGTTAGACTATCAGGAATCAAAACAGGCATTCTGGAATCATCTGCACCCTACCTGGAAGCTAGGACATCTCTACGGCAATAACTTCTTTTTTTTTTTTTTGAGACACAGTCTCGCTCTGTCGCCCAGGCTGGAGTGCAGTGGTGCCATCTCAGTTCACTGCAACCTCCGCCTCCAGGTTCAAGCGATTCTCCTGCCTCAGCCTCTTGAGTAGCTGGGATTACAAGCATGCACCACCACACCTGGCTAATTTTTGTATTTTCAGTAGAGACGGGGTTTCGCCATGTTGACCAGGCTGGTCTTGAACTCCTGACCTCAGGTGATCCACCTGCCTCCTCGGCCTCCCAAAGTGCTAGGATTACAGGTGTGAGCCACCGCACCTGGCCGGCAATAACTTCTTTAGGCACAGTACTTGATAAGTCAATATATAAATCACAGTCAGTTTAATAAATAGCCCACAGATGCTGAACAGTGATATAACCAAGGAGGAATCTAGATACCAACCTGCATCTATCAGCAATTATCTCAGGGACATTTTTCACTAGGGATTTAAAAGGACACTCTCACCAGATAAAAGAAAGAATACTGGCAAGGGTTCTTTCAAGTTTAACCCCAAGATCAAGTTCTAGAGTATTTCACCTAAATAGCTACCGTATTAGCAATGAGACTCTTAATAATGCAAACATCTTTTGAAAATGCAGAAAGTGGGTTACTACACTAATTCACCAAAACACCAGAAATATCTGGGTCAATGATATGGGTATAGAAAGCTTACCTTTTATCTCTTTCATGTTCATGCCTTTGAGAGCTTTACCTGCTTCTAGGAGGTTTTTGAACTGAACAAAACCAAAACCGCGCATCTTCCCATCTGTGTGCAAATGCACAAAGAAAGAAGTGAGAGGCAGCAGGAGGTAGCCAGAATACTAAGAAGTAAATTACTGCAATTCAGGCCCACAAGATGGCCCAAATTCTGCCAGCAGGTCAGGCCCTTCCCCAAAGCAATTGCTTACATCTTCTTACTGAGTATACTCTGACTTGGACTTGGGGAGAGCAAAACACTTTCTCAAACTAACTCGCCTTCTAAAACTAATTCTGATCCAACAGAAAATATCATCAGGGGAATAAAACCATTATTTGGGTTTTCATTAGATGTGAAGCACTGTGCCAAATACTTCATATATATCATATATGTTTGTTCAAGGGTAATATGTTAACTAACGTAATCCACACCAAGTGAAGGTTTATTAGTACCTGGTTTCCTAGGGATATTTACTTCCAGGACAGCTCCAAATTGAGCAAATACTGTCTTCAAGTCATCTTCTGAACACTGAAGCCAAAAGTGAAGAAAGAAAAAGAGAAACACAATCACAGCAAATTAACATAAAACATCAACTACTAAATTCATTAATTATGAAAAACATGAATGTTTACTTTTTTTTATTTTTGATACTAGGACATCAAATGTTTCTAAATAGAAGACATTTTACTTTGTACCTAAGAGGCAAAAACACAGACGTCTGAGAACTTTTTCTACCTTTTCTTTCTCAGTAGTAGTTTCCCCAAAAAGGAAAGCAGCTTCACACTTAGTGCCCTTATTACACAGGCCCACTTTCTGAATTCAACAGGGGTAAGGTTGATTCCCAGAAGGAATTAAGCCCAATTATACCATCTTGGTGAGGAGTTCTACTAATGATCACATCTTGGCTCTAAAAGCCTTCAAAACATGCAATGTTCATTTTCTCTCTCACTTACCTTAAAGCTCAGGTTCCGAATAATTAATCTGGCTTTCTTATCTGCCACTTTGGCTTTTTTAGCCTTCGGCTCCTTCTTTGGGCACTCTGAGTTTTCTAAAAAATAAGAGGTAATGGAATAAGTACTCGAAAATCACCCACTTCTACGCCAGAACATCACAGAAAAAAAAGCTACTGGCGACAGATGGCATTTACCACAGGGTTAAGTGTGGCAATAATACCAAGGAATACCAGATTTTTCCAAAGAACTAAAATGAGTATCACAATACACTGGATGATTTTGGAGATCAAAAAGAAATGCAAAAAGCTTTAAGTTCTAGAAGCTACCTCCATGCCTCCCTCTTTCATTTTCATAGTGCTCCTCCTCACCCTGGGAGAAAAACTTCCTTCAATTACTAGAAACTCACCATTTTTCCCCTTTTCCTTTGTCTTGTTCCTCAGTTTTTTCTTGGCAACAGTCACGTTGATCTTGCAACCTTCAAAGGTGGTAATCTCCTTGAGGGCCCTCTGAACATCTTCCAGCATTGAAAAAGTGACATAGCCAAAGCCTCGACATGCCTTACTCCCTGGAATAATGGAGTGGGGAGGGAGTGGAGGGGCAGTGTGAAAAGGAGAGAGAATCATAAGCCAAGAGCACTAAATGAGTAAATCCTCAAAGCCTAAGCTAGAGGATATACTGCCAACCCATCTTGCTATCAGTTTGCCAAAAGTCTCAGGAGGGCGAGAAACAAGGGTGGTATCAGTGGTTCCCTCCCCACTTTGCTTAGAAACTGTTAGCCTTCCTCCTCTTTTAATTTAGTGTCTTTGCTGTTAGCTCCCCTTCTTCCCCCTTTCTTGATAATCCCAAGAAAACAGAGAATCCATGACATATGAGGCCCTCAAAGAACTCAACATCAAAAAGAACAAAACATCACCAAAGAAGGCAGGAAAGGTAAGTATATGCTATGGTTTGAATGTGTCCCCCAAATTTCATGTGTTGGAAACTTAATCCCCAATGTAGCAGTATTGAAAGGTGGAGTCTTTAAGAGGTGACTGGATCAGAGGACTCTGTCTTCAGGAATGGATTAATCAATTTATGGATTAATGGGTTAATAGATTAATGGGCTATCATGAGAGTGGAGCTGGGGGCTTTATAAGAAGAGGAAGAGAGACCTGAGCAAGCACATTAGCATGCTCAGCCCCCTCGCCATGACACCCTGCACTGTCTGGGCATTTTGCAGAGTCCCCACCAACAAGAAGGCTCTCACCAGATACAGCCACTAAACTTTGGACTTCTCAGCCTCCAGAACTTAAGAAATAAATTTTTCTTTACAAAGTACCTAGTTTCAGGTATTCTCTTATAAGCAACAGAAAATGAATTAAGACAGTATGGTAGCTTCAAAAATCAGAACACAATAATGCAGTTACTCCTCAAAATAGATCAGCAATAAATGCCTGAGGCCCAGACAAAAGAACCTCAAACAATAAATACTGCTCAGAGAGACTGCAGATGTTATGACCACTATTACCAACGCCTTAGCTGTCGATATCAAATTAAACCTTTCCAAAGCAGCTGTGCATTCTTGTCTCATTTTATCTTTAGAACACCTCAAAATAGGTAAAGCAAATATTATCACCCCTTCTTTCCAAGTAAGTAATTTGAGATGGAAGACAGTAAGTGAATTGGTTAATGTCACACAGGGTGTTAGTAGCTGAATTAACTCCTCCTCACCAGCCCCCATGTTCTTCCATAGGACTCCACAAAGAATAATATTAGGACCAAGGAGATGAAAACTACAAATATCAACTGTAACCCACCTTTGCCCTTTTTGGTTTAACATTTTGTATAGTAAAATTTTAAATAATTTATTGCATCAAAAAGGAAAAGGACAGATCAAGAAGTCTGCCTTTACCTGAAAAGGACACATAGTTCATATGCTCTGCTTCTCTTTCCACTGCATTTGAATCTCCTTCAGGGTATAAGCCCTTTGACACAGGACACTGATCTACATAAACTGGTTAAAGCAACATAACATCAATTTTTCTCTTCTCTTGAACTCCTTATCATAAAAGCTGCCCACTCACCTTTCAGAAAATGAGCACAAGAAAATTCATAGCCCTTCATGATCAGTACAACCAAAAGTAAAGCAGCTGAAATGTAAAAGAGTTTGACACCCAAATGAAAGGACATACAGTAAATACCACACATTTTACATGTCTGCATAAAGCATGCTCACATACATTTAGAGTCCCTGACAACCCTGTGAAATTATTCCCATCTTAAAGAGGTGAAGTGACATGCACTGCTATTGAGGAAGACTTCATTCCACATACCCTCCCTCCCGTTTCACTGAGTGCAGCACTCTTTCCAGTACATATCAGCTGTCTGGATAGGAAAGTGCATAGTTTTTTAAAAGGAAGTAAGAGATTTTTAAGGATTTAGACCAAGTACACAAGGTGTAAGGTAAGATTGCATGTAGCCTATATTCTGAGGACTCAAAGGAGAACTCCCATTCAATGGCCTATTCTTCCCTGGAATACAACCACCTGGGTACGGAATGCTACTTACACTGGAACCCAGTACATACATATATTCTTTATTTAAAACTTAAAAGTTTTACAAATACTTATCCTTTACCATATATGGACGTACTCCTATACTATTTAATTTTTTAAGAACTCTAGGCCAGGCGTGGTGGCACATGCCTGTAATCCCAGTGCTTTGGGAGGCCAAGGCAGGAGGATCATTTGAAACCAGCCTGGACAACGTAGTGAGACCCTGTCTCTACAAAAAATATTCAAAAATTGGCCAGGCATGGTGAAGCACGTCTGTAGTCATAGCTACTTGGGAGGCTGAAGTAGGAGGATTGCTTGAGCCCAGGAGTTTAAGGTTACATTGAGCTGTGATCGCACCACTGCACTCCAACTGTCAACAGGGTTGACAGAGCAAGACCCTGTTTCTAAAACACAACAAAACAAACTCTAGTCATGACCCACTCAAGACCCACTAATAGGTAATAATCTGCAGTTTAATAAACATTACTGTACAGGACTTTCGGTCCCTATTTTAAGTACATAAGCTTTTGTCCTATTCTCCAACAGTCTATTGGCAACACACCAGCCAGAGAGAGAATCTTTCAAAACGAATGCCAGATCACACTTACTGCTCTCTGCTTAAAATCAGTGGCTTCCTATCTCTGAGTAAAAGCCAAAGTCCTTGCAATGGTCTATAACATCCTACATGAGGCGGGCGGATCACCTGAGGTCTCGAGTTCCAGACAACCCTGGCCAACATAGCGAAACCCCGTCTCTACTAAAAATACAAAAATTAGCCAGGTGTAGTGACACTCGCCTGTAATCCCAGCTACTTGGGAGGCTGAGGCAGGAGAATGGGTTGAACCAGGAGGCAGAGGTTGCAGTGAGCGGAGATCGTGGCACTGCACTCCCGCCTGGGCGACAGAGCAAGACGCAGTCTTTAAAAAAAAAAAAAAATCTTACATGATCTGCTACTCTAGATCTCATCTCCTAATTCTCTTCCCTTTACTCACTTCAATCCAGTCACCCTGTCCTCCTTACTACTCCTCCAATATACCAAAAACACCTCTGTTTCAGTACCTTTGAGCTTGCTGTTTTCTCTTCCTGAATTGTTCTTCCTCCGGAGAGGCATGTGTTCACTCTCTCACCTCAGTCCGTCCTTCTCTGGCCACCCTATCTATATTGCCACTCTTCACCCCCTCTCCCCACTATACACATGCACATAGACTTCCTAACCCCTTTCCCTGGCTTATTTTTCTCCTTAGCATTTGACATCATTTTCACGGTTGGCTTGTTTATTGGCTCGTTTATTGGCTCTCTTCCCCACCTTGAAGACATAAAATCAAAGATTTTTTTGGTTTGGTGTTGTGCACTGCTGCATCCCCAGGACCTACAACACTTCCTGGCACACAGTAGGTATTAAGTATTTGCTGAATAAATGAATGAACAAGTGGATAGCATCCTGGCTAAGATGTCCAGGTCTGAGGATCAAATCGGGGGTCCACTACTTAACAGCCGTACAAACTTAAAGTTACTAAATTCCCCTAAATCCCGGATTCCTGTCTGTAAAATGACATTAAGACTCTCCATCCGGTAAGATTGCTGAGAAAATTAAATGAGATAACCTGTATCAAACTGATCACTGTACCTGCCAATCAGGTGACTCTCAATAAGTCTTACTGATGCTCTAGTTAACTATTTTCATTTTTAGCGCGCATAATCAACAGAAAGCGCTATAGAAACGTAAGGGAATGCTTTGCCCTTCATAAACTGACTCCTATGAACGCATCTAAAGCAGAATCAGTTTGGAAAAGAAACTCAGTTCCCTGTCCCTTCTCTTCGGGGAGGGTAAAGAATGATACGGCTCCCTGAAGTTTGGGAAGGTGCCCTCGATCGCAGGAAACCCCAGCCCTATCCTCGACCGCCCCGCCCCTACCTTTTTCAGTCACCACGAAGCACTGCTTCACCGGCCCCACCTGACTGAACAGTTCCTCCAGCTGCTCACTGCGGGCCGAGGGCGGGAGGCGGCCCACAAATAAGGTCAGGCCGGCCATGAGACCGGGAAACCCAAAGCGCGTGAGGACGCGAGCAAACTAGGCCGGCGCACGCGAGCCGAAACGCTGGCTTTGGTAGGACAACCAAGCTCACACGCCGAGAGATTCCGGAAGTGCTCGTTGCCCAAAAGAGACCGGAGGAAAACATGGTCGGGAGGGGGATAAAAGGTTCCGGAATGAAAAAATAATGGCGCCCCGGGGCGTAGCTTCTGGAGCGGGGCTCCGCCCCCTGCCCTAGCATCGCCCTCGCCACTTTTGTGTAAACTTGGCATCAATAATTTCTACCCTAGTGTTACAGCTTTTTTAGAATTTGCCTAGCAGGCTTTCTGGTTTTTGCCGGAAGGCCTCCAAAAAGTAATTTTTTTTCTTAATATACAAAATAAAAATAAATAATTTCTACCCTGTTTAAAAATCTCACCTCCAGATCCTCCCCAAAGTTAGCAGGACAGGCAGAAGAAGTCGTTTTTGCCCCGGGCGTAACTCAGGATCTGATATACTGTGGGTGTTTGATATTTTCTGAAGTGCCTCCACAAATTCCCAGATTACGTGCATAAAACACAACCGGAACACTAACACGTAGACATAGATATATCATATACATCATTCGGACGATTCTCATTTTCGGAGAACACCAGCTGTCTGTCACCTCAGCCTCACAAACAAATTGTAGCTACTAAAATACACATAGACACAGATAGTACACAATTATTATTTCAATAAATATATACTGAGCTCTAACTATGAGCCAAGCATTAGGGATAAAACTGGTGAGCAAAGAAATGACAGGGTCCCTGCCCTCATAGAGATTACAGTCTAATGGTGGAAACAGATTTTTTTTTTTGACAGGGCCTCACTTTATCAACCAGGCCGGAGTGCACTGGCACGATCTCGGCTTACTGCAGCCTCGACCTCCCAGGTTCAAGCAGTCCTCCTGCCTCAGCCTCCTGAGTAGCTGGAACTACAGGTGCACCACCACACCCGGCTAATTTTTGTATTTTTTGCAGAGACAGGGTTTCACCATGTTGCCCAGGCTGGTCTCAAACTCCTGAGCTCAATTAGCCCCCCTTAGCCTCCTAAAGTGCTAGGATTATAGGTGTGAACCACCACACCTGGCTGGGAAGACTATTAGTCCAAAAATTCTTACAAATAAATCACAGCACACACACTGCAGGACCACATCAAACACACTCAAAGCAAACATAACATCCAACTTATACACAGAGACCTAGAACCCATGTCCTCCTAGAAACAGAAGATCTTTGTCTCAAGTCAGCTCATCAGACAGACCCAAAGCTGAGAGCTCTTAATTGGCTAGGAAATCTGGGTGCTCCTGGTTCTGGAACACAGAGAGTGTTTGCCATGCCACTGGGCTCAGGACCTGAATAGGTGCAAGAGAGCTACACCTTGCAGAACAACTAGCTCAAAAAAAAGTACCCAAGGCCATTTTTTAAATAATTTTTTTTTTAGCAGACTCTTGCTCTGTCACCCAACTTGGGGTGCAGTGGCACCATCATGGCTCACTGCAGCCTTGATCTCCTGGGCTCAAGCAATACTGCCACCTCAGCCTCCTGAGAAGCTAGGACCACAAGTGTGTACCACCATGCCTGGCCAATTTATTTATTTTTTTGTACAGACAGTTCTCCCTGTGTTGCCCAGGCTAGTCTTGAACTCCTGGGATAAACCAATCCTCCCACTACGGCCTCCCAAAGTGTTGGGATTATAGGCGTGAGCCACTGAGCCCAGCCAAATCATTACTTTTAAATGATAGTAACATGGCAGATAGAAAACTCAAAAACTTTACAGTTTTAGTACCTTTTATAAGGCACTATGGTGAAAATTAAGTTTCATGATCTCCTCAAGCCCCATTCACTTTCAATACATTTTGGATGGCTAGACGACTGGTTGATAGTGATGGGAGTGGAGATTAGGGGGACGCTAAACATCACATTTATGGAGCTCTAGTTCGAAGTAAGTAATCTATGCTTAAAATAAAACTTCACGATTATTTTTTAAAAATACAACTCACGGCCAGGAGCGGCCGTGATCCCAGCACTTTGGGAGGCCGAGGTGGGTGGATCACCAGATCAAGGGTTCGAGACCAGCCTGGCCAACATGGTGAAACCCCGTCTCTACTAAAAATACAAAAAGTAGCCGGGCATGGTGGCACATGCCTGTAATCCCAGCTACTCGGGAGGCTGAGGCAGGAGAATCGCTTGAACTCAGGAGGCAGAGGTTGCAGTGAGCCGAGATTGCACCACTGCACTCCAGCCTGGGCAACAAAGGAAGACTCCATCTCAAAAAAATATATAACTCACTTTGGGAGATCAAGATGGGTAGATCACTGGAACTCAGGAGTTCGAGACTTCTGAAAATAAAATACAAGTTTATTTTTCTTTTTTTCTGAGCAGAGTCTCGCTCTGTCACCCAGGCTGGAATGCAGTGGTGCGATCTCGGTTCACTGCAACCTACACCTCCTAGGTTCAAGCAATTCTCCTGCCTCAGCCTCCTGAGTAGATGAGATTACAGGCACCCACCACCATGCCTGGCTAATTTTTGTATTTTCAGTAAAGACAGAGTTTCACCAACTTGGCCAGGCTGGTCTTGAACTCCTGACCTCAAGTGATCAGCCGTCATCGGCCTCCCAAAGTGCTGGGATAACAGGCATGAGCCACCATACCCAGCCTAAACTTTATTTTTCAACATTAGCTCCATCAAGTTCAAAACACATTTGTAAGCAATGATACCAGCCACTTAGTCCATCTCTAAAGAACTTAAGGTCTTTGGAATTTAAGCATGTCAATGCAGTCTCTCTCTCTCTCTCTCTCTCTCTCTCTCTCTCTCTCTCTCTCTCTCTCTCTCTATATATATATATATATATATATATATATATATATATATATATATATATAATTGAAGAAAAATGTGAGCCCCTTAAAGATTTTTTAAGATTAGGAAACAAAACTAAGTCAGAAGGAGCCAAAATAGGACCTTAAGGTGGATGCCTAATGGTTTCCCATTAACACTCTTGAAAAATTGCCCTTGTTTGAGAGAGGAGTGAGCAAGAGCACTGTGATGGAGAAGGGCCCTCTCTGTTGAAGGTTTCCCCTAGGTATTTTTCTGCTAAAGGTTTGGCTAACTTTCTCAGAACCCTCTCACAATAAGCAGATGTTATCATTCTTTGGCCCTCCAGAAAGTCAGACAGAAAAAAAAAAAAATGCCTTGTAGGCCCGGTGTGGTGGCTCATGCCTGTAATCCCAGCACTTTGGGAGGCCAAGGCGGGCGGATCACCTGAGGTTGGGAGTTTGAGACCAGCCTCAGAAACATGATGAAACTCCATCTCTACCGAAAGTACAAAATATTAGCTGGGCTGTGGTGGCATGCACCTGTGGTCTCAGCTACTCTGAGGCTGAGGTGGGAGGATCGCTTGACCTGGGGAGGCGGAGGTTGCAGTGAGCTATCGTGCCACTGCACTGCACTCTGGGTGACAGAGTGAGACCCCATCTCAAAACAATAACAATAAAAATTTAAAAATAAATTTAAAAATATTACTCAGGAAAGGAAGCTTTGAAATACAAAACAGATTTTTAAGGTTGCTATGTTAATCCTATCCAGGATAAAGAGAAACAAACAGATAAAGGCAATGGGATGGATCATGTAACAAAGTTGGTTTGGGACTCCACATCCTCCTCTTCCTTCTCCTTCCCTCCTGCCCACTCCTATCACCTTAGGAATTAAAATTCCACCCCCAAAGATTAAATTGTGAGCTTCAGAACCCCAGCTAAGGGGAAGCCTTCCTAGTCCTGGCTGCAGTCTGTACAAGGAAAACAATCCTGAGAAGATTGTTCCAATATTCCTTTGTGAGACCCTCCACAAATGCTAAGTTTTAAATAGCTCTGATCCAAATCTTCCTTAATTTAGGACAAATCTAACTGTGTCTCTATGCCCATCAGGGGGCAGCAGCCACCCACAGTGCAGGGTTCTGTGCCCTTCTGGGAGGACAACAGTGCAGCTGACCCTTTCTACCCTCCCCACGGTTCAGACCTGGTTCCCCGATCTGTCTCTCAGCCCAATCCCCTCCAATCCATTTATATCAGGGCAGGCAATGGTTCTTTCCTCAGGAATATTTGCTCATCCATCTACCCAAGACACATGCAGCAATCTTTATTAAATAGCAGGTGCTGTGCTACCCTGCATCACACCAGCAATGTGGCTTCCAGGGGAAATAAACTGCTGGCCTCCTCCTCATCCATCACTGTGCAGGAGCCAGGAAAGGAAGTAAGAGAGGCCTGGGCTGTTCTCAGCCAGCCTCTTCCAGATCCCATCCCTCTAGCTCCACTCCCCCTGGCAAGCTAAACCTTCTTATAATACAGAATAGTTCTTGGCCTTAACACTTGTCACAACTATAATTAATTACTTGTGCTATTGTGATTATTTATGTCATTAGTTGTTTAACATCTGCCTTCCCCCAACAGGCTTTCAATTTCGTAAATTCATGGCTGGTGTCTACCTCGTTCACCTGTCTATTCCCAGCACCTAGTACGTCATAGGCATTCAGTAAATATTCTTTAAGAGATTGAATGAATGAATAAATGAATGAATGTGAGTTTGTCTTTCAGTCCCCACAATACCAAGACTTGGAACTGAAGGGTGTAGGCATTAGGATCTACCTGGATTCTTCCTGGGAAACCCACTCTGGGTAAGGGATGAGGCATGAGACAAAAGGAAAGGATCCTCTAAACAAAATCTTGGCCTCTTTATGAAGTAAAAGGGCTGAGGTTATCCTTGCTGAGGAAAATCAAAGAAGTGTTGGAGCTGGTGAACACCGAGCTGTATTCCCTCAACTCCCTCCTGCCTCCCCCCAACTCCATTTAGAGCTGCCATACAGAAAAGGAGTGTATGTGCAGAAGTGTGTGTGTGTGTGTGTGTGTGTGTGTGAGAGAGAGAGAGAGAGAGAGACCAATAGACAGGCCAACAGAGAGACTGGCTAGGGTATTCAGGGCTTGGACTGCTCTTTCGGGAAGTGTGTGCATGAACCCAAGGACCCTTGTTGGGGAGAGTGAGTGAGAGAGACAGGAGCTGGCAAGGACCAGTGTGAGGAAGAGATGGCATCGAGGAGCTGAGTGTGAGCAGAGGCAGATGAGAGGCAGATAGAAGAGTGAGTGGGAAAGAAAGGGAGCAGTTTCTCAGAGCAGCAACAATCCTTGCATGACACAAAGCAACTCTGATGCTGGGCCCACTGCAGCCACTATGACACCAGTGAGAAATGCCTGTAATTAGGAGGTTGGCAGTTCTCTGGGCCTCAGCCCAGAGTGAGGATGCAGCAAGAATTTCTGAGCCAGGTGATGGAGGAGACGCAATCAAAACCATTCTAGTCCCATCCCTCCACCGCACCGGCACCACCTCCCTCCCATTTCTCTTCCCCACTATGATTCTCTCTCTCCTCCAAACACAACTGATTCTCCTCCTCCATCTGAGGTCCCAGGCCCTGGACGCTCCTCTCAGCCAAGACAGATGTTCATCTGCAAGGAGAGTAGTGCTTGAATTCTTCCACTCCTGCATTGGACCTGGTCTGGCCAAGGGCTCTACCCTCTCCTGGCTTCCCTGCCTGCTTCCCTCTTGGCTCCCAAGCCTCCCTTCCAGTCCCCAGGAGCTGATGGGCAAAGTTGGAAGAAAAAAATCACGAGGTTCCTGTGCTTCCACTTTGAGCCTAGTGTGTATGCTCCTGCAGGTCTCCCTGTGATATGCAGGACAGCTGCCAAAACACTGTCAGATTTTTGTTTTCAAACCTAATCCACAACCCTGTTTTTGTGCTACTCGGAACCACCGCATTTTAGCCAAATGACAAACACACACCACAGAGCGCAGAGCCAAATGCTCCAGGCAAGGGAGGGATTACAGAGTGCCTGGTGGTTGGATGTGTTTGTGGGTCTCTCACTGTGAACTTTGCTACAGGAGCTGGCTGGGCTGGACAGGCTTTCTCCAGGGAGGATCTGCACCTATTAGAGATGAGAGTTCTTCAGGAGAAGGGGGAGGGGGTTGAAGAGCCCCTGTTGGTGGGTGAAAAGGTAGAAAGGTAGTTTCCTCTTTGTGGATCCCAAACTGTGGGAACATGGCAGGGAGGCTGCTGAGGATCCCAGCTCAAGGTGACCAGGACCTTTTACATGCGTCTCAATATTTCCATGAAGGACTTGACTCCTAACTAGTCCCCAGCCAATTGTCTACCAGGACCTGAAGCCAACTCCTAAGAATGCAGGCATTTCCACCAATGACAGTAGAGTTTCTGCCTCACCTCCCAGGGCGATGTCCCATCTCTGTGAAAAGCCACTTCCCAACGATTCAGAAGAGTCTTCAAGGGGCTGCTCCCAGTAACCCCACTCATCCCAGAAACAGGACAAGACTCGTTGGTCTTGTATGAAGGTCCCTGGGGTCTGGAATGGACCCACCCCACCCAAGAGCTGCTTCTCTTCCACTAGTGATGGAATCACTGGTGCTGTTGCTCAATTGAGTTTTCCCAAAAAAGTCAGACCTTGCTCCTCTGAAAATATTTTATTGATAAATTAAGAGCATTCCCCTCCCACCCAACTGCTATAAAGTCTCCTAGATGGGTCATGGACCCCTGTGGGTGTCACATGGAGGAAAGGGAGTCCCATTCACACAGGGGTGGGATTCCTAGGCATGGCAGAGGTGGGTAGGGGGGCCTGAGGCAGGTCCCAGGGTCCTCTGAGGACAGCCCCTCTCACTCAGCACCAGAGTGGGGAGTGGTGGTCAGGAGTGGAGCACCTTGGAGCTTTATTGCTGGTGAATGCCAAGGAAAATGGGACCCCTGCCAACCTAGATTTGCAGCTGAGGGCATCAGCACCCAGGGCTCCAGAGAAGGTGGCACTGATTCCCAATCGATAGAGCCTGGCTGCTGACCCACCCACCCAGGGACCCCTGGATGGGGAAGGAATCTGGAGAGGTATCTGAGCCAGGGAGGATTGGGGAAGGATTACAGTGTGCAGGTCTCGGGCAGGGCAGGCGCCAGAAAGGGGCATATCGCAGGGTAGCAAGGTGGCCACCTCTTCACAGGTCTATGGTGTCGCTGCCCACGCTCAGCTCGTCGATCTGTCGGCAGGCGTCCAGGAACTGCTCCTGCAGCAAGGCCTCCTCGGCCTGCAGCTCAGAAGCAGGCTCTGGGGAGTCGCGAGAGGGTGGGGACAGGGCCTGGTAGGATCCTGAGGCCGGGAGGCTGGGGCTGCTTCCTGAGGGCCGCGGGGGACTGAGGACGCAGACCAGAGGGCAGCGCGGGGGCCTGTCGGGGCTGGAACACAGCAGCATGGACGAGCTGTCCCGCGAGAGTCCGCAGAACGAGCCAGATGAGACGCTGCTGCCTGCGGGCCAAGCCCCAGGGGAGGGGAGCTCCGGGGGCGCAGCGGGGCCAGAGGCCTCCCCTGATCTCTCACTGGCCCTGCCCCCGGTCCCCAGCGAGGCGGTGCGGTAGAGTCCGAGCCCAGGCAGAGCGTCCTCGAAGGCAGGGCCCTGGAAGAGGCCAGGCGCAAGCAGGGCCTCGCTGCAGAGGGCCTCCTCGATGCTGCGTCGCAGGTTGATTGGGGAGGGCGGGCGGAAGTCCACGGTGTAATCGCTGCAGGGAGAGGAAGCCGGGGACGGGGCCGGGTTGGCCGCCGCGCCTTCGAAGCCCCGGCAACCTCCGCCCTGGAGTAGGAGGTCTGGGCCTGGCCCTGCCAGCGCGCACAGCTGCAGCAGCTCCGCGTCCCCGCGAGCGATGGCGCTCCCCAGGGGCTCCTTGTCTGGGGGCCCAGTGACCCAGCCTCCCGGCAGCAGCGGAGCCGCGTGGCCCGGGGACAAGCGGAAGAGCTTGGCCCAGCAGCGCGGCGGCACGCGAGGACTGCAGAGCGCCGGGTAGAGGCCCAGCAGCGCCAACGGGAGCGCGACGCCCACCTCGCCCAGGCGCAGGCCTAGCTGGAAGGCCCACCAGGGCCAGGGCCCTTCCAGGCCGGATTGGCCGCCGTAGCCCAGGGCGTGCAGCACCTCATAGCCCTGCAGGGCTCCGCTCAGCAGCCCGAAGGTGCCCGCCACCGGGGCCGTGCGCGCCGCGCGCCGCCAGGACTCCCGAGGGGCGAAGGGGCTGCGCCCCTGCGGCAGGGGTGTGGCGCCCTTGAAGCCCGACCCTCCCAGGGGCGCCCCGGCCCGCCGCCGCCGCCCGCCCCAGCAGGAGAGCGCCAGCAGCAGCCCGGAAAGGAAAGCGGCGAGAAAGGCGTGCAGCCCGCGCGAGGCGAGCCGCAGGGGCCGCAGCGGGCGATGCGCGGCGCTCCCGAGGGCGGCGGCGGCCGCCAGCCCCAGCCCCAGGAGCAGCAGCGCAGCCAGGCCGGTGGGGCACCGCGGCGGGCGCGGCCGGGCCAGCAGCAGGCAGGCCAGCCCCAGGCCGGCAGCCAAGCAGGGCAGCGGAAGGTCCTGCAGCAGCAGCCAGGCGAGCGCGGGCAGTCGATCCCTGTGCCCATAGGCGTCGTAGAAGAGCGGGAAGGCCCGCGTGGTCCCGGCCGACAGCAGCAGCAGGTCCAGCAGCGCCAGGCAGGGGGCGCCGGGCGGGCACCGCCAGGGCAAGAGGGCCAGAGCCAGCAGCGCCAGCAAGGCAACCAGGCCGAAGAGCGCGCCTACCCCGTACACGTGGGCCTCCCAGGCCAGCCCCCAGCGAGCCCTGGCCTCTGCCCAGTCGGCCTCCAGGGTCAGGAAAAAGAGGGGCCTCGGCGCCTCGGGAGGCTGCCCCTCGCGTTCAGGCAATTCTCCCACGCTGCAGGACCCTGGCCCACACTCTGGCTGCCCCGAAGGGTTCCCGAGGCTGGCGGGAGGAGAGAGGTCATCTGGGCCAGAGATGGGGACTGTGGGGTCTGTGGGCAAAGAACGTTTGGCTTGAGGCAATGATGCAGCCCTCCCCTTACCCACCCCACAAGCAGTAGCCTGAATGCCAGTCAGAGTCCCCTACCGTATCCAGGACACACTTGTCTTACATATGAGACTCACCCCACCTCTTGGCCTCTCACCTTTCCCTCCCCCGCGCCCCTATTCAATGTCTTCGCTGGAGTTTGAGCTGTCATCCTTCCCCTCTTCCTTCTCCTACTTCTCGCGCTCTGCCTCGGCCCCCCAGCTCCCTGCTTGGCTTGTTTGTGATTCTATTAAAGAGTTTTTCTTTGAAGTCACAGAACTTTACAACTGGAAGGAGCCTTAGACACCCCCTCCAGTTCAATCCCCCCACCAGAAAGGAAGCTTTATGAGAACGGGGATTTTTGTTTCTTTGCTCACATCTGAATCTCCATACTTAAATTAGTTTCTGTCACACAGTTGGAATTTAGCAGATATTCATTGACTAAATGAATCCCTGTACTGCCGGATGCAGATACTGAAGCTCTTCTGAGAGGCAAAGTGACCTGCCCAAGGTCACAAATGGGCAGAGCTGCACCTAGAACCCAGGTCTGAACATCAGTCTGAGCCCCTTTCTGTGATTCCAAAGCCTCGTTCTAACATTAGTGTGCTTATCTCTTGTTCTGCACCCCTGACTCCCAACCCCCAACTTAGTGCTAGGAGGAGCTTCCCTGCCCTTTTTCAACTACTCCCCCACCTTATCTCCATCTCAAGGAAAAGCCCACACATGTGCATACACACATACACGCACACACACACACACACGTACATCAGGGGAGAGGTAAGACAATGCTGTCTCAGCACTCTGAGGAAAACATCATTTCTCCTTATTCATTGGCCTTCCTGCCTGCTACACCCCAACCCTTAGCCTATCCATGGCAGTGACCCCTATCCTGCCTCATCCACAAAGCCATTGGTCTAACTGTCTTAATATAGATGGCTCCATGCTTCTCCCCACACTGTACGGAAGGTGACATTGAGATGGACTCCCCCAGGTCTCAAAAGGTGCCCTTAGGAACTCCCAGGGAGAAACTCTTGGGGACATCATAGTGGGATAAAATGCCATCTAAGTAAGTGAGCCCCTCAGTTGCTCTGGGGTTTGCTATCTTGGGTCCCTAGCCCCATCCTGTGCTCCAATACCTTCCCATATCCCTTGGAAAAAGGGAAGTCACCTAAGAGAGGGTGAGGAGTAAGATCCTTAATTCTACTCTTCTGGAGCAAGAGAAGAGTTGGGTAGAGTTAGACTCAAGGATTCTCCCCAGGGCCAGGCAGCAAGGGAAGATGCTGGAAGCTGAACCTCTATCTGCCCTCACCTACAGATTCAGCAGGACCGCAGCCACAGGCAAGGGTAGAAGAAGAAAGGGTGGCGAAGGATGTGGACAGCCTGGCAGGGATGGATAGGTGGACCAAAGACAGATATGGAATGTGAGAGGAGGGTGCCTGATAATCACCCAACTGCCTGGCCCTGCCCTGGCCATGCCCTAGCTGGACAACACAGGAAGACCCCAGGAGCACCCCCAGCCACAGGCAGGGTCAGCTCATGCAGGGGACACTCAAAACATAACAGTTCTAGGCCTGGCGCGGTGGCTCATGGCTGTAATCCCAGCACTTTGGGAGGCCGTGGCGAGCAGATCACCTGAGGTCAGGAGTTTGAGACCAGCCTGGCCAACACAGCAAAACCCCATCTCTACTAAAAATACAAAAATTAGCCAGGCGTGGTGGCACATGCCTGTAATCCCAGCTACTCTGGAGGCTGAGGCAGGAGAATCGCTTGAACCGGGGAGGCGGAGGTTGCAGTAAGCAGAGATCGCGCCTCTGCACTCCAGCCTGGGTGACAGAGCGAGACTCTGGCTCAAAAAAAACACACACACACACACACACACACACACACACAACAGTTCTTAAAAATAATAAATGCGTAAAAGATAAACAAAAAACATAAGAGTTCTGAGAACAAGGAAAAGGAAGGAGTGAGGGGGCTGGCAGGTGGCTCTGAGAGAAGGAAAGGGAAGATGGAATTGGACAACTGGGGAGGGCAGAAAGGAAGCAGCCAAAA
Organism: Homo sapiens; assembly: GCF_000001405.40. Classification (NCBI taxonomy): domain Eukaryota; kingdom Metazoa; phylum Chordata; class Mammalia; order Primates; family Hominidae; genus Homo; species Homo sapiens. The sequence goes on from NC_000007.14 coordinate 128,354,766, forward strand.
CATTAAATATACACAGCTCACTGCCAACTGCAAGTGGCAGCATGCGCCCTGGTTCCCATTCCATCACATCCTCAAATCTGAAATGAGTAAGAGTACCTACTGCATAGGACTGTTGTGAGAAAAATGAGACAACGTGTGTAAAACTCTGGAAAACCTGGTGCATAATGATCCTTCAGTCAAGATTGTGTCGTTATCATGATCATCAGCTAATGTTCATCACTGATCCATCATCTGTTTGTGTATGTGTCAGTGTGACTACCTCTGGTCTCAAACAGTTTCTTGATTCAATTAACTAAAGGCTGCGGTCTGTTTTCAAAGCCTTTCACAGTCCTAAACTTGCGTAGAAAGACAACGATTAGTCAAAGAGTGAACATCAACACATTGTCTCACTTTATGAACTCTGTTTAACTAATAACTTTGGGTTTTTTGTTTGTTTGTTTGTTTGCTTTTGAGACAGAGTCTCACTTCATTGCCCAGGCTGGAGTACAGTGGCATGATCTCAGCTCACTGCAACCTCCACCTCCCAGGTTCAAGTGATTCTCCTGCCTCAGCCTCCCAAGTAGCTGGGATTACAGGTGCGTGCCACCATGCCCGACTAATTTTTATATTTTTAGTAGAGATGGAATTTCACCATATTGGCCAGGCTGGTCTCGAACTCCTGACCTTGTGATCCACCTGCCTCGGCCTCCCAAACTGCTGGGATTACAGGCGTGAGCCACCGCGCCCGGCCAAATAATACTTTTCTGATGGCCTACCCACCCCTTAACACTAATAAAGACACCAGCCATCAATTAAACGAGAAACTACTTAGCTGGGAATGGAGAGCTTGCTGATCAGGTGGCATAGGTCTGGCAATGGCAGGATCAAATGCACACACCACCTCACCCCTCATTCTTTGGTCCCTTCAGATGCCCTTGCCCAACCCACTTCCTCTGCAAAGTGATTGGGTTTGCTCCATCTCTCTTTGGCCTCTGTGGCCTCTGCAGAGGGGCAGGAAGACATGACCTAGGAGCCCACGGTCTGCCCCAGCCTGTCACCCCCTTACCACACCCTCTTTATTCACTGTACAGGTAAGTGCAGCTGTCAGAGGTTAGCTCCAATTCACCCTCTTCCATCTTTACTTCTCACCCATGGGCCACAGGAAACCTTATCTCTCATCTCTATACCTAAGCTCCATGGCAACTACAGCAAATTTCAACATTCATAAGAATCCAGGCTGGGCTGGTGGCTCACGCCTGTAATCCCAGCACTTTGGGAGGCCGAGGTGGGCAGATCACAAGGTCAGGAGTTCCAGACCAGCCTGGCCAACATGGTGAAACCCGACTCTTACTAAAAATACAAAAATTAGCTGGGCATGGTGGCAGACACCTGTAGTCCCAGATACTCAGGAGGCTGAGGCAGGAGAATCGCTTGAACCCGGAGGATGCAGTGAGCTGAGATCACACCACTGCACTCCAGCCTGGGTGACAGAGCAAGACTCTATCTCAAAAAAATAAATAAATAAAAAATAAAATAAAATAAATCCAGAAAAGGAATAAAAACCAGATAATAGGCAAAGTACAGGGGTGGCTCAAGTGTCATAAAAGGAGTTCTGAATTAGAAACACTGATCCCATGCTCTGCATGCCCCACACTGGTCCAGGTGTGAATGGGGACAGGTGGAAAAAAAACCTGGCTTCTGCCTTTGTAGGGTCCTCTTGACCTCATCACCCATCTCCCCATTGGAGGCTTCTCCAGAAAGAGCCTTCAGTTTTCCCCAGAAGAGTCCAGAAGATAGTCATCTCTGTTCCTCCCTTCCCAGGATCTCTCTCCTGAGCAAGCCTCCTTTACTGGGAGGTCCCTTTCTGGCCCTGTGGGCCCTCTTGACCTCAGTGGCCAGGAGGAGAGGAGATATCAATGTGAATAACTGGTGAGGCAGGCGCTGGCTGGGGAGGGGTTGTGGGAGGGAACAGTTTGATTCATGGAAAAGTCAGGCCTGATTATCCACCAGCTGCCCAGATCAAAGGGCTAGGAATCATGTCTCCACTCTGGATGCTGGAAGCTACAGCCCATTCAGTGGCCTGGCCCCATCCCTCTCCCCACCCCCACCTCCAGGTTCATGGAGGGTGGTTACACTTTGTAGGGGTGACACTCAAAATGTCTAGCAACTGAGTTGGCACAGGTGCCAGCCAATCAGAACTGACACCAGCCAGAGTGGTCAGGGAGTGGAGGGGAACCCTCTGTGGACTAAGCGAGGTGGGCACTGATTCACTGGTATGAAAGCTGCACACTGATTAACTTGATAACTGTTCTGGTATGTATGGACTGAATACAGGCTCTGTCTGAGGTGAAGGGGACCTAAGGCAAGGAGGGCCTAGGAGTCAAAGGTTAGTTGCACTTAGGTTAGAAAGATTCTAGAGGCAACACAGAGAGACTCCCTTTGTATGGTAACTGCTTGATACAAATACACACACACACACACACACACACACACTCTCTCTCTCTCTCTCTCTCTCTCTCTCTCTGCTGGCAAGAGCAAGGCCCATTGGCGTTCTCTCCAGGAGGCCTATAGCTCTCCTGGGTTTATTTAGAGGTGCAGTATCAGGGGCTGGGTTCCTGCAGCTACCAGGGAGGAGGGGGAATGAGGTGGGGCCGCCAGCCTGCCCGGCTGCACTGCCTCTGATACTGTCCAGACTCATTAAACCTGCCTGGCCAGCGCTGTCACCAAGGCCGACAGACTGCCAGCCAGCATCCTTCCCCTGAGGCACAGAAACTGCCCCCTACCCCCAATCACATCCTGCCCCTGCTGCACGCTGGGCTGGACAGAGGCATAGCAGGCCCCTCACCCACCATCCAAGGGAGTGCAGTGACTGTGGCTGGAGTGAGCCAGAGAACCAGGTCATGGGTTAAGTCTGGAGCTGGAAGAAGCTGGGGAGACCAGTGGTTTCCACTGCTGAGCCTAGTGAGGGGTGACTGAGAAGTTTCACAGCCACAGTAAACCTTTTGCAGAGCAAAGCTGGGCCTGAAAGCCCCTCAGTCCCTCTCCATGACTCCCTGCCTCATCCACCAGAACCTCTCCTCCAGCTCCTGTGCCCTCTGCTGTGTGGTTTGTGTTGTCCCACCACTGCCTGGGGCCAAGGCTGAGGTTTCTGAGAGGTAGGGTCTGGAAGTGGATTTGGGATGCAGTGGGGGACAGAAGCAAGGTTAATAGCTACTATTTAATGAGCCTCTACTTTGTGCCCAGCATCATGCTAAGAGCTTTGCAATAACTAGCAAGTACTATTATTAAACCCTGGGTCTATGAGAAAATTTAGGTTCAGAGAGGTTAAATAACGTGCCTAAAGTCACTAGCTAGTGAGTAAATAAATTGTGATTCAAAGCCAGGTCTCAAGATTCCCGAGCCTGTGGTCTTTCCTCGTACCACCAGCTTGTCCGTGTGCATGTTCTGAAAGGCTTTCTTGAACGAAGGTGGCATCTGCCTGCTCAAGGTCTCCTCCTCAGTGTCTTCCCAATGAGAAACCCAGCTCTTCCCATATCTGACAGCATGTCATGTCAGATCAGATGGCAAAGGAAAGAGCCCCAAGGTTGGTGGGGAGTCAGGTCAGGCAGACTGGAGTGGAGGGTGGGGTTAGTGCCAGGGCTGTGGAAATCATGAAGAAGTTCCTGTGTCTGTTTGTCCCTGATACATCTGTCTACATCCTGCTCTGCCTCTCATTGCAAAACACTCAGGGGACCATTACTTAACTCTGTGTGGGACTTTCTCCAGCAATACTTTCTCTCAGACCATTCATATATATCTCCACGGTGATGATGAAGAGAATGATGATTATGATTATGATGACAATGAAATAAAAGGGTCCCAGAACACTGATGAGTGACTAGCATGTAGTAAGTGCTCAATAAATAATTGTCAAGTTCAAATGAATTGGATACTTACCTAATGATGTTGTTGCAATCGAGGCAAAACTTAGGGAAGCAGCTGGGTCCAGAGGACTTGGGCTGGAGAGCTTCCTCTCCAGGGAGTATGGGGGCAGGGACAGAGTGGTACCAAGGAACCCTGCAAAGGGAGCACATGGGGCTCAAGTGCCACCCCACCAACCAGCCTTGCCTCTGGGAGTTTGGAGAAAATTATGTCCTTCCCCAGAGTTTGTCCTAAGGAAGTCACTGTCCCAGGAATTGTAGCCACATGCTAAGCTCATGTACACCATGAGCTAAGCTACAAAGAGCAAACCAGATTCAGTATGGCAAAGAGAATACTCCTTCCGTGGAAGTAGTAGCCCATATCCTAGGGCCTGGAAGAAGCAATGCAAGAAAGTAAAAAAAGAAAGGTACTTGTTAGGCTCCTAGCACAGCGCTTGGCACGTAGAGTGTTCCACAATAGTTTATTGCAATGAAATAAACTCACCCAGAGAACCCGAAACTCCAGAGGCAGAGCTTGTGGATGTAGTTTCACCTGGGGGGCTCAGGCCGGAGAAGTTCCGGAGTGGGGACAGAGTAGTGCCAAAGAATCCTGCAAAAGAAGCCCAGGCTGAAGCTGCCTCCTACCTGCCAGGGGTGCCCAGCAGGGGCTTTCCTTGGGATGGGGTGGTTACTCACCAAAGGGTCCCAGGCGCCCAGCAATCTCTGCCAGGCTGGCCCGCAGGCTGGGCAGCAGGGGCAGCGTTCGATGCCCAAGCGTGGGGGCTGCACCTGCTCTCAGTGCCATGTCAAACTTCAGCTCCAGCTCGCTCTGGTGGGGCCTGGGAGCACTGGATGGAAGTGCTGTCACCATCAGAGCAGTGTCCCAGGTCACAGTGCTCCTCCTGGGCTGATAGGGGGCAGTGGGCCCATCGCTGGGCCCAGAGCGCCGGGATGTGGACTCCGGAAGCAGGGAGGAGGCCCGGGGCTTTGAGCCACCTTCGGTGGAGCCCCACTCAGTGAGAGAGTTCCCTGAGGAGCCCACCAGCAATTCCCAAAGGGGGTCAGTCCTCAGCCCACTGGCCACCTCTTCCCCTGGCTCCTGGCCTGGCCCAAGAGAGAGTGGCTGGGTCTCTGTGACTGGGCTCCCCCAGACAGCAGCAGGTCCCCGAAGATGGAATTTGAAGTTAAGTCCCAGGTTGAGAGACAGCATAGAGGCCTCACTTTGAGGTACGGGGGTCAAAGTGGTGGCAGGGGCACCTGGGATGGAGGGGGTGGGCTGGGGGCCCACAGTAGCAGCAAACAGGACGCAGCAGAACAGTCCCAGCCCTAGACAGCCATGCCTGGCCATGGCCCCACCTGGCTTCGGGTGGCCTTGGTGGGCAGGGACTCAGTTGTTCAGCAGCTTTTGAGGAGGAAGGTCCTGGAGAGAGGAGAGGCCCTGTGAGCCCTGGCTGTGGCCCCCCTCTTCCCTTTCCCAGGATCGGATGTCCCAGAGAGAGGCTTCTGATCTCAGAGAAGCAGGTAGTGTGGGCAGGATGCAAAGTGTCCTGTCCATGGCTCTGGCTCTTCTTGCCGGGCCCTTCCTGTACCTTCAGGCCCCAGCACAAATCCCTGCCTGGGGGTTCCTCCTTCCCCCTCTGCTCATGCAGAAGCTGGGGTCTGACTGCAACCAGGGGCCCTCATCCTTAACTAGTAGCAAAAGGGATGGACTTGGGCTTCCAGACATGGATTCCTCTCTTCCTTCCCTCTGCTGAGCCTCAAGTCTTTACGCAGGCTTACCGTTTGCCAAGCACCCTTCTGGGCATATAACTGTGAACAAGCAAGCCCTTCCGATGTCTTGACCTATTCCAACCCCCACCTCCCGCCCCAGCCAGAAGTGCTGGCGCCCTCACTCTCAGACCCCAGGGGGCACAGGGCCTCGGGAGGGGTAAAGCCAGAGCTGAGTGATCTGGCCCAGTCAGAAGGCCGCCCAGGCTCTGGCCAGAGAAGCAAGGTTCCCAATCTGGCAGAAGCACCCTCCCTCCCGCCCCTCCCGTTTCCTGGGGCTGGGCCTGTTCCCTTCCCTAGGACCCTTGAAGTATTCGGGGGAGGGGCAGCTTGGCGATCTCCGGCTTCCTGGAGGAGAACGCCAGGCAGGCAAGCTGGGCGAACTGCAGGCAGCTGCGGCGGACTCCTACCCCCTCCCCAGAACTCTCTCCTCTGTGCGCACACATCTGGTGGGGGAAGGGAGGGTGAGCCAGGGACACACATGCACCCGGCACCCTTACATCACACACATAGCCACATCTAGCGCCCGTGACACACTCACCCGTCACATACCCCCCTGCCCCTGCACGCGCGCGCGCACACACACACACACACTCCGTCCTGCCGAGCCACTCTCCTCCCTGCATGGGTTCAAACCCAAGCTCTGTGAGCCCCCGGCCTCCCCTGTCTCTCTCTCTCTCTCTCTCTCTCTCTCACACACACACACACACACACACACACACACACACACGGCATGTACTGTACAGAGATGCACACCCCCTACACACATTCACACACACAGACATGCCACACACCGCCATCCCCCCACACTCGTACACGCCCACCACCCCTCGCAGGCACACATGCACACACGCGCGCGCACACGCACACACACCCCCAGCCCGGACCGGCCGACCTGCTCCCCGGGGTCTCTCCCGCAGGCAGGTCTCCTCGCCGAGCCTCCGAAAAGGGGCGGTCGTGGCGGCCCTGGCGCCCAGCTGGGCAACGCTTCGTGGTATCTCACCGCTTCTCTCTGTTGTGCCCAGCGCCCCGACTGAAGATCCGGACCTCCAGCCCCCGGCGGCCCCTCGCCTAGTCCAGAGACCGCAGCCTCGCCGCCCCGCTGCCCCTGAGCCGCCCCCGGCCCAGCCCCGGCCCGCAGCGCTCTCACCAGGCGGGCGGCCAGGCCCCGCGCTCCGCACTCCGCACTCCGCGCTCCCTCCCAGCGGCGCCGCCTCCTGGCTCCGAGCCTCGCTCCCCGGCGAAGCCGCCCGCGCCGGGGCTCCGCGGCAGCCGGCTCTGACGGCCCTCCCGTCCGCCCGCCCTCGCTCCCGCGCCCTCTCTCCTCCTCCTCCTCCTCCTCCTCCCACCCAGCCCGCCACCCGCGGTCCCCCCACACCCGGGCGGGCAGGCAGGCGCTCACAGCAGCGCGGAGCCGCGGCCACCTCGGTGCCGGGCGCCTCCACGCGCGCTCATTCACCCAGCGCTGTCAATCAGCCGCGGCGGGCGCCTCGCTGTGAGCCTGGCGAGAGCAATCACACACTCCCAGGGCGGCCCAGCACACACATCCACACGCGCGCCAGGAAACACACTCGCAGGTCAGAGGGCGCGCGCACACACGCGCACACATGGCAGCCTGCCCCAGGATGGCACCCCGGGCAATAAGAGTCCCACCGTTTGCTAAGTAGAAGTACAATGGACAATTCTACTTCCTTTATCTCATGAGTCCTCACCGCAACCCTGTGTATGTCGCCACTTTGCAGACAATTAAATGAAGACACAGAAAATTACCGAATTTGCCCAAGATTGCACAGCTTGGTAGAAACTCGAACCGTCTCCCTGCCGGCCCTCTCCACCACCTGGTGGTTTTCAACAGTTGCACTGCTACACAGCAGTGCCTCCAACACTTCACCGGTGAACTGCCAAATGCCAATCCCTGTGTGACATGTCTTTTCGCTAAAACTGATCTCTCAAAAATACTGTTTCAGAAATGTCTGCCAGAAAGAATGGTGAGCTAAGCTGCTTGTGAGAAGTGGATTACAACTGGTTTCTAGTAAGAGGTGTGAGGAGAACAGTAAAATCAAAGGCTGGGTTCAGTGGTTCACGCCTGTAATTCTAACACTTTGGGAGGCTGAGGCAGGCTGATCGCTTGAGCCCCGGGGTTCAAGAACAGCCTGGGCAACATAGCAAAAGATAAAATAAAAACAAACAAACAGCAAGCAAGCAAGCAAGCAAGCAAGAAAAAAAGAAGAAAGAAAGAAATTATCTGGGCGTGATGGGGTATGGTGGCAGACACCTGTAGTCCCAGCTATTTGGGAGGCTGAGACTGGAGGATTGCTTGAGCCTGGGAGGTGGAGGTTGCCGTGAGCTGTGATCATACCGCTACACTCCAGCCTGGGCAACAGAGCAAGACCCTGTCTCAAAAGGAAAAACAAAGAAAAAAGAGCGTGCCCCTTCACAGAAAGTAAGAGAGCTCAGGCAAAAGCTGACACAGGTTGAAGATGACCAAGAAAACCGAGCAGTCACTATGTATACTTCATGGAACCTGTTAAGTTGTAGTAGTGACTAACTGAAGTACTACTGACTCATTCATGTGGTTTTGAGTCTCTAAATCCCTTCATGTTTTCTTCAAACAATGATAGTAATTTAAAAGTATCAGAACATGAAACACTTCTGTCTCCCTGCACCATTTAAAACTTTCCCTCAAAATCTAAACATCCAACTGTGTGCCAAGAATGATGGTGGATGCTTTATAAGAGTCTCCTTACTTATTCGTCACCACGAGCCACAGAGACAGAAAAATTATTGTCACCATGTTATAGCCTTTTATATGACCCTGAATTCCCTTTCCATCTATATCCCTTCTCTTCTTCTCTTGAAGGTTGTGGCAGTTGCAGGGTGTGGGGCGGCGGGGGGCGGGTGCTGGTGTTGCTTAAAGAGTTACCTAGGGCAGATTCTGTCTCAGTAATTGAGAGCTAGCTTAGCACTTTGTGGATATGGTCCATGCCTATTTGATAAGTGAATAATGATGAATGGTTCTGGGGTCCATATGGGCAATGGGTTGCTTTTCAGAAAGGCATCTTCCTTATCACAGAGCCCCGCCAATTCATGTAAAATCAAATCAGGCCACCAACTGAACTACTCTCAGGGCCATCAACGATAAAGTCTGGGATTTATTCCAGGTCCCTTAACAAAGCATTGCAAAGGACATCTCCAGATGCACCCCCAGGGGTTATCATAACCTGCCCCCACCCCCAAGTCCATTAGGGGCTGCCCGGAGGCTGCAAACTGGGATTCAGCCTCTAATTTTCTCTCATATGCTTAATAAAAGTTATCCTACTGGAGACATTTTCTTTGAATCCTCCTCATAGAAAAGCCCATTTCCTGCTAATCATGTTCACTTAAAGACTTCTAAGTGGAAAGACAGAAATAAACATATCCCAGTACATTAAGATAGCAATCCTCCATGACCCAGTGGGCTTATTCCCAGGAATAATTTTTAAAATATATTGAAAAAGGAAGTAAGGGTTCTGGGTTAAGATGGTAATTGAATGTATATTCAATTACCTCCCAAAACCCCACTAAAACTCCAGTAAAGAGATTTTCAAATCAAGAGATAAACCTACAAGGATGCAAAGACCAGGAAAGGAGACAATAGCAATAGTATTTTTGAGACAGGATGGCAGGCAGTCATGGGGTTACTGACTTACCAGCCCCGAGGAAAAAAACATCCCAAACTGGCAGTGGGGAAAACCAAGAGCCAACTTGATTTACATTGCAAGGCTCTCAGAAGGCACAGAAACTGGCATTCCAAGGTATCTCCAGAACTACGGGAAAGGTTGCTAAAGTAGGGACTGAGCTGAAATACAGTTAGGTCCCTAGACCTCTTCCCTAACTCCAAACCACTGGGCAACAGTCTTTCTCATATCGCAAGAGTCTGGAGGATTTTCCTCTGAGGAAGGTAAGATTGAAGGTATCTGGACTGGGGAAACTTCCGGCACAGTTGTGAACAGATAAGCCAGACTGAAAATGCTGAAAATGAGGGGATTAAGTGACCAAGTCATATTGAATGCTGAATACAGAAACCCTGAGCCTTCTCCCAGAACTGGTTCCCAAAGTCGTAGGAGCAGGACATTTGCTTCCAGGCTGGAGACTAGAAGATTCTATACTGGGGCATTTTACCAGCCTAAGAGGAAAGATCTAAAGATTCTGACATGGGGGTTCTCCAAAAACAACCTAGTTAGATCACCCTACTGTAGCAAACCCAACATGTGAGCTTGGAGTTTCCCACCAACCTCCTACCCCCATCCCTCAACCTTAATCATGACCAAAGATTACCAGACATGCAGGACATTTTCTAACACAGAAGTGAGAGACAAAACAATCAGAAAAAGTAACTTAGAGAAACAAGTTATACAAAGAGAAGAGGGCACCAATAAGATCATTGTTAATATCCTCAGAGATGTGAGAAGATACTGTATCTATGAAACAAGGATAAGATGCTATAGAAAGGAACGTTCAGAGAACAGTAACAGTCTTGGAAAATAAAATAATGACAGCATAAGCCAGGCACAGTGGCCCCATGCCTGTAATCCCAGCTACTCAGGAGGCTGAGACAGCAAGACGTCTTAAGCCCAGGAGTTCAAGACCAGCCTGGACAACATAGCAAGACCATCTCAAAAAAAAAAAAAAAAAAAAAAAAAAAAAAAGATCATGACAGCAGAAATAAAAACCCTCAATAGAAAGATTAGAAGATAAAGTTGATTAAATCTCCCGAGGAAGTAAAGTAAACATACTAAAAGATAGAAAATATAGGAGAGAAAAGATAAGAGCATTAAAAGATAATTCCAGGAATTCAGCATCAACATAAATGTTCTAAAAAGAAAAAAAGGGCTAGGTGCAGTGGCTCATGTCTGTAATCCCAGAATTTTGGGGGACCGAGGCGGGAGGATCACTTGAGCCTGGGAGTTCAAAACCAGCCTGGGCAACATAGTGAGACCTGGTCTTTCTAAGAAATTTTTAAAAATTTGCCGGGCCTCGTGGCACATGCCTGTAATCCCAGCTACTTGGAAGACTGAGGTGAGGATTAATTGAGTCTGGGAGGTGAAGGTTGTAGTGACCCATGATCACACCACTCCACTCTAGCCTAGGGGACAAAGGGAGACCCTGCCAAAAAAAGAAAGAAAGAGGGAAGGAAGGAAGGAAGGAAGGAAGGAAGGAAGGAAGGAAGGAAGGAAGGAAAAAAAGAAACAAAGAAACAAAGGAAAGAAAGAAAGAGTCCTGCATCAAGTTGATCATTGACACTTCGAATGCATTTGTGGCTCTGGGTTCCTCCCAGGGCTATTAAAAAAATGAAAAATGATGAAAGAAAACAAACTGAAAAAAATAAAGAACCAGAGGAAAATGGAAGAGAGAAAATAATCAATTATCGAATATGAAGAAATTTTCTAGAACAGAAGGACACAAGTTGCTAGACCATAAAATGGTCCACCAAGTCCCCAACACTGTAGATTAAAATAAACCCACACCAAGACAAATTAAAGAGAAGAGTCTAGAAATTTCCAGATAGAAAGACAAAAACATAACATACAAAGACTCAATTATCATAAATGTTTTGAATTTCTCAACAGCAACACTGGAAGTAAAAAGCAATACCTTCAAAATTTTGAAGAAAATGCTTTCAACTGAGAATTTATACCCATTCAAACTATTAATCAAGTAAGAAGTTAGAATACAGGTATTTACATTCTCAGATGTATGAAATTTCAAAAGGTTTGCCTCCCATGCACAGTACCTGAAAAAGCTACCGGAGAAAGTGCTCCACCAAAACCAGAGAGTCAAACAGGAAAGTAGAAAGCACAGGGTGCAAGAAATAGAGACCCGCCACAGGGTAGAAACAAAGGGAGGCCCTGGGAAGACACTGGAGGGGGATCCCAAGATAGCAGCTGTGCACCACATGCAAAGGGATCCCAGTTCAGATTGGAACAGTGTTACTAACTCAGGAGACAGGCACACTGGCAGCTATCACCACCAAGACCACTGCTGTCAGTGTACCATTTTTGGAACCTGACTCAGATCAGAATGTCTGGTGAGTCTGGCCCTGATACTGAATTGTACTAGCCTTAACTTGACCAAGTGCTATAGAGCTCATGTTCTTGCCACACCCTGCTGCCTGATCAGGAAGTTTGCACTTGACCTGCCCATGAAAGAAGGAGATGGAAGTGAGCTCCCAGGCAGAAAGCACAGAGCAGCCAGCTGCCCCTGACCGTATTCCACCCAGATGTCCAAGGTCTGGCTGATGCTACAGCCCGGCCACATGCCCTCATTGCAAGGAGTCCTGTGCTTCCCAGGACTGTAGATTAAAATAATCCTGGGAGTCTTCATCTAGTATAAAATTGTCCTTTCCTTTCATATTAGGATTATGTTTGCTTCCCAATATTGTTTAGGAATATACACATATATGGTAAAGACCATAGACAAAAGGAAGGGAAGGATTAACCTAAAAGTCAAGAGAGTCATTGCCTGGGGTAAAGAAGACAAGGAGGGAGTGGTTTTGACTCAGGAGGGGAACCCAAGGGGCTTCTAAGATACCAGTGATGTTTTATTTCTTAATCTATGAGACAGATACATGGATGTTCATTTCCCTCCCTCCCTCCCTTCTTTCCTTCCTTCTTTCCTTCCTTCCTTCTTTCCTTCCTTCCTTCTTTCCTTCCTTCCTTCTTTCCTTCCTTTCTTCTTTCTTTCTTTCTTTCTCTCTTTCTTTCTTCCTTTCTCTCTTTCTTTCTTCTTTTCCCTTCTCTCTTCCTTCCTTCCTCTCTTTCTTTCTTTTATTGAGACAGAGTCTGCTCTGTCACCTAGGCTGGAAGGCAGTGGCACAATCACAGCTCACTGAAGCACCAACCTCCTGGGCTCATGCTGACCCTCCCACCTCAGCCTTGCAAAGTTCTGGAATCACAGTCATGAGCCACCAAGTCCAGCCCATTTTCTTATCTTTTTTAAGCATACCCGTGACACCCAGATATATAAAGCAAATATCGTTAGCGCTAAAGAGACCCCAATACAATAATAGCTAGAGACTTCAACACCCCAGTTTCAGCATTGGACAGATCATCCACACAGAAAATCAACAAAGAAATAGCAGACTTGTTCTGTACTACAGACCAAATGGACCTAATAGATATTTACAGAACATTTCATCCAATGGCTGCAGAAAACACATTCTTCTCAGCACATGGATCATTCTCAAGGACAGACTGTATGTTAGTCCACAAAACAAGACTTTAAAATTTAAAAAAAAAAAAAAACTGAAATTATATCAAGTACCTTCTCTGACCACAATGGAATAAAACTAGAAATCAATAAGAGGTACTTTAGAAACTATGCAAACACATGGAAATTAAACAAAATGCTCCTGAATAACCAGTGGGTGAATCAAGGAATCAAGAAGGAAATTGAAAGATTTTGAAACAAATGATAGTGGAAACACAGCATACCAAAACCTATGGGATACGGCAAAAGCAGTACTAAGAGGAAAGTTTATAGCTATAAGCACCTACATCAAAAAAGTAGTAAAACTTCAAATAAACAACTTAATGCATCTTAAGGAACTAGGACAGCCAGAGCAAACCAAATTCAAACTTTTTTTTCTTCTTTCATTTTTTTCTTATTTTTTTTTTTTTTTACAAGCCAAGGCGACAAACCCAAACTTGGTAGAAGAAAAATAATAATACAAATCAGAGCAGAGGCCAGGCGCAGTGGCTTGCGCCTGTAATCCCAGCTCTTTGGGAGGCCGAGGTGGGTGGATCACTTGAGGTTAGGAGTTCAAGACCAGCCTGGCCAACATGGTGAAACCCCGTCTCTACTAAAAATATAAAAATTAGCCAGGGATGGTGGCATGAGCCTGTAGTCCCAGCTACTTGGGAGGCTAAGGCAGGAGAATAGCTTGAACCCGGGAGGACCAGGTTTCAGTGAGCCAAGATCGTGCCACTGCACTGCAGCCTGGGTGACAGAGTGAGACTCTGACTAAAAAATAAATTAATTAATTAATTAATGAAATTGAAACAAGGAAAACAATATAAAAGATCCATGAAATGAAAAGTTTTTAAATTATTTTTATTTTATTTTTTTTGAGATGGAGTCTTGCTCTGTTGCCCAGGCTGGAGTACAGTGGCTCGATCTCAACTCACTGCAACCTCTGCCTCCTGGGTTCAAGTGATTCTCCTGCCTCAGCCTCTCAAGTGGCTGGAATTACAGGCATGCACTACCATGCCCAGCTAATTTTTTGTATTTTCAGTAGAGACAGGGTTTCGCCATGCTGGCCAGGCTGGTCTTGAATTCCTGACCTCAGGTGATCCACTGCCTTGGCCTCCCAAAGTGCTGGGATCACAGGCATGAGCCACCGCGTCCAGCTGAAAAGTTGTTTTTTAAAGACAAACAAAATTGGCAAACCTTTAGCCAGACTACCTAAGAAGAAAGAGAGAAGACCCAAATAAATAAAATCAGAGATGAAAAAGGAGACATCACAAGTGATATCACAGAAATGCAAAGGATCAGCCGGGTGTGGTGCCTCACACCTGTAATCACAGCACTTTGGGAGGCCAAGGCAGGCAGATCACTTGAGGTCAGGAGTTCGAGACCAGCCTGGCAAATGTGGTGAAACCCCGTCTCTATTAAAAATACAAAAATTAGCCGGGCATGATGGCGTGTGCCTGCAGTCCCAGCTACTAGGGAAGCTGAGGCAGGAGACTCTCTTAAACTTGGGAGGCGGAGATTGCAGTGAGCCGAAATGGCGCCACTGCATTCCAGCCTGAGTAACAGAGTGAGCTTTCGTTCTCCCAAAAAAAAAAAAAAAAGACTTAAATCTAAGACCTGAAACTAGGAAACTACTAAAAGATAACACTGAGGAAATTCCAGGACATTGAATTGGACAAAGATTTATTGAGTAATACCTGACAAGCACAGACATCAACAGAAAAAATGGACAAATGGGATCACATTAAGTTAAAAAGCTTCTGCACAGCAACAAAACCAAGTGAAGAGGCAACCCAAAGAATAAGAGAAAATATCTGCAAGCTATTCATCTGAAAAGGGATTAATAATCAGAATGTATAAAGAGGTCAAACAACTCTATAGGGAAATATCAAATAATCTAATTTAAAAATTAGGCCTGGTGCAGTGGCTCATGCCTGTAATCCCAGCACTTTGGGAGGCCGAGGCCGGAGCGGGGGCGGGGATCACCTGAGATCAGGAGTTCGAGACCAGCCTGACTAATATGATGAAACCCTGTCTCTACTAAAAATACAAAAATTAGCTGGGCGTGGTGGTGTGCACCTGTAGTCCCAGCTACTCGGGAGGCTAAGACAGGAGAATTGCTTGAACCCAGGAGGTGGAGGCTGCAGTGAGCCAAGATCATGTTACTGCACTCTAGCCTGAGTGACAGAGCAAGACTCTGTCTCAAAAAAAAATAAATTAAATTTAAAAAAATTAAAATGAGCAAAATATCTGAACAGACATTTCTCAAAAGAAGACATACAAATGGTAAACAGGTATATGAAAATCTGTCTGACATCATTGATCACCAGAGACATGCAAAGCAAAACTACAATGAGATCTCATCTCACCACAGTTAAAACGGCTTTTATCCAAAAAAACAGGCAATAACAAATGCTGGAGAGGATATGGAGAAAAGGGAACTCTTGTACACTGTTGGTAGAAATGGAATGTAAATTAGTACAACCACTATGGAGAACAGTTTTGAGGTTCCTCCAAAAACTAAAACTAGAACTGCCATATGATCCAGCAATCCCACTGCTGGGTATATACCCAAAAGAAAACTAATCAGTATATAGTTGGGTGCAGTGGCTCACGCCTGTAATCCCAGCACTTTAGGAGGCTGAGGCAGGTGGATCACAAGGTCAGGAGTTTGAGACCAGCCTGGCCAACATGGTGAAACCCCATCTTTACTAAAAATACAAAACTTAGCCAGGTGTGGTGGTGCAGGCCTGTAATCCCAGCTACTCAGGAGGCTGAGGCAGGAGAATAGCTGGAACCTGGGAGGCAGAGGTTGCAGTGAGCCAAGATCGAGCCACTGTACTCCAGCCTGGGCGACAGAATGAGACTCTGTCTCAAAAAAAGAAAGAAAAAAAGAAAACTAATCAGTATATTAAAGAGATAGCTGCACTCCCATGTTTATGGTGCCACTGTTCACATAAGAGAAAATTAGGAAGCAGCCTAAGTGTCCATCAACAGATGAATGGATAAAGAAATTGTGCGGCCTATCAGGGAAGTTGGGGGAGGGAGAGCACCAGGTGGAACAGCCAATGGGTGCTGGGCTTAATACCTGGCTGATGGGTTTATTAGTGAAGCAAACCACCATGGCACACATTTACCTATGTAACAAATGTGCACATTCTGCACATATACCCCGGAACTTAAACGTTGATAAAAAAATTTTTAAGAAAAAATTTAAAAAGAAAAGAAACTGTGGTACATATACACAATGGAGTACTATTCAGCCACATGAAAGAATGAGATCCTGTCATTTGCAACAACATAGATGGAACTGGAGGTCATTATGTTAAGTGAAATAAGCCAGGCACAGAAAGACAAACTTCCCATGGTCTCACTTATTTGTGGGAGCTAAAAATGAAAATAATTGAACTCATGGAAATACAGAGTAGAAGGATACCAGAGGCTGGAAATGGTAGTGGCAGTGGGAAGAAGTGGGGATGGTTAAGGGTACAAAAATATAATTAGATAGAATGAATAAGATCTAGTATTGATAACACAACAGGGTGACTACAGTCAACAATAAGTTATTGTACATTTTTAAAAAACTAAAAAGGGTCGGGTGCAGCGGCTCACGCCTGTAATCCCAGCATTTTGGGAGGCTGAGGTGGGTGGATCACTTGAGGTCAGGAGTTCAAGACCAGCCTGGCCAACAGGGTGAAACCTCTTCTCTACTAAAAATACAAAAGTGAGACAGGCATGGTGACGTGTGCCTGTATTCCCAGCTACTCGGGAGGCTGAGGCAGGAGAATCACTTGAATTCGAGAGGCAGAGGTTATAGTGAGCTGAGATTGCGCCACTGTACTCCAGCCTGGGTGACAGAGCAAGACTCTGTCTCAAAAAAAAAAAAAGAGAGAGAGAGAAAGAAATGGAGATTCTATCAATATTGATGTTTAACTTTGTTTTACAATTTGTAGCCAATGCAATAAGACCAGAAGAACAAGGAGGAGGATAAAGAAAATAGGAGGAGGGGGAGAAGATTAAGGAGGAGAAAAAGAAGGAGGAGGAGAAAAAATAAGCACAAAATATTGGAAAAGAATAAAGGAAAAGTTAAAATATTATTATTGGCTAAACAAGCCTCCTAAGTAGCTGGGACTACAGGCACATGCCACCACACCTGGCTAATTGCATTATGGCAAAACCATGTCTCTACAAAAAATATAAAAATTAGCTGGGCAGTGGCCAGGTGAGGTGGCTCATGCCTGTAATCCTAGTACTTTGGGAGACTGAGGCAGGCGGATTACCTGAGATCAGGAGTTTGAGACCAGCCTGGCCAATATGGTGAAACCCCTTCTCTACTAAAAATGCAAAAATTAGCCAGATGTGGTGGCACGTGTCTGTAATCCCAGCTACCCAGGAGGCTGAGGCAGGAGAATCGCTGGAACCGGGAGGCGGAAGCTGCAGTGAGCTGAGATCGTGCCACTACGCTCCAGCTTGGGCAACAGAGTGAGACTTCCTCTCAAAAAATAAATAAATAAATAAATTAGCTGGGTATGCCTGTAGTCCTAGCTACCAGATAGACTGAGGCAGGAGGATCACCTCAGCCTAGGGAGTAGAGGTTGCACTAAGCCGAGATCGAACCACTGCACTACAGCCTGGGCAACAGAACGAGACTCTGTTTCAAAAAAAAAAAAAAAATTATTTCGTGAAACAGTTAGAAAACTATTAGAAAAAAATGTGATTAGATTAAAGCTAAATATCCCATATAACAAATATTCCATATAAATATTCCATATAAACAAAGTGCATTAAAGACAAATAAGTTTATGTTTATCAAAAAATGAAAAGAACTTTTTTTTTTTTTTTTTTTTTTTTTTGAGACGGAGTCTCGCTCTGTCGCCCAGGCTGGAGTGCAGTGGCGGGATCTCGGCTCACTGCAAGCTCCGCCTCCCGGGTTCACGCCATTCTCCTGCCTCAGCCTCCCAAGTAGCTGGGACTACAGGCGCCCGCCACTACGCCCGGCTAATTTTTTGTATTTTTAGTAGAGACGGGGTTTCACCGTTTTTTTAGCCGGGATGGTCTCGATCTCCTGACCTCGTGATCCGCCCGCCTCGGCCTCCCAAAGTGCTGGGATTACAGGCGTGAGCCACCGCGCCCGGCCGAAAAGAACTTTTGTGAAGAAAACCATACAACTTTATTGAGAGAGATAAAAGAGGCTTCAATAAATGGAGAAACAACTCTTATTTATGGATAGAGGCCCTCAAAATTTTATAAAGTTATTCTCTCCAACTTGATTTCTATTTTTAGTACTATTTCAATTAAAATATCAATATATGCCAGGAGCGGTGGCTCACACCTGTAATCGCAGCACTTTGGGAGGCCGAGGTAGGCGGATCACTTGAGGTCAGGAGTTGGAAACCAGCTTGGCCAACATCGTGAAACCCCATCTCCACTAAAAATACAAAATTTAGCCAGGCGTGGTGGCCTGTAATCTCTGTAATCCCAGCTACTCGGGAGGCTGAGGTAGGAGAATCACTTGAACCTGGGGGCAGAGGTTGTAGTGAGCCGAGATCGCACCACTGCACTCTGCACTCCAGCCTAGGTGACAGAGTGAGACTCCGTCTCAAATAAAATAAAATAAGATAAAATAAATTATCAACATATTTTTAAAGTTTGAAATAATTATTTTAAAGCTCCTTGGTGAGAATAATGGGGGAAAATAAACCCTTTTGAAAAAGAAGAGTAGCAAGTGGGATGTATGGCAGAAACTTGCTCCTTTGGACGGTTTGTATATATTCATTTCGTTAAACTATACTTACAAAGCTACAATGATTCTGTGATAAATGAACAAACAAACAAACAAAAACTGTGATGCTGGCATAAGAATCCAGGAAGGTCAAAGCAATGGGAAGCAGCACTAATCAAGTTCCCACCCCATTTCCCTGCTCTTCCCAGCAGAGTTGTCTGCATGTATTGTCTCCACATTCTCACCCCGTACTCCAGTCTGGCATCCATCTTACTGCTTTACCGAATAGCTCTTGCCAAGTCATTCTGACTTTTAGGCTGCTGTGTCCAGTGGAGCTGGGTCTTCTTCCTTGACATTGTTGAAACAGTAGATCTCACTGATCACTGTATTTGTCAAGGTTCTCTAGAGAAACAGAACCAAAAGGATATATGTAGGTATGTAGGAAGAGATTTATTATGACAGATTGGCTTATGCAATTAGGGAAGCTGAGAAGTCCCACAATCTGCTGTCTGTAGGCTGAAGGCCCAGGAAAGCTGGTGGTATAGTTCTAGTCCAAACCTGAAGGCTGAGAACTGGGGGAACCAATGGTGTAAGTCCTGGTTCAAGCCTGGAGAAACAGGAGCACCAACATCCAAGGGTATGAGGAGATGGATGCCCAGCTCAAGCAGAGAGAAAATTCATCTTTCCTCTGACTTTTTGTTCTCTTCAACCTCTCAAACCATTGGATGATGGCTATTCCCATTGGTGAGGGTAAACTCTACTCAGTCTTCTGATTCAACTGCTAATCTCTTCCTGAAATACCCTCACAGACACACCCAGAAATAATATTTTACCAGCTATCTGGGCACCCTTGAGCCCAGTCAAGTTGATACATAAAATTAACCATCACAATCATTTACTCTTTCTTCTTGAAGACTCACTGTCTTGCCTTCAGAGACACTGCATTTTCTTGGCTCTCCTCCTTTGCTGCTCTGCCTCCTCCATCTATAGTTTTCCCTAGGTAATCTCATCTATCTAGGAAATGCCAACTCCGACCTCTAAACCACAGACTAATCTTATCTAACCACCTACCTGACATCTCTACCTGGCTATCTAAGAGATACTTCAAACTTGTCATGTTCAAAATAGAACTATTTTTTCTCAACCATTTCTTACCAAAACAACAACAGCAATAGTCAATCTCTCTACCAAAAGACATTTTCCTTTCAGCCTGTAATCCCAGCACTTTGGGAGGTGGAGGTGGGTGGATTGCTTGAGCCCAGGAGTTTGAGACTAGCCTGGCCAATATGGTGAAACCCCACCTCTACAAAAAATACAAAAATTAGCTGGGCATGGTGGCACATGCCTGTGGTCCCAGCTACTCAGGAGGCTGAGGCAGGAGGATTGCTTGAGCCTAGGAAGTCAAGGCTGCTGTGGGCTATGATGGCACGACTGCACTTCAGCCTGGAGATAGAGCCAGATACTGTCTCAAACAAACAAACAAACAAAAAAGCTTAAGGATATTCTTACAGCATTATTTATAACAACAAAACACTGGACACTACCACATGGTCTAACAATAGGGAAATAGCAGCCAGGTGCGGTGGCTCACGCCTGTAATCCCAGCACTTTGGGAGGCCGAGGCGGGTGGATCACCTGAGGTCAGGAGTTTGAGATCAGCCTAGCCAACATGGCGAAACTCTGTCTATACTAAAAATACAAAAAAAATTAGCTGGGCATTGTGGCGCACACCTGTAGTCCCAGCTACTCGGGAAGCGGAGGCAGGAGAATCACTTGAACCCGGGAGGCAGAGGTTGCAGTGAGCCAAGATTGCACCATTGCACTCCAGCCTGGGCAACAGAGCCAGACTCCGTCTCAATTAAAAAAAAAAATAGGGAAATGGCTAAATAAATTATGGAACAACCGTAATGCAACTATTAAAAATAAAGTGTTAGGCTGGGCATGGTGGCTCACGCCTGTAATCCCAGCACTTTGGGAGCCCAAGGCAGGCAGATCATGAGGTCAGGAGATTGAGACCATCCTGGCTAACATGGTGAAACCCCGTCTCTACTAAAAAATACAAAAAAAATTAGCTGGGCGTGGTGGCGGGCGCCTGTAGTCCCAGCTGCTCAGGAGGCTGAGGCAGGAGAATGGCGTGAACCTGGGAGGCGGAGGTTGCAGTGAGCCAAGATTGAGCCACTGCACTCCAGCCTGGGTGACAGAGCAAGATTCCGTCTCAAAAAAAAAAAATAATAATAATATAAATAAAGTGTTAAAGATTGTAATAAAATGAAAAATAATTATGTTACAACGTTAATTTTTCAAGCCAGGTGGAACTAAAATACTAAGCCTGCAAAAGAGAAAAAAAGCAAGACATAAAAGCATATATACAATAGCATCACAATTATTACATTTATTTTTCTGTGTATTCCTAATTGTCTGGCCTGAACATAGATTTTTTTTTTTGACATGGAATACTATTTTATTTGTATTTATGCTTTTAATTTACATGAATGGCATTGGGTAATTGGCCTCATTCTGTTTCCTTTTTTACTCAATACTTTAAAAAATTGTTAAATAGGCCGGGTGCAGTGGCTCTTGCCTGTAAGCCCAACACTTTGGGAGGTGGAGGTGGATGGATCACCTGAGGTCAGGAGTTCAAAACCAGCCTGGCCAACATGATGAAACCCCGCCTCTACTAAAAATACAAAATTGGCCAGGACAGGTGGTGGGCACCTATAATCCCAGCTACTCAGGAGGCTGAGGCAGGAGAATCGCTTGAACCCAGGTGGCGGAGGTTGCAGTGAGTCAAGATCACACCACTGCACTCCAGCCTGGGTGACAGAGCAAGACTCCATCTCAATTTTTTTAATAGACTTTACTTTTTTACAGCTGTTTTAGGTTCACAACAAAACTGAGTGGAAAGTACAGAGATTTCCCATAAGCTCTCTGCCCACACAGAAGCACAGCTTCCCCCATTATAAACATCCCTCACCAGAATGGTACATTTGTTACAATAAATGAACTACATTGACACATTGTTATCACCCAAAATCCATAGTTTATATAAGGGATCTCTCCAGGACTGTATAGTCTGTGGGTCTGGACAAATGTATAATGACACGTATCCACCATTGTAGTACCATACAGCACAGTTTCACTGCCCTAAACATTCTCCATGTTCCACCTACTCATCCCTTCCTCCCCTCTAACCCTTGGCAACCAATGATCCTTTTACTGCCTCCATAGTTTTGCCCTTTCCAGAATGTCATATAGTTGGAATCACATAGCATGTTTTCAGATTGGCTTAGTCATATCCACTTACATTTCCTCCATGTTGTATTTTCATGGCTTGATAGCTCCCCCCCCTTTTTTTTTTTTTTTTGGAGACAGGGTCTCACTCTGTCACCCAGGCTGAAGCTGGAGTGCAGTGGTGTGATATTGGCTCACTGCAACCTCTGCCTCCCAGGCTCAAGTGATCCAGTGATCCTCCTACCTCAGCCTCCGAGTAGTTGGGACTACCAGTGCATGCTACCACGCTGGCTAATTTCTGTATCTTTTTTTATAGAGACAAGGTTTCACCATGTTGCCCAAGCTGGTCTTAAACTCCTGAGCTCAAGCAATCCGCTTGCCTCGGCCTCCCAAAGTGGTAGGATTACAGGCATGCGCCACTATGCCCACCCTACCTCTTTTTAGCACTGAATAATATTCCATCACCTGGATGTACCACAGTTTATTTATCCGTTCAGCTACTGCAGGACATCTTGGTTGCTTCCCAAGTTTTCAATTATGGATACAGCTGCTGTAAACATCCTTGTGCAAGTTTTTCTGTGGACAGTTTTCAATTCATTGGGGTATGCCAAGGAACACAATTGCTGCATCATATGGTAACAGTATGTTTAGTTTCATAAGGAGCTGCCAAACTCTCTTCCAAAGTGGCTGTACCATGTTGCATTCCCACCAGCAATGAATAAGTGTTCCTGTTGCTCTACATCCTTGCCAGCATTTTGTGTTTCGGATTTTTGCCGTTCTAGTGGGTATGTAGTAGTTTCTCACTGTTGTTTTAATTTGCCATTTCTTAATAACATACAATGTTGAGAATCTTTCATATGCTTATTGTCTGTCTGTATATCTTCTTTGCTGGGCTATCCTTCCAGCTCTTTTGCCCATTTTTAAATCACATTGTTCTTTTTCTTATTATTGAGTGTTAAGGGTTCTTGGCCAGGAACAGTGGCTCATGCCTGTAATCCCAGCACCTTGGGAGGCCAAGGCAGGCAGATCACTTGAGGTCAGGAGTTCGAGATCAGCATGGCCAACATCGTGAAACCCCATATCTACTAAATATACAAAAATTAGCCAGGCATGGTGGCACACACCTGTAATCCCAGCTACTCAGGAGGATGAGGCAGGAGAATCGCTTGAACCTGGGAGGCAGAGGTTGCAGTGAGCCAAAATTGCACCGCTGCACTCCAGCCTGGGCAACAAAGTGAGACTCTGTCTCAAAAAAAAAAAAGAAAGAAAGAAAAGGCCGGGCGCGGTGGCTCATGCCTGTAATCCCAGCACTTTGGGAGGCCGAGGCAGGCGGATCACGAGGTCAGGAGATCGAGACCATCCTGGCTAACACGGTGAAACCCCGTCTCTACTGAAAATATAAAAAATTAGCCGGGCGTGGTGGCGGGCACCTGTAGTCCCAGCTACTCGGGAGGCTGAGGCAGGAGAATGGCGTGAACCCGGGAGGCGGAGCTTGCAGTGAGCAGAGATCGCGCCACTGCACTCCAGCCTGGGCGAAAGAGCGAGACTCTGTCTCAAATAAACAAAAAAAAAAAAAAAGAAAGAAAGAAAAGAAAAGAAAGAAGGAAGGAAGGAAAGAAAGAAAGAGAAAGAAAGAAAGAAGAAAGAAAAAGAAAAACAAAGAAAAATATTTTCAATAACAGTCCTTTATCAGCTACGTCCTTTGCAAATATTTTCTCCCAGTCATGGCTTATCCATAGACCACTTTTTTTTTTTTTTTTTTAAAGAGACAGGGTCTCCCTCAATTGCCCAGGCTGGAGTATAGTTGCATGATCATAGCTCACTGTAACCTAGAACTCCTGGGCTCAAGGGATTCTCCTGCCTCAGCCTCATAAGTACCTACGACTACAAGTGTGTGCCACCACGCCTGGCTAATTTTTTTTTAAGTTAGCCCTATGTTGTCCAGGCTGGTTTTTAAACTCCTGGCCTCAAGCAATCCTCCCACCTTGGTCTCCCAAAGTACTGGGATTACAGGCATGATCCACTGCACCCAGCCCATAGATTACATTGTAATCACAATTTAAAGAGTGATATTTAGAATCAATACCAAACAAATCACCCAGGTGTATATCTCAACACCCTGAACAGCTCTGTCATCTAAGAGCCCTGTCATCTTTCTGGGTCCCAGACTCTGATCTCCCTCACCCCCTCCCAGTGGCCCTGGCTAACATCTTTCCAACAGCCACTTCCTCGTCTGGCCTCTCTGAGCTCAGCAGTTTGCACTCTCTCCCTCTTTCAACCACACTCTGAGGCTTTCTGTCCTTCTCTAGGGGCAGAGAGTGAGGCTACATTTTAGGGATACTCCTGCAGCTGAATCCCTTCTGGGAGGGGACAGTGGACCAGTAACAGCACGGGACTCAGGCACCAACCACCTGAGAGTAGAGTTTGTTTTGAGTCTGGGAGTCAGAGCGAAGGGAAGGCAGAGGGGAAGGACCACGGCAGGGATGTCAAGAAAAGACAGGCCTGGAATGAGGACACGACAGGTCTGGAATGAGGGCACCTCAGCCCAGCTCTCTGGGGCTGCCCCCTCCCAGGCAGGCCAGAACACCTTTCCCAGCACCCACAGGGCCAGGTCCCGCTCTCTCCCAAGAGAAATGAAGAAAACTGGAGGTGAACAAGAAGCAGAGTGGTGAGGGGGGCGGCTTGAGGAATAGAGCCTGGAACCCAGGAGCCCTCCTGGCTCTGGTCCCTGGCCTTCTCCCCTCCTGCCCTGTATTCTAGGACTGGAGAATGGGAACAGGCCAGCAGAGGGGCCCTCCAGTGGGTACCTGATTTTTTTTTTTTTTTTTTTTTTTGAGACAGGGTCTCCCTCTGTAGCCCAGGCTAGAGTGGTGCAGTGGTAAGATCTCTGATTACTGCAACCTCTGCCTCCCGAGTTCAAGTGGTTCTCGTGCCTCAGCCTCGCAAGTAGCTGGGACAGCAGGCATGTGCCACCACACCCAGCTAATTTTTGTGTTTTTAGTAGAGACGGGGTTTCACCATGTTGGCCCAGCCGGTCTCAAACTCCTGACCTCAAGTGATCCGCCTATCTCAGCCTCCCCAAGTGCTGGGATTATAGGCATGAGCCACCGTGCCCAGCCCTGGGTGCCTGTTTTTCATCCCTTTGTGTCTGTAGCTCTTGGGGATCAGGAGTAGGTAGGGCAAGGGTCAGGGAAGTCTGCTGCACACATTACTTTGTAATGACAAAAAACAAGTCTTTTCATCTTTGGATAAGGATGACTGCTCCCAAGGCCTGCTTTGCTGGTCTCTATCTCCTTCTTTCTTCAGCCCTTAGGCTTAACTCAATCTTACTGTTTCCCAATGTAACAGATTTCTCATTTGCAAAATTGGGATAATAATTGTCTCTCCCTCCTAGAGTTACTGCCACCATTAAATGAATCAATATACACAGAGTGCTTTAAACAGTGCCCGGCACATAGAAATGCTGTCTGAGTGTTTGCTACTATTCTTACTACAGGACTAGGATTCCAAGGAGTGAAAGATGAAGCCGCTGGGTGCAGCGGAGGGGGTGGAGAAATCTGGGTCAGTGAACAGGAGAGACTGGTAGTGGGGGACACCAGGACAGGGCCGGGGGCAAGGAAGAGATGCAAGCGGCCAGGAGAGGAGTCTTACCAGTGGCTGGGCCACAAGGTGTACTCTCACCAGCAGGTAAAGAGGTGAGGGGGCTGGCAGCTGGGAGGAGCTATGCACCATCTGCAAGACTGATCTATTTTGTAGGGCAAAGTAGGCCCCAGGGCCGACTGTCCTTGTTCTCCTGTCACTGTGAAAAGGCACACAACTTGCCCACTTAGAGCAGAGTCCCCCACTCCTGCCCCTCCCACCCTGCCAAAGACCCCTGGACCACCCAAGCACAGGGTAAGGGGGATGGGGTGGTAGGTCAATGTCAGCACTGGGGGCTTGGATCCAAGCCCCTTCTCCTGCACCAACACCAAAGTAGGAACAAACCTCAGTGAGGCTTTGGCTTTTGACAGCCTGAAGGCTTTCCACAGGTGCCAGGCGAACTCAGCTGTTTCTTGCATCAGAAGAGTGGAGACCTCCTGCCTGTGACCCCCTCCCCTCCCAGGTCATGATCCCTCAGGTCCTCAGAGAACAGAGGAGCAGCTGAGGGGCCTGTGGCAGGGGGAGGACCACAACAAAGCCACCAGGTCAGCACCCACATAAGGCCTAGTCAGGGTGTCGATGCATAAAGGAAGACACCTTATGCTCCCTCTGGAGCCCCAGTACAGGCCCCCAGCTCACCTCTGCAGGCCTCTCCACTCCCTGCAGCCAAGAGCTGGGAAGGAACCTCATGGCAATCTCTGGCTCCTCCTCTCAGCCCTCCTCCCTGTCTCCTCTGAGATCTGAGGCCTTCGTGATGTAAGTGGCAGGACTGCTAAATGGCAATGTTGGTGCTGGGGCCACTTAACTCCCTGACCTGTGAGAGAGCCTGTCTGGGCAGGGAGGCTGGGGGCAGGGGCTGGTGGGGGACATGCTCTGTGCCTGGGGCTGCTGGGGGAGAAGAGAGGAGCCCTTCCGAAGCCCTCCATTCCTTTTCTCTCTCCCCTGGCCCCCCGGCCCTCTCCTGGGTATTGGGTGGGCTGCTGGATATCTGGAGTGCAGGCTATGCGTGCAAACAGCTTGTGGTCTGCATGTTTCTGCGCTCCCCACCCCACCACAAGCCGAGCCCTGATCATGTGGCCTGTAGGGGGCGCTAGTGGAACCCTTTCTGAGACCTGCCTAGGAATGAGGGCTTGGGTGAAGGGGACACACCCGAAATACTAGTGCCTCCAGCTATTGGGGCAGATTGCTCAAAACACACTTCCTGTTTTACAAGGTGTAATAAGTCATTCATCGAACTCCACCCCAAATTCTGAAATCCTAATAAAGTGTCTGGATCAGCCTTCCCTGGCAATGGAGAGAGCTGTGTTCCAGTTCTGCATTGGCACAGCTGCGAAGGCCGCTCTACCCTCCTTCTTCCAGGCGGGGTCACTGCTGGTTGATAGGCGAGTGAAGTCATGTCTTTGAGGGCCAAGGGCAGGAAAAGCTGGGAGGGCGGAGACCACAGAGACGCAGGGCTGGCAGAAGCATGGAAGGTGACGAGGAAGCCCAGCGGAGGAGTGCTCACTTCATCCCGGCGCCCTGAGCAAGGCCATTCCCGGCCCCCGAGGGACCAGACCCTGCCAGGGAAAGGAGAGTGGGCAGCAACTCCCCCCACCCCCCGCCAGGCCCTCACAGCCAGTGCCAGGGGGTGAAGCTGGTGGGGGGAAAGTGGAGAATGACATATTGTGGGAGCTCCAAAGACACAAATCATTGAACGAATGCAGAGGAGAAAGGGACAGAAGTAGGCCCAGGTCCTCTAGGTCCTCGTATTCAAAGTGTGGCCATGGACCAGCAGCACCGGATGCTTGTTAGAAAAGCAGACTCTTGGCTGGGTGCGGTGGCTCATGCCTGTAATCCCAGCACTATGGGAGGCCATGGTGGGTGGATCACTTGAGGTCAAGAGTTCAAGACTAGCCTGGCCAACATGGTGAAACCCCCGTCTCTACCAAAAATACAAATTAGTCAGGCGTGGTGGCAAGTGCCTATAATTCCAGCTACTTGGGAGGCTGAGGCAGGAGAATCACTTGCACCTGGGAGGTGAAGTTAGTGAGCTGAGATCGCGCCACTGCACTCCAGCCTGGGTGACAGAGCAAGACTCCAACTCAAAAAAAAAAAAGAAAAAGAAAGAAAGAAAGAGAGAGAAAAAGAAAGAAAGA
Organism: Homo sapiens; assembly: GCF_000001405.40. Taxonomy (NCBI): domain Eukaryota; kingdom Metazoa; phylum Chordata; class Mammalia; order Primates; family Hominidae; genus Homo; species Homo sapiens. The sequence goes on from NC_000007.14 coordinate 128,382,368, forward strand.
AAGAAAGAGAAAAGAAAGAAAAAAGAAAGAAAGAGAAAGAAAGAAAGAAAGAAAGAAAGAAAGAAAGAAAGAAAGAAAGAAAAAAAGAAAGAAAAGCAGACTCTTGCCCCCTACCCCTGCAATCTGCATTTCAGCAAGGGGCCGCCTGCCTCACAGACAGATGTGAGCAATCTAGAGGAGACAGCAGGGTTGCACTGCCATCCCCACCCATGTCCCTGCACATATTCAGCTGCCTTGGTGACCTGCCTTGGCTTAAGGTGGCCCAGAAAGTTCCCCTGCCTTCTGGCCAGACAGATCTGAGTGGGTCCTTCTGGAATGCACAACAGGTGCGGAGTGGGGGCAGCATGGAGCAGCCTCTCATCTCACTCCCTCTCCACCGTCCCCCGCCTCATCCCCTGGTGCTGAGTGAGCCCTGGTGACAGGCAGGCTCAGAGAAGGGAGCCCAGGAAAGGGAGGATCAGGGGCAGCCCAGAACGGGGTTATCTTGATCCTTGGAGGTGGAGCTTCCGCTGAAAATCTGGTGGAAGTTCTGCTCCCTCTGCCAGAAAAATGGACAGACACACAATGTTGCAAATATGGCAGGGGAATCATAGATCCTCCAGAGCCCACTTGTCCCACAGCCCACAAAATCCTCTGTTTCCTTCTACTCTGATGGTGCCTGAGTGCCTCCTCCTCCACTCCCCATGCCAGGGCTCCTCTGCCTCAGGGAGCTTGTAGGCCAGACCAAGATGCAAACCCAAGGGAAGCAAGCCAAAGCAGAGGGTCCATGGGGGAGCTCCAGGAGGGAGGGGTTTATTTCCAATCTGGGAGGCAACCTAGAGATTGCAACAAGGCCACAGGCTTTGGAGTCACCTAGGCTTGTCATCTGTACTGTGGGGATCCATGCTGCCCACAAGGATAGCATGAGATCATGGTAACGTGTTCAGAACTACTTCCTCTAGTTAGGGAAGAGGTCGCCATCCTAGCTAGGTGTGACCCCCACAAAGATGTCCATAATGCAGGACCTGTGAATGTGTTACCTTACATGCCAAAAGGAACTCTGCAGGTGTGATTAAGTTGAAGGTTTTGAGATGAGGAGATTATCAGAGTTTATCAGGTGGTCCCAATATAACCACAAGGGTCTTTATAAGGGAGACAAGAGTGTCAGAGTCAGTGCAGGTGTGAAAATGGAAGCAGGGTAGAAAGACAGGGAAATTTAAAGATGTTATGTAGCTGGTTCTGAAGATGGAGGAAGGGACAGCCGCTAGAAGTCAGCAAAGGCAAGGAAATGGGTTCTCCCCTAGAGCCTCCAGGAGGAATGCAGCCCGGAGGACCCACTGTAGACTTCTGGCCTCCAGAACAGTAAGATTGTACATTTCTGTTGCTTTCAGCTGCTAAATGTATAGTGATTTGTTACAGCAGCCAAAGGAAACTAATACACTGGGCCTTGTCAGGTAGAAGCCAGAGCCTGCTGTGGGGCAGCTGTGGGGCAGGAGGGAGGTCAGAGGGGAATTTTGCAGAAGGGCAGGGCAAGGGCTGAGCCTGCAATGAGAGGGAGGAGGGGCCAGGCCCTGAGTGCTCAGCCTATGACCTCAGCCTTGGCCAGCTGAAGCTGCCCTGGCACCCGGATGCCTGTCAGCCTGGGCTTATATGCCTGACTGGACCAGAAAGAGATCCCTGTGTAGCCAGTCCTGAGGCAAGGGTGGGGGTGTGACAAAGAAGTTTGATGCCAGAGAGGGAGTCCAATCAGCCCCAGGGCTGCAGAGCACACAAGGGGAGGGAGGAGGTTGGTGGGGCTGGCACGGGGCCCTGTCGCCCAGGGCCCCCTGCCAGCTCAGTCCTTCTCTACCTCTCTCCTACTGACAGGAAGAACCTCCACCCCACTCTTCTCTTTCCTTTCTCCATCCCCAGGCTATTCTGCCCTACCCCGGGAGAGTGGGAGGGGCAGGGACTTTGGGGCTAGAGATTGAGGCTGTGGGCTGGGCGGTGGCTCATGCCTGTAGTCTCAGCATTTTGGAAGGCTGAGGCAGGAGGATCACTTGAGGCCAGGAGTTCGAGACCAGCCTGGGCAACATGGTGAAACCCCATCTCTACACAAAATACAAAGAAAAAATTAGTAGATGTAGTAGCATGCACCTGTAGTCCCAGTTAATCAAGAGGCTGAGGTGACAGGATCATTTGAGCCTGGGAGGTCAAAGCTGCAGTGAGCCATAATCATGCTACCACATTCCAGCCTGGGTGACAGAGTGAGACCCTCTCTCAAAAAAATAAAAATAAAAATAGAAAGAATGAGGCTGGGTCACAACCTCAGCTCAGTGGCTGAGAAGCTGGGTGACCTTAGGCAAATTACTATGGCCCTCTGAGCCTGTTTTCTCCCCTGGAAATGAGGATGATTTTAGTCCCCACTTCCCAGGGCTGTATTAAATGGCACCACGCATGTTAACACAGTGTCCAGCGTAGAGCCAACCCTCCAAGTGCCATCTTTGTGTTATGATCCTGTATACGCTGCATTACCCACAAATACAAAAGAAGGTTGGTCTCCCCTGCCAGCTGGCTGGTTCCTCAAGGGAGCACGTGTCCTCTTGATATCTTTATATCCTCAGCCTTGCTATATACTTCCTGTTGTGGACCGGGTGATGAATATGTTTTATGTATTCATTCAGCATTTAACAGGTATTTATGGGTGACAGTGTTTTAGGGGATAAAAACATATAAGGGAAAACAAACACTCCGCACATATTTATTTATGTTTTAGAGTCAGGGTCCGGCTCTATTGCCCAGGCTGCAGAGGCACAATCAGAGCTCACTGCAGTCTTGAATTCCTGAGCTCAAGGGATTCTCCTGCCTCAGCCTGCTGAGTGGCTGGCATCACCACACCTGCCTATTTTTTTTTTGTAGAGACAGAGTCTCACTGTGTTGCCCAGGCTGGTCTCGAACTCCTGGGCTCAAGCCATCCTCCTGCTTTGGCTTCTTAAAGTGCTGGGATTATAGGCAGGAGCCACACGCCGCACAGGCCAGGCTCTATGCATACAAAGAGAGGGTATGTTTGTGTTGTGTTATGGAAAAAAATGAAGCAGGAGGGGCAGGGATGGGGTCAGAGAGTGAGGGTGTGTCGGGGTGGCAAGGGGGTTCAGGGAAGGTCTAACACGATGCCCTTGAGCAGAGACCCAAAGAAAGTGAGGGAGTGAGCCACAGGGCCTGGGGTGAAGAGGAGGGCACTGGCATTGGAGGACAGCAAGGAGGCCAGCATGACCAGGACAGTATGGGTAGGGGACAAGCAAGAGAAAGCCTGAGACAGTGGAGGCCTGATCATGAAGGACCTGTAGGCCCCAGCAAAGACTGACTTCTACTTTGACCCCAGGGAAACCAGTGGAGTGTTTTAAGCAGAGGAACAACCTGCTCTCACTCACATTTTAGAAGAATCACCTTGGCTGCTGTGTATTGAGAAAATTCTGGAAGGAGGCAACAGTGGGGGCTAGGAAAATTGGAGCCCTTTGCAGTAACCCAGGTGGAAGATGGTGATGGTTGGAGCAGCATTGTTGCAGAAGAGACTGGAGGAAGTGGTCAGACTGAAGGCAGTGCTAACGGGATTTGCTGATGGATTAAATATGAAGTGTGTGCCAAGCATGATGGCTCATGCCTGTAATCCCAGCACTTTGGGAGGCCAAGGTGGGAGGATCACTTGAGGTCAGGAGTTCAAGACTAGCCTGGGCAACAAAGTGAGACTCTGTCTCTACAAAAATAAAAAATTAGCTAGAAGTGGCAGCGCATGTCTGTAGTCCCAGCTACTCTGGAGGCTGAGGTAGGAGGATTGCTTAAGCCTGTGAGGTCAAGGCTGCAGTGAGCTATGATTGCGCCACTACCCTCCAGCCTGGGAGACAGAGCAAGACCCTGTCTCTTAAATAAGTAAATAAATAAATAGTGAGAGAAAGTGGAGTCAAGAATGACTCCAAGGGTTTTTGTTTTGTTTTGTTTATCTGAGCAACCAGAGGAATGAATTTGCTAGTTTTTAAGATAGGGTAAATTTAAGGAGGACCAGGTCTGGGAGGGTGGCAGGGAGTGTGATGTTAATTATATGTGTCAACTTGACTGGGCCACAGAGTGCCCAGGTATTTGTTTAAATATATTTCTGAGTGTGTCTGGGAGGGTGTTTCTGGATGAGATTTACATTTGAATCAGCTGATTGAATAAAGCAGACACCCCTCCCCAATGTGGGTGGCCCTCATCCAATCCATTGAAGGCTTGAATAGAACAAAAAAGGCTGAGTAAGAGAAAATCTGCTCTTTCTGCCTGTCTTCAAGCCGGGACATCAGTCTTCTCCTGCCTTTGGACTCTGGACTTACACCATCAGCTCTACTGGTTCTCAGGCCTTTGGACTCGAACTGGAACTACACCATTGGCTCTCCTGGGTCTCCAGCTTGGCAACTGCAGGTCTTGGGACTTGTCAGCCTCCACAATGATGTGAGCCAATTCTTTATAACAGTCTGTCTCTCTCTCTGTCTCTCCACAAACACATGCATTTTTTTTTTAGAAAAATATTGTATGATTTGTTCTGTTTCTCTGGAGAACCCAGACTACTACAGGGAGTCCGAAATTCAGCATTGGTTATGGTCAGTGTGAGATGTGGAGTAGGCAGGGAGAGGAGAGCTCAAGGGAGTAGAGAGTAGGTAATTGAACTGGATTTGAATCCTCCAAATCTGTCCCTTGACCTACTTGAAGTCGGTTTTCTCCTCTGCACAGTCCCTGGAATGGAATCCTTTCCTGCATCTCCTCTCCCCAGGTAGTCCTGGATTCCAGCTTTGTGTCCTCCTTGGCAAGCTCCCCTGTCCTGAAACTGCAGAGGGGCCACATGACCTCCACAGTCTGAACTGCTATTCCCTGTCCCTCTGTGGTCCTTTGCCAGGAGAAGCCCCCACCACGAGGTCAGGGGAGACCCTGAGCAGAGGAGTCTCCCCCCACCAGGCCAAGCAAGGAAAGAGCTCAGCTGGAAGGGGCTGGATTCATTCTCGCCTCTCTCCAGCCACTCCTGCAGCTCCTGGCTTCCTCGCAAGCCTCTCCATCAGCGCCCTCACAGGGCTTGGACACTTCACAGCTGCTGGGAGAAAGAATGGAATGGACCCAAGGACATCCAGGCAGGCCCAGGCCCTACCTGCTGGCGACTCGGGCAAGTCACTTTCTCTCTCCGAGTCTCGTTGTCCCATTCATCATAAAGGAACAGGCATTACTGCTATAGGGTTGCTGAGGATAAGATGCACCTTGTACAGCATAGTAATGAACGGCGGCAGAAAACAGGTCTTTTAGGCTCCTCTCCCCACCTAGCCAGCCTCTTTCCTTTCTCGGAGATGAGATTAGTTTACCCGCAAGCCCCGCCTGTCCTTTGGAAGCCAAATTTTACTACGGATGCAGGCAACCAGGGAATGGTTGCCAAGGGCCGGACTTTGAAAGGAAGGGCTGCTTGTTGCCTAGGAAACTGCCCCACTCCGGGTTCCCTGGGGTCCCAACGGTCGATGGGTCTTGGCGCCATCTGCCGGACACAGTACCACACTGCTTCTGAAGCTCCTAGACCCGGAGTCCCACAGCCTGTAGCAGGGAACACTCCTCTTCCCCTGCCCATTCTCCCCCACGACATCTCCACATAAAAGCTCTTTGCTCCTTTTGCCGCCAGGCTTTCCCAGAGATTAGAGGCATGGGAAGGAGTTGAAGTACTGTGGAGGGTGGGAGCGATGTCTTTCTCTACACAGAAAGAAAGAGGACAGGGAAGCAGGACTCCTGGTAGCCTGAGGTCCAAGAAAGTCTCTCCCTTAATTGCTTTCCTGAGGCTTGCCATCCACTTGGAAACTTTGTTTCCCACTATCTGCCTTTCCACAGGGAGGGAGGCATGGAAATGAAGAGGTTAAAGTTGAGGTAGGAGAGTGACATGTCGGTCACCCCAAGGTCCTGGTGCAACATCCCCTCCTGGGGAACCACTCAACTCCCACTGCTCCTAGACCGGAGTCCCCTTTTCTTCTCTGGGAGAACCTTCCTACCCACCTGACAGTTGCCAGGTGAACCCCTTGGAGCCTCAGATCGTCCTGCCCACTGGCAGAAGAGGGAGAAGCAGAAAGGTGCCTACTATGAGACTAGGATTCCTGAGTTCAATACCCACCCAAGGCAGACCCTGGGCTTGGCCACCCTGAGATCAGCCTGCCCTGAAAGGTGAAGGGGGAAGTGAAATATCTGAGGTTGGGATGCCTGGGGGTGGGGGTGTGCCTCTTTCCCTTTTAGGATCACAAGTAGAGAAACTGAGGCACAGAGTGAGCAAAAGGCTGCTCTTTACCTGTTCCAGGCTAATACCACATCTTGCTATCCAGATGTCCCCTCTCCAATTCTAGCTGGGCTGGGGTGGGGATGGGGGGCAAAGTTGACTTGGAAGCTGACACCCTGGCCCTCAGCCCAGAAGCTGATGTTGTCAATGGGCTTAAGAGCAGGTGGAGCAGGAGGCTGGGGACCAGGTCTCCTGGGTCCCTAAACCCACCTGTTTTCCCTCCTGAGCTGAGCCAGAAGGGTAAGCAAGGAGGAGGCTGGTGATGATGATGCCTGCACCCTGCAAGTGAGAAGCCATGCCCTGAGGACAATAGATGTGAGAGGTGGGGCTGGGTGCTCTGGCCTAGAAGAGGCTGCATGTGGCTGGAGGCTCCAACCTGGCCGCTGCCCTCTGTCCAGGTTCCCTGCCTCCAAACTCTCCTCAGCAGGAAGCAGGAGGGCTTCAGGGGTAAGGTGAGGTGGGCAGGGTTGGCCCCCCAACCTCCTGATTAGCTGAGTCTGAGTGTCAGGCTATAGTGGGGTCAAAGAGGCTGAGGTTGGAATGTGACCCTTACAAGCCAGAAGGGATCCTGAAAGAATAAAAAGCTCCAAGGAAGGGGAGAGGGAGGAGCTACCTCCCCCAACCCACCACGTCCCAATGGCTGGGTCCTTCCTCTCCAGCCCTGACTCCAGATGTGAGGAGAGAGGTGGAAGGAGAGACTGAGGGGAGCTGAGTGCCTCACAGCTGGGGCACTGCCCCTGCCTCCCCTCCACACTGACTGCCACTTCCTGACTGGCACTGGAGCCACAGAAGCTGAAAGGAGCCTCAGAGGGCTAGTCCAGTCCCCCTGAATGATTGGGTCATGCCATCTGAGGGCCCTGTTCGCAGTCCTTGGAGCCTGGGAGACAGTGAGGCCAGAGGTGAGGGCCACCCACTCCTCCTCCTCTTGGTCCCCCAGGGGGCACCAGAGATGGCCCCACTGCTACCCCCTGTGAGAGTAACTTGACTCTCCTGCTCCACATGCCTGCACTGAAGCCCAGGCCTCCCAGTCCCCTGGCTCTACCTGCTGCTCCTGTTCCTGCCCTGGCTGGGGGCGAAGCCAGCTGCCTAGGCTAAGTCCCTGCAGCTCCACCTGGCCTGCAGCTTTGACGCGCTGGCTGGGAGAGTGCACTGAGCCATTTCTTTTGCAGTGGCCTGGTGCAGGCTGCCTGAATGCTAATGTTGCTGCAAGGACCCTGGGGCACTGGCTGGTTGCACGCTGGCAGTGCACCCTCTCCCTGGGTGGCTACACCTTTGCGCAGATGCCGCTGCCCATGAGCTGGAACCTGGGTCACCACAGCAGCGTGGTTCAGCGCCTGTGGGGCCACATCTTCCACAATCTGGTGGTGAGCAGCCTGGATCACATGGTGCTGGGTGTGTGCCAGGGAGGGGTGAGGGGGTACCTGTGCTGCACAGACCTGGCTGGACCTCAGGGGGGCAGGTAGTACTGCTGACCAAGGCATCTCTGATCTGCATTTCTCCCAAATGTGGCTCTGGGCTGCCTCTGAATATCCACCTGCTGTGGCCTTCCTACCCAGAGTGTCTCTCCCTTTGTCCCACTTAAGCCTCCTGCACTGTGGCTGAATTTGCATCTCACAGTAAGTGTGTTTCCTGAGTCCAGACTTACATGCGTTTATTACCCAGGCAAGGGGAGGGCCCATAGGACACAGTAAGACTCATTTACTCATGCCTGTAATCCCAGCACTTTGGGAGGCCGAGGCGGGCGGATCACCTGAGGTCCGGAGTTCAAGACCAGCCTAGCCAACATGGTGAAACCCTATCTCCACTAAAAATACAAAAATTAGCTGGGCGTGGTCGTGGGCACCTGTAGTCTCAGCTACTCCGGAGGCTGAGGCAGGAGAATCGCTTGAACCCGGGAGGTGAAGGTTGCAATGAACCTAGATTGTGCCACTGCCCTCCAGCCTGGGTGACAGAGGGAGATTCTATCTCAAAAAAAAAAAAAAAAAGACTCATTTACTGAGCACCTGTAACCTTCCTCGTTCGTTCTCACATAATCCTTGCAATGAAGCCTGGAGGTGGGTGCTATGTCATCTGCTTTTCTTAGGACGCGTACTGTGGCAAGTCTCAGACCATATAACTAGATGCATGGAATTCCTCTAAAACAGTAATTCTCTAACTTTAGAACGTATCAGAATTGAGCGGCTGAGTAGCAACCCAGAGGCTCAGACCCCATCCTACTATGGCAAGCCTAGGACTTGTTATTAGCTCTCCAGGTGATTCTGACATGCACCAAACTTGCAGAGCCACTGTGCTAAAACCTCCTCTAGAAGGGCCATACTAATGCTACCATACCTTAAGGTGGAGATCACTGACTTACAAGGTAATTCATCCATTGGTCAGCTCTATTAACCAACTAGGTTTAGTTCAAAACGGAACTTCTCCCTTTGAACCACTCACGCTCTTGATTCAGAGTGACTTGGCATTTATCTGAAAACCCTTAGATCTTTCCCATCTCAACAGCTGGTCAAGGTGCTTCCTGCATGACTTTTGTAAACCAATGCACAAGACAAACCATGAAACAAGACAAACCATGAAACCATGTTTTGATCCATCCCCTCTCATCTTCAACCATCCCCTGGGACCTGGGCATTGTCCTCCCTCCCCGCTGGGTCACCTCTGACTCAGGTGCTCATCAAGGCCAGATTCCAGGGCACAAGGCCTCCCAGGACTGTCAATGACCCATTCACTTTGCAAGAACTCCTGGAGCAGATGTTGAACCAGCTCTGAGCCCACCTGATAGTCCTGCTGTCCAGCTCTTTCCTTTTTGTCCCTAGAAGCACAAAGCTAAAAAATGATGCAGTGAAAGGCTGGCCCCTGAGCAAGTAGCTCTTTGGCAGAAGGGGCCTGGGAGAAGGCAGGTATTAGCATGGCATGGCAGCAGGGAGCTGAGGGGCCCCTCCCTTAGCCATAGGAGTGTATCCAGATCTTCTCCTTGGTCTGCTCATTCCCGCCACCTGAGCATCCCCTGGCCATCTTCCGTGCCTCTGCCCACTTGAGTGGTATCTGTACCTTTGATGGACAGCTTTGTGCCCACTGCCCAACAACAGAGGCACAGGAAGGCAATGTGAATGTTCCAAAACCCCTCAACTCTAGGGGTATTCAGCAGCCCACGTGACAGTACTGTCTCCACCAGCCGGGGTTGAGGCTGGGAGGCAGGTCCTGAGCCACATACAAACAGTGGGAGCTGACCCACTCTGCTTTGTACCTACAGGTGTGTTTCGGCAGATGAGACCACAGGCGCTGGCCATGCTGTACTTCCACCTGTGCCCTGGCTGCACCATGTGGCATGATGAGGCTGCGGAGGGCGTTTTCCGGCAGCTGGGTGTGAGGCCCCGATGCTGGAATTCTACAGCCATGATGACCCCTCAACAATGCTGCCTGGCTGCAGGAGTTGCTGAGTGGCTTGCAGTAGGTGAAGCCTGGGAGACCTCCTGACATGGGGCCCACCTGCACCAGCACACCCCCACCCCACCCCCAGTACCTCAACACCCTCAAACCTTCCTGGGGAGGCAGGGCCTGGTGCCATACCCCCCAGCCCAACTCTGATGGGGCTCCAGCCACCCAATGGACAGGGCATACAGACAGGATAGTGGAGGCGTTGAGACCTGCTTGATTTATTCCAAGTATTTAATACACAATGACGCAACTGTGATCCCAAGTGTGCAAAGTTAAAGCCTTCGACTGCAGCTGAGGAGAAGGGAGGAATGGTTCACCTGGGGACGGTGGTGAGTCAGGAATGACAGGCAGGCGGCCATGACCAGGGCAGTCTCCTACCCATGGCCAGGGACAGGGGAGCGGCCTGAGGAGCAGGACCCAAGGGTAGCCCAGGGCCGGGGAAGGGGGCAGAGACCTCCCCTTGGCCTAGGTCAGGAGCTCAGAAGTGCCACATGGCTGAGGGGCAGCGGCCCGGGAAGGGCCAGAGGCAGGGCCAGGAGAGCACCATTTCCTGGGAGGCTAGGGGCAGGGAGGTGCCCTACAGGAGAAGCCAGGAGGGGCCGCCTGCCCCTGGGGTGGGGGCCAGGCTGGAGCAGGCTGCAGCAAGAAAGACCTGAGGCAGGCGCAGGGCCTGAGAGCCTGGCTGGCTGGGCTCGGAGGGGGGCTCCCAGGGCAGCCTGGCCCCGGGAGCAGTCCTGACTCTGCAGGGGATGCCGAGTGAGGGGCAGCAGTCCCCTCAGGACCTCCCCTCCTCTCTGCCTGGAAAGGAGCTGGAGAACCCGTAGTGCAAATCTGTGGACCACTCAGTTATGGAGGGAGGCTGTGCCCAAAAGTGGACACTGGGGTGCATCCCCTCCACCACCTCGGCCTCCACCGCTGTCCTCAGTACAGCCGCTTTTCGTAACTGTGGGGACAAGGCAAGAGGGGGAACAAGAGTGGGTGTGTGGACCCTGCTCCTTCCCAAAACCCTTTCCCCAGGGCCCCCAGATGTAGGAGAGAACAGAGAGCTGAGAAGCCCTGAGATCTCAGCCGTACGGCGCAGGAGGAGGGCCTGGAGCAGGCCCTAGGCCTCTGTCCTCCCCCAGGCCAGCATTCCCTGAAGAACCATGCTGGGTGCAGAGATGGCCATGCTCCTTTGGGCCATCGCCACATCTGAGTGGATGTCCTCAGTGCCCAGGGTGGAGGGACAGCTCAGGCAGGCATGGCCCATCCTCATGGAGCAAACTCCAACCTGGAGCCGAACCTCTGCTGCCCATGTCCGCACCCAGCCCCAGCCCTGCAGGCACAGTGGCCTAGGCTGCTTGTGGTCACTGGGTCCAGTCTAAAATGGGGCAGCCTTAGGCCTGAGGTCACGGGCATCTCTCTGCAGCCAGAAAGGGATATGTGTTTCAGCTGGATGAGGGGACACTGCTGGTTTCCTCCATCATGGTGTTGGAGTTAGGGGGCCGGGGGGGCCCAAACCCAGGGTCCACATCTCATGGTTACACCCCAGCACCCTCCTACCCCCACCCAATACCCACCCCCACCTCCAGCCCAGGTCCCACCCAGACTGCCCCTGCTCTACTCTACGCTTGGCCCGGGCAGCGCGGTTACTTACACGGCAGAAAGGTATAGCTACGGAAGGGTGGGGCGGAAAGAGACACAGGTTAGACGCCCGCTGATACCTGGGGACAGGGCTCCTGACCAGGGTGGGGCACATGCCTGCAACTACTGCTGCCAACGAGCACTGCCCCCGCCCACGGTTGCCCCAGCGCTGGCCCTGGCGTCCATCTCTCTGCCCTTGTACCCGCCAGAGGGGTCACACCCGCATCTTCTGCCTGGCTGCCTGGTGCCACCACAGCCCCTGCCACCAGCCACCAAGCTTCCTGAGCAAGCAAGGGCTGGGAGTCCAGGTGCAGTGACTGGCCACACCTCCTGTGCCCTGCTCGGGAGAGGCCCGAGGGGAGGGGAGGGCCTGCTTGCATGGGGACTAAAGGACAAGGAACAGGGGGCTGGGCCCCCGAAGAGAGGGTGAGGGGCCATCCTGCAGCAGCATCTGTCCCTGCTGCAGGTGGTCCATGGGGTCCCTGGAACCTCAGCTTGACCTCAGAACCCTGGCCCCACCTGCCCAACCCACTGCCTCCAAGTGACAGCAAGGAGGCCACCACACTTACGAGTGCAGGCCATGGACACCACCCTCAATCTGGGCCGACATGGTCCGCTTCTCAAACTTGAGCTCTCCTGAGTACATCATGGACCTAGGAGGAAGGTAGGTGGAGCAGATCAGGGCCACCAAGGGTGGAGAAGAGCGAGAGAAAGGAAGCAGGAGCCACCCCCAGTCTCAGCACTCACCGAAGGACAGACAGGCTGCGGGCCCCGATATCCTGGCAGCCGTGTTGGATGCCTGCTATGAGGTAGGGCACGAACTTCTGAATGGATCCTTTGTCCTGGATGGAGCCCGAGACACCCTGCGCGATCTTCACTTTATCCCCCTCGCTGCGTGGAGGGTGGAAGACTGAGCCCAGCAGCTTGAAGCTCAGAGGACCCCACCCCACCTCTTAAGGGCAAAAACGGGATACCGCCCAGGAAGGTCCCCCAGGCCACCCCTCACTGGGCTGAGTCAGATGGCCCAGGGACAGATCCTGGGTCTGCTACTTAAGCCCTGTGCCTCAGTTTCCAGAACCACCATATGGGGACTGGCTGCCATCTGGGGAAGTCGGTGGCATGAGCGGGCCCTGAAGGGTTGTGGGCTGATCTGCCCAGGTGGGGCCCAGGGTCAGGGAACCTGAAGTATCGTTTCTGGCTGCTGCTGCTCTTCTCCATGGCATCCAGTGAGCCCATGCCCCGGTACTTCTTGAGCCGCACCCCGTCTGAGAAGAAGTACTCGCCAGGGGCCTCCGTAGTGGCGGCCAGCAGGGAGCCCATCATCACTACAGTGGGCAAGGGATTAGTGCCTCCAGCCCACTAGTGCCACCCCCCCAGCTTCCAGCCCTCGCCTGCCCAATCCCCAGCACATTCTCCCCTCACCTGTGGAGGCTCCAAGGGCCAGGGCCTTGACCACGTGTCCCACGGTCTGGATGCCGCCATCGGCTATGATGGGCACACCAAAGCGCCGGGCATACTCAGCCACCTTGTACACAGCAGTGCCCTGGGGCCGACCACAGGCCATCACTGGGGGAGGGTGGGGTGCACAAGGCAGAGAAGAGTCAACAGCAACTCCGGGGCCTGGAGCGGGGCCAGCCCAGCTCTTCCTCCTGTGCACTACCTCTACTCAGGAAAAGGGACAGGGCTGGATGGTGTGTCTGAGGCATAACATAGGTGCTGGCAAATACCACCAGGATGAGTGTCACTCTAGGGATCTGGGCCACCCCACCCCTAAGAGCATGACAGGGGATTCTGACGGGGGAACCAGAAGCGGCCTTCAGAGCCCAATGCCCCCAGACAGGTGGCCCCAGCCTCACCTGCTCTCAAGGCACAAGTTCCCCTTCAAGGCTTTTGTTTGCAAAAACCGTTACCAGGGTTAGGTACTATGGTCCCCTTTGGGATACTGGTTTGCATTTCTTCAAGTCTAAGTGTCCAAGGTCCTTCAGTGTTAGGTTTTAGGTGGGGACTACAAGGAACCACACCTGTCTAGGGACGGATGCAAAGCTGGATAAACCAGAGATGGCGCCTCTCATTTGTTTTGTCCCTACTCTACCTCAAAGCTTTGAACAGTGCCTGAGACAAGTAGGTGCCTAATGAATATTTGTTAAGTGGGTGAGAGAGGGCCCTCATTTCACCATGGTGGCCACCTAAGGCGAAGGGCACAAACCTAAATAGCAGAGGCTCTGAGGACCAAAAGGGGGAGCTGTTTGGGGTAGGAAAGGCCAAATGCATCACTCAGTGTTTTGGAGAAATTGCCCTCACAGGAGGGGCCGGGTACATCTCCTCAGGCCAAGTGAGGACCCAAGTCTTCCAGGCAGCCACCCCACAAGTCAGATACCAGCCTCCAGGGAGCACCTCCTCAATAACCACATGGGGGACACATGCCAGGCTCCCCCCTTCCCACTTCATGTTCAGGAACCCACCCTGCAAAAGGGCTTTGTAATTGGGTGGAACTCCCCACGCCCAACCACATGGTGAAGCAGGTGTATAACATATCTTTATATATTCAGGGACATGTCGTCTCTGTGTCTTAAATATCTGCCTTGTCACAAATCAAATCCAAACCCTGAGGTTCCAACAAGCCCCATGGACAGTCACACCAGCCCCAGGCCCCAAGCCCCAGGCAGAGCCCCCTTGACCGCACTCTGAGAAGCAGGCTGCAGCTCTTGCACCCTGCTTACACCTGCCTTCCCCTAAGTCAGTGGGCCCGATGGGGTGGGGCCCATGCCTGGGTCACCCCGGAGCCTACCATGGCAGAACAGGGCCTGGCAGAGAGAGTACTTGATATACATCTGGGGAACAAAGGCGAGGCCCCGGGGCCAGCGGGCACTCGCTCACCTCCTGACACCCACCTTCCTGGGTGATGCAGATGGAGCCGCAGCCCATGCCCACGCGCAGCCCGTCCACACCAGCATCAATCAGGTTCTTGGCCTGGGCTGCTGTCACCACTGGGGGTGGGGATGGGGCAGAGGAACAATGTGAGGATGGGATGCCCCTGCCTGCCCAACAGCCTCTTGGGACCCCAGTCTAGCACCCCCCAACCCCCCTACAGTGACCAAAGCCCATCATGCTCCCTGCCACCCATGCCAGGAGCCATACCATCACCTAGGGATGCTGAAGGACAGAAAAGGGTTACTCATTGGAGGGGCAGGAGCAGGCGGGTGGGAGGCGACCCCGCACTCACCGTTCCCCCCAATCACCTGGAGGTGGGGGTACTTCTGTTTGATGTAATGCACCATGGCGATCTGATACACCGAATTCCCTTGGGACGAGTCCTGTGAGAAAGGACGGAAGAGCTTGGGCTTAGACAGCTGAGGATTCTCAAGGCAGGAGGGAGAGCCTGAGTGGATGAACCCCTCAAATCCTATGAAAACTGTTATGAGAATGCTCTTTCCTTCTGGTTGTTTTTTTTTTTTTTTTTCTGGAAATTCACTTGACAACTTTCAGTCAATTCTCAAAGGGGACTGCTTCCCTGAAAGGTTAACCACAACTAATGCAGTCTTAGAGTACATAAGGCCTTTCCTATCCATTGTACAGACTGATCCTTAAAGCAAGGAGACACTGCCTGGAGCCATATCCTGTTCCCACCAACTCACTAACCAAATGAAATGACTTAACTTCTTTAAGCCTGTTTCTTCATCTGAAAATGGAATGGCGACTGTTCCTCAATGGACTGATATACATTAAGGTCTTGACGCAGTGCCTGGCAAACAGGCGGTTCTCAGTAAACGTGAGCTAAATTATCAGGGTCAACTTATGAGCCAAGAAGGCCCTCAGAGGCCTTTGTTTGCAGTCTGTTGTGAGCTGTTGAGAGGGTGCCAGTGACCTTCCTAATTTCTCTTCCTCCTAGTTATAGAATACAGATGAATCTAGATGTATGGTCCAGATCACTCACAAGGGATCAATAAGCCTTTATCTTTATTCTACCTCCCTTTATCGGGGGGTGGGGGAGAGTCTTGATTTGCAATTGTTGCTTGCAACAATTTGTCAATTTTTTTTTTAAGGATTCAGTGGGTACATGTGCTTGTTGCTTAAATGGAATACTGCATACTGGTGAGAATTGGGCTTCAAGTGTACCTAATACCCACATATCGAAAACTGTGTCTGATAGCCAATTTTTCATCCTTCGTTCCCCTCCCACCCTCTCCCATTTTGGAGTCCCCAGCGTCTATTATTTCCATCTTTATGAACATGTGTACTCTCTGTTTAGCTCCTACTTATAAGTGAGGGCATGCAGTATTTGGTTTTCTGCTTTGGAGTTAGTTCACTAAGGATAATGGCTTCTAGCTCTGTCCATGTTGCTGCAAAGGACAGGATTTCATTCTTTCTTATGGCTGTGCCACTGGAGAATTTTAACTTGTTTGTTTTCTTTCTTTGTATCTCAGATGACACAAACCATTGTTTGTTTTTTGAGAAAGGGTCTCGTTCTGTCCCCAGGGCTGGAGTGCAGTGGCACGATCCTAGCTCACTGTGACCTTGAACCTCTGAGCTCAGGCAATCCTGCTGCCACCCTCCTAATTCTGACACCAGGGAGCACTCAGAAAGAGAGAGGAAGAGTAGCAAGGGAGGGGCACAGGCTTAATCAGAGGTGAACCTGGGTCCTCATAAACCTCCACTCTGCTGAACCACTCATCCATCTCCCCCACCACTCAGGCGGGGGCCTTACCAAGACTATGACGTCGACGCCCGCCTGGGTGAGCAGGTCCAGACGGTATTTGTCATCCTCACGGGTGCCCACAGCTGCCCCACAGAGCAGCTGCTTCTGGGAATCCTTGGAGGCCAGAGGGTAGTCTCGGTTCTTCTTCAGGTCGGTGCGGGCGATGATGGCCACCAGCTCATCGCAATCATTGACGATAGGCAGCTTCCCTGACAAGGAATGCAGGGGTGAAATGAAGCAGGCTTGGTGGGGAGAAGTTTGGGAGATGTTTAGGAGGGTGAAGATGAAAGTGGACCACTCCAGAGATTCCACTGAAGTACCCCAGTCAGCCACTAGGTGACAGCACCGCCCCCAGGAAGTGTTCCTAGGGACCTAGCCCTCTTCCCAAGGAACAGGGAGCAAAGAAATCTTTCAGCCCAGCAGGTTCCTGGGGGTCTGTGGATGGGCATCCCCGTGGCCTGGGATGGGCAGCCCGAGCACTGGCAGCCTTTCACCTGCTGGGCCACAGTGGCCGAAATCTCCTAGCCAGG
This sequence comes from Homo sapiens, assembly GCF_000001405.40. Taxonomy (NCBI): domain Eukaryota; kingdom Metazoa; phylum Chordata; class Mammalia; order Primates; family Hominidae; genus Homo; species Homo sapiens. Next base: position 128,398,935 of record NC_000007.14, read on the forward strand.
AGTGATGCTGTCCTGCAGGGAGAAGCATGTGCCCTGTCCAATACAGACACCAAAGAACCCTCCAGTATGGACCAGGGAAGCATTTCCCAGTATAGCCAACAGGGACCTGGTGAATATTTAATTTTTCCTTTTTTTTTCTAACAAGCGAAAGTTGGCCGGGTGTGGTGGCTCACAGCTTCCTCACTTTGGGAGGCCGAGGCAGGTGGATCACTTGAGGCCAGGAGTTCAAGAACAGCCCGGCCAATATGGTGAAACCCCATCTCTACTAAAAATACAAAAAAATTACCTGGGTGTGTTGGTGTGTGCCTGTTGTCCCAACTACTCGGGAGGCTGAGGTAGGAGACTTGCTTGAACCCAGGAGGCAGAGATTGCAGTGAGCCAAGATCACACCACTGCACTCCAGCCTGGATGAGAGAGCAAGACTCTGTCTCAAAAATAAATAAATAGAAGCCAAAGTTGTGGCAGGGCATGGTGGTTCACGCCTGTAATTCCAGCACTTTGGGAGGCCCAGGAGGGCAGATCACTTGAGGCCAGGAGTTCAAGACCAGCCTGGCCAACATGGTGAAACCCCATCTCTACTAAAAATACAAAAAAAAAAAAAAAATTAGCTGGTATAGTAGCACATGCCTGTAATCCTGGCTACTCAGAAGGCTGAGGCATGAGAATTGCTTGAACCCAGGAGGCGAGGGTTGCAGTGAGCTGACATTGCGCCACTGTACTCCAGCCTGGGTGAGAAAGTGAGACTCTGTCTCAAAAAAAAAAAAGCTAAAGTTGTTTCTAGCTGGAAAATATTATAAAAACAGCTCTAGTGTCAAATAAATTTAACTGCAGGACTTCTGAGAGCCTTTAATAAGTGAATGTGCAATTCTTTATGCAAGATAGGGGATAGAGAAAGGAGTTATTGCTCAGGATTTTTTTCTGATGAGCATCGCATAGGACTAGTTTTGGGAAACATACTATGAAGATGCTGCACTAGGGGCAAGCTTCCCTAAGCTAAGAGAAGGATGGCAGGAGTTGTGCTCTGGCCTGCCTGAGGTTATTCGAACCTTCCCCAGGGCTCAGTCTGGTTGCTGGGATAACCTGTAAGGCTGTGAAGGAACAACGGGACTGTGGACAGGGAGTCAGGCTGGGGGTTGAGTTTTCAACTAGCTCCCTGGTACCTTTCTTGCTACGCTGCAGGATCTCATTTGCCTCTTTCAACGTCACACCTGCTGGAGCCACCACCAGTTCAATCCTTGGCGTCATCACCTGTGGGGCCAGGAACATTTGCCTGCAGGTTGGCAGGTGAGAGAGAAGGAGCCAGGCCTCCCTCTGGTCCCTGGTCACAGGCACCAGTCTGAGGCCCCAGCGTGAGGGTCCTCTCTACACCCAGCCCTGCTTCCCCTGCCCTGCAGGTACCTCACTGAGGAGGGTGGTGTGGTCCTTCTCAGCAAGAAAGTCGATGTCTCGGGAGGTGACGATGCCCACCAGCTTGCTGCCCATGGTGCCCGTCTCAGTGATGGGGATGCCAGAGAAGCCATGCCGCATCTTGGCCTCCAGCACATCGCCCACAGTGTGCGAGGGGCTCAGCACCACAGGGTCCGTGATGAAGCCCTGTTCAAACTTCTGCGGGCAGAGATGGGGGAGGAAAAGGCTGGAAGAAAGCCAGGGATGATGTCCAGGCTGGCCACAGGGAACAGAGGATGCAGCTGTGCTGCAGAGAAGCCAGGACCCTCAGTGGGATGAGGAGCCAGTGGGAAAATGAGGGCTCGGCCCCAAGGCTCCACTGAGAGGAAGGACACGCAGGGAGTGTAGCAGTGCAGGGCTGGCAGGGGAGGCTGGGAGGGCCTCTGAGGTGGGGACTGCCAGGTGGCATCTTGCTGGGGACAGGCCTGGTACTTGCCTTGACCTTCCGCACCTCGTTGGCCTGGAACTCTGGGGTGCAGTTGTGGTGAATGAAACCAATACCTCCCATCAGCTGATGTAGAAGGGAAGTGTGGTCAGAGCCGGGGCCCATTCCTCCTCAGCCCTGCCCCTCAGCACAGCCCACCATGGTCAGTTCCTGTGTGCCCTGGAGTCCCCATGCAGGTGTGTAACTCACAGCCATGGCAATGGCCATGTCAGCCTCTGTCACAGTGTCCATGGGGGAGGAGATCAGTGGCGTCTTCAGCGTGATCTTCCGGGTCAGGGCTGAGGTCAGGTCCTGAGGATGGAGGCACAGCCCACGTAAAGAGTTTATCACCCACTGGACACTCACTCACTGAGCTCCTACATGCACCGGCACCAGGACAGGCCCTGGGGACATGGCAGTGAACAAGGTGGATGAGTTCCCAGCTCATCTAATGGAGCTTATGTTCTACTTGGAAAGAAAAATGACAGACACAGGACATATGCTCAAGATGACTTCAGTCAGGATGAAGGCTGCAGAGAAAAACAAAAAGGCCAAGCGACCACTGGCAACAAGGTGACTGGGGAAAGCCTCTTTCCTGGGAGGTGACCAGTGGGAGCCGATTAAGTAGAAGTCAGAGGGGCTGTCACTCTCGGCTGAGGGACTGAGTGCAAACCCGCCTCAGGGTCCAGTTCTTTCGGAGGCACACTTAAGAAAGAAAAAGAAGGCCAGGGGAGTGGAGGGAAGGGAGAGGCAGGAGGAAGGCAGGGGCAGCATGCATGGCCGTGAAGACCACGGACAGAAGCTCAGATTTGATTCGGAGAGAAGCCACTGGAGGGTCTTGACAGAGAAATGATCTGATTTATGTTTCAAAAAGGTCACTCAGGCTCCAAGGTGGAGAATGGATTCTGGGTGACAAGGGCTGAGGTGGGGGTAGGCATGGAAAAGAGTCTTTTAGGCATCCAGGAAAGCAAGCAACGAATGGTCTGGAGCTCAGGAGAGTGGTCAGGATTGCAAGTATCCATTTAAAAGCCACCTGCCCATGGAGGAAAGGCCAGAGCACATACCCCTCTGAGGGTCAGGCCAACAGTAGTGGATCCCAGTCCCCAAGACATTTGTGCAGACTTTGCTATGTAATTTTTTTAGATTCAAAGTCCCTGAAACCCATCACTAACCCTAGTTCAGACCTCTGGCCCCATGATCTAGAAAACACCATCTTCTCTTTTGTCATGCCACAGAAGGGCCACAGCCTTCCTGACAGAAGCCACAGGACAAGGAGATCCTTGCCGGCCAGGCAGGGTTTTTTTTTTTTTCTCTCTCTGATGGAGCCTCATTCTGTCACCCAGGCTAGAGTACAGTAGTGCAATCCCGACTCACTGCAACCTCCGCCTCCCAGATTCAAGTGATTCTCCTGCCTCAGCCTCCCGAGTAGCTGGGATTACAGATGCCCGCCACAATGCCCAGCTAATTTTTGCATTTTTAGTAGAGATGGGGTTTCACCATGTTGGCCAGGCTGGTCTCAAACTCCTGACCTCAGGTGATCCTCCTGCCTCAGCCTCCCAAAATGCTGGGATTACAGGCATGAGCCACCACGCCCAGCTGGTAGGGGTCTTTTCAATCCCTCCCTTCCTAGCAGCCAGCCCAGGGTCTGACACAAAGCCACACTGGCCAGTAAACTTTGTTAAACTGAACAGCTGCACCAAGCAGGCTTCCTGGTTGTTGTCATAAGGGAAACAACCAGAATCATTCGAATTTCCCCCTGAAAATCTGTCTGGGTCAGCTCTGGCTAAACACCAGCTGGATGTGAACTTCCCTCACATGTAAGTGATCCAGGCACACTCAGGCCCTCTGGCCTTTCATGAGAATCAGACCAGAATAAATAGCAATAATAATAGCAACAGAAAAGAAATGTTTTTTTTTTAATGTATATGAATTCATCATTGAATCATGGCACTTTTTCTTGAAATGACTTACACCATCATCACTACCCATCTGGGCTTCTCTGAGTTTATCATATGTTAATTGTTCATTGATTCGGCTCACTGATGAGCCCCTCTGGGAAAGCAAGGCACTGCGTTTCCTTGTATTTATCCAAAATGTAACTCTTTTAAACCCTCTTGCCAGTTCTTGTACATTGTGGATCAGTGAACAAGTCTGTCTACCGGTTTCAAATCTCCATAATTTCACTGGCTTCTATCATGTCCTTGTTCAGCATTCCAGACAAAATCCAATCCTTATGGTCTCTACAATAAGGCAGCCACTCCCAAGCCCACCGTTCCCACTCCCAAGCCCACCCCTTCCCAGGCCTCTTCTGAACCTGCCCACAGGCTCTGTCACTGACAGAGAGCCACCCAGCCCTGGGCCAGGCCTCACTCAGGACACTCCTGTGTTCCCATAGCTGCCTCTGCCCCATCAGGTATAACCCTTTGATCTCTGCCTGTTTCTCTGGCAACAATAAAGGCTATATCCACCCATACCAGCTGGGTGGAATCACCCCTGTAATCACAGCGTCTTCGGAGGCTGAGGCGGACGGATCACTTGAGCTCAGGAGTTTGAGACCAGCCTGGCCAACATGGTGAAACCCCGTCTCCACTAAAAACACAAAAATTATCGGGGGGTTTTGGCATGTGCCTGTAATCCCAGTTACTCAGGAGGCTGAGGCAGGAGAATCACTTGAATCTGGGAGGTGGAGGCTGCAGTGAGCTGAGATCACACCACTGCACTCCAGCCTGTGTGACAGAGCAAGACTCTGTCTCCAAAAAAAAAAAAAAAAAGGACTATATCCTATCCACCCATTCCCAAGAAAAGTCTCTCCATCTCTCCATGCCCTGCCCCTGAGCAAGAAGTCAGCCTCTTCCACCACATACACAGCCCCCTCCCCTTGTCAAAGGAAGAGGTACTCACCACCTCATCAGCTATGAAGTCTATGAATCCTGGGAGAATCAGGAAGTCGCTGTGAAGACAGAGAAGTGAGTGTTATTAGTGGGGAGGGGTGCCCCAAAGGGGCAGAGCCTGCCATGCCAGAGGAGGCAGCAGGGGGGTACAGAAAAGCCTAGAGGAGCAGAGGCTACAGCCCCCCATCCCTACTGCCCCATCAGGGCAGTTCCCACCTCGTGCACCTCACTAGAGTCTGGCAAACTCCAGCCCCCAGAGCTAGAGCCAAAGACAGCGAAAGGTCTACTGGGGTACCATCAAGGTAATAGGCCCAAAATATCCATTGCCTTTAAGTCTCAGAGTTTGTCAAGCGACACAGAAGTTCCCATATCGCCACACACAGCAGACACAGTGCCTGCCTTTGAAAACTTCTCAATCTTGATGGGGAGAGAAAATAAGTAAACATTGGGAACAAACCTGAGAACAATTTTGTGGCGCTCAACACAGTATGAACATGACCCAGCACAGGACAGTCCGCATGCCCCGGTGCCTGGGCTGCTGAGTCACACAGGGCTCGGAACAGCATGGAGGGACCCCAGGGGGCTGAGTGCAGGGCATGTTCTGACAGAGCAGAACAGAAATGGCCAGGACGGGAAAGGGGAGGAAAGAGGCCTTAGAGGTGGGACCAGGACACTGGGTCCCCAGCCAAAGCATGGCAGCTACCAACACTAGGGTGGGCCACGGTCACAGCAAACTCCGCAAGGGAAGTGCAGGCCTGCATGGGTACATCTAGGTGCAGGGTCACAGCTCAGGGGCCCCAACCTGCTAAAATCACAGCAGGCCTTGAGAGACACACCCAAAAGCAAATATCCCACACTTCAGGAACACTATGAACTGAGCTAAGCAAAGCAGCAGGCATCCCTAGCGCAGGAAGGAAAAGCCACAGGGTGGAGGGGGGTGGGTCATTAATCTGCCCTAAGGCCTAGAGAAACTCCTAGGCGTTCCCCTAGGGTGTTCTCCTAGAAGACTTCAATGACAACTGTATCAAAGGTGGGCTTTCAATCTCATCACCAAAGACCACCAAAAAAACAAAGAATTTCGGCTGCTCCCAGCCTTTGGCAGCCCTTCTTCTGTATAGCAAAGAGGCCACAGAAGAAATGCTGGAGTCTGGGCCTCATAGCATTTTCTAGGTGTTCTATACACCCGTCGCCTACGGGCAGGCAGGAGGAGACACTCCTCAGGAGTGACTGGGTATCCTGGTGTTTAGGGAAACTGCTGGCCAAGCAGGAGTGCTTACAAGCCAGGGCAGGGCTGGCAGGAGACAAGGCAGGGATGCTTTTGACTGGCCAGCATCCCCACTCTGCCCCTTCTGATGCTCCTTCCTGGCAGGGGCACAGTCCTGCAGCCAGGAGGCAGAGCTAGTGCCAGGCCTGCAGCACGCAGGGCAACTGGCCTAGGGACCACGGAAAAGGCAAATGAAGCCAGAGGCAGACGGGTGGGTCTGTGTCCTCCTCCAAAACCCCATGTAGGGTGGGCTTAGGGGTAGCAGTCACAGAATAATTCGCGCCTTGGGAGGGGCACCAATACCAACCTGTGGGCAGGGAGGGACACAACTGGAAAAAGCGCTGGACTAGACAGTTGGAAAAGAAGCCACCCCAACCACCTGGCTGGGCCTCTCCTGGGGCCATGCGGAAGCGGCTGCTTAAGCTTGGCTCCGGGGACCCTCTGCCCTCGTGGTGAGGCTGGGAGGGGGCGTCCTGGACCAGCGGCTGGGAAAAGTCTCCCCATAATGCCCACATCTCCAGTTCCCACACGCCCGAGGGCCCCTCCATGCCGCTGAGAGGAGGAAGGGGACAGGCCGAACCCGGATCTGGCCAGAAACGGGTCAGGGCTCTGAGGGCCGCGGTGTCGCCGTGCCACGTCCGTCTGCTCCGGCGCGGGCCTCCTTCCTTCCCGTGCCCAGCCCCCAGCGCCCACAGCAGGCACTCGCACCGGGCAGGGAACGCCGGGGGAGCCGCGCACGTGCAGGGCCGGCCCGGGGGTCGCGGCGCGTGGATGCGCGCACCTAGGGGTACGAGACCCGGCGCTTACTTGTAGGTGAGGCCGTCGGCGCTGGCGAAGAGCTGCTGCGCGGTGAGCCCATCCTCGGGCACGTAGCCGGTGCCGCCGCTGATCAGGTAGTCCGCCATGCTGCCGCGAGACCCCGCGACCCGACATAAACACCCGCGCGGCCGCCCGCCGCTGCCGCCGCTGCTGCTGCTGCTACTGCTGACGCCGCGCCGCGGCCACGCTGCTGCCGCGGGCCGGGCGGGCCGGGGGCGGGGGCGGGGGCTGCGGCAGCGGCAGGGCGGGCCAGGGCGCCGCCCTGTCCTCCCGCCCCTCCCGCCCTTCTCGCCCCTCCCGCGGAAACCGCCGCCTCCGCCCGCGCCGCACAAAGGGCTCAGCCGCGCCGCGCGCACGCCCCCAGCTGCCTGCAGCGGCGCTGCGACCCCGCAAGCCCGGACCGGGTAGGAGGTGTGGGGCTGCGGGGGAGAGTACCGGGTCAGGCCGGGACACGCCCCCTCCGCCGCTCTACATCCAGCCACCCAGGACCCCCCAGCAGAGGCCCCACCCCCCCACACCCCCACACCCCCCACCCCCCCCACCCCCGAGTTCTCCCCCAGCCGGGGCCACCCACCTTGCCCTTCTCCCCAGGGCACCTCTAACACGGTTCTGCCGTTCCCCAATCCCCAATACTCTTCCGCGGACCCTGATCAAGGCCCGGAGCCCTGAGAAACCGGTCTGGGCTCTCAGCTACCCAGCACTAAGGACTTTGAGGTTGGATCGCTATGCCCCATCCCGACATCCTAGGGAGCCGGCATTCTTCATAATGACACTCCTTGACCTTTGGGTGGCCTTGGGGCCCTCTGCAGTTTACAAAGCATTTTTCATAAATGAGCACATTAACTCCACAATCTATTAATTGACAAGTATTGGGTACCCATTCCCTTGACAGAGGCAAAATCTATAGTTCGGAAAGGAAGGGAGGGGTACTGCTTCTGATTCATGGCCCAGTGCTTCGGCTCACCGCCCTATCTCCGGCTGAGAAAATGGTGTTGGTACCAGGGCTTTTAATCTCAGAGAGCGGTTTGTTATTTGGGAGGGTCCTGCGGTGGGAAGATGGGGGAGGATCATAAGCCTGGCTTAGACAAGTGTGCATACAAATAAGAACAGGGGCTAGGGAACTTCTGAAAAATCCCCAAAGCAGAAGTTGGTGGCCCTGGGTGCCCAGCAAGATCCAGATTTCTACATGGGGGCAGTGACTGGGTACAGATAGGTTCACATGGGGAAAGGTGGGGTGGTAGGAAGTAGATCCCCTTCCCTCTTATGGGACCAGAACTGCCAGTGCTCTTCCCAGACCAAGAGTGGGTCCCCCCACCCAGACTCCACAGCCTCCTCCCTGTGTCCTCCTGTGGCTCCCACAGCTCACTTGGGGAGAAGAGAATAAGGTGGTGTGGGACACAGTCCCCTCCCTGGCTTGGTGGCTGGCTGTGGCCCTGGGAGGCTGGGTTTATTTACTTCTCAGCAGTGTGATGGCAGCTAGGCCCAGGGGAGGCTTGGCCTCCAAGCCACGAGGTTCCCTGGGATGCCCAGCCTCCCCCATTGATGCCCCCGGGACCCTGCCAGGAAAACACAGACTGTTCCATCTGTGTGCAGAGGGGAGGCTGGGGCCGGATTGCCAGCGATGTGTGGGAAGCACCTCTGAACCTTCAGCATTCTTGGGCTCATGCAGGGAGCCCGGGCCACATGGGGGACCAGGGGAGCGTCCTGAGGAGCACCAGCACTAGGACCTTTCACTGGCCACGTGGAGCAGAGCAGTGAGACCAGCCACAGAAAGTGCCTGACCATTCAGAGCTGCTCTGGGGTACCTTTCTGGCCACAGAAGAACAGAGCTATCATGCCAACTGCAGGCACAGAGCAGAGATTGGCACACAGCAGAGACCAGCCCAGTGGTCTCTCTGGGTTACTGGGTCACTAAAGGACCTGCTCTGGGTCACTGTCCCCTACAGTATGAGTTAGGAATGGCTAGAGTACTATTCAGGATTCAACCAGAGCCAGGGCCCAGGAGAGCAGCTGGATTTTACCATCTCAGGTGACCTGACTGTGACATCTGCCCCAGCCTTCTTAGGCTGCCTGGCTGAGGCATGGGGAGGGTCACCTTCCCAGTGATTACAGACTTCATGGCCCCACTCCCCTCTCCTGCTCCCCTACACACCTCCCACTTTAACCTGTGTTGGGCTCCTCATCACTCTAAGCTGCTGGGCTCAGCCCTGGGTTAGGCTGTGCTTTTCCAGAGACTCCGCTAATCCACCCTCAACCCCCACTCTCATACACCCTCTTCCTGATCTTCCCCAGCTGCTTCCTCCATGGGGAGGAGACACCGAGGCAACCAGTCGGCCTCCGAAGCCGAGGAAGGGCTGTTGTTCCCTGAGACCCCCACCTAGCAGCTGTGGGGATAGGAAGGCAGGTCCAAGCCCCTTCCTCAGGGTAGCAGGGCAACAGTGCCCAGCTGGGTACTGAGGTCCAGGCAGGGAACCCCGAGGGCTCTATCAGGCCTGGGGCTATTTGAAGGAACAAGATTTCAAAACACTCTTGAGGGGAAGATGGGGGAAGGGCAGAAAAGGTAGTAACATTAGCACTGTTGAGCTGGGTCGGGGGCATAGCCTGTCCAAGTTCAAGCCAGAGAGCAATAACACTGGATTCAAACCCAGGACTGCTCACAGAATCCTGTCCTCTTCCCACAGCTCCAGGTTGGCGAAGGCAGGTGGAGGTCTGGCCAGCAGGTTTTGAATCTCACTACACCACCTGGCTGGGGCTCAGGTTTACACAGGCTCCCTGAGCCCAAGTGGGGGGTGCGGGTCGGTTGGGGGTGGGGGTAGGGATGGCCCCTTGATGCAGAAGTGCAATCTGGAGAAAGGATGCACTCACATGGCTCCGGCCTGAGCTCTGAAACATTATGTTTGCAACCCCTACTCTAACCAAGCACTGCCTCTGTCAAGCCCCAACCGGCTCATTCAGCCCCTGTGGCCCCTCCCTATCGCCCTGCGGCCTGAACCCCAGGAGCTGGATTTCTAGGACAGGAGAAAGGCTGGGAGTTGCCTAAGCCTGAGTCAATTCTAGAGAGGCAGCCTGCCAGGACAGGGGGGCCTAACTCAGCAGCCCCACTGCCGAGGAGCCCCTTAAGCCGTTAAAAGTTCTTACATAAGCGGCCAACCCCTGGGCAGAGCTGCCGGGCTAATTCCCCCAGACCACCCCCATCTAACCCAGCTGCCAGGTCACCTCCCCAAGCTGCTGAACACCAGCAGATGGGCAGAGAAAGAAGTCCAAATCCTCTGGACCGGAAGGACAGTGGGATTGCATTTCAAGCTGCGATACAATCCAGAGATTAGCTGCTGTCTCCTTTTCAGCCAGTCCCCCTGGGGCCCAGCTCACTACCCTACTCTTCCTCCAGTGTCCCTCATTCCCCTACAGACCCCAGCATGGGGGCCTGCGTCTTCGGAGAGACCTTGAGGTGAGCTGCACTGGCAGCCTCTCAGATCTCAGTGCATGGTGAGGAGGGGAGAGTGTCCTCACCTAGCCCTGCGAAGGCGATCCATCTGGACACCAACACCTGCCAGTAAGACCACTGAAGATAGTTCTAGGAGGAAACAGCTAAGGAGGGGTAAGCCAAGTCAGTCGGACAGGACTCCAGCAAGCACTGTTTGAACCCCAGGAGTTGGAGCCACCTGAACGGGGTGTCGTCGGGTGTGTAGCGAGGTCCAATCTAGGGCTAAGATTTTAGGGAAGGTTTTTACGACCTGTTCCCTCTCCTCCGCTCCCCCGTGCAACGAAGCACCTAACCCTTCGCACAGTGCCCGTCTGCATCCCCCAACCAAAGCCGGGAGCGTGGCGTTTCGGGAAGTTAGAGGCTGAGGCGGTAATAGGGGAAGGGTTTGTGGGGCCTGCCCCTCCCCCGCAGCGTCGCCGGGTTCCCGGAGCCGCCGCGCCCTCCTCGGCCGCCCGCCCCGGATGCGCCCCGCGCGCTCTGCCCTGGGCGTCACCTCTCGGGCTCGTAGCCGGCCTGCAGCAGTCGGGCGCTGTACCGCTGCGCCGCCGTCTCGTGTCCCGGGTGTTGCCGGGCTCCGGGCTCCGGAACAGCGGCGGCTCCGCCTCCCTGCAGCGGTGGTGGAGTGAGTGGCCCCTCCATGCGGAGGCCGCAGCTCAGGGCGGGCGGGAGCCTGGAGGCTCCCGGGGCCCCGGCTGGGCAGTGAGCGCAGCCCGGTCGAGTCCCGAGGAGGGGCGGGGCCGCCGGGGCGGGGCCTCGTGCCGGGGGCGGGGCAGGGGAATCCGGGAGTCGACTGGGCTCCGCCCTGGGCTCCCCGCTCTCCCCGGCGCTGCTACGCAGATGCCTAGACTCGGTTCGTCTCTCCCATCCCAGATTCAGCGAGGGTACATCGGGGGATGAGGGGGAGAGGTGTCCCTACACGGGTGGGACTGGAAAGAACCCCGTCCCCTTCCCTGCCGTCCGGACCTTCCAGTGTCTCCTGGCCCCTTCCGAGGAAAACCAGAAGAGGAAAGGAGCTGGACTCCAGAGGCAGGGCTTCTCCTTGCGTCTCAGGTCCGCTCCTCTCTTGCACGCCGACGATGCCAGGTCCCCTGGAGCGCCTCATACCCGCAGACCGCAGACCTCCCGCGCTGGGGCGAGAGAGTCGTGCTCAGCCGACTCCACGTTAGAGAGCGGGGAGAGGGATCTCCACAGCCTGTAATCTGCCAGGGAACGAACAGAACAGACAAGGCTGCGGGCTCCTTAAGGAACAGGACCTAGTCTTGCCTCGTTGTGGAGGTACTTTACCTTGTTATGTTACCCCGTAACAAGGGAGTGGGGCAGAGCAGTGTACTCAAACTTGTTTGTCCACTTACTAGAAGGCGCACTTTTTCCTACTGTTATCATTGTGAACGGTGATTGAACACCTAGCAAAAATGGCAAAGAAATGTAAGAGTCCTTGCCCTCAGGCAATTTATTTCAGGAGACAAAGTAGATGAAAATAAACAGCTGATAATTCTCATGCCATATACAGATGGTCCTCGACTTACAATGGTTGACTTAAGATTTTTCAACCTTACAGATGGATTTACCCTGAGGTAGCCCCATCTTTAAGTCGAGAAGAATCTGGAAATTTTATTTTATTTTATTTTATGTTATGTTATTTATTTTTTATTTTATTTGAGACGGAGTCTCGCTCTGTCGCCCAGGCTGGAGTGCAGTGGCGCGATCTCGGCTCACTGCAAGCTCCGCCTCCCGGGTTCACGCCATTCTCCTGGCGCAGCCTCCAGAGTAGCTGGGACTACAGGCGCCCGCCACCACGCCCAGCTAATTTTTTGTATTTTTAGTACAGACGGGGTTTCACCGTGTTAGCCAGGATGGTCTCGATCTTCTGACCTTGTGATCCGCCCGCCTCGGCCTCCCAAAATGCTGGGATTACAGGCGTGAGCCACCGCGCCCGGCGCATCTGGACTTTTGTCTGACAAGTCTGAGGGAACAAATGGTAAACACTGCGTGATTGAGGAGTGCTAAGATGTATTAGGGGTCAGACTTTCAGCAACGATTTCACAAAGGAAGCTGAATTTATGCAACAGTAAGATCTTGGACTTTATCCTTCATCGTGCCTCTTCCTATGCACATACACACCCACTCCCCAGAATCAGGATTCTTTTTTTATTTAAGTTTTTTAAAATTTAGGTTGGGCGCAGTGGCTTATGCCTGTAATCTCAACACTTCGGGAGGCTGAGGCGGTCAGATCACCTGAGGTCAGGAGTTCCAGACCAGCCTGGCCAACATGGCGAAACTCCATGTCTACTAAAAAATACAAAATTAGGCTGGGCACGGTGGCTCACACCTGTAATCCCAGCACTTTGGGAGGCTGAGGCTGACGGATCACGAGGTCAAGAGACTGAGACCATCCTGGCCAACATGGTGAAACCTTGTCTCTACTAAAAACACAAAAATTAGCTGGGCATGGTGGTGTGCGCCTGTAGTCCCAGCGACTTGGGAGGCTGAGGCAGGAGAATCGCTTGAACCCGGGGGGCGGAGATTGCAGTGAGCCGAGATCGCACACTGCACTCCAGCCTGGTGACAGAGTGAGACTCTGTCTCCAAAAAAAAAAAAAAATTGCCAGCTATGTTGGTGCACGCCTGTAGTCCCAGCTACTCAGGAGGCTGAGGCATGAGAATAGCTTGAACCCGGGAGGCCGAGGTTTGCACTGAAGCGAGATCGGGCCACTGCACTCTAGCCTGGATGACAGAGTGAGACTGTCTCAACAACAACAAAAAAGCTAAAATTAATTCATTGATTATATTCAGTGTCCTCTGGTACTTTGTATTCTGTCCCTTTTTTGGTGAGGGGCCCAATAGATTGTGGACTCACCATTTAAAAAATACTACCCTAAAGCCAAAGGTTTCTGTTTGGAAATAAGCAGATAAGGTACCCATATGTGTTTATAAAGACTCTGAAGGAGAAACTAGTCAAAACCAATCAATTACTCAACAGATGAAACTTAGAACTAGCTATAGCCTAAAATTTAAAGGACTGTCTGTAAACATGTTAAACTGCGGAGAAAACCCAAATCCAAATAAAGTTACCAGGACAGTAAGAATGACATGAAAGATAACTGTAACATAATTAAATGCATTATAACACAGTGAACAATGTTGTCACATGAAGGCAATGTACTGAAAAAAAAAGGGCCACAGAGCAAGACTGTCTCAAACAAATAAACAAAATTCATGGAAAAATGGAATTAAAAGATAAGAAGAAAAAATAAACTGTATTTTTCTTTTTTTTTTTTTTGAGATGGAGTCTTGCTCTGTCACCCAGGCTGGAGTGCAGTGGCGCGATCTCTGCTCACTGCAAGCTCCACCTCCCAGGTTCACGCCATTCTCCTACCTCAACTTCCCAAGTAGCTGGGACTACAGGCACCCGCCACCACGCCCGGCTAATTTTTTTTTGTATTTTTAGTAGAGACGGGGTTTCACCGCGTTAGCCAGGACGGTCTGGATCTTCTGACCTCGGGATCCGCCCGCCTTGGCCTCCCAAAGTGCTAGGATTACAGGTGTGAGCCACTGCGCCTGGCCTGTATTTTTCAACATAAGTTCCATCAAATTCAAGACACATTTGTAAGCCATGATACCAGCCATTTAGTCCATCTCTAAAGAACTTAAAGTCTTTGGAATTTAAGCATGTCAATGCAGTCTTTTTTTTTTTTTTTTTTTTTTGAGACAGAGTCTCACTCTGTCACCCAGGCTGGAGTGCAATGGTGCGATTTTGGCTCACTGCAACCCCTGCCTCCCGGGTTCAAGAGATTTTCGTGCCTCAGCCTTCTGAGTAGCTGGGATTACAGGTGTGAGCCACCATGCCCAGCTAGTTTTGTACTTTCAGTAGAGACAGGGTTTTGCCATGTTGGCCAGGCTAGTCGAGAACTCCTGACCTCAGGCAATCCACCCGCCTCAGCCTCCCAAAGTGCTAGGATTAAAGGCGTGAGCCACTGCACCCAGCCACGATTTTTGTTGAGATTAGGAAACAAAACCAAGTCAGAAGGAGCCAAATTAGGACTGTAAGGTGGATGCCTAATGATTTCCCATTAACACTCTTGAAAAATTGCCCTTGTTTGATGAGAGGAGTGAGCAAGAGCACTGTGATGGAGAAGAGCCCTCTCTGTTGAAGCTTTCCCCGGGGCATTTTTCTGCTAAAGGTTTGCCTAACTTTCTCAAAACACTCTCAAAATAAGCAGATGTTATCATTCTTTGGCCCTTCAGAAAGTCAGCAAGAAAAATGCCTTGTGCATCTCAATTAACTGTTGCCACAACCTTTGCTCTTGACCAGTCCAACTGGACCCACTTACACCTCTTAGTAGCCATTGCTTTGATTGTGCTTTGTCTTCAGGATTGTAATGGGAAAGCTATGTTTCATCTCTTATTACAAGTCTTCAAAGAAATGCTTCAGCATCTTGATCGCATGTTTTTAAAATTTCCATTGAAAGCTCTGCTCTTATCTGTGGCTGCTTTGGGCACAGACCTCCCAAGCTAGGGCCAGATAGGTGGAAGATACTATCCATCTGCCTTTGCCTACTCAACAGACTTCAACTTAGATGGGAGAAAAATAGATTTTCCACATCCCTTACCTGCCATTGAGGAAGAGTTTTGGCACCCATTGAGTGGAAAGTTTGCCCAATTTTAATTTTTTTCAGTCAGAATTGTGTAAACTGAATCAATTGAGATGTCTATGATGTTGGCTATTGTTTTTGCTATTAATCATCAGCCTCTTCAGTTGTGGCACAAACAAGATTAATTTTTTCATTGCAAGTTGATGTAGATGGTCTGCTGCTTTGGGTTTCATCTTCAACATCTTAACCCTTCTTAAAACAAGTTATCCATTTGTAAACTGCTGATTTCGCTGGAGCATTGTCCCCATAAACTGTGTATAAAGCATCAGGAATTTCATCATTCTTCCACCTAAACTTCATCATATATTTAATGTTTGTTCTTGCTTCAATATTAGCAGAATTCCTTTGCTTTGATAGGAGCTCTTTTTTTTTTTTTTTTTTTTTTTGAGACAGAGTCTAGCTCTGTCACCCAGGCTGGAGTGCAGTGGTGCAATCTTGGCTCACTGCAAGCTCCGCCTCCAAGGTTCATGCCATCCTCCTGCCTCAGCCTCCTGAGTAGCTGGGACTACAGGCACCCGCCACCACGCCCGGCTAATTTTTTGTATATTTAGTAGAGACGGGGTTTCACCGTGTTAGCCAGGATGGTCTCGATCTCTTGACCTCGTGAGCTGCCCACCTCGGCCTCCCAAAGTGCTGGGATTACAGACATGAGCCACCGTGCCCGGCCGATAGAGCTCTTTTCAATCTGATGTCTTATCCTTTGCAGTGCCTCAAACTAGATCCTGTTCAGACATGTTATAAAAAGTTAGTATGAATGTATTTTGTTGCAAAAAAATTGAAGTCCAGGCATAGTTTTTTTCATAATATACATTTTCCATGAACTTTTTGAAGACCCATCATATATCAAAGCAGACTAGGGCTAGATTCTGCAATTAGGTGGGCCTTGGTCCAAATCTGGGCTTACTATATAATTACCCAAGTCATGAACTCTCTCTGAGCCACAGTTTCCTCATCTTTCAAATGGAGCTAATACTGTCTATAAGGTTGTTTTATAATTAACAAGATAACACATGTAAAGTTCTTGGTACATAGTAGGCTCTTAATAAACGCAAGTAATGATTATTGTAAACTAAGTAAGCTGTATCTAACTTCTATACTTTTGACCCCCAGCTAAATATAATACATAATTTCTATTATATAGCCATTCAACAAATGTTTATTGGGCACCTCTCATGTGCCAACTAGATGCTGGGAGTATAATGGTGAGCAAGATGTTCATTGTTTTTACTGTCACGGGCCTTAAAGTCCAGGGGGCTGGGAGACGAGCAGGCAACTAGAAGACAATGTGGGAAGTGCTCTAGCAGAGAAGGACACCCCTCCACACAGCCCAGACACCCAGGCAACACACAGACAGGGCCAGATGTTCTGAGAAAGAAATGCTTTGGGGCCACTTTAAAAGCTCCTGGAGGTAGGCAGAATATAACACATAAATGAACACACATACATAATGAGAGTACTCGAGTAGTGGCTGAGACCTGGCACGCAATACAGAGCAGCTCTGCCTTATCTCCAGAGCTGGTTGGCTACAAATGAGATTTGCTAGCAAACTATTCATTAAAGCAATCATATTGTGATGGAATAACCTGAGGGCCTCAGCATTTCATATGAAGGGATTTTACCTACAGTAATGGCTAAGCCAGTAGTTCTCTGTGGGACATTTGGCAATGTCTAGAGGCATTGTTTATTGTTATGACTAAGGGGAGAAAGGGTGTATTCACGGCATCTAGTGGGTAGAGGCCAGGGATGCTGCTAAATATCCTACAATGGCTTTTCACAATAAATAATTATTTGACCCCAAATATCAATAGTGCTGAGATTGAGAGCTTCTGGTCTAGAGGAACTACTAGACAAAAGCTAGAACTAGACCGGTGCAGTGCCTCATGCCTGTAATCCCAGTTCTTTGGGAGGCCAAGACAAGCGAATCACATGAGGTCAGGAGTTTGAAACCAGCCTAGCCAACATGGTTAAACCCCATCTCTACTAAAAATACAAAAATTAGCCAGGCATGGTGGCACACACCTGTAATCCTAGCTACTCAGGAGGCTAAGGTGGAGGATTGCTTGAACATGGAAAGTGGAGGCAGCAGTGAGCTAAGACTGCACCACTGCACTCCAGCCTGGGTGACAGAGCGAGACTGTCTGAAAAAAAAAAAAAAAAAATTGGAACTAAAGCAAACTATTTAATCTTCTAAAGGCATGAGGACAATAGACTGTTTCAATCTTTTGTACATGAAAGAGCTATGTATCCTCACTGGGCCTCAGTTTCCTAATCTGAGAAATGAGATTCTTGGATTAAATAATGTAGAAAGTTCTTTCCAGCTGGAAAAAATATATGAGTCGAATATACTTATAGGATTAGAATGCAGGCCGGGCATGGTGGCTCACGCCTGTAATCCCAGCACCGTGGGAGGCCAAGGTGGGAGTATCACTTCAGCTCAGGGGTTCAAGACCAGCCTGGGCAACATAGCAAAACCCCATCTCTACAAAAAATACAAAAATTAGCTGGGCATGGTGGCGCACCCTGTGGTCACAGCTACTCAGGAGCCTGAGCGGGAGGATCACTTGAGCCTGGGAGGTTGAGGCTGCAGTGAGCTGAGACTGCACCACTGTACTCCAGCCTGGGCGACAGAGTGAGACCCTGTCTCAAACAAACAAACAAAAAATCAATTAACATGGGCTACAAGATTGAGGGGGTGATAGTCAGGTCAGTCCAAGTGCTAGTCTGTCTGCACTCCCTCACCTTCCAGACTTCCTGGAGTCAAGAGCTGAGTCCTTTCATCAAAAATGCTCCTGTATGGAGCTCCCACTATGGGCAAGGCACTGTGCTAGGTGTTAGAGGAGTGCAAAGAATGAGGGGGATGGAAAAAGCAAGGATAGCTATGAGACCAACACTAATGGTAGAAAGAAGACCAATGTCAATTGAGTATGTGTCAGACACAAGGAGAGGCACTTGGCATACTTTCCTCATTAATCCTCACTGCATTTTATTATTTATGTCTATTTCTCAGGCAAGGAAACTGAAGCTCAGGAAGCTTAAGCAGGTTTTCCACAGTCAGACAACGATGATTGGTGGAGGCCAGGTAAGACCCCCGGACTGTTTGCTCCAACTCGTGAGTCTTTTCTAACTTCTACTGCCTAGGCAGTGCCAAAAGAGGGCACAAAGGGCTCTTATGGTCAAAAGGAGGGAGATAGCCCAACCTGGAGAGAAAACAAGAGAGATTTCCTGGGCAGGTAGACACGCTAATCATTCTTTTAAATACCTTCTTACTAACTCTCCTCTTCCAGCGTACAGAACCTAACACATCAGCAGATAATCTAAAACAAATCACAGCCCAGTGCAGTGGCCTTCCAAGGATGGTTCCAATTATTTTGTGATTCAGAGTTCAATCTGAGTAAATAGCACTTGAAATAAGTGGGTTTTAGCTTGGAAATATTTTTGTTGTATATTACACTTATTGTAACGGAATTTCTGCAGTAGACATAGCAAAATTCCTTGCTAACAATTGTTCCCCACAATCTGATTGTGGGAAGACAGTGAACTAATGTTTTAGAAACAAATATGAATGTCTCCATCTCATATAGTATAACTTAGGCCTAAGGTAGCTGTGATAACTTCTACTTGCAATTTTTTGTTTTAATGGAATTTCACTCTTGTTGCCCAGGCTGGAGTGCAATGGCACAATCTTGGCTTACCGCAACCTCCGCTTCCCAGGTTCAAGCGATTCTCCTGCCTCAGCCTCCTGAGTAGCTAGGATTACAGGCATATGCCACCACGCCTGGCTAATTTTGTATTTTTAGTAGAGACAGGGTTTCTCTATGTTGCTCAGGCTGGTCTCAAACTCCCTACCTCAGGTGATCCACCTGCCTCGACCTCCCAAAGTGCTGGGATTACAAGTGTGAGCCACTATGCCTGGCCTGTTTTGTTTGTTTGTTTGTTTGTTTTTTCCAGATAGGATCTCGCTCTTTCACCAAGGCTGGATGGAGTTCAGAGGTACGATCGCAGCTCACTGCAGCCTCAAACTCCTGGGCTCAACCAGTCACCCCTGCCTCAGCCTCCTGAGTTGCTAGGACTACAGGCGCACACCACCATGCCCAGCTAATTTTCTACTTGCACTTTTAATGCTTGAAAAGAGTATACTGATTTGTTTAACAGATAATTACGGAGCATATGACATGTATAGTGTGCTAGGCACATGAGGGCATACAAAGAAATCTGGCCAGGCAAATGAAACATTAAAAGCTAAATAACAGGCCAGGCATGGTGGCTCACACCTGTAATTTCAGCACTTTGGGAAGCCGAAGGGGGAAGATCACTTGAGGTTAGCAGTTCGAGACCAGCCTGGCCAACATAGTGAAACACTGTCTCCACTATAAATACAAAAAAAAAAAATAGCTGGGCATTGTGGCGGGCACCTGTAGTCCCAGCTACTCAGGAGGCTGAGGCAGAAGAATCACTTGAACCCGGGAGGTGGAGGTTGCAGTGAGCCAAGATTGCACCATTGCGCTCCAGCCTGGGTGACAGAGCGAGACGCCATCTCAAAAACAAACAAAAAGCTAAATAGCTAAATAACAATATAAAGTAATGATTCTCAGCTGGGGGTCATTTTTCCCCCAGGATTTATTTGGCCGTGTCTGAAGACATTTTTGGTTGTCACAACTGGAGGGGTGCTGGCAGCATCTAATGGTGCTGCTGAACATCCTACAATGCACTGGGTGACACCCTACAACAAAGAATGATCTAGCTCAAAATGCCAATGGTGCTGAGGTTGAGAAATCCTGACATAAGAATTACATGCTCATTGAGTAGTGCCAACTCTTGAGTGTTATAGAAGTTGAAAGCAGAAACCCAACACTATCAACTGGAGTAGTCAGGCAAGGTTTTATAGAGAAGAAAGGATTGGACTGTGTTTGAAGAAGAGCTAGGATTTAGGAAGGGAGAGGGCCCAGAGAGAACAGTCCAAGGAGGGAACATGGACAGAGTGCTGGAGGGGAGTGAGCTGGGAGGTTTCTGGGAGCAGTGAGCAGGCCGTCCTGGATGGAGCATTCTCTCCACTCCACAGCCTGAGGGGTGGGTCAGCAGGTGACATTATCTCCACATGACAGATGAGGAAACCAAGTCACAGAAAGCTTGAGAGAGCATCCTGTGATTGTCTCTGAGCTAGAGCTAGAGGCCAGTCCACCTGTTGCCCAGGCCCAGACCTTTCCCCAGTATAATCTACTTCACCTGAGCTTTGAGCCCACCCTGTGCTGATACCAGCCACCAGGAGCCAAATGAAACCGTCAGGGGCATTGCCCAGACAAAGGCTTTCTTCTACCCCAAATCCAGCAGTCCTACTCTGGAACCTCAGTGTCTGTTTATTTGAAAGGATATCCTGTAGAAACTCCAGCACACACACACACATACAGAGGCAGGTAGAAAATGGAATCATGTTCCGAAGAGCACAGACACACAGTATGGAATACCAGTTAAGAAGAGAATCTGCTGGTACAGAAGCCACGGAACAGCTTCTGGCCGGTGAGGCACAGTCACTGTGAATGGAGATGCCAGCAAGCGTGGGAGAGTGGGGGAAAGGAGGAGCGGGAGCAGATGGGTGTTCAGCATTGCCAGAGCAGGAGCAATGGGGAGAAACCTCACTGGGTGGAGTGAAGGGGTAACTGGGAACTTCCCACTCAGACACTCCGAGGAGACAGAAGAGCAAAGGCCTGTGCGCATCTGAGGAGGGAGCAGTCAAGGTCCCTAGGGAATTCTTATACAACCTCAGTTCCTGAGGGTCTGTTTTGACTGCCAGGGGTCCCTCTTCTCCATTCTACATTTAGGGACCCCAAGGTAAAGCAGCCTGGAGCATAGTCAGAAAGGGTGGAAAGGAGAATGAAAGGCAGAATAAAAGAACAAGTAACTGGAGGTGTTTTAGGCCAGAAGGGGATGGGATTTGGGGAAAGAAAGAAGTGGATTGCCAGGGGCTGCCCTGACTCCTGTGCCAAACATTGAAGAGCTGGGTGAAGTCAGTGGAGAAGGTGCAGCTGCGAAGAGACATGCAGGAGGTGGAGCCCCAAACCTGGGCCTGTCTTCCCACACCTGCCAGCCACCCATGTCCAGGGGATGGGGGTTCATGGGAGCAAGCAGGGACCGAGGCACCAGTGCTATGACTCTTCTCCCTCACCCCTCCTCATCCCAGCAGCCCTGGCCTCTAGGGCTGAAATACAGTAGTCCCCACTTATCCTCAGTTTCACTTTCTGAGGTTCAGTTACCCACGGTCAACTGAGATTCAAAAATATTAAATGGGAAATTTCAGAAAAAAAGAAAAGTTGTGAGTTTTAAGTTGCAAGCCATTACCGGGCATGGTGGCTCACTCTGGTAATCCCAGCACTTTGGGAGGCTGAGGAAGGAGGACCATTTGAGTCCAGGAGTCCGACACCAGCCTGGGCAACATAGTGAGACATTATCTCCAAAAAAAAAATTTAATTTAATTTTAAAAAATTAAATTGTATGCCATTCTGAGTAGTGGGATGATATCTCATGCCATCCCGCTGCACCTGCTGGAGAGGTGTAATCATCCCTTTGCTCAGCGTATCCACACTACTGCTACCTGCTTTAGTCACTTAGAAGCCATCCCGGTTATCAGATGGAAATAACACAGTATATGTAGGGTTCAATACTATCTGAGGTTTCAGGCATCCACTGGAGGTCTTGCAATGTATGCTCTGAGGATAAGGGGGACCACTGTAATCCAAAAGCCTGGCTGTGTTTCATCCAGCTATGCATGCTTTTCAATCTCCAGTGAGGATGAAGTTGGGGTTATGAAGAGCTGGTGCAGTGGTGGAGATCTCCGATCCAGGAAACATCTAGGCCGAGGCTATGGCAGTTCCTCCCACCTGTGCCCACAGCTGCTTCTGCCCTGGATCCCCACCAAGACACCCTTTCCCTCACCCCCAGGGAAACAGGGGGCACCAAGAGTGTGTCTTTAAGGATAGTGTGCTCACCCTCCCTCGCTTTCATTTTCAACCATTTCCTAACCTGGCCTCATAAGAAAAATGTAAGCAATGTGCAGACTGCACATTTCTCTTGCCTGAGAGGCCCTGACATTATCAGAACCACAACAAACCCTGGCCTTCACACCAACCCACTCCTGCCTCCAGCCCAGGGCTTGAAAGCAGAGGGACACAGGGTGCTGGTGCTAATGTGTGGGACCAAGGCAGGCCCCCATCCTGGTCCCTGCATTGCCTGGCCTGGAGGAGGTGCTGCTGTGGGTGATTTTCAGTCTGAAGGGTGCAAATGGGTCAGAAGTTGTTCTGGTCCATGTTCAGGAGGGCAATTGGGCCCCAAGTTCAAAAAGAACCCCACCCTCCCTCCATGTCGCCTAAGTCCCTGCCTCTTGGCAGGTCATAGGGTACAAGCAGGCTGCTGTGTTTTAGAACAGAGGGCAGGGGGCAGGGAGGTGGAACGGGGCTTCCTTCTCAAGGTGGGAGAGAGGGAGGAGAAGGGTAGGGTCCCAGCCACATGACAGGTAGTCACAGGCCCACCTCATTCCCCCAAGCCTCCCTCCATCCCCAGGCATAGCCTCCCACTTGCCTGATCAGTCCAAGGGCACATCTGAAAGTGACACCTCCCCACCCTACTTCCAGGCCTTGAGACCTTGTTGGTTCCCACAGCTGTTCTATCTCCCTCCTGCCCAACCTACTCCCTCCCAGGAGCCAATACCTGGAGAGGAATTCCCTGTGCTCCTGTTTCCACCCCTCGGTCCTCAGGGTGGTTGTGGGTGTGAGTGGGTGCCCAGGGTTTCCTGCCTGGAGACCTGGGTCTCTTGGCTGATCCCCAGGCCCTCCTGCCCTAGGCCTCCAGCCCCATCTAATTAATTACCTGAGGCCAGGAGCTGTATCCACAGCACTGCCATTCCCCACCCCTCCCCCCACCCCCGCTCAGGTGCCTCTGCAGCTCAGCCCAGAGCCACCTGTGAAGTGGGGAGGGCAGGCAACACCTCTACCCCCTTGAAGGTACAGAGGTGGGCCTGATGACCCCAGGCCATGTGAGATCTCATTGGGAGCACAGGAAGCACTCTTCACTGCTCCTTGTCACCCTTCCATTACAAGTCCCATGTGGTTTTTCACCCTATCCCACATCAGGGCTGTGGAACCCTTGACATAATCCTACCCTACCTTCCAGGCAGGCCTAAAAGTGTATATGTGTGTGGGGGGGGGGGGATATGGTGTGTGGGGGTGTGTGTGTCTGTGTTTGTGGTGTGTGGGGGGTGTGTGTGTGTATGTGTGTGGTGTGGTATGTGTGGTGTGTGTAGGGGTGTGTGTGTGTATGTGTGTGTGGGGTGTGTGTGTGTGTTATGTGGTGTGGTGTGTAGGAGTGTGTGTCTGTATGTGTGTGTAAGTGTGTGTAGGGGGTGTGTGTGTGAGAGAGAGAGAGGGAGAATGGATGCCCTAGGACTTCTTCTCCCTGCATACACTGAAAAAAGAGAAAAGGACTTCGTATCTGCAGTCTTTTTTGTTTTTGTTGTTTTGTTTTGTTTTGAGACAGAATCTCCCTCTGTTGCCCAGGCTGGCATGCAATGGCACGAACACAGCTCACTGCAGCCTCAACCTCCTGGGCTCAAGTGATCTTCCTACCTCAGTCTCCGAAGTAGCTGGGGCTACAGGGACACACCACCATTCCCAGCAATTTTAAAAACTTTTTTTTTTTTGTAGAGCCACAGTCTCACTATGTTGCCCAGGCTGGTCTTGAACTCCTGGGGTCAAGCAATCTGCCCACCTTGGCCTCCCAAAGTGCTGGGATTACAGGCGTGAGCCACTGCACCTGGCCTGTAGTCTTGACATGCTGTGAGATACTGTCCTGTTCAATTTCTAGCCAACAATATCAAAAAGGATTCTCCTCAGACTGAGAGCGGATTTAGGAAGAGGTTTAGAAAGCTTCTGTCACCACCGACCTGCAACAGAGCAAATGTCTGTGGCCCCTAGCATCCTGAGCCAGCAGGGGAGGGTCTGGGGTGGGATATGTGTGACAAGCCCACTGCATGCATAGCTACTATGCCACTGTGTCCCTGAGTGCTGGCATGGGAGCCAGGCCTGGCACCTATCCTGGCATTGGCAGGCGGGAGGAAGGAGGCCTCGTGAGCAGATGGAGGCTTCTGCAGCAGCTCTCTCTCTGCAGGGCCCCTCTGCATGAGTGTGTCAGCTTCCCCTGCCCTGGCCCTGACCCTGTCACATCTCGGCCTCAGTTTCCTAGTGGTTTACACCCTTTTTTCTGAAGATTGTCATTGCAGTGGAATATATTAAATGCTAGGTGAGGTAACCAATGAAGTAAGTTACTTAAAAGTGCTTTGAAACGTGTCAACAACTACACAAACACAAGTCATTATTCTATTTTTTTTTTTTTTTTGAGACGCAGTTTCACCCTTGTCACCCAGGCTGGAGTGCAGTGGCGCAATATTGGCTCACTACAACCTCTGCCTCCCGGGTTCAAGTGATTCTCCTGCCTCAGCCTCCTGAGTAGCTGGGATTACAGGCACCCGCCACCACACCCGGCTAATTTTTGTATTTTTAGTAGAGATGGGGTTTCACCATGTTGGCCAGTCTGGTCTCGAACTCCTGACCTCAGGTGACTTACCCACCTCGGCCTCCCAAAGAGCTGGGATTACAGGCATGAGCCACGGAGCCCAGCCAATCCATTCTCTTTCTACCACACCTACTGCTCCTTAAATGATTCATTTACTCCACCTTAACTGAGAGCACAGTGCCAGGTGGCTAATAAATCCAATCTACCAGTTGGATAGCCTAGGTTATGCTGCAGTAAGAACAGCAAAAACCTAACTCACTGGCATAACATAACAAAAATTCATTTCTCATTTACTCTGCATGTCCATTGTGGGTCAGATGGGGCTACTCTAAAACCCAGGCTGATGGAGCAATCACTATCTGGAACCGTGCCATTAGCTGTGGCAGAGGGGAAGAGAGCTCTGAAGGTCTCACAAAGTCAATAAAATGCTCCAGGCCAGCAGTGATACCATCAATTCCACTTAATCCCATTGGCCACAACTACTGTAGTCCATGGCCACACCCAATCACAAGTGACCAGGGAATACAATCCTTTCAAGTGGCCAGAAGGCAGAGAGGAGGAAAAATTTGGTGAACAGCTTTAATGTGTACCATGTGTATTACTAATTACTGTTGATGATTTAGAAGATGCAGGGCAACACTAAGTGAAAAGGGTGCTTATAAAGGGTTGCATTATTATTATTATTATTTTGAGACACAGTTTCACTCTGTCACCCAGGCTGGAGTGCAGTGGCACGATCTCGACTCACTGCAACCTCCGCCTCCCAGGTTCAAGTGATTCTTCTGCCTCAGCCTCCTGAGTAGCTGGGACTACAGGCGCATGCCACCATGCCCAGCTAATTTTTGTATTTTTAGTAGAGATGGGGTTTCACCATATTGGCCAGGCTGGTCTTGATCTCCTGACCTCGTGATCTGCCCACCTCAGCCTCCCAAAGTGCTGGGATTATAGGCGTGAGCCACCGTGCCCGACCATAAAGAGTTGCATTATTACAAAGATTAATCCCATCCAGGATCTTCAACAACCTCTTCACAGTTGCCACAGAAAGCCTTGGTTGGGTGCAGAGGCCCAGCAACTACACAGGCCCTTCAGCTGTCCTTTCTTCTAGATTCAGGAAGAGCCCACATGGTTTATAAACATAGTTCCCATTAAGTCCAGCAACAAACAGGCTGGAAATCCAACTCTTATGCCCCTTACTCCATTCCTTGGATTCATATTCTTATTGCAGCCATG
The DNA here is from genome assembly GCF_000001405.40 of Homo sapiens. NCBI lineage: Eukaryota > Metazoa > Chordata > Mammalia > Primates > Hominidae > Homo > Homo sapiens. Next base: position 128,424,702 of record NC_000007.14, read on the forward strand.
CCCTAATTCCACTTCTGGGAGTAGGTGGCAGGTACCCCCCTGGACCTGAGGTTCATCATGCTGTAGGGCAAATCATGTGGGATGGAGCAGGGAGCTGTGGGAAAAGATATTCCTCCATAGTCCTGCCTGAGGCTTTGGAGTAGATCCCAGAGAGTCCCTTGGCCAAAGTTATGGGGACTAGCTGAGTGATGTGGTGAATGTCCATGAGCTTGGCAGACAGAAGCCTGGCTGAAACCCTTAGTTCCTTCCATATTAGCTATATGACCATGGACAGGCATTCTGGGTTGTTTCTTCCTCTGAAAAATGAGGATGATAGTGACTTCTGTTAACATGCTATGAGGAACAGCAGTTTATTAATATTAAGTAAACACCTGGCACATAGCAGTTGCTTCATAAAGCTATTATTACCATGATAGTTGAAGCCAAACAGCTGCCCTGAGAATTTTCATACACACTCTGCAGACATGAGCTCTGGCAGCCTGAGACTTGGTTTCACTTGACCTCGGGCTGTGTTCAGAGTGAAAGGATGAAGTATTATTGTTAATTCACTAAAACTAGTGTTTTATCTCCTAACTATTGGAATGATTTCATTGTTATTGTTTTCATTACATGTGCACACCTAACTTGCATGGATGAAATATAAGCCTAGTATGAATACAGATGTCATAATCAAAGACAAAATGGTGATTAAAAAGAAGAAATCTAGAGAAATTGTTTTGCTAAACTCTCTTACCGAAGAACCTTAAGCACATTAAAAATTAGCTTTAGGCCAGGCGCGGTAGCTCACACCTGTAATCCCAGCACTTTGAGAGGCCGAGGCGGGCGGATCAACTGAGGTCAGGAGTTCGAGACCAGCCTGACCAATATGGTGAAACCCTGTCTCTACTAAAAAATACAAAAATTAGCCGGGCGTGGTGACAGGCGCCTCTAATCCCAGCTACTCAGGAGGCTGAGGCAGGAGAATCGCTTGAACCTGGGAGGTGGAGGTTGCAGTGAGCCGAGATCGTGCCATTGCACTCCAGCCTGGGCGACAGAGCAAGACTCCATCTCAAAAAAAACAAAAATTAGCTTTAATTTTTTAGTTTTTACAACATGGCCTTAATTTTAATCTTGAGTTTGTAATTACTTTGTGTACCATGGTACAGTGGCTAATAAAAATAAGTTAAATCTGTAAACAGTCACATAAACTTTTTCAAAGCAAATTGGCTTGGATGGCTGCACCTGAATCCATGTCGGGGGGTGCTGAGACAAGACTGCCCCCTTCTGGGACTCTCCAGTACTGCAGTGACTCCTTGCTCAGGCAGGCTCTTTGCCTTCATTCACTGGAATGGGGCCCTGGTAGAACCGGGGCCATCCCTTTCTGTCTTCACAGCTGTGGGCCTCTCCATGGTGTTCAGACTGCTAGAGGACAATGGTCTTCAAGTGTCTTGGGTTTTCAGAAGCCTTTCTGGATCTCTCTTTGAGGAAAGAGGCCGCATCTACTCCTCAACATTGCCTTACATTGGTATAGGCTACCCAGTTTAAAGAACAGTTTCAGCTGGGCGTGGTGGCTCACGCCTGTAATCTCAGCACTTTGGGAGGTCAAAGTGGGCAGATCATGAGGTCAGGAGTTCATGACCAGCCTGGCTAACATGGTGTAACCCCGTCTCTACTAAAAATACAAAAATTAGCCGGACGTGGTGGGGGACATCTGTAATCCCAGCTACTCAGGAGGCTGAGGCCGAAGAATTGCTTGAACTCGGGAGGTGGACGTTGCAGTGAGCTGAGATCGGGCCACTGCACTCCAGCCTGGTCGGACAGAGCAAGAATCTGTCTGGGGGGAAAAAAAAAAAAGGAAAAAAGGACAGTTTTACACTCATTATTTCACATGTCATCATAATCCTGTGACTTAAGATGAGACACAAATGATTATCCTCCTTGTACACGGAAGAATAAAGGTTAAGAGACAGTAAGTGGCTTGCCCAAGAGCACACAGCCAGTAAATGGGAAAGAAGTTCTAGAACCCAGGCCTTTGGATATGGGGTTTGCATTCTTTCTTCCTAACCATAATAAAAATATTACCTTTATTTCCACAATATTCTATTTACTATGTGGTAGGTCAGTGATTTTCAACCTTGCTGCACACTAAAATCTCCTGGGGTTCTTAAATAACTCTCCTATCTGGGCCCCTCCTCCACCAATTACATTGAATCCGTGGGTGGAGTTCCAGACATCTGTGGGTTCATTAGCTCCTCCAGGTGTTTCTAATGTACAGCACCAAGTGCCATGTGTGGGGGCTTTATAAACACCTTCTCATTTAAACCTCCTCACAAATCCCATCAGCTAGGTATACCAGCCACGTGCTGATAGGATACGTAAATTGCCCAGCTGACCTTAGATAGCCCCTAATACCACAATTCCCAAACTGTTCACTAAGGTGTTCCAAGTCTCCACAATGGATTCACAGAGATTCCACATGATATTTGAAAAATATCAAGGAAAGTCCAGGTGTGGGGGATCACGCCTGTAATCCCAGCACTTTGGGGGGCCAAGGCGGGTGGATCACTTGAGGTCAGGAGTTCGAGACCAGCCTGCCAACATGGTGAAACCCCGTCTCTACTAAAAATACAAAAAAAAAAATTAGCCAGGTATGCTGGCAGGTGCCTGTAATCCCAGCTACTCAGGAGGGTGAAGCAGGAGAATTGCTTGAACCTGGGAGGCAGAGGTTGTAGTGAGCCGAGACCGGGCACCAAGGGAACTATTGTGTTAGCTTATGGTAGTTCACCATTTTTACAGTAGATGGCGATGCATTCCTTCTAATGACATAATATCTTTGCAAAACTGGATTTTTCAGCCTGAAAATCGGCATGGAATAGGATATCAGTGTGGTGGTGGTCAATCTGATTCCCAAGTTGGGGAAGTAGTACAGTGCCCAATAGGCATAGCTATCCCATTAGTAAGTAACTGGTAATTTAAGCAAGAAACAATTTTTTTTTCTATTTATGTGCATTATCTTTTTAAATAGCCAAGTTGTTAGGACATAAATACTTATTAAGTTGTTTGGACCTAACAATTTACTTGAAGGTAAATTTGTGGTATTTTTTTTAAAGGCATTGACACACAAAGGGCACCTTCCTAATGCCGAGGCCACATGACAAAGGGGCAGAAGTAGGATTTGATCAGTCTGACCCGAGCCCAAATATTTAACCATTTCTTTGAACTGCGCTCAATCAGTGATTTTCTTCTGTGCCCTGTCCTGGATGCCAAACCCTCAGCATTGAGTTAGGGGTCAACCTGGAAATGACAGAGCAGACATAAATTAAACACTACTGTCAAGACCATAAGTGAGCACAATGTCCTTTGACAAATTACATAACATCCCTGAATCTCAGTTTCTTCATCTGTAAAGCTGGATGACAAAATTACACTACAGGGTTGTTGTGAAGATTAAACAAGCTAAAAATCATCAAGTGTCTGGTTTAGAACAGGTACTCTGTTAAGAGTTTATTCTCTCCCTTTCTCCCCTCCTCACTTCCATGACAGACCTGAAGACATGAGGGGACACAAGTGTGCAAGTAGGTGTGAAACACACACACACACACACATGCAACCACCAGACTGCCTATACACCATCCTCAGTCTCAAACATATTGTTAATGCAGATATACTTACATGCATACATACATATATACATACAATCACAACACCTTGGCTGATTAAATAAGCACAAAAACAAATAGAACAATGAAGCAAATAAAATAAGCTCTTGAACTTGCTCTCCTTCCTCCACGTCCTCCATTGGGAGATCCTCTGCCAGCCTCAAGTATTGTGCAGGCTCAGTCAATCCACATCTGCCTACCTTCCCAGTTGCCCATTATGTCACTGTACATATGCCACTGGACCAAAGAGACACTCTAGACCTAAAAATGCCTTCCATTTCATCTCCACACATGCACACACCCCTACTATTGGTTCTCTTTTTTTTCTTCCTCGAGATGGAGTCTCACTCTGTCACCCAGGCTGGAGTGCAGTGGTGTGATCTCGGCTCACTGCAACCTCTGCTTCCTGGATTCAAGGGATTTTCCTGCCTCAGCCTCCCGAGTAGCTGGGATTACAGGCATGTGGCAACATGCCCAGCTAATTTTTGTATTTTTAGTAGAGACGGGGTGTCACCATGTTGGCCAGGCTGTTCTCGAACTCCTGACCTCAGGTGATCCATCCACCTCGGCCTCCCAAACCAAAGTGCTGGGATTACAGGTGTGAGCCACCACACCCAGCCCTACCATTGGTTCTTAACAGCAGCAGTTCCAGAACAGATTATCACCACCACCCCCAGGTGTTATTTGCAGGAGGAACACCTATACCCGCCAAGGTGTTTAGGTTTTCATCTTTTTTTTTTTTTTTTGAGACATGGTCTCACTGTGTCATCCAGGCTGGAGTGCAGTGGTAAAATCATGGCTCACTACAGCCTCGACCTCCCAGGCTCAAGTGATCCTCCCACCTTAGCCTCCCAAGTAGCTGAAACTGCAGATGTGTGCCACCACATCCTGCTAATTTTTAAAAACAATTTTCTTTTTTTTTTTTTTTTTGTAGGGATGTGGGTCTCACTATGTTTCCCAGGCTGGTCATGAACTCTTGGGCTGAAGTGATCCTCCTGCCTCAGCCTCCCAAAGTGTTAGGATTACAGGTGTGAGCTACTGTGCCCAGCTGGCTTTCATCTTTAGATATTATTTCTTTGGGCTTGAAGGCTTTTATAAAATAGACCTCTCTCTACAAGAGGTAAATCTTATGTCTCACTCAGCAGATGGTTGAACTCTAGGTCAGCTACTGAGGAGGAAATAGAAGAAGGAGTGTCCCTAACACATTAATCCCATAAATATCTAGTGAGCATCTACTATGTGTTAGGCACAGGGGCATGGACATGAACAAGACCCAGTCACTGCCCTCAAGGCTTTTAATCTAATGAAGGACCAAGGCTAGGAAACAGGTGATTACAAGTCCCATGTGATGTATGCTAATCCAGGAAGGAATTATGGGAGCACAGAGGAGGGACACTGAACTAAGACTCAGAGCATTGGCAAAGACTTCCTGAAGGAAGTGACGTCTAGACCGAAATTTAAAGGATGAGGAGTTAGGACCACGAAGGAGGTATGACCATTCCAAGTAGAGAAAACAGAACAGCACAGGAAAAAAGTCCAGGGATGAAGAAGCATAGTGTGTGGGACGTGGGTGCACCTCAACACAAATGTGGGGCATGGTTAGGACCACTTTTTTTTTTTTTTGAGACAGAGCCTTGCTTTGTCACAGGCTGGAGTACAGTGGAGTGATCTCGGCTCACTGCAACCTCTGCCTCTTGGATTCAAGTGATTGTCCTGCCTCAGCCTCCCAAGTAGCTCGGATTATAGGTGCCCGCCACCACACCCGGCTAATTTTTGTATTTTTAGGAGAGATGGGGTTTCGCCATGTTGGCCAGGCTGGTCTCGAACTCCTGACCTCAAGTGATCCACCTGCCTCAGCCTCAGGAAGTGCTGGGATTACAGGCATGAGCCACAGCACCTGGCCAGGACCATTTTTTTTAAGTCCAAAATTTAGCCAAAAATTTTCACTTAAAAACTAATCACTGAGCTTTGGAGCCCATGGTGTGCAAGACAGGAGGTTGGGGTGGATGCGGCTAGAAATCCACTCTCAACATGCTTGTCATCTAATGTCCACGTGGTGGCATGACATCCAGGTATGATGCCCCAGGCCAGGACTGATGCCCACCCCTGTCCCCACCTTGGGACCTTGAGTGACCTAATATAAAACACCAACCTCACCACCATCTTTACAAGTTGTTATAAGCAAAATTCATCAGAATAGAAACTCCCCCGTCCCAAAGAGACACTGCTTCCAAGAAGCCTTTCAGCTCACCAGTCCTTGACCTGCTTGTGACCAGAGCAAGACCTATTCCTTTCCCAGCTTTTGGGAAAGACTCAGTCACTTCAGCCCACCCACCTAGCCCAGGTTGCTGACCTCATGGGTGAGGGTGGAGACCTACCTGGAGAGGGACCTTTCACCTATTTCCCTGTTGCACCTATAGGTCCCTAAAGGGTGCAGGAAGGCACCTGCATATGGCAGTCAGGCTGTCACACAAAGACTCCTCTCGGGCCCTGGGGGAACTGGACTGGGCTCTACCATCCTAAAGGAGTTTACAATTCTGTCTAGTGTCAGGGGTACCTGGCATTCCTCCTCAGGGAGCCCTGGGCCGCACCAACAGAAGGCACAGGTCATGATGTGGTCACCTTCAGGAGGCGGGAGTGGTTGCCTCCCTGAGTTCTGGGACCATCCCTTTTGGAGGCCCCTCCACTTGGAGAACAATCTACGAGACCGCAGAGGCACCCACAGACCCTCCAGCTAGGACCTGAGGGTGGCTTCTGAGATGACCGGGAGACTGTTCCTGGCTATGGGACGGGGCATACTTGATAGCCCCAAATCACAATCCCTGGCAAAGGAGCCCACCCGCCCCAGCTCACGCCCCCGCCCCACAAGCAGGGATTCTGGTTCCTATGTCCACCCAGCCTCTCCCTGCCTCAATGTCTCAGTTGCAGGGTAAAGGTGAGGACAGATCCCTCCTTCCCGTTGTGGGTGGCCCAGGGCGGTTTCCGGCTGAGTCAGCCCCATGGGGAGAGCACTGCTCTGGCCAGTGGTAGAACTGGCCCGCTCACTTCCTCCCCGAGCTGGGAGGTCTGGCTACCCTGGAGGCTGCCCTGAACTGCTGCTCAACCCCTGCAGGTCAGGGCACCTGCTGAGATCTCCCCCTCCTCCTGGGACAAACAGTGTTATCCCAGCATTTGCATTACTTCCCTGGCTCCGGGCTTTGCTAGTAAAGCAATTACTTACTGCTAAGAGGAAAGACTTTTCCCCATGAGGGCTCCCTTCCACTCTCAAGAGGCAGGGGGCAAGGGTATAAACACACACAGGAGGCGTAACAATGAGAGGGAGTGTGAGAAATAGTTAAAAGCACAGATTCTAGCATCCTAACTTGGACTTGTCCTGATTCTGCCATTTTTGGGGGCTCTGTTATTCTAGGTGAGTTCTTTTTCTCAGAGGCCAGTTTCCTCATTTGTAAAATGGCTAACAATTATGATGGCACTTTTTTTAGGATTACTATGAAAATTAAATGAGACAAAACATGGTACATTCTTAGATGGTGCCTGGCACAGAACAGGAGCTCAGTACACGGCTTTAAAATGTGCCTTTCAGGATAACACTTAATCCTGATGGGTGGAGATTTCACACAAAGTGGAAGGTATGTTTGGGTAGGCAGGTTTTGTATTGCTGCCCACACTATATTGAATAGACTACAGCGTGCTTCCTGCCACCATTTCTGTTTCTTTTCTGGATAAAACAGTCCTAATTAGAGACAAGCTGGGAACTAGGATGCAAATAGCATTTCCTAAAACTCCTAAACATGCCTCAATCAATCCCCATCTCTGTCCACACACAGGAGGTTGCATCTTGGTCCCCTGGAGCCACAGGCCAGGAGCCAACCTGGATGTCTCTTTGTTCCCTTTATATAATAAAAATCAGAGTCTATTGATCTTTTCTAATCATAGACTATAGATTCTTTCCTTCCTCTTTGTCTTTGTTGCCCTTGCCCAAACTACAGTCAAATTCTGGAGGCACCAAAAATCTCAGTGGAGGCAGAAAAGATGAATAAGAGCTCAACAGACAAAGAAAGGGTCATTTCAAGTTTTGAGAACAGTACAAGCAAGGCTCAGAGGCTTCCCATGACATGGTGCTCCGTAGAACAAAATGTAGCTCTGTGTATAGGAACACAGGCCCAAGCAGAACCATATGGCATGATAGCTGGGCACACAAACACGCGGCTACACTGCCTGGGTTTGAATTCCAGCTCCATCACTTATTAGCAAGTTACTTAAATTCTGTGTGTCTCGATCCCTCATCTGCAAAATAGGATCATAATAGTCCCCACCTCTAAGGGTTGTTGGGAGGATTAAATGCTCTGATAGATGGAGAGAACTTAGTATAGTGCTGGGGCATAGTAAGTACCCCATAGATATTACTGTTCCCAATTCATATGTAAGTGTTGGGGCAGCCCATCCTTCACCATTCAACTCCAAGTCCACTTTGCACAGGAAGCTTTCTTCAATTAATCTGAAATGGCTGTCACACATCACCCCAATGTATTCACGCACTCTCATTTGTATCAATGTTTTGTTTTGGCTTTTGGTGTGTGTGTGTGTGTGTGTGTGTGTGTGTGTGTCTCAGGGTCTCACTCCTGTCACCCAGGCTGAAGGACAGTGGCGCAATCATGGCTCACTGCAGCCTGGACTTCCTGGAGTCAGGTGATTTTCCCACCTCAGCCTCCTGAGTAGCTGGCACTATAGGCGCACACCACCATGCCTGGCTAATTTTTGTATTTTTTTTTGTAGAGACAGGGTTTCGCCTTTGCCATGTTGCCCAGGCTGGTCTCAAACTCCTAGGCTCAAGCAATCTGCCCACCTCGGCCTCCCAAAGTGCTGGAATTACAGGCGTAATATTAATGTTTTTACAAATTTATTCTCCAACTCTGGGTTGGGGATTGTCACATCAACAGAGAGGGAAGCTTACTGCAGAAAATTAGGGAGTCGTTTTGTGACACAATGACTCAGTTATGCATTCAACTTTCGGTCAGCAAATATTTATTTATTTATTTTTTAAAACTAGAACATTTGTCACATGACTAGTCACTGAAATTCTTAAGATGAACTGGATGCTGCAACGGCTACCCTCTTGGGTTTAGGTGTGTTCCTTTTCGGAATCTGTGCCTCAGTCTGTGGCAAACAATTTTTAGGTGTCTCATTCAACAAGTTCTGGTGGTATTTCGCCATTTAGCCTTGGCACCCAGTTATATTTCCTCTTGTGTTTGGCAGGGTAGCCACATTTGCCACAGGTCGTCTTCTGGAGGTGGTGGGCCTTAGAGCCACAGTGGTGGCACAATGTGTGTGTCTTACTGTGATGCTTTCCAAACGATGAGATTCCCTTCATCATCTCACTTCTGCAGCTGAGACCAAACAGACTGGAAGATAAGGCACTTCCACTACATCTGGTCAGCAAATATTTATTGAACACTTACTATGCGTCAGACACCATGTTCCTCATGGCTTCCCCTAAAGCTCCATGTAGGAAAATTAAGCATGAGGGTAACTGATTGAAGGGTCTCAGAAAAACAAACCTTTGTGGCTAACATCCCTCCTCCTGGCCACCTGCAAGATTTAGCACTGATTACCCATCTTCAAACCCCTTGTATTAATCTGTTCTCACACCACTATAAAGAACAGCTGGAGACTGGGTAATTTATAAAGAGGTTTAATTGACTCACAGTTCCTCATGGCTGTGGAGGCCTCAGGAAACTTACAATCATGGTGGAAGGGGAAGCAAACACATCCTTCTTCACCTGGTGGCAGCAAGAAGTGTGGGAGAAGCCCCTAAGAAAACCATCAGTTCTCATGAGAACTCACTCACTATTTTGAGAACAGCAGCATGGGGGTAACTGCCCCATGATTCAATTACCTCCCACCAGGTCCCTCTGAGGACACATGGGGATTATGGGAACTACAATTCAAGATGAGATTTGGGTGGGGACACAGCCAACCCATATAATCCCTCTTAAAAATAATGCATTCTATCTAGGCTGCTGTAGCGGTTCACACCTGTAATCCCAGTGCTTTGGGAGGCTGAGGTGGAAGGAACACTTGAGGCTAGGAGTTTGAGACCAGCCTGTGCAACCAAGCAAGACCCTGTCTCTACAAACAAAAAAATTTAATTAGCTGGGCACAGTGGTACGTACCTGTAGTTCCAGCTACTGGGAGTGGGGCAGGGTGCTGACTCAGGAGGATCACTTGAGCCCAGGAGGTTGAAGGTGCAAGCTATGATTGCACCACTGCACTCCAGCCTGGGCAACAGAGAGATACCCTGTCTCTAAAAGTAAGTAAGTAAATACATAAAATAAATAAATAAAGCTGGGTGTGGTGACTCACACATTTAATCCCAACACTTTGGGAGGCCAAGGCAAGAGGATCACTTGAACTTGGAAGTTCAAGACCAGACTGGGTAACACTGAGACCCTGTCTCTATAAATAAAAAAATAAAAAAATTAAAATTAAAAAATACAACTAGTGCATTCTGATTGGGTCAAGGTTCTAATTTACCCAGAGAGGTCATACATCAATTATCTAATAGCATAGGAATTCCATTATCTGATTAACTCATCTTCTGTCTACAGCCATACCACCCTGAATGCCTGATCTTGTCTGATTAACTCATCTTCTGGAGCACATGGATCCATAATGGGCTCCAGTGGGGCTGAGAACACTAGAAATTATCTGCGTTTGTATCTGTACTATTTCCCCCTGGATTCAATTTCAGGCAGTATAGGAACTAGATAATCAGACAGTATTCCCACCTAAAGCATGACAAACATTCCTTTAAATGCATAGCAGAGCTTGAGGGTGGAGGAGGAAGGGAAAGCTACAGGGACAACAAACAAACAAACAAAGCAAAGAAATGAGAACCCTGAAGCTGTGGCTGGATTTGGGTGGGCGGGGACGGGGAGGGGGCTGTTCAGTAATGTTAATAACCAAAGCCTGGCATAAAGCTGGGGCCCATCAACAAAAGGGGGAGAAAGGGAAAATGTATCTGCTTCAGCCATAATTCTGGACCTGAAAAAACATTTCCACTGAGAATTTGCAATCCTGGGCTTCAGGCGTATTTGCAAACAGAATGCATACTGTGCCTGGTATGGGCAAACACAAGATCAAACATGAACAAACATTAGCGGTGGATTGTTAGTTCCTTGAAGAAGCTTTGCGCAAAGCTTCTCTGGAGGAGCTGCAGTTAACCCAGGCTATGTATGATTCCCACACAAAAAGTTTGGACAAGTAAAGCTCAAATGCAAAAAATAAATCACACAGAAACAAGCCTACATGAGCAAATGCCAGCATACCCAAGAAACAGCTGCATAATATCCTTTCCATTTTCCTATAACAGAATTATTAGGTATGAAGTAAAAAATAAGAATTTAAAAAATGTTTACAGAAAAATAAAAATAAACTGAAAACATGACAAAGGAGCCATATGCTATCAAAACAGATGAGATTTGAAAAAAATAAATCAATAGAACATCTAAAACTGAAAGCCACGATAATCAAAATTAAAAACTCAATGGGCAAGTTAAACAACAGATTAGATAGGACAGAAGACAGAATTAGTGAATTAAAAAAAATACAGAAACAAAAATAGGCCAAACCCCCTCCCCTACAAGATATAAAAAGTTATATAGAATGAAGCAGAGAGGGCCAAAAACTTGGAAAATATGAAGGAAATATTAAGAGACATGAAGACCAGACTGAGTAAGATGAACATGCATCCAATTGAAGTACTGTAAGAAGAAAACAGAATAGAGAGAGGCAATATTCTAAGAGATAGTGGCTGGAATTGTCCAGAAGCAATGAATGACATAAAACCCTCACCTTCTATCATCAAGGAAGCTAGATGACAAAGGAATATTTTTAAATGTATAACAGTAAATAACAAGTCGGGCATGGGAGCTCACACCTGTAATCCCAGCACTTTGGGAGGCTGAAGCAGGCAGCTTGTTTGAGCCCAGGAGTTTGAGACCAGCCTAGGCAACATGGTGAAACCCCTTGTCTACCAAAAAAAAAAAAAAAAATTAGCCAGGCATGGTGGAGCATGCCTGTAGTCCCAGCTACCTGGCAGGCTGAGGTGGGAGGATTGCTTGAGCCTGGGAGGCAGAGGTTGCAGTGAGCTGAGATCACATAACTACAATTCAGCCTGGTTAACAGAGCAAAAACCCTGTCTCAAAAAAAAAAAAAAGTAAATAACTAGCAAACTAGAATTTTATACTTAATCAAGATAACATTTAAAAGAAAGAGGACCTATGGAATGGGAGAAGTATTTGCAAATCATGTATCTGATAAGAGACTTGTATCCAGAAGTTCTTTATATAAAGAACTTCTACAACTCAAAAATAAAAAGTCATATAACCTGATTTGAAAATAGGCACAGGATTTTTTTTTTTTTTTTTTGAGATGGAGTTTCGCTCTTGTTGCCCAGGATGGAGTGCAATGGCACAATCTCGGCTCACTGCAACCTCCGCCTCCCAGGTTCAAGCAGTTCTCCTGCCTCAGCCTCCCTTGTAGCTGGGATTACAGGCGCCCACCACCACGCCCAGCTAAATTTTTTGTATATTTAGTAGAGACGGGGTTTCACTATGTTGGCCAGGGTGGTCTCGAACTCCTGACCTCTGGCGATCCACTCACCTCAGCCTCCCAAAGTGCTGGGATTACAGGCGTGAGCCATCGTGCCCAGCCACTTTTTTTTTTTTTTTTTAAGACAGAGTCTTGCTCATCACCCAGGCTGGAGTGCAGTGGGGTGATCTCGGCTCACTGCAGCTTCTGTCTCCCGGGTTCAAGCAATTCTCCTGCCTCAGCCTCCCAAGTAGCTGGGATTACAGGTGCCTGCGACCATGCCCGGCTACAACTGGGTGAAGAATTTGAATAAACATTTCTCCAAAGGAGGCTTACAAATAGCCAATATGCAGATAAAAAGATGTTCAACATCATTAGTCATTAGGGAAATACAAATGAAATCCACAATGAGATACTACTTAACAACCACCAGGCTGGCTAAAATTTAAAAAAGTAAAGACAATAACAAGTGTTGACAGGATGTGGGGAAACTGGAACCTTTATATATTGCTGGTAGAATTACAGAATGATGCAGCCACTCTGGAAAACAGTTTGGCAATTCCTCAAAATATTAAACACAGAGATACCACATAACCCAGCAGTTCTACTCCTAGTTGTAGATCCAAGAGAACTGAAAACATATATCTACACAAAAACATGTACACAAATGTTCATATCAGCCTTATTCATAATAGCTAGGGTGGAAACTACCCAAATGTCCATCAGTTGATGAATGGGTAAACAAAATGTGGTATATCCATACAACAGAATATTACTTGAACATGAATGAAATTCTGATACAAGCTACAACATAGATGAAACTTGAGAACGCTGTGCAAGTTGGAAGAAACTAAGGCAGGAGAATAGCAGAGCAAGCTGGGGGCGAAGCGGATCCTTGGACGTAAGTTAGCTTAAGCAGTAGCAAAAGCAAAACATGCAAAATAGCAGAAGTAGAATATATAAAATAAGGAAGTAAGCAGTATGTACATAAGGGAGTAAGCAGTGAGTTGAAACATGCAAGATAAGAAAAATAAGAAGGACTTGCAGTAGCAATTTGGTCACAAAAAATAAAAGTAAAGATAAACAATTTGGTCAAAAGAGATACAGTAAGGTTGAGCAAGTGGAAAAAAAAAACATATAAAAGGCCATGAAATGTAACAAACTGGGACTGATACCACTTGCGGGTCAGCCCGCTCTCTCCTCTCTGGGAGTGTTACTATGCATAACAAATTTTTGCTGCTTTGCTATGCTATCTGTGTCACGTCCAGTTCTTTGTTTGGGACACCAAGAGCCTGGAACTATACAGTACCATCCATTAACAAAACCAGACACAAAAGGTCATATATTAAATTATTCATTTATATGAAATGTCCAGAATACTCTTCCTTTGTACGGAATCTAAAAAGTATAGGCCCATTGCATGGCTCACGGCTGAAGTCCCACCACTTTGGGAGGCCAAGGTAGGAGGACCACTTGACCTCAGGGGTTTGAGACCTGCCTGGACAACATAGAGAGACCCAGTCTCTACAAAAATAAAAAATAAAAAAGTTAGCTGGGCGTGGTGGCGCACGCTTGTAGTTCCAACTACTCAAGAGGCTGAGGTGGGAGGATCCCTTGAGTTGTGGAGTTCAAGGCTGCAGTGAGCTATGATGACACTACTGCACTCCAGCCTAGGTGACAGAGCAAGACCCCATCTCAAAAAAGAGTTGTTGGTGTGAGAAGAGTAGAAATGTGTGCTTCAGGGGAACCCAGGAGTGTGGCCTGTACCCAGAATTACTCCCTGGGTAATACTGATGAGGGAGCTGCTCTTCTGAAGCCTTGTTTCTTCTGGTCCCTTGCACCTCCGCTCCCAGCTCACCCTGGTCTGCTCCCAGATATCCTATACCCCCTAGAAGTACAGAGGACACCCACTCTTATCACCCTTGTGGTAGCTAGTGTCCTATAGCACTATCTGCCTGCCTTCTTCCCATCCCTTCCCCATGATCCAATACAGCCTTCTGGTGTCCTAAAAGGAGTTAGTCTGACATATCCCCAGCAAATGTGTAGATGGTGTCAACTCATGTCGAAATCCTTTCCCCTCCCTATTTTACAAACCACTCCGCTCCATCTGTATTAGTTTTCTAGGGCAGTGGTAATAAAGTATCACAAACTAGGTGATTCATAACAATATAAATTTATTCTCTCACAGTTCTGGAGCCTGGAAGTTTGAAATTAGGGCATTGGCAGGGCCACGCTGCCAACTAGGGGAGGATCCTTCCTTGTTTTTTCCAGTTTCTGGTGGCCCCACACATTCCTTGGCTCATGGCACCCTAACTCTAATCTCTCTGCCTCTGGCATCACATGGCCATCTTCCCTCTGTCTGTCTGTGTTCAAATTTTCCTCTTCTTATAAGGACACCAGTCACATGGGATTAGGGCCCACCCTAATCCAGTGCCCCCGACTCCATATCCTCATTTGCAAATATAGAGAATACTATTAGGATTGTGCGTGCATGGAACATAGGAAAATGGGCATTTTCACACAGTGTGCCTAGGAAGGCTATTTCATAGTATGGAACAAGAGCCTAAAAAGGTGTGCTGGCTGCGTGTAGAGGCTCACACCTGTAATCTCAACACTTTGGGAGGCCGAGGCAAGAAGATGGCTTGAGCCCATGAGTTTGAGACCAGCCTGGGCAACATGGTGAGACCCCTGTCTCTACAAAAAACAAAAATAAAAGAACAAAAGTATCAGGAGTGGTGGTGTGTGCCTATGGTACCAGCCATTTGGGAGGCTAAGATGGGAAGATCGCTTGAGCCCAGGAGGTCGAGACTGCAACAAGTCGTGATGGCGCCACTGCACTCCAGCCTGGGTGACAGAGCAAGATCCTGTCTCAAAAATAAAACAAAATAAAAAAACAAAGGCATGCCTTCTGGCTTTTACTCATAGGTATTAATCTTAAGGAAATAATTGGGCAAGCGTACAAAAATGTAAGTATAAAGATATTAATTGCAACTTTGTTTAAAACAGTAAAAAGAAGCACAAACATTCTAAATGAATACAAAGGAGAATTTATTTGCTCTTAAAGAGGTTGCAATTCAACTGAATTCTTTACTTTTACCTATGATTCCTTCTCTTAGAACCACAACCCACTTGCAGATATTAAAATGGTGTCCTTTTATGAAACAATTAGAAACTTGAATATTGTTTGATGGTATTAGGAATTGCTGTTGATATTTTAGCTGTGTAACAGTGTTTTAGCTTTGTTAAAAATGTGTAAACTTTATTTATTTTTTGTTTTTTTTTCTGAGATAAGTTCTTTTTGTGTCACTCAGGCTGGAGTGCCATGGTGCAATTACAGCTCACTGCAGCCTCAACCTCCCTGGCTCAAGCTATCATCCTGCCTCAGCCTCCTGAGTAGCTGGGACTACAGGTACCTGCCACCAGGCCCGGCTCATTTTTTAATTTGTTTGTAGAGATGAGGTCTTCCAATGTTGCCTGGGCTGGTCTTGAGCTCCTGGGCTCAAGCGATCCTCCCGTCTTGGCCTCCCAAGTGCTGGGATTATAGGCACGAGCGACTGCACCTGGCCTCAAGTCTTCAGCTTTTACAGATGCATAACAGATATTTGCAGCTGAATTGACAGGCTGTATAGGATGTACTTCAAATAATACAGGAGGAGGGAAAGCACGTGTGTGTGAATGGGGCAGAATTGGCCATAGGTTAAGGGTTGCTGGTGGCTGAAGATTGGATATGTGTAAGCTAGTCTGCTTGTCTGTCTACTTTTGTGTATGATCTAAATTTTCCATAATAAAAAGTTAAAGTATATATCTAATTGAATTCTGTTTTTGTAGAATCTTCTAGGTATCACAACTTCACAGGCGGTTCTATTAACACTTCTCCATTATGTAATTTTTCTAAAATGTCTGTTTCTCTTTTTTTTTTTTTTCTGAGATGGAGTCTCACTCTGTCACCCAGGCTGGAGTGCAGTGGCGCAATCTCGGCTCACTGCAAGCTCCGCCTCCCGGGTTCACGCCATTCTCCTGCCTCAGCCTCCCCAGTAGCTGGGACTACAGGCACCCGCCACCACGCCGGGCTAATTTTTTGTATTTTTAGTAGAGATGGGGTTTCTCCGTGTTAGCCAGGATGGTCTCAAACTCCTGACCTCGTGATCCGCCCGCCTCGGCCTCCCAAAGTGCTGGGATTACAGGCGTGAGCCACCGCGCCCGGCCAAATGTCTGTTTCTCTAACTTAATTGTTTTCCAGGATGAAATAAGTATGAAAGTACTTGGGGGACTGACAGCCTTCTACATATAAAAGAGATTATTAGGACTCATTAATGTTCTAAATATGTATTATTGTACTCTTTAGCGGAGAAAGAATTAAGTTAAATTTTTGGCTTCAAATAATTCATAGTCTAAAATTTTCCTTGATTTAAAGTGACTTTTCTCAAAAAGGCAATGCAGGAAGGGATATAATAAGACCATGTGTGTAAATGAGGCTGAGTCTGGTGCTGAAAAACTGAGCTTCCTTTGATCAATCAGATCCCTGGAGGTGGGATGGGGCAGGGACCATGTGTCCTATCCATTGCTGCATTTCCAGCACCCAGCACAGCCTCTGGCACACAACATAGGATAATAATAATAGTGGTGATAATAATAATAATAAAATAGAACTAACATTTGTTGAGCTTCAGTGCCAAACAATGTGCAACTGCTTTGCCTGCATAATCTCATTTCATCTTCCAAACACTCCTACAGGGAGTGCCTCAACATCACATTGAGAGAAAACTGATGCAAATACTGAGCCTCAGAAAGATTAAGTTACTTATCCAAGGTCATCCAGTCAGAGAGTGTGAGGCTGGCTTTGAACTCACGTCTGTTTGTCCTGGAAGCCACTACTTTTTTAACCAAGATGCCCTGAAATGCCAACATGAGAAATCCGGTCCTCTTAGTGTGTCTCTTCTTGCAGGGACAGTGAGGACAGCAGGTTATTGGAGCTTGGTGACACTTGCCTCTGCAATTCCCTAGGCAGCTCCCCCAGCTCAGATTCTATACCTTCAGGCTACTTCCTGTTGTCTTTTGAGTCCCCAAACAGACTTTTGTACAGAGAAAAGAAAACACTCACTAATCAATAAGCACAAGGCCTGGCAGGTTTATTTCTCCCTGTAATTTAATAAATTGAAGTTAATTAATAAGTGCTTATAGTCAATTTTCTGTGTGTTTTTTACTAATTTGAGTTATTGTAACTGTATATATTATATAGTATATTCTTATTATTATTTGTTTTTGAGATGGAGTTTCGCTCTTGTAGCCCAGGCTGGAGTGCAATGGCACGGTCTCGGCTCACTGCAACCTCCACCTCCCGGGTTCAAGCAATTCTTCTGCCTCAGCCTCCTGGGTAGCTGGGATTACAGGCATCTGCCACCATGCCCAGCTAATTTTTGTATTTTTAGTAAAGATGGGTTTTCACCATGTTGGTCAGGCTGTTCTTGAGCTCCTGACCTCAGGTGATCCACCTGCCTTGGCCTCCCGAAGTGCTGGGATTACAGACATGAGCCACTGCACCTGGCCATTTTTATTAATTTTTAACTTTTATTATACGCGAGTCATATATAAACTTAAGTGATTTGAGTAATAAGGCCCAGAGCCTTGTCATCTAAGGGTGTGATGATACTATAAAGCTTCCACATCTATCAGTTAAATAAGTAGGAGGTAGGAGGGAACAAGTGTCCTAAGGGCAAGTAGTTCAGTCTCCAAAATGCCTTGCCCAGTGGTTTTTCATAGTTGACATTTAATAAATAGTTGTTGAATAAATGACTGTGAAAAAGAAGAAAATAGTCATAAACAAAATTGAAAGCAAATAGGCCAGGTGTTGTGGCTCATGCCTGTAATCCCAGCACTTTGGGAGGTTGAGGCAAGAGGACTGCTTGAACCCAGGAGTTCAAGACCAGTCTGGGTAACATAGCAAGACCCCATCTCTACTACTAAATAATAAAAATTATTTTTAAAAAAACTAAAAGCGGCCAGGCATGGTGGCTCACGCCTGTAATCCCAGCACTTTTTAGGAGGCCGAGGCAGATGGATCACTTGAGGTCAGGAGTTCGAGACCAGCCTGGCATGGTGAAACCCCATCTCTACTAAAAATACAAAAATTGGCTGGCGTCATGGCACTCACCTGCACTCCCAGTTCCTCAGGAGGCTGAGGCAGGAGAATTGCTTGAACCCAGGAGGCAGAGGTTGCAGTGAGCTGAGATCATGCCACTGCACTCCAGCCTGGGTGACAGAGTGAGACTCTGTCTCAAAGAAAAATAAAACAAAACAAAAAAACTTAAAGCAAATAGGCAGGGAAATATTTTCGTAAGTACAATAACAAGGTCTCAATTTCTTACTATATCAGGAACTTGGGAAATTGAACAGAAAAGCATGAAATCTTCAATAGAAAAATGATAATGCTAAATAAATGCAGAATGAATAAATGAAAGAATAAGTGGGGGCTAATAGAGAGATACCTTTCCTGAAATTTAACATGTTAATTTTTTTTAGGGGTTTTCCAGTAAAGACCCAAAGGCCTGCTAGACAAATTCTCAAAGCGCTGTAACACTAACACATTAATTTTGCCAGACTACATCGGGGATCATATGAAGACAAGGGGACCTCAGGTATGTGAAGGGGGACTTAGAAAATGCAAAGAGCTCAGCTGCAGAGCTGGCTTAAGCCTTTTTCAGATGAACAGGAGGACAGGAAAGGAATTGCTGCATGGCCTGGCAGAACGATCAGATGTCCCAAGTTAGGGAAAGTAGACAGAAAAATCAGGAAGTATACACTGGTGAGCTCCCTGCTTTGGAAGCAGTAATGTGGCTTTGCTGGGAAGCTACCCTTTGAGGAGGAAATCCAACTCTACAGGTAGACAGCAGTCTCCCAACAGCAGAGCTGGGGAGATAGCTGGAGGAGGAGGAGAAGGGAAAGGGCCTACCCAGAGTAAGGCCAGCTCTGTTCCTCCCTGATGGGTGGGTCACAGTGGCCCAGCCTCCGGGACAGGGTTAGGGGAAACCTGGGCTCTGATGACAGCGGCAACTTCTCAGTCCTGTCTGGCACATAAAAATAGCTTTTCCAGGTGATGTGACTCTGGGGCTTAGCCAACTGCAGGCCTGGTTACTGTGCTTGGTTACCGGCCTTTGCCCTGTCTCCAGATCTTGGAATGACTTTGGCTTTACACACTTCCCCCTAGGGGCCTCATAAGTGAAGCCTCATCCTCAGGAGACAAGGGTGACTTTTCACAGTGTGCCCCCTTTGTGGGAAGGGTATGCTGACCTTTAGGAGTGCAGGAAGGGCACTTCCCTCCTTTCTTGGCTTGGGAAGCGTAGGAGAGCTCAGCCAGCCTATATCTACTGTTTCCTGGGTAATTCACTAAGCCAACCAAAGAACCTGAACTTCCTGCAGTAATGAGGCCAACACACAGTCTCAGGTACACAAAACCAACAAGAGTCACATGCCTCTTGACTCAGAGACCTACCCCAGGAGGCTGTGAAAGCGGCACAACCAGGCCCAGGCCCTTGGGGTACCAGGAGTCACATGAACAATGAGAACATCAACAGGCCTGAGGCCACCGACAGGTGCAAAGTTTCCTAGGGTACACACATTTGCCCTAATATACACACACCTGTCCTGATTTACATACTCAGAGCCCCGTGGGCAGTACACATCCCATGATGCACTGAGCTCCTTATTTTGGGTAGAATCCCCTTTTAGAGCTAGTACCCAGGCTGCTCATTTTCCTTGCTATCAAAGGAGATTCTCCACATCCCTCTATTCCTCCTTCTCCCTGATTTCTCCCTGTTGTGCAGATAGAGAAGTGGCAAGGGACAATGGTGATTTTATTCCAGAAGGCTGAGGAACCAAGGCTGCAAAAGACTCTATAAAAGCACTTAGTTATAGAATCTAATCGGCTAGAAGGAATGCTTAGAGCCATTATCGAGCTCAGTCAGTTTGTTTTCACGACAAGGAGCCTGAGGCTAGAGAAGCAAAGAAGTTTACCCAGTGCCCCAGGCTGGGCAGTGGCTGAGGCTGAATTTGATGATACAGGTGGGATGGGCAGGTTCAGTCTAGCTAGAGAATTTAGTTAGCTCAGGGGTGGGGTTGGCTTACTGATTTTTTTTTTTTTTTTGAGACAGAGTCTCGCTCTGTCACCCAGGCTAGAGTGCAGTGGCGCAACCTCGGCTCACTGCAACCTCTGCCTCCCGGGTTCACGCCATTCTCCTGCCTCAGCCTCCCGAGTAGTTGGGACTACAGGCGTGTGCCACCACACCCAGCTAATTTTTGTATTTTTAGTAGAGATAGGGTTTCACTATGTTGGCCAGGCTGGTCTCAAGCTCCTGACCTCAGGTAATCCACCTGCCTTGGCCTCCCAAAGTGCTGAGATTACAGGCGTGAGCCACTGCACCCAGCCTGGTTTACTGATCTTTAGTGCATGTGAGTGATAAAGATTGGTCCACTGATAACAACTGAGCATCTGGTTTGCACAAGGCACAGACTGAGAAGCAAATATATTTTTAAATCTTAAAACAACCCTCTCAAAGTTACAGGAGATAACTAATTAACAGAGCGATGAATAAGGATGATGCTTACAATACATTTTTAAAATTTTATTCTGGCCGGGCGCAGTGGCTCACACCTGTAATCCCAACACTTTGGGAGGCCAAGGCGGGTGGATCACTTGAGGTCAGGAGTTTGAGATCAGCCTGGCCAACATGGCGAAACCCTGTCTCTACTAAAAATATAAAAATCAGCCAGGCATGGTGGCAGGTGCCTGTAATCCCAGCTACTCAGGAGGCTGAGGCAGGAGAATCACTAGAACTCAGGAGGCAGAGGTTGCAGTGAGCCAAGATCACACCACTGCACTCCAACCTGGGTGACAAAGCAAAACTCTGTCTCAAAAAAAAAAATTATTTTGGATTCAGTGGGTACATGTGCAAATTTGTTACATGAGTATATTGCATAATGGGCTTCCAGTGAACCCATCACCCGAACAGTGAACACTGCACTCAGTGAGTAGTTTTTCAAAAGGGACACCCTTTGGAGTCCCTGGTAAGAACTTTTAAGAATAATATACAAGACGTTCTCTAGACGGAACATGCTTATCAACTGAGAGGTATAAACATCGAACGCCGTATCAGCAAGCGATACTCCAACATGCAAAAGAACCCAGGATGGGGGACTGGGGAGGTTTCCAGGGTCAAATGGGAGAGCTGGGAGCCTGAGACACCAATAGTTTTAGCTGACTTTGAGTATTTGTCAGGCGAGGGGCTGAGGGGTTCGGTGTGGGTAGGGCTTTGGGCCTTCATCGTTGACAGGAGGGATTCTGACTGGACAGCTTTTTCTCCAGTCCTTTAGCCAAAGGAGGAAGGATCACTGGGAGAAGGAAAAAACGGTGGGAGTCTCCTCAAAGACCAGTTGTCCTCTACCCCTCATTACCCCCTCTCCTGACAGCAGCCACTGTCCTTCTTGGCTAAGATAAGAGACAGCAGGAACAGCCCCCTGCCCTGCTCTAGCCGAGTTGGAACAGAGCCACGGAGTGAGTTGGCTGGCAGCAGAAATGTCTGGGCATCTGTGTCTGGGGGAGAGGTGCCAGCTGTCTAGGCAGAGAGAAAATGTGCCCATGTGCACACACACGTGTGTAAAGGTAGGGCATGTGTGTGTGAACACATGCAGCAGAGGGAAGAGCAGCTGTTGTCATTGTGAATGACAACAGCACAGACACCAGGAGAACCCCGTTGTCTCCCAACCCAGAGACTCAGACTCTGCCTCCCTGCCTGGAGCAAGACACCCATCTCCTCTGGTAGCACCTCGACCATCTACCAGGCAGCAACGGAGCTCATTTGAGGCCTGGCCCTTTTGCAGCTAACCTGGGCTCTCCCATGCTCATAGAGCCCACTGTGACCACCAAGAGAAGGTGACAGCAAGGAGGAAGGCTCCCGCTATGTTCTAACATTCAATGATTTTATGGTTCCATGAAGGAAAGAGAGAGCAACATGTCAATACACAGATTTATCCTAAACTGCTGGATGGAAATAACTTGGAAAACAGCATAGAATGAGTAAACTCTTAAATACATGTTTCCAGTGAGTTTCCTTTTTGA
The DNA here is from genome assembly GCF_000001405.40 of Homo sapiens. Lineage (NCBI taxonomy): Eukaryota > Metazoa > Chordata > Mammalia > Primates > Hominidae > Homo > Homo sapiens. The sequence goes on from NC_000007.14 coordinate 128,447,043, forward strand.
TTCTAATTACCTCCATAAGACAGAGGACTGTCCCCAAGCCTTTACTGAGATGAGAAAGTAGGGACTTCTTCACCCCAAATCTTTCCTAAGGTTTTATTTACAGACTTTTTCAAAACATTCACAATACTTTTTCTTCTTCTTATAATACATGCTCATAGTAGAAAAATTGAAACTCAAGAAACTATAAAACCTCCATAATCCACCCCATCCTCACTTTACTTCCACAGGCCTCAGATATGCCTGCTATGGGATGCCCCATCATGTTAAAATGCACCCACATCTCACATCTGAAGTTACTGTGCTGAGTTGAAACTGTCTAGTTGGCCAGGCACAGTGGCTCATGCCTGTAATCCTTGCACTTTGGGAGGCTGAGGTGGGTGGATCACTTGAGGCCAGGAGTTCAAAACCAGCCTGGCCAACATGGAGAAACCCCATCTCTACTAAAAATACAAAAAAATTAGCCAGACGTGGTGACAGGCAGCTGTAATCCCAGCTACTCAAGAGGCTGAGGCAGGAGAATTGCTTAAACCTGGGAGGCAGAGGTTGCAGTGAGCCGAGATCATGCCACTGCCCTCCAGCCTGGGTGACAGAGCGAAACTCCATCTCAAAAAAAAAAAAGAAAAGAAAAGAAGGAAACTGTCTAGTTAACATATATTTTGCAGACCTTTGATTAAATGTTTATGAATTTTAGTTCTGTCATTTAAAATTTTTTGAAGCCAATATATTTTGTTTTCTATATCTCAAATATGTTTGAGAGTCCCTGAAAAGTCTATAGGCCCCAGGAACTGTGCTTATTGTGACTAATGAATAAGAGGACCCTGCCCAGTGAAAAATGTTACTATTTAAGAGTAGATACACTGTCAGTCTCTCTCTCTCTCTCTCTCTCTCTCTCTATGCATTTATCATGGATAACTTAGAGAGCCCATATAGTTTTGAATACTGTTTTTCTCCTATTCTACACTGTTCATCCAGTATTTCGCAGACAGAGCTTGAGAGCAGAGGCCTGCTGTGTCAGTGGGAGTCCCCCACCCACACCACAGCTTCTCAGTGCAGGTTCTAGGACCACACACCTCTTAGGTAGAAAGGCTCTGAGAGAGACAGCTTGTCTCCCTCAGACCTGAGCTTCACAGATGAGGAAACTGAGGCCTGAAGAAGTGGCTGGCCCCAGGTGAGTGGTTAGTTAGTACCACAACCAGACTCAGAATTTAGGTTGCTGGCTCAGGTGCGAGGTGAAGAAGCCACTGCTTGCCTTGGGTGCCCTCTGCCCAACTTCCAGGGCCAACTCTCTGTGGGCACCTTCCTCTGGTGCCATACTGCCAGGCCCTCCCACTCCACTCCCGCCTCCCACTAGCTGCTCCAAGCTTTTGACCCAATTTCCCCATCCAAACTCCTGTGTTTGTTTTCCCTTCATTGTCACAATGTTGCTCAAGCTGTAAATTTACAAAATGTTAGTAAATTTTAATTTTTTTCTCTGATCGTAAAAGTAACAGATGCACATGGGAGAAAATAGGAGGAAAAAAGGAGTTCATTATATCACCCAGAGATGATCACTGTAAAAATGCTGTGCAACAAACATCAATAAATAGAATTAGAAATTGATCAGCTGCTCTGTCATAATTATTATTAATTTTTTTAGAGACGGGGTCTTGTCATGTTGCCTAGGCTGGTCTTGAACTCTTGGGCTCAAGCAATGCTCCCACATCAGCTTCCCAAAGTGCTGATATTACAGGCGTCAGCCACCATGCTTGGTGTGTTTCCTTTCAGTTATAAAATATCTCAGATACATAAACATGATTCGTTCATTCGACAAATATTTGTTGAGCATATACCACATGGAAGGCACTATTCTGGGTTTAGGAACATAATAATTGACACAATAGTCCGAGTCCTTGTTCTCAAGGAGCTACATTCTAGCGGAGGAAGATAGATAATCAACAAATAAATATAAAACAGGTTTGTTGGTGTTGAGTACTATGAAGAAAAAATAAAACAGGGTAAAGGAGAAGAGTAGGTGGTGAGTGTTACTGTACATGAAATGATTGGGAAAGCCTCCCTGAGAAATGACATTTGATCAGGGTCCAGAAGGAAGTGACACAGTGAGCCAAATATTGAGTGAACATGTTTCAGACACTGAGGACATAATAGTGAATAAAAGTGACATTCCACTCTGGGCCACCGGCCCTCCTCTTCATTGTAGACACCTTGTACTATTTTACCTAATGGCCTGAAGACTGAATTGTACAGGAAGAGAAGGAAGAGGAAGAGCTACCCTTAACATTTTAATTTTTTTTGGCGGGTGCGGTGGCTCATGCCTGTAATCCCAGCACTTTGGGAGGCTGAGGCAGGTGGATCACCTGAGGTCAGGAGTTCGAGACCAGCCTGGCCAACATGGTGAAACCCCATCTCTACTAAAAAAAAGTACAAAAATTAGCTAGGTGTGGTGGCTGGCACCTGTAGTTCAGCTACTCGGGAGGCTGAGGCAGGAGAATCGCTTGAACCCGGGAGGTGGAGGTTGCAATGAGCTGAGATCGCACCACTGCACTCCAGCCTGGGTGACAGAGTGAGACTGTCTCAAAAAGATAAAAATAAATAATAAATATAAATATATTTATTTATTTAATAAGGTTGGTCTTGAATTCCTGACCTCAACTGATCCACCTGCCTTGGCCTACCAAAGTTCCAGGATTATAGGCATGAGCCACCGCGCCCAACCAACTCTTAACATTTTAATATACAGACTTAAAAAGTCTAAAATTGGCTGGGTGTGGTGGCTTACACCTGTAATCCCAGCACTTTGTGAGGCTGAGGCAGGTGGATCACTTGAGGTCAGGAGTTTGAGACCAGCCTGGCCAACATAGTGAAATGTCTCTACTAAGAATACAAAAATTAGCTGGGCATGGTGGTGGGTGCCTGTAATCCCAGCTACTCGGGAGGCTGAGGCAGGAGAATCACTTGAACCTGGGAGGCGAAGGTTGCAGTGAACCGAGATTGCACCATTGCACTCCAGCCTGGGTGACAAGACCAAGACTCTGTCTCAAAAAAAAAAAAAAAGTCTAACATTAATCAATATTTACTTTCCTCCCAAATAAAAACATATTAAACTTCATCTTTGCTCACTGTTCCCATCTGAAATGTTTACCAATTTTTCAGTTTATCTTGTTATTTTTACTTTTCTAAATCAACCATTATTACTAAAAATAGTTTTGAGTAGTCATAATTTGTTTAGATACATCCATATGTTTTGTAAATATTTCCTTACCATTTTTTCTTGCATTTCCCTATTTCCTTTTGGGTTCAGTTTTCTTGTGTCTTAGGTTCATTCTTCAGTAGTTTCCACGGTAAGGGCCTACGGCAGCTAACTCTGTTTTTGTTTGTCATCTGACGATGTCTTCAACTTGCCCTCCTTTAAAGAAAATAATGACTTTATTCAGATATAGTTCACATATCAAAATCCACCGTTTTAAAGGATACAATTCAATGGTTAAGTACATTCATAGACTTGTATAACTGTCAGCACTAATTTTAGAACATTTCATCACCAGCCCACACACCAAAAAAAAAACCACCCTGTACCCACTAGCAGTCATTCCCCAGTCCCCTCTCCTCCAGCCCTTGGCAACCACTTACCTACTTTCTGTCTCTGTGGATTTGCCTTTTTTTTTTTTTTGAGACAGTCTTGCTCTGTTGCCCAGGCTGGAGTGCAGTGGTGTGATCTCGGCTCACTGCAACCTCTGCCTCCTGGGTTCAAGCGATTTTCCTGTCTCAGCCTCCCAGGTAGGTGGGACTACAGGTCAGCACCACCATGCCTGGCTAATTTTGTCTTTTTGGTAGAGACAGGGTTTCACCATGTTGGCCAGGCTGGTCTCAAACTCCTGACCTCCAGTGATCTGCCCACCTTGGTCTCTGTGCTGGGATCCTCAAAGTGCTGGGCTTACAGGTGGGAGCCACTACGCCCAGCCCTGGATTTGCCTATTCTGACATTTCATATAAATGGAATCATACGATATGTACCCTTTTGTTTCTGGTTTCTTTCACTTAGCATAATGTGTTCAAGGTGCATCCATATTGTAGCATGTATCAATACTTCATTTTTTATGGCTGAATAATATTCCATTGTATCACATTTTGTTTATCCTTTAGCCAGTTGACGGACATTTGGGTTGTTTCTACTTTTTTGGCTATTATGAATAATGCTGCTATGAACATTTGTGTATAAGCGTTTGTGTGTGAACATACATCTTCGGTTCACTTGGGTATATATTTAGGAGCTAAACTGCTGGATCATACAGTAACTCTATGTTTAACTTTTTGAGGAACTATTCTAAAGCAGCTGCACTATTTTACATTCTAACAGCAATGTATGAGGGTTCTGTTTTTTCTACATTTTCATCAACATTTGTTCTTTTCTGGGTTTTTTTGCTTGTTTGTGTTATAGCCATCCTAGTGAGTGTGAGGTGGTGTCTCATTGTATTCTATTTTTTATGTTCATTTTAACATAAATGTAGCATACTGCTCACATACTATAAACCCTTTTCATTTAACAATATATTGTGGAGATCTTGTCGATATATACAGAACTTACTCTCTTTTTTCTGGCTTTATGGTAATTCACTGTCTGAATGCACCATCTTTTATTTAACCAGTTCTCTACTGATGGGCTGTTTTTTCCAGTCTTTCATTATCACAAACAGTGCTGCAACAGTGCTACCTTTAAACACTCCATTCTCTACATGTGGAAGGATAAATCCTAAAAGTGGAATTCTGGGCTAAAGGGCATGTGTATGCTTTTATTTTTATAGACATTGCCAAATGGTAGTCAGTGGTCTTTTTTAACACCTCAATGGTCTTGAGGTGTTTAAAAAACAAGTGGGGGTCAGGGTAACAATTACTGACAAATTGATTTCCATACTGAATGTACCAGTTTATACTTACCAGAAATGTAAGTACATGTTATTTAAATGAACACTTGATGATAAGATCAAATTTGTGAAAATACTTGTGTTCTTAGTATGGTACTCTTGTGTGGGTTGACTTCAGAATCACTTCTTTTTAGGGGCTTTGGGGGAAGGGCAGCTTATAAAAAGCTTTCCTTGGTTGCAGCTCCAAGGAGGAGGTAGCACCTGAAAACGGCTTCTCTTGGCGCCCTTATCTACATTTCCTTGATGAAACAATGGGTACTCACTGAAGATGCTGGGTAAAATATTCATTCATTTATTCCTTCAGTCAACAAATATTTATCAAAAGCCTACTATTTGGTGCTAGCTGCTGGAGATGGAATGGAAACAAAATCAGACCAAACACTCCTTTCACTGACATTTTCAGGCTTTTGAAAGGACACAGACATTAATACAACTAAGGGTAAAGTAACACACTGGGAAAGAAATGCCTATCATGCCACTGGAGCCCGGAACAGGGTCCGAGGGTCAGCAAGGGTGACCAGAGGAAATATGTTTGAATTGAGATATGAAAGATGAGTAAAAGACTAGGTGAAGAAAGTCTCTTCTTCCTCTGGAAGAAAAAGCATAGTTAACAAATAAAGAAGGCTGGGTATGGTGGCTCACACCTGTAATCCCAGCACTTTGTGAGGCTGAGGCACGTGGATCACTTGAGGTCAGGAGTTTGAGACCAGTCAGGGCAGCATAGAGAGACCCCATCTCTACAAAAAAAAAAGAAAGAAAAGCAAGAAAAGAAAGGAAAGAAAGGGAAGAAAGGGAGAAAGAAAGAAAAAGAAAGAAAGAAAGAAAGAGAAAGAAAGAAAGAAAAAGAAAGAAAGAAAGAAAGGAAAGAAAAGGAAAAGAAAAGAAAAGAATTAGCTGGTGTGGTGGTGGCAAAGAAAGAAAAAAGAAAGAATTAGCTGGGTGTGGTGGTGTGTAACTGTAGTCCCAGCTACTTAGGAGGCTGAGGTGGTAGGATAGCTTGAGCCCAGAAAGTCAAGGCTGCAGTGAGCAGTGATCGTGCCACTGTACTCCAGCCTGGAAAACAAAGTGAGACCCTTTCTCAACAACAACAACAAATAAAGAAGAGAGGCAATAATACCTACCTCATAGCATCGTTAGAAAAATTAAATAATACATGTAATGCATTTAGCAAAATGTTCAGCACGTATCAGTTACTTGAAGAATGCTTATTTTGTTTCCACTCTTTCTTTCTTCTTTTTTTTTTTTTTGAGATGGAGTTTCCCTCTTGTTGCCCAGGCTGGAGTGCAATGGTCTGATCGCAGCTCAGTGCAACCTCTGCCTGCCAGGTTCAGGTGATTCTCCTGCCTCGGCCTCCCAAGTAGTTGGGATTAAAGGCATGCGCCACCATGCCTGGCTAATTTTGTATTTTTAGTAGAGAATGTTGGTCCATGTTGGTCAGGCTGGTCTCGAACTCCTGACCTCAGGTGATCTGCCCGCCTCAGCCTCTCAAAGTGCTGGGATTACAGGTGTGAGCCACCATGCCCAGCTCTTTTTTTTTTTTTTTTTTAAATAACCATAGTGAATGTTAAAATCCCAGTTCCCCAAGCAAAACATTACCACCCTACTTATGTACTTACTTCTAAACTCTACCCCACACTGCCTTGGGTTGTTAGTTATCTTATCTTATTCAGGTCTTGTTTACTCAACCAGGTGACAAGCTTATTTAGAACAAGAATCTGGCTTTATACTTTTTAGCAAAATAATAGCTACTATTTGTTGAGCATATATGACATACTCTTTATGGGCATTATTTCCAACCCTCACAACAACCCTGTTTTACAGATTATTTTCCTCATTTTACAGATAAGGAAACTAAAGTTCAAAGGGGTCAGTTAGCCTGGCCAAGGTGTTGAAGGCAGGACTAAATCCTGATGCAGGTAGCTACATTTGTAGCTGACAGAATGGTAAAGCATAGAGCTGCCCTCACCCAAACCCTTCTTATTTCCAACTGGCATGACCTTTAGACAATGGCAGGGAATATGGGGAGAAAGAATTGTTGGAGAGGTGCCCATCCCTTCTTCCAGCTGTGTGAAGTATAAATTTAGAACTCAAACTAAGTAGAACTCAAATGGTCATTGTAGAATTCCTGCATTCATTCAGCAAGCCTAGGCTGCTAATGAGCAAAACCCCTCACTGGGAGTTTTGTAGTTGATGATACAGATAATGTTAAGATTCATAGAATGTTTTTTATGTGCCAGGCATTGTTCTAAGCGCTTTATATGGATTAATTCATTTAATATCAGGTTAAGACTGTTATGATCTCACAGAACAGCTGAGGAAACAGAACTACAAGAAGGTTAAAGGGTTCGCCCAAGGCCTTCACCTGGCAAAGTAGTGGCGTTTGGATCTGGCAGTGATTTCGCAGCTTGAGACCTATTTAATAACAGTGTGAGAGAAGGGTCACACAGTCAAGCAAAAAAACAGACGAAACTCTGGTATAGCGAAGGACCAAAAGTTCTGCGGGCTGAGCAGGAAAGTTGGCTCCAAATGTCTGCCTGCCTGCCAGCAGACCTCCAGCCCCAACCTTCTGCTTTCCCGGCTTCCCCACCCCCTCATTCCCGACAGACCACAGCCAGCCAGCCAGGAAAGGAGGGGAAAGGTCGCAGTGGGGATGGCTCCTCCCTTCCCGTCTTAGAGCCCTTCTTAAGCAGAGCCCGCCGAGCTCGCTGAGATGTGGAAAGTCACAGGGTTCTTTCCCATCCGGCACGGGCACTTGACCCGGGTACACGGAACCGCCAGTTCTAAAGCCACCAGCGGCCTTCCCTTCCACGGCGTGTACACCCCTTCCCGGGGGTCCTCCCCATTCCCAGTGTCTCTCCGGGACTCTACTTTCTGAGATCCCCCGTTGCGTGCTCTCAAGACAGACCGCACAGTCTTGGCTGGGTGGGTTCGGGGGTGATTAGTAAGGCAGCCTAGCCCCCCAAATCTGGACATAAGGCTGGTCTGTGACCTCCTGGCTCTTTAGTTCAAGCCGAAAGCACCCTTAAAAATCATCTAGCGGCCGGGCGCGGTGGCTCACGCCTGTAGCCCCAGCACTTTGGGAGGCAGAGGTGGGAGGATGGCTTGAGATCAGGAGTTCGAGACCAGCCTGGGCAACATAGCGAGACTGTCTCTATTTAAAAAAAAAAAAGAAGAAGAAGAAGAAAAATCATCTAGTGGCCAATGTCTTCATTACAGATGAGAAAACCGAGGCCCATTTAAATACCAAGTGACTTGCCCATATGCAGTTAGGATCCCACACCAGGGCCAGGAGTATTTCACGTTTTCTGAAGCGACACGACAAACTCTCATAGAAAGCAGAGCTTGCAGAGCTTAATATGTTGCACAAGGGCCTCACCATTCCAGAGATACCGATGGCAACTGAAACTCGGGATTTGGAATCTTGGTACAGCTATGAAGTGAAACAAAACCAGCTCTTCAGTCCTTGAAATGAAGAAAATAACGAGTGGGGTAGGGGTCTGGTGCCCTCTGACAATTTAGTGCACCCGAAATCTCTGGGGAAGAACCCACCCTTCACGGCGGGGCTTCACGGACACGAAGGCCATCGGTGTTTTTCACCTACTGGGGAGAAGGGATATGTGCTCTCTGACTCCTTCAAATGTTTTCTACAGCAGAGATGGCAGTCGAGATTAATACACACGCCTCGTCTCACTCCAGAACACAATGACTCAAAACCGCACGACGTGTACTTTTGGAAACAGCTCCGCGGGAGAGCACCCGGGACAATCCCCAAACCCCGTTGCCCGCGGGGTGGGGCCGCGGACGTGCGCCACGTCGTGTGCGTCCCGGGCGTGCGTGCGGCCTCCAGTGCGCGTGCGCGTACCCTCCTGGGGCGTGCTCGCGGCTATAAGGGGCGGAGGCTGGGCGGCGTTGCTCTGCGCTCTGCGGCTGACGGCGCTTTTGTCTCCGGTGAGTTTTGTGGCGGGAAGCTTCTGCGCTGGTGCTTAGTAACCGACTTTCCTCCGGACTCCTGCACGACCTGCTCCTACAGCCGGCGATCCACTCCCGGCTGTTCCCCCGGAGGTGAGCGGCCCTGTGGGCTTCCCCGGCTCCCCACCCCCATCGCTAGAGTGCTCGCCGCGCTAGCAGCCTCGCGTTCCAGGGCTGGGGGTGCGCCGCCGGGATCCTCTCTGATCGCCCACGCCCCATCTGGGGTCCCCATTCAGCCGTCAGCCCTGTTTTGTCCTAAGGTGGTCCTAACTAGGATCCACGTGGCCCATCCCACGCCCACAGGTGCTGAGTTAGGCATCCCTGCCATGCCCTCCCAGAGCACCTTCACGATCTCCTTGCTGTCCCAACACTTAGCGTGTTGCGTGTTAACTACCCTTTGTCTATAAGGTTTGCAATGTGGCCCTAGTATCTTCCAGGGTACCTAACACATTGCAGATATTCATGGTATGTTTGTTAAATAAATGAACTTGATAGATTTGACCCTCATAGAGTTATTTGGACTTGCAAAAAGTTTGTAGTTAACTCCAATCTGTGATGTGGGAGAGACTTCTAGGCAGGTTCCTTTCTCCAGGGCATGTTCTTATATTTCCCATTACCCACCACCCCCCTGCAAAAGGACTGGGCCTATTTCAGGAAGGTGACTGATGCCTGCACTGTAGCACAGGGGTTGTGTATTGTGCCTTGCAGGAACAAAATTTTCAATAAAGTAAATGTTTGTTTGTTTGTTTTTGAGACGGAGTTTTGCTTTTGTTGCCGAGGCTGGAGTGCAATGGCGCGATCTTGGCTCACTGCAACCTCTGCCTCCCGGGTTCAAGCAATTCTGCCTCAGCCTCCCGAGTAGCTGGGATTACAGGCATGTGCCACTATGCCCGGCTAATTTTTGTATTTGTAGTAGAGACAGGGTTTCACCATGTTGGTCAGGCTGGTCTCGAATTCCTGACCTCAGGTGATCCACCCGCCTCGGCCTCCCAGAGCGCTGGGATTACAGGTATGAGCCACCGCGCCTGGCCTAAGAAAGTAAAAGTTTTAAGAAGTGTTCTTGAATTAGTCCAAGAAGCAACACTGGCTCCGCAGCCATGAAGTTTGCAATGTAAAATATTCTTGGAGAGTTGCTGTGCAACTCCCTGGTCCCTGTGTCCCTCACTGGCTAAGCCTCTCCTTCAGCCCTGTGAGAGGACAGAAGAGTCAGGGCTGGATGCATGCATATCCCCAAAAGGCTATAGATTCATCCTTTCCTCTTTTTTCTCAGGGTCCAGAGGCCTTTCAGAAGGAGAAGGCAGCTCTGTTTCTCTGCAGAGGAGTAGGGTCCTTTCAGCCATGAAGCATGTGTTGAACCTCTACCTGTTAGGTGTGGTACTGACCCTACTCTCCATCTTCGTTAGAGTGATGGAGTCCCTAGAGGGCTTACTAGAGAGCCCATCGCCTGGGACCTCCTGGACCACCAGAAGCCAACTAGCCAACACAGAGCCCACCAAGGGCCTTCCAGACCATCCATCCAGAAGCATGTGATAAGACCTCCTTCCATACTGGCCATATTTTGGAACACTGACCTAGACATGTCCAGATGGGAGTCCCATTCCTAGCAGACAAGCTGAGCACCGTTGTAACCAGAGAACTATTACTAGGCCTTGAAGAACCTGTCTAACTGGATGCTCATTGCCTGGGCAAGGCCTGTTTAGGCCGGTTGCGGTGGCTCATGCCTGTAATCCTAGCACTTTGGGAGGCTGAGGTGGGTGGATCACCTGAGGTCAGGAGTTCGAGACCAGCCTCGCCAACATGGCGAAACCCCATCTCTACTAAAAATACAAAAGTTAGCTGGGTGTGGTGGCAGAGGCCTGTAATCCCAGCTCCTTGGGAGGCTGAGGCGGGAGAATTGCTTGAACCCGGGGACGGAGGTTGCAGTGAGCCGAGATCGCACTGCTGTACCCAGCCTGGGCCACAGTGCAAGACTCCATCTCAAAAAAAAAAGAAAAGAAAAAGCCTGTTTAATGCACAGGTGTGAGTGGATTGCTTATGGCTATGAGATAGGTTGATCTCGCCCTTACCCCGGGGTCTGGTGTATGCTGTGCTTTCCTCAGCAGTATGGCTCTGACATCTCTTAGATGTCCCAACTTCAGCTGTTGGGAGATGGTGATATTTTCAACCCTACTTCCTAAACATCTGTCTGGGGTTCCTTTAGTCTTGAATGTCTTATGCTCAATTATTTGGTGTTGAGCCTCTCTTCCACAAGAGCTCCTCCATGTTTGGATAGCAGTTGAAGAGGTTGTGTGGGTGGGCTGTTGGGAGTGAGGATGGAGTGTTCAGTGCCCATTTCTCATTTTACATTTTAAAGTCGTTCCTCCAACATAGTGTGTATTGGTCTGAAGGGGGTGGTGGGATGCCAAAGCCTGCTCAAGTTATGGACATTGTGGCCACCATGTGGCTTAAATGATTTTTTCTAACTAATAAAGTGGAATATATATTTCTACTGTGTGTCATGTTGACTTCTGCTCTTGAAATTCGTGGTAGGGAGGGTCTTAATTTCTAGACCTGAGGTTTAATTTTAACATCTCAATACTTTGGAGCAGGAAAGTGCTTAAATCACTTTGTTTAAAACATAGTATCAGTAGACTTCTGAATTTGGGGGCAGAGGCAGTTGGGTCTGCCATGTATCAACCAGTTATGTGAGCCTAGGCCACGATTATTGCAGGCCTGTCATGACTAGATCTGTAAAGAAGAAGAAAAATGATCACCACTTCCAGCCCCTCTCCTTGAGTCTCTGGGGCAAAGAGGACTATCAGTCCAGGAGGCTGTGGGCTTTTTCTTTTGTACTCTTCAGCGTGTTTTACTTACCCACCAAAAAGGCTGCTTAATTCAGATTGTTCTCAAAGTCAGTTGGTAAAGTGTCCACACCACACAGATGATTATATCTGCTCTCCCAGATCTAAGCAACTTGGCCTTTACTCAAAAGTTGGAGGGGTTTTTTTTTCTTGTATCCATCACTCTTGTACTTCCTGTCCCACGTACAATTGTATTCACTCCTTTGCCCTTCAGAATATATTTATTTACACTCCCATCTGGGCGTGTGCATCATTTTATTAACTTGACTGACTTTTGCTAAAGCGCAACAATGAAGTACAGTGTCTTCTGTTAAGCCAGTTTTGCTTCCTGAGTGTTCTTAAAATGTCACTACCCTAGAAGCCTGTGGGTTAAGCATCACTTTCATTTATTGCACAGTGGTTGTCACTAGTGTTATTTATCAAGTATTTCCAGTTTCCCACCTTTCGGGTACATGGTAAATTGGTCCCCTTGTGGCTGGCAGGGTTTATATGACTGTTACTTTGTTAGCATAGTACTACTCTCAAAAGTCTATTTGGCTTTTTCTCTGGTTTCAGTTTCATGTGCCAGTAGTTACCCTCTTCTAGTCATATTTCTTATATTTGATATATTTTCTCATTCTCATGCTTCTAATTTGGGGTATTTTTGAACCTTCAATTGGAGAGCCTGCACCTTAAGTCTCTCCTCCAAGTGGCTTAGTTTAATTGAAGTGATCTGTGTGCCACCACCCCCTTGTGGTTGGATGGAGCCATGTCATTAGTTCTGGCCAATGAGCTGTGAGTGGTAGTGGCTTGCGTTAATTCTACGTGAGAGCATTTCAGTGCTGGAGAAACCTGCGAGGACCTCTTTTTCCCTCTGTGCAGTGACCAGCAGTGCTTCCTATGGAACTGTTCATTAGTGTAGGTCCTGGAATGAGGATGCATGGCGCAGGGCCCTTAATCTGTCCAATCTGACTGTGATGTGGGAGAGACTTCTAGACATGTTGCTTTCTCTAGGGTATGTTCTTATATTTCCCATTACCCCCCACCCCCTGCAAAAGGACTGGGCCTGTTTTGGGAAGGTGACTGATACCCGCACTGTAGCACAGGAATTGTGCTACTGATATCTGGGGGTTTTGTTAACTGAAGTGTAACTTAGCTTATCCTGATTGGTACATTGTGTACAGCACCTATTGGATGCCAGGCATCAGCTAATACCTCATCGCTACCTGCCTCAGATGTACACAAGGTATTGGGAGGAAGGCATGTGAACAAATAATGTGTCATGGTTTTGTGATAGAAATACGTATACAGGATAGTGGGTATATAAAGTTATTTGTAGGCAGGAGAGGGGTGTTCAGGAAAAGCTTCTTAGAGGATCTCAATTTTTTAAAAATGCGTAGGTTGTAGGCTGCTGGCCAACTTAGGAAAAGGTGTCTCAGCGGAGGGAACAACGGGAGCAAAGGCATGGAGATGAGCCTATGCACAGCTCATTTAGAAAACTGCAAGTTCAGGCCAGGTGCAGTGCCTCACGCCTGTAATCCCAGCACTTTGGGAGGCCGACGCGGGTGCATCACCTGAGGTCAGGAGTTTGTGACCAGCCTGGCCAACATGGGGAAACTCCATCTCTATTAAAAATACAAAAAATAGCTGGGCGTGGTGGCAGGTGCCTGTAATACCAGCTATTCAGCAGGCTGAGGCAAGAGAATCACTTGAACCTGGGGGTCGGAGGTTGCAGTGAGCCAAGATGCGCCATTGCACTCCAGCCTGGGCAACAAAAGTGAAACTCCATCTCAAAAAAAAGAGAACTGCAAGTACAGGCCAGGCACAGTGGCTCGTACCTGTAACCCCAGCACTTTGGGAGGCTTAGGCAGGAGGATTGCTTGAGCCTAGGAGTTCAAGACCAGCCTGGGGAACAGAGCAAGACCCCGTCTTTATTTAAAAAAAATTATTTAAAAAAATTTTTTTTTCCATTCAGGGTCTCATTTTGTTACCCAGACTGGAGTGCAGTGGTGGCATTGTGGTTCACTGCAACCTCCACCTCCCGGGCTCAAGCAATTCTCCTGTCTCAGCCTCCCCAGTAACTGGGACTACAGGTGCACACCACCATGCCCAGCTAATTTTTGTATTTTTTGTAGAGATGGAGTTTTACCATGTTGCCCAGACTGTCCTCGAACCCCTTGGACTCAAGTGATCCACCCGTCTCAGCCTTCCAAAGTGCTGGGATTACAGGTGTGAGCCACCGCACCCGGCCCACTACTCCCCCAACATTTTTTTAAGCGTTAGCTGGGCATAGTGGCGCACACCTTTAGTCCTAGCTACCAAAGGGGTTGAAGTGGGAGGATCACTTGAGCCCAGGAGTTTGAGGCTGCAGTGAGCCATGATCATGCCACTGTGCTGCAGCCTGGGTGACAGAACTAGACCCTGTCTCCTAAAAAATTAAGGCTGGGCACGGTGGCTCACACCTGTAATCCCAGCACTTTGGGAGGCCAAGGCAGGTAGATCATTTGAGATCAGGAGTTCGAGACCAGTCTGACCAATATGGTGAAACCCTGTCTCTACTAAAAATACAAAAATTAGCTGGGCATGGTGGCAAGCATCTGTAGTCCCAGCTACTGGGGAGGCTGAGACAGGAAAATTGCTTGAACCTGGGAGGCAGAGGTTGCAGTGAGCTGAGATAGTGCCACTGCATTCCAGCCTGGGTGACAGAGTGAGACTCCATCTCAAAATAAATAAATAAAAATAAATAATTTTTCAAAGTGCAAGTACAAATTTTAAATCTTACTAGCTTGTGGCCTGAACTCTAGTGCCACCTAGTGGACCCTAAAGAAGGGAATATTTTATATACTGTATGCTGTGTAATGCTTTCTGAATTTGAATGACACTACCTCTGAAGCTTAAGATAACTATGAGAATATTAAGGGCTGGAAGATAAGATCTAGCCCAGCACTGTCCAATAAAAACATAATGCAAACTACATATATAATTTAAAATTTTCTAGTGTCCCATTAAGGAGTAAAAAGAAACTGAAGATATTTTTAACATATTTAACGCAATGTATTCAAGATATCATTCCAAAATATAACATAAAGTGTTATTAATGAGATATGTTAAATACTTTTTTTGTGATACTAAGTTTGTATACTGGTGGGCATTTTATACTTAAAATATGTCTCTACTTGGATTTGCCACACATTTTCTTTAGTTTTTGTTGGTGGTGCTTTTTTTTTTTTTTTTTTTTTGAGAGTTTTGCTCTGTCGCCCATGCTGGAGTGCAGTGGCACAATCTCGGCTCACTGCAACCTCTGCCTCTGGGTTCAAGCAATTCTTGTGCATCAGCCTCCTGAGTAGCTGGGATTACAGGCACCCACCACCATGCTGGGCTAATTTTTTTTTTTTTTTGGTAGAGATGGGGTTTCACCATGTTGGCCAGGCTGGTCTCAAACTCCTGACCTCCAGTGATCTGCCCACCTTGGTGTCTGTGCTGGGATCCTTTTCTGTTAACTTGCTTATAAAAATGTCACACTCTGTATTAAGACATAAGGAGTTAGAAAATCACTGTAAAAATAAAGTTGCTTGTTGTACAGGTACTAACAAGCATTTTCTGAAATGGAAATTTGTTTTTTTATTAACCTAATACAAATAAGGTTCAAGCACTGTATTTAAATATTTAAAAGATAGGAGTTTCTTAAAATACCACATATGGTGCTCTTGTGAGCTTGCTTTTCTCCACAATTTGGCAATTTGCTTCACTCTAGTAGTCCAATCTGCAACAAAAGAACAGAATATAACACTTTCTCAGAGCCATGCTAATGATGTGTTGTATTAAAGAATGTTGATGAACTGCTGACAGTTAATCTTATTCAGGCCGTATTCTCATGAGGTCATAGATCTATATTAAGTTTTTTTACAAAGAACAAAGATCCTGGCACACTGTAGGCCAAACAAACGTTTTCTAAATGAAGTGTTGCCTTATTAACAACCTAGCTTGTAGGTTGGGAAGTTTTTAGATTCAAGGGACAAAGTAGCAAAAATGTGCCCTCTCCCTCACCCTCACCTTCTCCCTCTCCCTCTCTCTCTCCCGTCTCCGTCGTCTCTGTCTCCTGCTTTCCACGGTCTCCCCCTCTCCCTCGTCTCCGTCTCCCGCTTTCCACGGTCTCCCTCTGTTGCCGAGGCTGGACTGTACTGCTGCGATCTCGGCTCACTGCAACCTCCCTGCCTGATTCTCCTGCCTCAGCCTGCTGAGTGCCTGGGATTGCAGGCGCGCGCCACCACGCCTGACTGGTTTTTGTATTTTTTGGTGGAGACGGGGTTTCGCCGTGTTGGCCGGGCTGGTCTCCAGCTCCTGACCACGAGTGATCTGCCCGCCCTGGCCTCCCGAGGTGCCGGGATTGCAGAGGGAGTCTTGCTCACTCAGTGCTCAATGTTGCCCAGGCTGGAGTGCAGTGGCGTGATCTCTGCTCGCTACAATCTCCACCTCCCAGCCACCTGCCTTGGCCTCCCAAAGTGCTGAGATTGCAGCCTCTGCCCGGCCGCCACCCCGTCTAGGAAGTGAGGAGCGTCTCTGCCTGGCCGCCCATCGTCTGGGATGTGAGGAGCCCCTCTGCCTGGCCGCCCAGTCTGGGAAGTGAGGAGCGCCTCTTCCCGGCTGCCATCCTGTCTAGGAAGTGAGGAGCGTCTCTGCCTGGCCGCCCATCGTCTGGGATGTGGGGAGCGCCTCTGCCCGGCCGCCCTGTCTAGGAGGTGAGGAGCGTCTCTACCCGGCCACCACCCCGTCAGGGAACTGAGGAGCGCCTCTGCCCGGCTGCCCCGTCTGAGAAGTGAGGAGCCCCTCTGCCCGGCCACCCCGTCTGAGAAGTGAGGAGCCCCTCTGCCCGGCAGCCGCCCCGTCTGGCAGGTGGGGGGGCGCCCCCGCCCGGCAGCCGCCCCGTCTGGGAGGTGGGGGGCGCGCCTCTGCCCAGCCGCCACGTCTGGGAAGTGGGGAGCCCCACTGCCCGGCTGCCACCCCGTCTGGGAGGTGTACCCAACAGCTCATTGAGAACGGGCCATGATGACGATGGCGGTTTTGTCGAATAGAAAAGGGGGAAATGTGGGGAAAAGAAAGAGAGATCAGATTGTTACTGTGTCTGTGTAGAAAGAAGTAGACATAGGAGACTCCATTTTGTTCTGTACTAAGAAAAATTCTTCTGCCTTGGGATGCTGTTAATCTATAACCTTACCCCCAACCCCGTGCTCTCTGAAACATATGCTGTGTCAACTCAGGGTTAAATGGATTAAGGGCGGTGCAAGATGTGCTTTGTTAAACAGATGCTTGAAGGCAGCATGCTCGTTAAAGAGTCATTACCACTCCCTAATCTCACGTACCCAGGGACACAAACACTGCGGAAGGCCGCAGGGTCCTCTGCCTAGGAAAACCAGAGACCTTTGTTCATATGTTTATCTGCTGACCTTCTCTCCGCTATTGTCCTATGACCCTGCCAAATCTCCCTCTCGGAGAAACACCCAAGAATGATCAATAAATACTAACAAAATTAAAAAAAAAAAAAAAAGAGAAAATACAACTTGAAACATTGCAGTTGAAAATGAAGACAAAGGAAACACTTCAAAAGCAACCAGAGGCCAAGCACAGTGGCTCACATCTGTAATCCCAGCACTTTGGGAGGCCAAGTCAGGTGGATCGCCTGAGGTCAGGAGTTCAAGACCAGCCTGGCCAACATGATGAAACCCCATCTGTACTAAATACAAAAATTAGTCGGGCATGATGGCACATGCCTGTAATCCCAGCTACTTGGGAGGCTGAGGCAAGAGAATCTCTTGAACCCAGAAGGCAGAGGTTGCAGTGAGCCGAGATTGCACCACTGCACTCCAGCCTGGGCCACCAAGCAACATTCTGTCTCGAAAGAAAGAAAGAGAGAAAGAGAGGGAGGGAGGGAGGGAGGAAGGAAGGTAGGAAGGAAGGAAGGAAGGAAGGTAGGAAGGAAGGAAGGAAGGAAGGAAAGACGGGAGGAAACCAGACAGAAAAAATAACTTACAAAGGAACAAAAAGTAGACTAACAGGAGACTTCATGCATGCAAAAATAAAGGCCAGAAGACAATCAAATAATATCTATAGATTGAGGAGAGAAAAGTATTTCCAGCTAAGCTATCATTCAAGAGGAAGAGTAAATAAAAACACTTTCAAGGCCAGGCATGGTGGCTCACACCTGTAATCTCAGCACTTTGGGAGGCCAAGGCAGGCGGATCACCTGAGGTCAGGAGTTCGAGACCAGCCTGGCCAACATGGTGAAACCCCGTCTCTACTAAAAATACAAAATGTAGCCAGGCATGGTGGCGCGTGTCTGTAATCCCAGCTACTAGGGAGGCTGAGGCAGGAGAATCACTTGAACCCGGGAGGCGAAGGTTGCAGTGAGCCAAGATCCCACCACTGCACTCCAGCGAGACTCTGTCTCAAAAAAAAAAAAAAAAAAAAGAATGTTCGACTTTATAAGGGTGTGTTCTTTCTTGCTTGTCTATAACTTTAATGTGATTTTTCAAATTTTCCCCAAGGGTTTTTGTTGTTGTTGTTGAGACAGGTCTCAACTTTGTCACCCAGGCTGGAGTGCAGTGATGTGATATCAGCTCACTGCAACCTCTGCCTCCGAGGCTCAAGCAATCCTCCCACTTCAGCCTCTCTAGTAGCTGGGACTACAGACACGTGCCACCATGCCCAGCTAGTTTTTGTATTTTTAGTAGAGATGGGGTTTCGCCATGTTGGCTGGTCTTGAACTCCTGGGCTCAAGCAGTCCACCCTCCTCAGCCTCCCAAAGTGCTGGAATCACAGGCATGAGCCACTTTCATGACTTTGTCTCAAAAAAAAAAAAAAAGTCTCAATCATTAAAACAGTGTGATATTAAGATATTAACAGACAGACCCAAGGAAGAAAATAGAAAGTCCCAAAATAAATAGAGCTATGTGGAGAATTTTAACTTAAGGAAAACGTGACATTTCAACACAACAGGAAAATGATAGATTATTCAACAAATAGTGCACTGAGTAGGCATCTGAGGAAAAAAATGAGATTCACACTTCATATACAAATTGCAAATGGATGAAATGTAAAAGGAATAAATGGAGGGTCAGAGAGAAAGAAAAAGAAACCTTAAACATACTGAAATAAACTCTGGGAAGGCCTCCCTAACTGTGATACAAAAGTCAAATGCATTTTTAAATAAAAAGATATTAATTCCACTGCTTCAAGATCAAAAATCTCCATATGGCCAAAAAAAAATCACAGTTGCTACTCATAACATAAAAGGCTAACTTCAAAGAACTTCAAATTCATAAGAAAAAAATAACCTATATAAAAATGGACAAAGGGTATGAACAGACAGTTCTCAGAAACATTAAAAAATATTCAACCTCATTCCTCATAAAAGATCCAAGTTAAAACTCTCCTCAGATATTTATCTTTTCATATTATATTGACCAAGATGAAAAAACATGGGTATACTCATAAGTTACAGATAGGTTTGTAAATTGGTTCACCCTCTACAGAGGAAATTTGGCAATAATTACCAAAAGAACAGACTTCACACCTTTTGACCTAGCAATTCCAGTCCTAGGGCACCATCTAGGATATACAGATATTTTTGCACATATGCCAAATGCCACTCCTGAGGGACCCAGAAAAAAGTCTAAACAAACAAACAAATGGTTTGGCAATAACCTCATAAATTATATACAAATCCTTCTATAATAAAATATACTTATTTATTATGTCTTTTTGTTGTATAATTCAAATTAAAATGTATTACCTTCTTTTTTAAATATGCATAAAGGCAGCAAATATGAAGTCTATGGACCCTGCCTCAGGTTATTCAAATAACATCCTCACCATTGATCAAATGCTCAAGAAAAAGCAGACTTGTATAGTGGCCGATGCAACTACTATTAAACAACATGTGAGTATTCCTTGTTGAGTTCCTTCCCAGAAATCACTGACAAAAATATTGTCCACTTCAATACTACACCATAAAACCAAGAGAATTTTTATCTGCTCTATGTCTTTAAAATGAGACAAGGTTGTTTCTCTTGTTTACCCATTGTAATAACACCATTTCTTTCTCTATAATCAAATGGATTCAAATGTTAAGTGTTATGATTCATCCTGCTATTCACCTATGCAGCTATACTCACTGTTATTTCTGGGACATTCATTTGTGTTATTCCAGAAATATCAAACTAATTAAGGTAGTTAACCAACAGTCACAGTGAGTAGTGTACTCAGAGATTCATGGTGAAAGAATCTTACATCCTGAGGCCTCTAGCCCTGGGGCACCAGCTGCACCAGGGCTAAGAAGCTTGAGAAGATCAATAGTTTGGTATTAATACATTGGAAATCTTGGCATTAGGTAAAGAACAGCTAGGGCAAGTATTCTTTGGGCTATCTCAATCTATCCTCCTTGGTTCAGCTGCCACCTATGTACTGATTACTGTTAAAGTTGTCACTAACCTAACTTCTTTCCTCTATTTCTGACCTATCTCACTGACCACTTGATGACTATTTCTGCCTCTACGCAGGGTCTCATAACATAACAAACTCAACGTGTCCAAAACAAAACTCATCATCTTCTGCAGCCAACTGGTTCTCCCCTGGGAATTCTGTATCTCAGGTGTTTTTTGTTTGTTTGTTTTGTGTGTGTGTGTGTGTGTGTGTGTGTGTGTGTGTGTGTGTGTGTGTGTTTAAATAAGGTCAACTTTTATTTTAGATCCACGGGGTACATGTGCAGGTTTGTTATGAGAGTATATTGCATGTGTCTCAGTTGATAGCATCTACTCAGTCACTGAAGCTAGAAGGCCAGGAGCTATCCTTAACTGGGGTTTTTTCCTCATTCCTCACATCTGCTAATCCCCAAGTCTGGCCGATTGTCATTCTCTTAAAGATTTTTCAGGGCTGGGCATGGTGGCTCACACCTGTAATCCTAGCACTTTGGGAAGCCAAGGCAGGCGAATCACCTGAGGTCAGGAGTTTGAGACCAGCCTGGCCAACATGGTGAAACCCCGTCTCTACTAAAAATACAAAAATTAGCCGGGCATGGTGGTGGGCGCCTGTAATCCCAGCTACTTGGGAGGCTGAGGCAGGAGAATCCCTTGAACCCAGGAGGCAGAGGTTGTGATGAGCCAAGATCGCACTACTGCAGTCCAGGTTAGGCAACAGGACAAGACTCCGTCTCAAAAAAAAAAAAAAAATCCCACATTTTTCAAATCTGTCCCTTTCATTCCATCCCCATTACCACTGCCTTAGATGAGGCAGTCTCCAACCTGGTATCCTCCAACTATTCTCCACACAGCTGCTAATGATCCAACATGAAGAGCCAACCATGGCACTGTCCTGCTTAAAAGTGAACACGTCCCTCTCAATGATGGCAATTTCAACTCTATTTTCCGCTTAAGAGATTTATTTCACTTTCATTAGAAACAGTGGGTTGCTACAGCATGATTTTCACTGAGGAACAGGCTTTTGCTAGCCTCACAGAGATTACTGACTTATTAAGTGTAAGGGCTGCCTGTCCTTTGTCATTATTTATTCCTCCCACTTTAAACTTGACACTCCAGCAATACCAAGTGCCTGAACCCTCCTACCACACCTCCAGGATATTTACTGCCTTGGGGTCTCTGTTTATGCTGTTTATGCTGTCCCCTCTCCCTGGAACACCTTCCCCTTACCACTTACTCCCTCAATTTGATCACATCCTTGAGGACCTACTCAGCTCAGCATCTTCTCCCAGTCAGTTCTCCATATCCTAGGCTGAACTGAGTGGCTGCATTGGCCCTCGTGTTATATCCCTAGCCTATCTCCATACCATACTTCAGCCTATTTTAGTCCATTGTATTTTTCATATCCTTATAAAATTTCTTATTACTTCATTATTCCCAAGCAGTACATTTTGATTGTCCATCAACTCCTAGCTCACATGTCCTCACGAGGCACCACCCAATGTATAGATTCAGTGACTTTCGAGTAGCCCAGGGACATAACTCTTGGGGTATCTATCATTGTGGTCCACAAATCAAAGCTACTTTAAGGTAACTACAATAAACTTCTGGTCTCTCACTGCAGGTGAAGAGAGCTACTGATACCTATAATTTGGGAATTGCCCTTGAACACCGAAAAGAAATGCTAAACCTCTGGCAGAAGATCCGAGGGGATTTGATTGGGATAGACTCTAGAAATGAGGCCTTTTATGACACCTTTTCTACTTATACATGGTCCTGGAATGTTTGCCAAGAATTACTTTCTCCTAAGGACTTAAGGTTATATGATGCCTATGTGAATAGAAATTCCTCCCATAACTGCAGATCCTCTTCCTCATCAGATACCAGTGAATGTGACACAGACTCAGGAAGAAAAAGAAAACAGAAAGGTTTAAAGGGATTTCAACAATGAAATTTCTACATTTTCTAAACAGCTCATCACAAACTACTTTTTCATAGTTATCAAAATTATTGTTTCTTGCTTTTGTCTAAGTACATTCTTAGAAGCTGGAAATGTTGACATCTTTTGGATTCTGACCAGTAAAAAACCTTAAACCATTTAGGAAATGGTTTCCCTTTCCTAAATCTTTTTTTTTTTTTTTTTTTTTTTTTTTGAGACAGAGTCTTCCTCTGTCACCAGGCTGGAGTGCAGTGGCATGATGTTGGCTTACTGTAACCTCCACCTCCTGGGTTCAAGCCATTTTCCTGGCTAAGCCTCCCGAGTAGCTGGGATTACAGGCACCCACCACCACACCCAGCTAATTTTTGTATTTTTAATAGAGATGGGGTTATCACCATGTTGGTCAGGATGGTCTCGATCTCCTGACCTCGTGATCCGCCCGCCTCGGCCTCCCAAAGTGCTGGGATTACAGGTGTGAGCCACTGCGCCCGGCCCCCTTTCCTAAATCTTTACTAGTAAATAGATGCTGGGCTGTTAGTTCCCTAGCAACCAGCTGCACTCTGCTGCCCCTACCTGGCTTAAGACTGCCTAAGCCTCATCAGGAAGGAGAAAAGTTGGCCTGAGCTAAGGGCCCTCCAAGCAATAAACCTCTGAGTTTATGGTGAGTGTAAACTGGGTTAGGTTTTCAATTGTTTGTGAAAGAGACCAGAGACAGCAGACGAGGATGACCTTTCAGTTTCAGGGAATAAGATCAGCAAGCCCTAAAGAACCTTGATTAAATTTGGGTATTCCCAAGGCTCCTTAGCTACACACCTGCACACTTAGATTGCTCTTACAAATAGCTAAACACAGCCAGGTGCGATGGCTCATGCCTGTAATCCCAGCACTTCGGGAGGCTGAGGCGGGCGGATCACCTGAGGTCAGGAGTTCAAGACCAGCCTGGTCAACATGGTGAAACCCTGTCTCTACTAAAAATACAAAAATTAGTCGGGCGTGGTGGCACATGCCCATAATCCCAGCTACTCTGGAGGCTGAAGCGGGAGAATTGCTTGAACCTGGGAGGTGGAGGGTGCAGTGAGTTTATGGTGAGTGTAAACTGCGATTATGCCACTGCACTCCATCCTGGGTGACAGAGCAAGATTCTGTCTCAAAACAAGACAAACAAAATGAATAGCTGATCACATCCATTGTATTTATTGTTGCTGTTCTTTAATGCATTTAATAAAGAAGCACATATATAACCATATTACAAGTTTGGGGGATTATAATTTTTTATTATGGTAAAATATACATTACATAAAATTTGCCCTTTCAATCATGTTTAAGTGTGTATCATCCATTACTGGGTTTTTTGTTTTGGTTTGTTTTGTTTTGTGTGCGTGTGTGTTTGTTTAGAAACAGGGTTTCACTCTGTCACCCAGGCTGGTATGCAGTGACACAATCATGGCTCCCTGCAGCCTCAACTTCCTGGGCTCAAGCAATCCTCCCAACTCAGCCTCTCACGTAGCTGGAACTACAGGGGCGCACCACCATGCCCAGCTAATTTTTTTTTATTTTTGTAGAGACACGGACTCCCTATGTTGCTCAGGCTGGTCTCAAACTCCTGGGCTGAAGTGATCCTCCCACCTCAGCCTCCCAAATTGTTGTTATTACAAGTATGAGCTACTGTGCCCAGTCCCATTGGGGTATTTTTCTGTGGTTCTCAAGGGTTGCCCACAGAGAGACAGACCACTTTTGGACTCAGGAAATCTGGATGTACCAAGACTAAATCTATATTAACCTTCTGATCTACTGTCAGGATGGCAAAGTGTTTTATTTCCTGTGACAATTCTGATCTAAAAATGTAAGGGATGAAAAAAAATGTAAGGGATGAGATCAACTATTTGTAAATGTTGTCCGAGAGGCTGGTTTGCAGGTGTGTGGGTGCAAACCAGTCCATCACACTCAACATATAGAACAAATCCTTTTTAAATCACTGTTCTAGAAAAATTTTGACCCAGAAAAAGGAAAAGATATGTCCAATATTGATGGGGACAATGCCTCATAATGTAAAAAAAAAAAAAAAAAAAAAAAATTGAGACAGAGTCTCACTCTGTTGCCCAGGCTGCAGTGCAGCAACGTGATCTCAGTTCGCTGCAACCTCCACCTCCCCGGGCTCAAGCGTTTCACCTGCCTCAGCCTCCCAAGTAGCTGGGATTACAGGTGCATGCCACCACACCCAGCTAATTTTTGTATTTTTAGTAGAGATAGGGTTTCGCCATGTTGCCCAGGCTAGTCTCAAACTCCTGAACTCAGGTGATCTGTCAACCTCAGCCTCCCAAAGTGCTGGGATAACAGGCATGAGTCACTGCGCCCTGCTGTAAAATTATAAAATGCCAGGAAAAAGCAATGAGGATAGTGCCCCCAAAACTGTTTATTGAAATGGCCTTGAGGTAATTTTGTGAGTGTTACCATGAATAGTCAAAAGAGTCTAAATATACCTGCTATTATTTATAAAGATACAATGTTGGAGAGAAGAACTAACCTTATAGATAGATAAGCAGCCATATTTTCTAGCTAAAAACAAGATTTATGACTTGACAAGAGACTTTTCATATGGCTGTGGGTATAACAGGGAATCTAGGAGATATAATTTGGATGCCAAAATGTTACAATTCCTGGAATATTTCCTTGCATCAGTGAGATAACAGGGCAGAATATTTTTAGTAGGATCTGTCCTGGAAAATCTAAAATGTACAGCAATACATTCTTTCTATTAAATTGTCACACACTGTTGATGACAGTGTAAATTGGCATCTCTGTGCTGAAATATGGTATAGCAAGAGGGTACACACCCATCCATTCATTCATCAATTATCTACTGAGTTGCATACTGTGTGCCAGACCTAGTTCTAGGACCTGGACATATAACAGTTAACAAACAAGTAAAATGACTTAACCTCACGGAGCTTAGTGATGGAGCTAATTATAACCATTGACTCGGCAATTCCTCTTCTAGAAATTAATCATAAAGAAATAATCATGAATGTACAAA
This sequence comes from Homo sapiens, assembly GCF_000001405.40. Classification (NCBI taxonomy): domain Eukaryota; kingdom Metazoa; phylum Chordata; class Mammalia; order Primates; family Hominidae; genus Homo; species Homo sapiens. The sequence goes on from NC_000007.14 coordinate 128,472,194, forward strand.
ATTATTTCATTACAAAGATGTACACCATGTTGAATTTTTTTTTCTTTCTTTTTTTTTTTTTTTTTTTTTGAGATAGAGTCTCACTCTGTCGCCCAGGCTGGAGTGCAGTGGCGTGATCTTGGCTCACTGAAACCTCCGCCTCTAGGGTTCAAGCGATTCTTCTGCCTCACCCTCCCGAGTACCTGGGACTACAGGTGCGTACCACCATACCTGGCTAATTTTTGTATTTTTAGTAGAAACGGGGTTTCATCATGCTGGCCAGGATGGTCTTGAACTCCTGACGTCGTGATCCACCTGCCTCGGCCTCCCAAAGTGCTGGGATTACAGGTGTGAGCCACTGCACCCAGCCGTTAAATTTTTAATAGTATGAAACTTAAAGTGACCTAAATGTCCAATAAAGCATGATATAGCTATACAAAACAATACCAGAAGGACATTAAGTGATGTTGTAAAAGAATATTTTGAACAAAAGAATAATGTCCCCAAGTTATTATTAAGTTAAAAAGCAGACTACAACTGCTAAGTGGCATGGGAGAACTTCAAGGCGTTGTTCTAAAACTAGATTGTGACGCTGATTACACAAATACAGATTTAATGAAAATGTATTGAACTGTACACTTAAAATGGATGAATGTAATTGGGTTTTCTTGTTGTTGTTGTTGTTGTTTGAGATGGAGTCTTGCTCTGTTGCCAGGCTGGCCTGCAGTGGCACGATCTAAGCCCACTGCAACCTCCGACTCCTGAGTTCAAGCGATTCTCCTGCCTCAGCCTCCCGAGTAGCTGGGATTACAGGCACCCACCACCGTGCCCGGCTAATTTTATTTATTTATCATTTATTTATTTATTATTTGTGTGTGTGTGTGTGAGGAGTCTCGCTCTGTCGCCCAAGCTGAAGTGCAGTGACACAGTCTCGGCTCACTACAACCTCCAACACCCAGGTTCAAGTGATTCTCCTGCCTCAGCCTCCTAAGTAGCTGGGACTACAGGCGCGTGCCACCACGCCTGGCTAATTTTTTGTATTTTAGTAGAGATGGGGTTTCACCATGTTGGCCAGGATGGTCTCGATCTCCTGACCTCGTGATCCGCCCACCTCGGCCTCCCAAAGTGCTGGGATTACAGGCGTGAGCCACCACACCCAGCCTAATTTTTGTATTTTTAGTAGAGATGGGGGTTTCACCATCTTGGTCTGGCTGGTCTCGAACTCCTGACCTCGTGATCCACCCGCCTTGGTCTCCCAAAGTGCTGGGATTACAGGTGTGAGCCACCGTGCCCGGCCAGATGAATGTAATTGTTTAAAAAAAAAAGCACAAAGCATTTTGTTCTGAAACTATTTTAATGTAAAGTCACTTACATAACTAAATTAGAAAGCACTAGGATGATATAAGCCAAAGCATTAATGAGTCAAATTAATGGTGGGAAGAAGTATTTTCTTTTGTTTTATCGATATCTTCTAAACGTTCTATAATAAAAAATTTATTTTGCAATAAGAAAACACAGGCCAGGTGCAGTGGCTCATGTCTGTAATCCCAGCACTTGGGGAGGCCGAGGCAGAAGGATTGCTCAAGACCAGGAGTTCGAGGCCAGCCTGGGCAACATGGCAAAACACTGTCTCCACAAAAAATGCAAAAATTATCCGGGTATGGTGGCACAAACCTCTAGTCCCAGCTTCTCTGTTGGCTGATGTGGGAGAATCACTTGAGCCTGGGAGGCAGAGGTTGCAGTGAGCTGTGATCGTGCCACTGTACTCCAGCCTGCGTGACAGAGTGATGCCCTATCTCAAAGAAAAAAAGGAGAAGAAAGGCCGGGTGGGGTGGCTAATGCCTGTAATCCCAGCACTTTGGGAGGCTGAGGCAGGCGGATCATTTGAGGTCAGGAGTTCAAGACCAGCCTGGCCAACATTGTGAAACCCGTCTCTACTAAAATACAAAAATTAGTCGGGTGTGGTGGCGGTGGCCTGTAATCTCAGCTACTCTGGAGGCTGAAGCAGGAGACTGGCTTGAGCCCGGGAGGTGGAGCTTGCAGTGAACCGAGATCATGCCACTGCACTCCAGCCTGGGCGACAGAGCAAGACTTCGTCTCAAAAAACAAAAACCAAAAAACAAAAAAAAAACAAAAAAAACAATTAACTACCCTTGTCCTTGGCTAACAACCTAAGGCAATAATCCAGAATGAGAGTTTTTAACCTTTACAAGCATTAAACCCATGCCACCCACTGAGCTATAAGAGTTCTCCTTACTTACCACCAGAGGGACCCTTAGTTCCTCTGAAACGTGGCGTTTCTGAAGCTACAATCCAGTATAAAGTCTGACACCAGAGAACTCACAGCCATGTCAAACTTATGCAAAATTATTTTAGGTGCTTCGAAAAATAGGTTTTACAGGCCAATCAAATATAATTGTATAAAATTAAGTTTAGGCCGGGCGCGGTGGCTCACTCCTGTAATCCCAGCACTTTGGGAGGCCAAGGTGGGCGGATCATGAGGTCAGGAGATTGAGACCATCCTGGCCAACATGGTGAAAACCCATCTCTACTAAAAATACAAAAAATTAGCCGGGCATGGTGGCGGGTGCCTGTAGTCCCAGCTACTCGGGAGGCTGAGGCAGGAGAATGGCGTGAACCCGGGAAGTAGGGAGCTTGCAGTGAGCCGAGATCACGCCACTACACTCCAGCCTGGGAGACAGTGCGAGACTCCGTCTCAAAAATAAATAAATAAATAAATAAATAAAAATAAAAAATAAAATTAAGTTTAGGATACTTTAGCACATTTCATAGAAAAAAGGCCAAAGCTGTTTGACATTTAAAATGTCTCCATTGGAACTAATATAGTAAATTCAAGTGAAGACAATGAGCTGTCTGCAAGAAAATATCCAGTGGGACTGTTGATTGGGAACACTAACAGCTTTTAGTGAGGGGAGAATAAAAGCCCACAGATGAGAAAACAAGATGCCAGAAATAAATGTAAATCAACCACCATATCTGCAAACAGCTGGCCTTGAGAAAAGATAAAAATTCCTTGTACTTGTTTCTGGGTATGGAGCTTGTGTTCAAAATGTTTCCAAAGACCACAAGAATGGCAAAAGCATATTGTCTTCAAATGAAGTACAACTTCTTTACTATCTTTTTGATTAACTTGTGTATTTTTCTTCCTGATTAGAGAGGCTTAGAGCTTGTTCCCATTTCTTTGGAGGAAAAGTATAGAATCATTCATTGCTCCCTGTAGTTTTACCTACAGAAAGAATTTACAATGGAATAAACAATTACTGGCTGGGCACGGTGGCTCACACCTGTAATCCCAACACTTTGGGAGACCGAGGTGGGCAGATCATTTGAGGTCAGGAGTTCAGGACCAGCCCAGGCAACATGGTGAAACCCCATCTCTACTAAAAATACAAAAATTAGCCGAGTGTGGTAGCGCGCACCTGTAATCCCGGCTACTCAGGAGGCTGAGGCAGGAGAATCACCTGAGCCCAGGACATGGAGGTTATAACGAGCTGAGATCCAGCTACTGCACTCCAGCCTGGGAAACAGAGCAAGACTCCGTCTCAAAAAAAAAAAAAAAAAAGTACTAATTACCAATGTGCTATGTCTAGCACTGCACTAACCCTTTCCTTTTTTAAAAAAATTCATCTTTCCCTTTATTCTGACATTATGACATTAAATAAAGTCCAAGAGATATTGGGCTGGTCCTTGTTTGGTCTCTGCCCTTTCCTTCTTTTCCAAGTGGTATTCATCATGCTTCTCTTGGAAGTCTTCTCAAATAACCTTATGTCTATAACATACTTTCTTCTAGATTCTTTTGAGAGTCTATTTGTATTAGATCTAGAAATAGAAATGTAAGGCTGAAATGTATTACTATGACAAACTGTATGTGTGTATTACAATCTTAATTGTGCTAATAAGGATAATTATAATAAATATAATATGGATGATTCAAAAAGGTTAGATGGTTATAATTAAAAAAAAATTGTCCTTGGATATTCCATTTGATTTGCTAAGCCTCGTGTTCTCTAATTTCATATATCCATCTCCCCCACCCCAACCAAAATATATATACACACTGTGTATACATATACACCCACACTATGAAGAGCTGACTATAGAAGCTGGAAATTGCCCTGTTTCTTTCCGCTGCTTGCTACCTTCTTCAGTTCTGGACATCGGCTCCGCAGTGGAACTAGGTAGCCTCAACTCTTATAATGATTCAAGATTATTCCTGTTTTACAACTTGAGGGAAGCTGGGGAACCTGTTAAGAGGATCCCAGCAATGAACTGGGCCTCAAGTGGAATGTCTCCCACTTTCTGCCTAACCTGCACGTCCATCAGCACCTCATCAATGAGATACGACTCCTCCGGGGAGAATTTCCCCCTGCCTGGTCCCCTTCCCTAGAGAGCCCTTCGCCAACCCTGGGAAAGCCCCAAACGACAGCTCCCGAGCGCCACCCGGACCAGACTCCAGGACCGCCCTGTCCCGCCACCCTTTTTCCCGCCCAGACTCCACGTCTTCTGAAAGAGGGCGTGGCCCGCAGGAAGTTCTCGCGTTACGGAAAGTGAAGTGTTTCCGGCTCCGGTGTCATGGCCGGCTCCTACCCTGAAGGTGCACCTGCAATCCTCGCCGATAAGAGGCAGCAGTTCGGAAGCCGGTTCCTGAGCGATCCGGCGCGCGTCTTCCACCACAATGCCTGGTAATCACCCTGCCCCCTCGCCCGGCCTGTCGCTGGCCGTCTGTCCCGCCGCCTCGGAGCATTCCGAAAAGCCCCTGACCGCCGGCCACGAGTCAAGCTGCCCTACCCGAGGCACTCTCCAAGGGGAGAGAAACTCCTAGGCCAGCGACTCACCCTGCTCGCAGCCAGGACGTGAAGCCCCTAAGCTGCCCGTTTGATTTTCTCAGGGACAATGTGGAGTGGTCGGAAGAGCAAGCCGCGGCGGCGGAGAGAAAAGTCCAGGAGAACAGTATCCAGCGGGTGTGCCAGGAGAAACAAGGTGCGCTTAAATGGGCTCTCGTTGGTATCAACAGCCAGCGTACTGCCGAACGCGCCCTCCCGGAGAGGCCAGGGAACCGCGGCCGCCCACATCCTTTATTCCTGGCCTGATGCGGATCTCAGGAGTAGAGCAGGACAGGGAGGGGATGAGCAAGGAGGGAAAAGGGCTGCATTGTAACAAAATCTTAAGTCGTAGAGGGTTTTTTTAATATATAGTTTTACTTTGGAGGAGGGTAATTTTGTCTTTAATTATGTTGAGTAGATCCACGTTGATATGGCTAGCCAATGACAACTGTGTGGTCACGCGATCATCTTAGAACCTGTACTTTTTACATGATTTGCATTTTCCATGAGGAGATGTTTCCATTGAAGCTTCATTTAAGTGATTAGATTCTAAATATTGTTGGGAGGGGGGCTAATGACTGGTGACTGTGTGTCTATTACTTGTGTGATGGTTATGAGAATTTAGGGCTTCAGTCAAGGAAAGGTGGATGCAGCAGAGTGGAGATAAGTCTGGCCAAAGAAAAGGAGGCCCCTGCTTGAGAGGTTGATGATTTCACTGCAAAATATCCCTAGATAGTAAAACTAGGACTGATTGTTCCAGACAATTGAAGATAGCACTACAAATTTAGTACCTGCTGAAAGAGTTCTGTACAACAAAAAGGTTCCAGTTACAAAACATTCACCCTGCATAGTCTGACAGCAACTAGATCAAAGCAAGTTAATAGTTAAAAGGGATTTTGAAAATCATGTGGTTCAATATTCTCTTTTTATAGTTAAAGACACTTGGACCACAGGACATTAAGTGCTTTTCCCAGAGGTAAGCAGTCAGTAGTAGCAGTAGTGGAACTAAAATCCTGTTTCTTAGGGAGTCTTGGTTGATTCAGCAGGTGAGTTGTGAGTTGTTAACACACTTCTTAGTGGATTCCAACTTCCATTGTCACCGTCCTGCTCAATTTGTTAGGTTTTTATTCTTTCTACTACACTAGTCAAGGCCCCCTGAACTGGCAAGAGCAGTAAACTGAAATCTGGGACTGTCATGATCACCTTAAAAACAGCCTTCATTTAAACTGTCCATACTTTTTTTTTTTTTTTTGGAGGCGGAGTCTCGCTCTGTCACCAGGCTGGAGTGCAGTGGCGCGATCTCAGCTCACTGCAATCTCCTCCTCCCTGGTTGAAGCGATTCCCCTGCCTCAGCCTCCCGAGTAGCTGGGACTACAGGTGTGCACCACCATGCCTGGCTAATTTTTTGTATTTTGGTACAGATGGGGTTTCACCATGCTGGCCAGGATGGTCTCAATCTCCTGACCTCGTGATCCGCCCATCTTAGCCTCCCAAAGTGCTGGGATTACAGGCATGCGCCACTGCACCTGGCTACTTCTAGGATTTTTTAATAGTTAAAAGTCATCTGGCTGGGCGCGATGACTCATGCCTGTAATCCCAGCACTTTGAGAGGCTGAGGCGGGTGGATCACGAGGTCAGGAGATTGAGACCATGCCTGGCTAACACGGTGAAACCCCGTCTGTACTAAAAAATAGAAAAAATTAGCCGGGCGTGGTCGTGGGCCTGTAGTCCCAGCTACTCAGTAGGATGAGGCAGGAGAATGGCATGAACCCGGGAGGTGGAGCTTGTGGTGAGCCAAGATTGCGCCCCTGCACTCCAGCCTGGGTGACAGAGCGAGACTCTGTCTCAAAAAGAAAAAAAAGTCATCCAAAGATGTAGGAGGACACTTGATAGATAGTAAGTTCTCTGGTTGATTGTTCAAACAGAATTTAGACTCCTATAATGACGGATGGGGCATTTGGGTATAATGCCAGATGGCAGGACTAAATGACCTCAGAAATGCCTTCAGTTCTGGGACTGTGGCTCTACCTGAGGATAATTTTAGTATTAAAGTGACATTTGGTAAAGCAGGATAATTGACGTTAGATATAAATAAAATATTTGAGAGCTGGTTCTTAAAATTTTTTCTTAAATATTTACAGTTGATTATGAGATCAATGCCCACAAATACTGGAATGACTTCTACAAAATCCACGAAAATGGGTTTTTCAAGGATAGACATTGGCTTTTTACCGAATTCCCTGAGCTGGCACCTAGCCAAAATCAAAATCATTTGAAGGATTGGTTCTTGGAGAACAAGAGTGAAGTATGTGAATGTAGAAACAATGAGGATGGACCTGGTTTAATAATGGAAGAACAGCACAAGTGTTCTTCGAAGAGCCTTGAACATAAAACACAGACACCTCCTGTGGAGGAGAATGTAACTCAGAAAATTAGTGACCTGGAAATTTGTGCTGATGAGTTTCCTGGATCCTCAGCCACCTACCGAATACTGGAGGTAACCTTTTATTGTCTTGGTAGTGGGATATGTGAAGCTATTATATTTGTGCACATGAGGTAGCATAGAGAGGCTGACAATAAAAGTAACTTCTATTGGATGATGCTGACTAGACTTGACCCTTATATTAGCCTGGAATCACCTCCATTTTTGAACTGATAAAATGCCCTCAGTGCAGACCAGATATCTGGTGGTCATCACAGACAAAGATCACACGGGAATAGCATGTCACTTCCAAAAATTGTATTAATAGCATCATGCTGTACCTGTCACATGACACTGTATCATACAGGTGAAAGAGCTCAACATGATCATGCTATAACTCTGGAAAAATGTCCCAGATCAGAAGAAATTGTTGCTTCTCTTCTAATACAGTTACAGGAATGGAGAGGGTAGTTAGGATGGTGCCTGTTTCTTAGGCCTGGGATAATTCTCTTCCTCTGCATTTGGATGGTGTTGCAGAGTCTAGACCTGGAAAAATGTCTAGATTGGTATAATGTAAATTCATAAATGGGGACTGCGCACGTTACTGGAAGCTGGTTCTGGAACTGGTTAGCCTTGGGATTGAGTCCTATGGTGTGATCTTAGACAATTTCCTTACCCTCTCTGAGCAGTGAGACTGCTGCCTCTGCACCTTATACTTATGAGGATGGAGATAATGTATGTAAAAGGGCTAAGAACAGTATCTGGCACATTGTTAAGCCCTTAATAAATAGTTGCTGTCTTCATTACCACGCAGCACTGTGTTTAGGACAAGGTTGTCAAGGTCCCCTTTTCATACATTTTTCAGCACAGTCTATTACAAATATTTTCACAATAATAATATAAGCTTAGTAAGAAAATACTTCATCTACAGGACAATTTGCTAGAACTCAAAAGATAAAAGCAATCCTTGCCCTTTTTTCTAGACCACCTCGTTTCTGCTAATAAAAACCCATGTTCTTGTCTTTTAAGGGTTCCTGAAGTCAACATCAAAATCAACAAATGTCATGGGTACTGTTTAGCTCTGGTCACTACACCTTCCCTAATACAGTTAGGCCAGATTCTTGTTGATTATTATTTTTCTAGCTTTTCTAGCTTTCGGGAATTAACTCTGGAAAGTTCTGTGATTAATAGTTCATTTCTGTCTGCAGGTTGGCTGTGGTGTGGGAAACACAGTCTTTCCAATTTTACAAACGAACAAGTAAGTATGTTGTAAAAGTTTATGATAGCAAAGAAGATAAAAGTGAAGGTTGGCTGGGCGCATTGCTTCACGACAGTAATCCCAGCACTTTGGGAGGCCAAAGCAGGATTGCTTGAGGCCAGGAGTGTGAGACCAGCCAGGGCAATGTAGCAAGAAAAAAAAGTAAAGATTTTTTCAAAACTTGCTGCATCAAACTATCAATAATGGTTATTGGAAAATATGGATTATGTCAGATTCAGATTTCTACATTGTTCATTTATGGATTGTTTTAATTTGATTATCTTTATCATTTGGAAAATTAGACTTAAAACTTGCTAGTGTTAACGTTTAGTGCCTTCTTCTTCTTCTAAGGAACAAATGTGTTCAACTTTTCCATTCTCATGATCTCTGAAGAACAGTCAGTGGCTGAGTTGTCATTACCCCCATGGTAGAGTTGAGAAAGCTATCATACATGAAGATGTCTCCTGTTCTGATGAAAACACACTGGTTTTGTGTACTTAAGCAGAACGCTTCTGACACCAAATGTGCAGGGTTTTTGCCAACACTGACCAATTCAACAACAGCTGGGTGTCCTACAATTCAATTCTGACACTGTCTACTTGGAGTTGGTATCAGATCCCACAAGTTAAGGGTTCGGTCCCAGAAGACTGCCCCCCACTTCAGATGCCAGTTGTGAATCTGGCCCTCCGTGTTTCTGCCCTACAGGCTGTAAATCAGGGGAGCCCTGTCTCCAGTTCAATAATTTCCTAGAATGGCTCACAGAACTCAGGGAAACACTTTACTTACATTTATGTGTTTGTTATGAAGGATACAGATTAACAGCCAGCTGAAGAAGTAATTAGAGTGGGGTTCAGAGGATCTCACGCTCAGGAGCTTTGACCCTGAGGAGCTCAGTGCAGTGTTCTCCTAGCACACGGATGTGTTCACCAACCTGGAAGCTCATCAAGGGTTTTTTTTTAGTTTTGAGACAAGCTCTTGTTCTGTCATCCCGACTAGAGCACAGTGGTGTGCCCATAGCACACTGCAGGCTCAAACTCCTAGGCTCAAGCAATCGTCTCACCTCAGCCTCCCAAGTAGCTGGGACTACAGACACATGCCACCATACCCAGCTAATTTTTGTTTATTTTTTGTAGAGACAGGGTCTCACTTTGTTTCCCAGACTGGTCTCAAACTCCTGGCTCAAGTGATCCTCTTGCCTCGGCCTCCCAAAGTGCTGGAATTACATGCATAAGTCACCGTTCCCAGCCTCAAGAGTTTTTATACAGCTAGGACACAGACTTATGGGAAAATTAATTTTAAAAGGAGAAGAAGAAAATAGTTTTCATACAACATAATCTGCATTTCTATTCAGGACATTGGTGGGTGAAGCTGAAAGTTCCAATCAGTTTGCCCTTACTAGTGTTGGCCCCACCCCAGGTCATCTCATTAACATAAATTCAGTGTGGTCCTGAGGGAGTTCATCATGAATAACAAAAGATACAGAGTCTTGCTTCATCTCCCAGGTTGGAGTACAGTGGCACAATCTCGACTCATTGCAACCTCCGCCTTCCGGGTTCAAGTGATTCACCTGCCTCAGCCTCCCTAGTAGCTGGGATTAAGGGTGCATGCCACCACACACAACTAATTTTTATATTTTTAGTAGAGACAGGGTTTCACCACATTGGCCAGGCTGGTCTCAGACTCCTGACCTCAGGTGATCTACCTGCCTCGGCCTCCCAAAGTGCTGGGATTATATGTGTGAGCCGCCGCGCCCAGCCTGCTGAGGAAATTCTTAAGGTTTTTGGAACTCTGTGCCTGGAACCACAAAGACCAACACCAAATATATTTATTATACCATACCTGTTTTGTTTTGTTTGAGACGGAGTCTTGCTCTGTTGCCCAGGCTGGAGTGCAGTGGCGTAATCTTGGCTCACTGCAACCTCTGCCTCCTGGGTTCAAGCGATTCTCCTGCCTCAGCCTCCCAAATACCCGGGATTACAGGCATGCGCCACAATGCCCAGCTAATTTTTGTATTTTTAGTAGAGATGGGGTTTCGCCGTGTCGGCTAGGCTGGTCTCGAACTCCTGACCTCAAGTGATCCACCCACCTCAGCCTCCCAAAGTGCTGGGATTACAGGCGTGAGCCATGGCTCCTGGCCCTATAGCTGTTTTTAAACCCCTTGTGGAAATGACATTCCAGTTCTGTATTCATTACTGGAATCCACTGTTTCTCAAAGGTTTCATATAATATATACTTTGCCAATTTAGCCCACAGTATTCATTAACAGGATTAAGTAAAACATTAGCCTCATTACTAATATACATTTAAATATTTCTACAATTTGTTCTCAGAAATTTCTAAGAAAATGGCAAGTCCTAGTACTAACACTGAAGAAAAGAGATTGTTCTACTCTTGAAGTTACAGTCTGAGGAACCCACCTCAAATGGGAGATTGACTTAGCTTCAAGTTATGGCCATTAATCATCAATATCATCAATGAATGTAAAACTGAATGTAGATGGCATCTTTGCCACAGCCTCTTTATGCCATTTAAATAAGATCGCTGTGTTCAGTATCTTACTAGAACCCACTTGTTCATGTAATTCACTGGCTTAGAATTGGCATGTTTTCTACTGCCTGTGAATCAGGTTTAAATTGTTGGGCATAGTTTTCAAAGTCCTCTACAAGAGTGTGCCCTATAAAGTATGTCCTCTTATCCCTCAGTGCACTGGTCACACCTTGCATGTCTTCCCCTGACTCCGTACCTTTCCAAAATGTCCTTTGTTTCTACTACTCTATTTCCTTCCTTCCTCACATTCAGATCAGAAGCATCTAGAAAACTTCCCTAGTTGTTATCGTCCAGCTGCCTCACTCTGCAGTCTTTTTCGAGACAGTCTCACTCTGTCACCCAGGCTGGAGTGCAGTGATTCGATCTCGGCTAGCCGCAACCTCCGCCTCCCAGGTTCAAGCAATTATCCTGCCTCAGCCTCCCGAGTAGTTGGGATTACAGGTGCCCACCACCACGCCCAGCTAATTTTTGTATTATTGATTGATTGATTGGTTGATTGAGACGGAGTTTTGCTCTTGTTGCCCAGGCTGGAGTGCAGTGGTGCGATCTTGGCTCACCGCAACCTCTGCCTCCTGGGATCAAGTGATTCTCCTGCCTCAGCCTCCCAAGTAGCTGGGATTACAGGCATGCGCCACCATACCCAGCTAATTTTATGTTTTTAGTAGAGACGGGGTTTCTCCATGTTGGTCAGGCTGGTCTCGAACTCCTGACTTCAGGTGATCCACCCGCCTCAGCCTCCCAAAGTGCTGGGATTACAGGTGTGTGCCACTGTACCCGGCTAATTTCTGTACTTTTTAGTAGAGATGAGCTTTCACCATGTTGGCCAGGCGGGTCTCGAACTCCTGACCTCAGGTGATCCACCCACCTCGGCCTCCCAAAGTGCTGGGATTACAGGCATGAGCCACCATGCCCAGCCCACTCTGCAGTCTTTACAGCCTTTTTATGTTTCTTGAGTTACCCTATTGCCTAGATCCTTTTTTTTTTTTTTTTTTTTTTTTTTTTGAGACAGGATTTCTGTCACCCAAGCTGGAATGCAGTGGTGCCATCACAGCTCACTGTAGCTTCAACCTTCCAGGGTTCAGGTGATCCTCCCACCTCAGCCTCCCAAGTAGCTGGGACAACAGGCGTGTGCCACCACCCCTGCTAATTTTTGTCTTTTTTGTAGAAATGGGGTTTTGCCATGTTGCCCAGGCCAGGGTTCTTAATATTTTTTTAATGTATCTGATAAAGCCTTAGGATCATTTCTCAGGCTAATGTATTTTTCATTTGTTTTCTTTTTATATATAACAGCTTTATTGAGATATAAAGTGTGTAATACAGTGGTTTTTTTGTTTGGTTGGTTTTTTGTTTTGTTTTGGTTTGGTTTTGAGGTGGCATCTTGCCCTGTCGCCCGGGCTGGAGTGCAGTGGCACGATCTTGGCTCACTGCAACCTCTGCCTCCCAGTTTCAAGCGATTCTCCTGCCTCAGCCTCCTGAGTAGCTGGGATTACAAGCGCCCGCCACCACACCCAGCTAATTTTTGTATTTTTAGGATTCACTGTGTTGGCCAGGCTGGTCTCGAACTCCTGACCTCGTGATCTGCCTGCCTCGGCCTGCCAAAGTGCTGGGATTACAGGCGTGAGCCACCGCACCCGGCTGTAATACAGTGGTTTTAAGTTAATTCACAGAGTTGTGCAGCCATCACTGCAGTCAACTTCAGGACATTTTCATCACCCCAAAAAGAATCCCTATACCCATTAGCAGTCACTCCCCATTTCCCAATTTCCCCCAATCTCTAGCCCTAAGCAACCACTACTCTACAAATGCACAAATCTCTATATAGATTTATCTTGGGCTAATTTTAAGTATATGAAGTAAAATAGAGAAAATCAATTATTTTGAAATACAGTTCTATCCTCAGAGCCCAATTAAGGACTCTGATTTTAAAAATAATACTCTTAGCCCTTCATATTCACCTTTTCTGCATCCGAGGATTCAAGCAACCATGGATTGAAAATAAATAGTATAGGCCAGGCGCAGTGGCCCATGCCTATAATCCCAGCACTTTGGAAGGCCAAGGAGATAGGATCACCTGAGCCCAGGAGTTCAAGACGAGCCTGAACAACATAGTGAGACCCCGTCTCTACAAAAAAATTAGCCGCCTGGTGCTGCGGCTCACGCCTGTAATCCCAGCACTTTGGGAGGCCGAGACGGGCAGATCACAAGGTCAGGAGATGGAGACCATCCTGGCTAACACAGTGAAACCCCGTCTCCACTCAAAATACAAAAAAAAATTAGCCAGTCGTGGTGGCAGGCACCTGTAGTCCCAGCTACTCGGGAGGCTGAGGCAGGAGAATGGCATGAACCCAGGAGGCGGAGCTTGCAGTGAGCGGAGATCGCACCACTGCACTCCAGCCTGGGCGACAGAGTGAGACTCCGTCTCAAAAAAAAAAAAAAAAATTGCCAAGCATGCTGGCATGCACGTGTAGTCTCAGCTACTTTGGAGGCTGAGGCCAGAGGATTGGTTGGGGCTGCAGTGAGCCATGATCACACCACTGTACTCCAGGTGACAGAGCAAGACCCTGTCTCAAAAATCAATAAAACAACAATTTTTAAAACTATAACTGTTTACATAGCATTTATATTAGGCGTTATAGATGATTTAATGTATGCAGGAGGATGTGTGTGGGTTGTATGCAAATGCTACACCCGACACCATTGTGTAAGAGACTTGAGCTGGATACCAAGGGACAACTATATGACCTGTAGAAAACTTAAAGAAAAGCACAGGCCGGGCGTGGTGGCTCACTCTTGTAATCCCAGCAGTTTGAGAGGCCAAGGTGGGTAGATCACCTGAGGTCAGGAGTTCGAGCCCAGCCTGGCCAACATGGCGAAACCCCATCTTTACTAAAAATACAAAAATTAACCAGGCGTGGTGGTGGGTGCCTGTAATCCCAGCTACTCAGGAAGCTAAGGCAGGAAAATGGCTTGGACCCAGGAGTGGAGGTTGCAGTGAGCCAAGACCACGCTATTGCACTCCAGCCTGGGTGACAAAAGCAAAACTCCGTCTCAAAAAAAAAAGAAAAGCACAAAGAGGCCAGGCACAGTGGCTCATGCCTGTAATCTGAACACTTTGGGAAGCCAAGGTGGGCAGATTACTTAAGGTCAGGAGTTCAAGACCAACCTAGTCAACATGGTGAAACCCTGTCTCTCCTAAAAATACAAAAATTAACAAGGCATGGTGGTGGGCACCTGTAGTCCCAGCTACTCAGGAGGCTGAGGTGGGAGAATCACTTCAACCTGGGAGGCAGAGGCTGCAGTGAGCTGAGATTGTCCCACTGTACTCCAGCCTGGGTGACACAGCCAAGACCTCGTGTCTCACAAAAAAAAAAAGAAAAACATGAAGAAGAAAACAACGCTTGCCAGGCGCGGTGGCTCACCCCTGAAATTCCAGCACCTGGGGAGGCCGAGGCAGGTGGATCACCTGAGGTCAGGAGTTTGAGACTAGCCTGGCCAACATGGTGAAACCCCGTCTCTACTAAAAATACAAAAATTAGCTGGGTGTGGTGGTGCGCACCTGTAATCCGAGCTACTTGAGGGGCTGAGGTAGGAGGATCACTTGAACCCAGGAGGCAAAGACTGCAATGAGTCTTTTAGAAAGCAGAAGCTGAGTCTGATAGAACTTAGCCCGTGACCTTAATGGGTACTCGGCAGATGCAGCTGCCTGGCTGATTCGAGAACAGGACAGGCATGGACCCTGCTTTCGGAGCAGTGCTGTGGAATAGAACTTTGTGCAGTGATGGAAATGTTCTGCATCTTCACTCTCCCTTATGGTGGGCACTAGCCACGTGTGAAACGTATCTAATGGGACTGAGAAACTGAATTTTTAATTTAAGTAGCCACAGGTAGCTAGTGATTACCATAGCAAATGCTGCAGTTCCCCGGGTTTTTAGTCTTGATTATACCTCCCAGAAGTTGTCTGCTCCAAAGGTCAACAGTTCAGCAGGAAGCAGAGCCCATGCCTTTGAGAGGCTGGAGGTATTGCATACTCCCAAAAATCCCAGCGTCTCACTCAAATTATGAGCCCAACAGTGCAGAAGAGCTCTGGGCTGTTGTTTCTAAAACGCAAGCATACAGCCTTCCTCCTCTCCCATTTTTATTTAGACCTGTACTAACAAAAAGAATTCTGGCATTACAAATTGTTTTGTATTTTGATGCCTTCAGAATAAATATATAATGTGCTTCATAATTGGAAGCAATTTTGATGGTTTTAAAATCAACATTTTTTGTGTTGCTACCTTGTGCTGAGACTTGTGCTAGATAGTGAGGATACCAAGAAAAATAAGCACAGGGATTTTGTGGTGTTCATCTTTATCTCCTCAGCATCTAAGATAATACACAATGCATAGTGGGCTCTCAGTAGTGTTTGGTGAACTAATAAGCGAAAGATGTAATCGCCGCTGTGAAAGCACTCACTCACTATGTGGTGGGGGCCAACAGACAGGTACAGATGTGTTCCTGGTGTGGAGAAAGTGCCAAGGTGGCTCAGCGAAGAAAAAAGAATTCTTGTGGTGCTATCAAGCAAGGCTTCATTTGAGGGAAAAGTAGGATTTCTGTAGGTGGAAAAAGAGAAGACATTGATTTGAAACTCCCTGGTTGTTTTATAAACTTCATATTAGCTATGTCCACAGAGCCTCCAAAAGGATATAATTCAAAAAGGATTTTAACCAAAATGAAATATGTTGTGACTAATAGATACAGTTTATTTGAATGAATGATAGTTTTTCCCATTTGATATTTTAACTGTGCTACACAAGAATGAGAGTAGACATAGCTCGATTTGTAGTCTCATTGTTTTGTCTTTTCTGCCCATTTCAGTGACCCAGGACTCTTTGTTTATTGCTGTGATTTTTCTTCCACAGCTATAGAACTGGTCCAGGTGAGTACGATGGGAAATTACCTATTGGTAATTTCCACTGATTAAAGGGAAAAGGTTCTCCTAAAAATCAAGGTCTCTGGCTGTGTTCTTATACGGTCTGTGTTCTTACGGTCTAAAAGTAAAAGATTTACTGATAACGAGCATACCTTGTTTTATTGCAGTTCACTTTATCACACTGTACAGATGTCATATCTGTTCATATATTGAAAGTCTGTGGCAACCCTGCATCAAGCAAGCCTACCAGTGCCGTTTCTCCACCACCATATGCTCACTTAGTGTCTGTGTGTCATGCTTTGGTGATTCTCAGAATATTTCAGACTTTTTTACTATTATGTATGTTATAGTGTGTGACGTTACTGTTGTACTTGGTTTGGGGTTCCACAAATCACATCTGTGTAAGACGGTCAACTTAATAAATGCATGTGTTGTGACTGCCCCACCAACCTGCCATTCCATTTCTCTCCCTCTCCTCAGGTCTCCTTGTTCTCTAAGACACAATATTGCAATTAGGCCACTTCATACTCTACAGTGTCCTCTGTGTGCTCAAGTGAAAGGAAGAGTTTCACCACGTTGCCCAGGCTGGTCTCGAATGATAGCTTACACTTGTGTTGTAATTATTAAATTTAATACACAATTGCATAAACTAATGAAATACGATTGCATGCCGGTGCGGTGACTCATGCCTGTAATGCCAGCACTTTGGGAGGCCAGGGTGGGTGGATCACGAGGTCAGGAGTTCAAGACCAGCCTGACCAAGTGAAACCCCGTCTCTACTAAAAATACAAAAAAATTAGCCGGGCTAAAAATACAAAAAATGGCACATACCTGTAATTTCAGCTACTCAGGAGGCTAAGGCAGGAGGAGAATCACTTAAACTCAGGAGGCGGAGGTTGCAGTGAGCTGAGATCGCGCCACTGCACTCCAGCTAGACGACAGAGCGAGACTCCATCTCAAAAAAATAAAAATAAAGATAAAAATACGTTATTGGTTGGCCACAATGGCTTAACGCCTGTCATCCCAACACTTTGGGAGGCTGAGGCAGACAGATCACTTGAGATCAGGAGTTCAAGACTGGCCTAGGCAACATGGTGAAACCCCATCTCTACTAAAGAAAAATACAAGAAATTATCCAGGCATGGTGGTGGGCACCTGTAGTCACAGCTACTCAAAAGGCTGAAGCAGGAGAATTGCTTGAACTGGGGAGGCAAAGGTTGCAGTGAGCCAAGATCGTGCCACTGCACTCCAGTCTGGGTGACAGAGTGAGACTCCATCTCAAAAAAAAAAAAGGGAGAAAGAAAAAAAATAGTTTATTGCTAAAACATATTAATAATCATCTAAACCTTCAGTAAGTTGTAATCTTTGCTAGTGGAGGGTCTTGCCTTGATATTGATGGCTGCTGACTGATCAGGGTGGTGATTGCCAAGGGCTGGGGTAGTGGTTGCTAAGGGCTGGGGTGACTGGCAATTTCTTTTTTTTTTTTTTTTTGAGACGGAGTCTCGCTCTGTCGCCCAGGCTGGACTGCAGTGGCGGGATCTCGGCTCACTGCAAGCTCCGCCTCCCGGGTTCACGCCATTCTCCTGCCTCAGCCTCCCAAGTAGCTGGGACTACAGGCGCCCGCCACTACGCCCGGCTAATTTTTTGTATTTTTAGTAGAGACGGGGTTTCACCGTTTTAGCTGGGATGGTCTCGATCTCCTGACCTCGTGATCCGCCCGCCTCGGCCTCCCAAAGTGCTGGGATTACAGGCGTGAGCCACCGCGCCCGGCCGGCAATTTCTTAAAATAAGGTAACAATGAAGTTTACCATATCAATTGGCTCTTCCTTTCATGAAAGATTTCTCTGTAGCATGCGATGCTGATAGGATTTTGCCCACAGTAGAGCTTCTTTCAAATTGAAGTCCATTCTCTCAAACCCTGCTGCTGCTTTATCAACTAAGTTTGATGCCATTTCAAAACAAAAAACCTTTCTTGCCATTTCAAAACAATGTTCATAGCATCTTTTCTGGAGTAGATTTGATCTCAATAAACCACTTTCTTTGCCCAACCGTAAGAAGCAACTCCTTATAGATAAGGATGCTGGTTGAAAGAAAGAAAGAAAGAAAGAATAAGACTAAAAAAGAAGAAGCAACAAGATTGCAGCAATTCAGTTACATCTTCAGGCTTCACTTTTTTTTTTTTTTTTTTGAGACAGGGTCTCACTGTGTTGTCCAGGCTGAAGTAGAGTGACACAATCATAGCCCACTGTAGCCTTGAATTTTGGGCTCAGGCGAACCTGATGAGATGATTCCATTGGGGTTCTTTGAGTTACAAGTAACAGAAACATCTAGACAAACTCAAAGCAATAAAGTAGAATGTCATAGAACCTAAGGGCACAAAATACAGCCCCAAGTTCCTGGTATCTTACCTCTCATTGTCCAGGGCCCATTTGTTTTTTCCCTCTTTGCATACCAGTTTTCTCTAGTCAGTATTTCCTAGTTTTGCACGTGGCCCCAACGTGCTTGCTTCTTCCAGTCCCTTACAAGCTCACCCTGTTCAGGGGTTCATGGTGCCTCACTAAAATGATTGTGTCCCAGTTCTGAAGTCCCTGGAAAGTCTAGTTAACACAACCTAGCTGATAAATACAGCAGCCCTGTTTGAATCAGCTTTGGCCAATGAGAAACAAACTCACATATTTGGAGAAGATGGACATTGAGGGTAGATGCCTTAAAATGTATCTGTTATGGCTGGGTGCAGTGGCTCACACCTGTCATCCCAGCACTTTGGGAGGCCACGGCCAGCGGATCATGAGGTCAGGAGTTCGATACCAGCCTGACCAATATGGTGAAACCCCGTCTCTACTAAAAATATGAAATTTAGCTGGGTATGGTGGCACGCACCTGTAGTCCCAGCTACTTGGGAGGCTGAAGAATCGCTTGAACCCAGGAGGCAGAGGTTGCAGTGAGCCGAGATCGTGCCACTGCACTCCAGCCTGGGTGACAGAGCAAGACTCCATCTCAAAAAAAAAAAAAAAAAAATGTGTCTGTTACAATTGGCCAGGCGTGGTGGCCAGCACTTTGGGAGGCTGAGGTGGGCAGATCACTTGAGGTCAGGAGTTCAAGACCAGCCTGGCCAACATGGTGAAACCCTGTCTCTACTTTAAAAAACACAAAAACTAGGCCGGGTGCAGTGGTTCATGCCTGTAATCCCAGCACTTTGGGAGGCTAAGACGGGCAGATCATCTGAGGTCAAGAGTTCCAGACCAGCCTGGCCAATATGGTGAAACTCCATCTCTACTAAATACAAAAATTAGCCAGGTATGGTGGTAGGTGCCTGTAGTCCCAGCTACTCGGGAGGCTGAGGCAGGAGAATCGCTTGAACCTGGGAGGCAGAGGTTGTAGTGAGCCAAGATCACGCCATTGCACTCCAGCCTGGGCTACAAGAGCGAAACTCTATCTCAAAAAAAAAAAAAATACAAAAACTAGCAGGACGTGGTGGCATGCACCTGTAATCCCAGCTACTGGGGAGGCTGAGGCAGGAGAATTGCTTGAACCTGGGAAAGCAGAGGTTGCAGTGAGCTGAGATCGCACCACTCCAGCCTGGGCAACAGAACAAGACTCTGTCTCAAAAAAAAAAAAAAAAAAGGGTCTGTCACAATTATGTATAATGCTGTTAGGGCAGATTAGGAATTGGTAGTGCCATGCTTTTAGAATTATTCATGCAGTTAAAGACCAAATGAATATTGAAGCCTATCTTTACTTCAGTTTTTGATAACAAAGTAAATTTTCTACATCTACAGAAATAGATTTTCCTGAAGAATTCTATGGTTTGTGTAATATTTTCTAGTTGGGAGTTGTTTTGAATCGTGTACTTTGTTGTTTGTTTTGAGACAGGGTCTCAGTCACTCAGGCTGGAGTGCAGTGGTACAATCAAGCTGACTGCAGCCTTGATCTCCTGGGCTCAAGTGATTCTCCCACCTCCTGTGTAACTGGGACTACGGGCACATGCCACCACACCTGGCTAATTTTTTTTTTTTTTTGAGATGGAGTCTAGCTCTGTCGCCCAGGCTGGAGTGCAGTGGCGTGATCTCGGCTCGCTGCAACCTCCGCCTCCCAGGTTCAAGCGATTCTCCTGCCTCAGCCTCCAGAGTAGCTGGGATTACAGGCGGGTGCCACTGCACCCAGCTAATTTTTTGTATTTTTAGTAGAGACGGGGTTTCACCATGTTGGCCAGGCTGGTTTTGAACTCCTGACCTCAGGTAATCCGCCCACCTCGACCTCCCAAAGTGCTAGGATTACAGGCCTGCACCTGGCATTTTTTTATTTTTTGTAGAGATGAAGTCTCACTATGTTGCCTAGCTGGTCTCAAACTCCTGGGCTCAAGTGATCCTCCTGCCTCAGCCTCCCAGGGTGCTGGGATTCTAGGCGTGATCCACTGTGCCTAGCAGATCGTGCTTTTGGTTTGTTTGTTTGTTTGTTTGTTTGTTTGTTTTTGTTTTTGAGACGGAGTCTCCCTCTGTTGCCCAGGCTGGAGTGCAGTGGTGCGATCTCGGCTCACTGCAAGCTCCGCCTCCCGGGTTCACGCCATTCTCCTGCCTCAGCCTCCCGAGTAGCTGGGACTACAGGCACCTGCCACCACACCCGGCTAATTTTTTGTATTTTTAGTGGAGACGGGGTTTCACCATGTTAGCTAGGATGGTCTCCATCTCCTGACCTCATGATCTGCGCGCCTCGGCCTCCCAAAGTGCTAGGATTACAGGCGTGAGCCACTGCGTGCTTATTTAAAGTATGTGCTGTCTCTCTCCTTATGAATGTTTTTTTTTTTCCCTGTTGGTCACTCATTTTCATGATCGTTTTCCAATTCTTAGATCTGACTTCATGCATGAGAAGTACAGAAAGTACACAAGAATAAAGAATAAAAGTAGGGGAGTCAGGAATGTTCTATTTTAAACGCAACTATTAGATTCCTCACTGTCTCCCTTCAATTATTCCTGATCTTTACTCTTTGAGTCCTCCCTGAAATAACATGCTATTAGATTGATGCAAAAGTAATTGTCGTTTTTGCCATTACTTTTTTTTTTTTCTTTTCTTTTTTTAGACGGAGTTTCACTCTTATTGCCCAGGCTGGAGTGCAATGGTACAATCTCGGCTCACTACAACCTCTGCCTCCTGGGTTCAAGCGATTCTCCTGCCTCAGCCTCCCGAGTAGCTGGGATTATAGGCATGCGCCACCACACCCAGCTAATTTTGTATTTTTAGTAGAGATGGGGTTTCTCCATGTTGGTCAGGCTGCTCTCGAACTCCTGATCTCAGGTGGTCCTCCCGCCTTGGCCTCCCAAAGTGCTGGGATTACAGGCATGAGCCACCACATCCTTGCCATTACTTTCAATAGCAAAAACCACAATTACTTTTTCACCAATCTATATAATGATTAGAAATATATCCCCTACTCTGGAGGGTGAGGCAAGTGATCCTATCGCGTGAACCCAACAGTTTGAGGCCAGCCTGGGCAACATGGGGAGATTTTGCCTCAAGAAAAAAAAGAAAAAAGAAATAGATCCCTCTTCGTGAAGTAGCAACAGTTACATTTAAAATTTAAAACAAGATAATCTTTTCTTTGGGCTATGTTAATATTTTCTAACTTACTTGTCTCTTCCACCTGTCTGCAGACAAATTCAGAATATGATCCTTCTCGGTGTTTTGCCTTTGTTCACGACCTGTGTGATGAAGAGAAGAGTTACCCAGTGCCCAAGGGCAGTCTTGATATTATCATTCTCATATTTGTTCTTTCAGCAGTTGTTCCAGACAAGTAAGTTTGGGTCCCTTAGCTGGTAGTGTCACAAAAAGAAAGCTTTGGTGAGGGACCTTTTTTTTTAAAATAGGGTCTTGCTCCGTCAGCCCAGGCTGGAGTGCAGTGGCACGATCATGGCTCACTGCAGCCTTAATCTCTTGAGCTTAAATGATCCTCCCTCCTCAGCTTCCCAAGTAGGTGGGACCACAGGCACGTGCCACCAGTCCTGGCTAATTTTTGTGTTTTAGCAGAGATGGGGTTTTGCCATGTTGCCCAGACTGGTCTTGAATTCCTGGGCTCAAGCAATCCTCCCACCTTGGCCTCCCAAAGTGCTGGGATTATAGGTGTGAGCCACTATGCCCAGCCTGGCAAGAGACCTTGATATTAGAGTTGGGCTCGAAGTAAAAAGAGTTGTTTATGTTCTGATAGACACAAAGAAGCCACACCATTTGTAGTGATGTGAGCATCTCAACTATTTTCCTAAATTTGTCTTGATGTCCAACTTCTGTTCTGGCCTCGAAACTTCTGCAGTAGTTGGTTCTTCATTTCCTTGTTGTGGCTCAACATTGGGAAAGA
This sequence comes from Homo sapiens, assembly GCF_000001405.40. Classification (NCBI taxonomy): domain Eukaryota; kingdom Metazoa; phylum Chordata; class Mammalia; order Primates; family Hominidae; genus Homo; species Homo sapiens. Next base: position 128,494,502 of record NC_000007.14, read on the forward strand.
ATGGGAAATCAGTCTCTAATGAGTATGTGGGGAAATTCCTATTGATAATCTCATCACATGCCGTTTTAGAACTGTGAACTGTGGGTGTCACAGCTTTCAGGTAATGTCTCATTATTGGCCTTTCATTTTATTTTATTTTTTTTTGAGACAGAGTCTCGCCCTGTTGCCCGGGCTGGAATACAATGGCGTGATCTAGGCTCACTGCAACCTCCGCCTCCCCAGTTCACACAATTGTCCTGCCTCAACCTCCCGAGTAGCTGGGATTACAGGCACCCGCCACCATGCCTGGCTAATTTTTGTATTTTTAGTAGATACGGGGTTTCACCATGTTGGCCAGGCTGGTCTTAACTCCTCACCTTGTGATCTGCTTGCCTCAACCTCGCAAAATGCTGGGATTACAGGTGTGAGCCACCACGCTGGCCTTTTTTTTGAAGACGGAGTCTTGCTCTGTTGCCCCGGCTGGGGTGCAGTGATGAGATCTTGGCTCACTGCAACCTCCACCTCCCGGGTTCAACCAATTCTCCTGCCTCAGCCTCCCAAGCAGCTGGGATTACAGGTGTATGCCACCATGCCTGGCTAATTTTTGTATTTTTTTTTTTTTAGTGGAGATGGTGTTTCACCATGTTGGCCAGGCTGGTCTCGAACTCCTGACCTCATGATCCGCCTGCCACGGCCTCCCAAAGTGCTGGGATTACAGGCGTGAGCCACCACGCCCAGCCTATTGGCCTTTTAAATGCTTTAAATAAAACAACCTTATTAGCAACACGAAATTTACATTGAACCTTAACTAAGGTGTTCTCTGATGCTTACAGTGTTTTAGAAAACTGTGATACAGAATTCTATAAAATCAGATTCTGATTAAAGGAAAGTCAAATGCTATATCCTAAAATACACCATTAAAACTTCATATGCATAGGTAACCAGTGGTCCTATGAAACTACCTTCTCTCTTTTTTTTATTTTTTTCTGAGATGGAGTCTCACTCTGTTGCCCAGGCTGGAGTGCAGTGGTGAGATCTTGGCTCACTGCAAGCTCTGCCTCCCAGGTTAAAGCGATTCTCCTGCCTCAGCCTCCTGAGCAGCTGGGATTCAGACAAGCACCACCACACCTGGCTAATATTTTTTGTATTTTTAGTAGAGATGGGGTTTCACCATGTTGGCCAGGCTGATCTTGAGCTCCTGACCTCAAGTTATCCACCCACCTCGGCATCCCAAAGTGCTGGGATTACAGGCATGAGCCACTGCACCTGACCAAAACTATCTTCTCAAGGAAGCAGAGTCAGATGGTGGCTAAGAGATTCAGATACCGTGGACTAATTCCATGGAAGCCCTTGTCACTGCCAGAGTGCAGTGAGTCTGGACAGCCTGGGGGTTGGCAAATGTTAGGGTAAACTATACCCATGAAATCATGAGATTAGAGACTTCAAACATCTCCTCATTCTGTATCATCAGAGTCCTGCAAAGATGATTAAGTAAATTAGTGTTAAAGGTCAAGGTAAGCTGGTGTTAGGAAGCCAGATTACATGACTAGAGACTGCAGGGACCAGTGATTGAGATCCTGGTTTATCTCCCAGAGTCCAAGGACCCCTTGCTGGCTGCACAGGATAGGAGCTTTGAGTGATTGACCTTCCTCTAGAAGGCCACACTTCCTCTAGAAGGGTACTGAAGTTATCCAACCTTAGAGGATGAGTGTGAAATAAAGGCATATGCAGGATAACCCAAAAGGCCTACCATGGTTTTAAACTTTAATAATTGCAGAGGTTGACCAGGCACAGTGGCTCACGCCTATAATCCCACCACTTTGGGAGGCTGAGGTGGAAGGAGTGCTTGAAGCCAGGAGCTCAAGACCAGCTTGGGCAACAAAGCAAGACCCCTGTCTCTACTAAAAATAAAAATAAAAAAATTAGCCAGGTGCATATTTGTAGTCCCAGCTACTCAGAAGGCTGAGGCGGGAGTATGGCTTAAGCCCAGGAGTTTGAGGCTGCAGTGAAGTGAGCTATGATCACACCACTGCACTGCAGCCTGGGTGACAGAGTGAGACCCTGTCTCAAAAAAAACCTATGACTTTAGAAGTTTCAATGCTACAAACTTTTTTAAAATTGACATGGACTAAAACAAATTATTAAAATTTAAAATTCAAGTCAGCCACAGTGGCACACACTTTTAGTCCCAGCTACCTAGGAGACTGAGGCAGGAGGATCACTTGAGCCCAAGAGTCCAGCCTGGGCAACATAGCATAGCAGGACCCCAGCTGCTTTTTCTTTGTTTGTTTGTTTGTTTGTTTGTTTGTTTGTTTTCTGAGACAGAGTTTCGCTCTTGTTGCCCAGGCTGGAGTGTGTGCTATGGTCTTGGCTTACTGCAATCTCTGCCTCCCGGGTTCAAGCGATTCTCCTGCCTCAGCATCCCAAGTAGCTGGGATTACAGGTGCCTGCCACCATCCCTGGCTAATTTTTTTGTATTTTTAGTAGAGACAGGGTTTCACCATGTTGGTCTGGCTGGTCTCGAACTCCTGATCTCAGGTGATCTGCCTGCCTTAGCCATTTTTCTGTTTTTTGTTTTTTTTAAGTGGGAAACATTCATTATGCAAAATTTAAATAGACTTTGAAATTTTTTTTGGTGAAGTTTGTAGCATTTAGACTTCTCAAGTTATGAAAGCTTCAACCTGCACCAAGACTTTTGAAGAACACTGCATATGGAAAGCGCAGACCTAAGTGTAAAACCCTCTGTCTGTTATACTCATTTGCATACTGATTGTATTGCCATGTAACTTGTAAGTTCTTGAGGACAAGTCTTCATTTAGCAAACAGAAAGATACAGCCCCTACATTGAAAGAGCTCAGGTCTAATGGTGCAGGCAGATAAGTCCCCTAGCAGAACCCACTGGATGCTCAGGATTCGGCTTAGCCACAGGAGCACAGGGCAAAGATGGCTATCTAGGACAGTGGGGAAGTGATCCAGATGGAGAGCAGAGAACTGTTGTTTGTTTGTTTGTTCTTTGGAGATGGAGTCTCAGTTACTCTGCCGCCCAGGCCGGAGGGCAGTGGTGCAATCTTGGCTCACTGCAACCTCCACCTCCCAGGTTCCAGAAGTTCTCCTGCCTCAGCCTCCTGAGTGTCTGGGATTATAGACGCATGCCACCACGCCTGGCTACTTTTTGTATTTTCAGTAGAGACGGGGTTTCACCGTTTTGGCCAGACTGGTCTCAAACTCCTGACCTCATTTGATCCGCCTGCCTCAGCCTCCCAAAATGGTGGTATTACAAGCATGAGCCACCGCACCTGGCCGGGAGCAGAGAACTTTCTTATGGCAGAAGCAGGCTGTCCTTGGGCCTCTTCGGGCTGAAGGCAGTGGATTGAGGCCACAGCTGTGAGCAGGCAGCTAACGTCCTTCAGTTCTAACTGAAGAGTAGAGGAGCTTAGATCTCAGACTTGGTGTGTCAGTTGAGGAAGTCCACTGGCTTTTTGGGATATGCTACAGGGAAAGAGAACCCTGTCTTTAAGGAGACCTGATTAACTATAATTCCCTGTGTCTCCACAGGATGCAGAAGGCTATCAACAGGCTGAGCAGGCTTCTGAAACCTGGGGGGATGGTACTTCTGCGAGATTACGGCCGCTATGACATGGCTCAGCTTCGGTTTAAAAAAGGTATTTTGAGAGTGCTGAATCCTAACCACTAGAGATCATGTCCTTTGCAGGGACATGGATGAAGCTGGAAATCATCATTCTCAGCAAACTAACACAAGAACAGAAAACCAAACACCATATTTTCTCACTCATAAGTGGGAGTTGAACAATGAGAACACATGGACGCGGGGTGGGGGGCATCACACACTGGGGCCTGTCTGGAGGTGGGGGGGCTGGGAGAGGGAGAGCATTAGCAGAAATACCTAATGTAGATGACGGGTAGATAGGTGCAGCAAACCTCCATGGCACGTGTATACATATGTATCAAACCTGTATGTTCTGCACATGTACCCCAGAACTTAAAGTATAATTTTAAAAAAAAAAAAGGTATGTGGCCACTATAATCAAAAAATGGTGCTGCCATCAGAATAGAAACTCTAGAATTAGAACTCCTTATATAAAGCCATTTAATATGTGACAGAGTAGTATATTTTTTAAGAAAACTGAAGAGGCTTGTATAATCTAGATATTGAGGTCTTTTTAAGCAAGACAGCTACCTTTAGAAGAGCTTTTATTAGAAAGACATTTGAAAGACAGCCGGGCGCAGTGGCTCATGCCTGTAATTCCAACACTTTGGGAGGCCGAGTCGGGCAGATCACCTGAGGTCAAGAGTTCGAGACCAGCCCGACCAACATGGAGAAACCCTGTCTCTACTAAAAATACAAATTAGCCGGGCATGGTGGCACATGCCTGTAATCCCAGCTACTCGGGAGGCTGAGGCAGGAGAATCGCTTGAACCCAGGAGGCGGAGCTTGCAGTGAGCCGAGATCGCACCATTGCACTCCAGCCTGGGCAACAAGAGTGAAACTCTGTCTCAAAAAAAAAAAAAAAGACATCTGAAAGACATAAATAATTTTAAATGTGGCATGACAAAAGATGCCATTAAAAATGTAAAAGGCAAATGACGGAGTAAGAAGGAATATTTTCAGTGCATATAATAGATGAAGACTTAATATCTTTGCTCTTCAGGGAGCTGTCATGAAACTGATAAGGATCAGTGACCCACCCAAAAAGCAGGTGAAGAGTGTTTAGTCAGTTCACAGAAGAACGTATCTAAATGGCCAGTAAACAACACTTCAAGGAAATAAAAATAACAAGTTAGTACTTCTTATTGCTGGCCAATTCAAAGAAAGAGGTGCATTCCTTCATTACTGGTAGAAAAAGAAATTGTTACAGCCTTTTTTTTTTCAGATGGAGTTTTGCCCTTGTTGCCCAGGCTGGAGCGCAATGGCGCGATCTCGGCTCACTGCAACCTCTGCCTCCTGGGTCCACCCACCTTGGCCTCCCAAAATGCTGGAATTACAGGTGTGAGCCACTGTGCCCAGTATTAACAGCCTTTTTTTTTTTTTTTTTTTGAGACGGAGTCTCGCTCTGTCTCCCAGGCTGAAGCGCAATGGCACGATCTCGGCTCACTGCAACGTCTGTCTCTTGGGTTCAAGCAATTCTCCTGCCTCAGCCTCCCGAGTAGCCGAGACTACAGGCATGTGCCACCACGCCTGGCTAATTTTTTTGTATTTTTAGTAGAGACAGGGTTTCACCATGTTGGTCAGGCTGGTCTCAAACTCCTGACCTCAGGTGATCCACCCACCTCGGCCTCCCAAAGTCCTGGGATTACAGGCGTGAGCCACTGCTCCCAGCTTACAGCCTTTTTTTAAGTACCCAATTATTGTTCAGTCCAGTCTTTTTTTGAATATAGTCAAGAACTAGCACATAATACATGCAGGAGCAAAACTTTGTAAACAAAGTGAATGCCTCTGGATAGGGAGATGTCGTGCTTGTCACCTGAGGTGGACCCCATACCACTGAACTTGGAGGGATTTCTGTTGTGTATTCAGTGAGAGGAGAGCAATGTGCAAGGGAGTATTTTAAACTCCATCCCCGTATACCAGTATCTGCAGGGAAATAAGTATACACGTGTGATGATTTGGGCATTCGGGAAGGTCTAGAAGTATGTGCCAGGCTGGTAAACTGAGATGAGGTCAGGGAGGTTAGCAGCAGAAGGGAAAGCATGTTCATGATCAAAACAGTATCTGAGTTGTATTTATGATTCTGTAGACACGTGAAGAGACATGCAAAGGACAGTCACCACCAAAATGGTAATGGTTGTCTCAAGTTTCCTTAAACTCAGCTATATTGCTTAATTAAAGAAAAAAAATAGGCCAGGCACGGTGGCTCATGCCTTTAATCCCAGCACTTTGGGAGGCCAAGGCGGGTGGATCACCTGAGGTCAGGAGTTTGAGACCAGCCTAGCCAACATGGTGAAACCTTGTCTCTACTAAAAATACAAAAAATTAGCTGGGCGTGGTGGTGGGAACCTGTAATCCCAGCTACTTGGGAGGCTGAGGCAGGAGAATCACTTGAACCTGGGAGTCAGAGGTTGCAGTGATCTGAGGTCACGCCATTGCACCCAGCCTAGGCAACAAGAGCGAAACTCTGTCTCAAAAAAAATAAATAAATAAAAAGTTTGTGCTGTTAGTTTAATAGGGTTGGGAGAGTGAACAAGTTGTTTTCATCAAATAATTCTAGAGTTTTGGAGTGGGGTGCTTAGGAACCTCATGTTTTCTGACATTGTGACTTACTCCCGTTGAGCTGCTCTTCCCGAAGCACTGAGGCAGGAGTGCTCTCCACCCAACAAACTGGCCTCTCAGTTAACATTCCTTAGCAGTGCAAGTCAAAGAGACACTTTAAAGTGTCTCTGATTTTTAATACATCACTCTGCAGGTCAGTGTCTATCTGGAAATTTCTATGTGAGAGGTGATGGAACCAGAGTTTACTTCTTCACACAAGGTATGAAACACTCATCTTTTTACGCTAAAAGTCCCCAGTACCAGATGGTCTTCAAGGCACATTCAGAAGGAAAACTATCTGGCCCCTCCTGCCTTTTAGGCAGGCTGTTTCCTTCGGTTCCCCGCTGCTCACACCCTCTTCCACCCTGGGCTAGGCTACCCATGGCAGCCAGCCACTCGGGCCCCCAGGCAGCCCTGGCTTGTCCATGCCTTCAGTCCTGCTCTGCTCTCCCTGTCTGCCACTGTCCAAAATGGGAAGCCTGCCCACTCTGCAAGGCTCACCTCCAGTCCAGCCTGTCTCACCCTCTACACGGGGTTGTGCTTTGGTGTGCCTGGGTCAGGGTGAACCCTGGGTTCTAGGGGTGCCGGGAACTGCTCTCCTCTGCAACTGGCCCATCCACAGGCTTCATCCTTCACTTGGGCCTTCTGTTCCTGGGCCCTTTTTAGGGTCACCTTCTTTGAGCCTTTGGTTAAGATGATGAAACCTCTTTCCTAAAGCAATTGCTTTGACATACGTAGATAGTTTTGCATAAATTTTAAGGTGTTCATAGAGCCTAAAGGCCAAATATAAACCAAAGGTTTTTAAAAAAGAAAAAACCGCGGCCTATACACAGTGGCTTCCCCTACCTAAACATGAACTTGTTGTTACCAAGCCACCACTGCATTTATAACCAAATGGCCATGTAAAAAACACGACAGCAACTTCCCAGAGCCCCATTTAACAAGGACTTAGTAGATAAAAATGCCTTTTCTTGAGGGGAAAATGCATAAACATCTTTTATTTTCCACACTAGAGGAACTGGACACGCTTTTCACCACTGCTGGACTGGAAAAAGTTCAGAATCTGGTGGACCGCCGACTGCAGGTGAACCGAGGGAAGCAACTGACAATGTACCGGGTTTGGATTCAGTGCAAATACTGCAAGCCCCTTCTGTCCAGCACCAGCTAAGAGGCACCTGCTGCCAACACGATGCAAGCCCGTTGTGTTTCCGAGCTTTTTTAAAAAAAAATTTGTAGCACCGGGCATGGTGCATGCCTGTAATCCCAGCCACTCAGGAGGCTGAGGCAGGGAGGATCCATTGAGCCCAGGAGTCCAGCCTGGGCAAAATAGCGAGAGACCCTGAATCTGAAAGTAATGATAAAATAAAAAGAATATAAATGAGGTCTCGTTGATGCTGGACAATTCAAGAATTCAGACTTGAACCTTAAACCTAGGAAAAGTTACTTTGTATCAGGATTCTAACAATTATGCTTCATATTTGTGAAGTCCTTTAAAACATAATTTTCTCAAGTTCTTTCTTTGAGACCTCAATCTGTCTTAGCATTTTGTAACTAATAACTGAAATTTTATTCAAAGGAATTGTAAACCTTAAACCACCATTTATTTCCATGTGAAAAAGTGTTATATATGACAAGTGTTTTTTGATTGTAATTGCGTTAAATCTTTTGAGAGTGTAAATGCCGGGCTAGGCAATTGCAGTTAATACATACAGGGGTTAGTGAAGGGCTTATTAAGTTGTAGGGGAAGCAAGCTGGGAAGAATCAGATCAGATATTTTCCTGACAAGAAAAAAATGACCCTGTAGACAGCATCAAAATGTGGTGTTCTTGTTAAGTAATTGATCGTGGTCTTTGCTTTAATCTTAGTTCCGCCAGGCACGGTGGCTCACACCTGTAATCCCAGCACTTTGGGAGGCCGAGGCGGGCAGATCACCTGAGGTCAGGAGTTCGAGACCAGCGTGGCCAACATGGTGAAACCCCGTCTCTACTAAAGATAAAAAAATTAGCTGGGTGTGTTGGTGGGTGCCTGTAATCCAGCTACTCGGGAGGCTGAGGCAGGAGAATCACTTGAACCCAGGAGGCAGAGGTTGCAGTGAGCTGAGATTGCGCCACTGTACTCCAGCCTGGGCAACAAAGCAAGACTCTGTCTCAAAAAAATAAAAATAAAAAAAATCTTAGTTCCATGGAATTTTAAGCACTGTTCCCCCTCTAACCTATGTCTAAAGAATTAAAAGAATTTGGCTGGGTGCGGTAGCTCATGCCTGTAATCCCAACACTTTGGGAGGCTGAGGCAGGTGGATCACGAGGTCAGGAGATCGAGACCATCCTGGCTAACACGGTGAAACCTCGTCTCCACTAAAAATACCAAAAAAAATAGCTGGGCATGGTGGCATGCGCCTGTAGTCCCCTGTAGTCCCAGCTACTCGGGAGGCTAAGGCAGGAGAATCGTTTGAACCTGGGAGGCAGAGGTTGCAGTGAGCCGAGATCATGTCACTGCATTCCAGCCTGGGCAACAGAGGAAGACTCTGTCTCAAAAAAATAAAAGAAAAGAATTTTCACTTTTTGCAAAATTATCTTTTTTTACTGCACCCTTAAGTGTTTGACACAAAAGGAATTGAGAGAACTTCTTAATTTTAACCACATCATCACTTCACTTCTGAATGTGATCACTGTCAGTGTTAGATGCTTTTTTTTTTTTTTTTTAGGAGACAGGGCTCTCACTTTGTTGCCCAGGCTGGAGTTCAGTGGTGCAATGATAGCTCATTATCACCTCGAACTTCTGGCTTGAGCCATCGCTCCACCTCAGCCTCCTGAGTAGCTAGGACTGCAGGTGGGCACCATCATGCCTAGCTAATTGTTAGATCCTTTTTTTTTATGTTCTGCATTTTTTCAATTATTTTTACATATTTCTGTCTTGATCCATGCAGTTATAGGATATATCCTTAATTTTAGAAAGTAAGGACTTTTCGACCAGGCATGGCGGCTCACGCCTATAATCCCAGCACTTTGGGAGGCTGAGGTGGGCAGATCACTTGAGGTCAGGAGTTCCAGTCCAGCCCGGCTAACATAGTGAAACCCCGTCTCCACTAAAAAATAAAAAATCAGCCCGGCATGGTTGTGGGCGCCTGTAATCCCAGCTACTCAGGAGGCTGAGGTAGGAGAATTGCTTGAACCTGGGAGGCGGAGGTTGCAGTGAGCTGAGATGGTGCCATTGCACTCCAGCCTGGGCGACAAGAGCGAAACTGCATCTCAAAAACAAAGATGCCTAGCTTTCACCTTGTTGATGTTTTTCTAAATTTTGGAATAATAAATTTATATAGGAATACTGCAAGAATAGTCCATTTTTTTCTGATGTCCCAACATCAGCAAATATATTACCAAATATATCCATCACAAGTAGGAATACATGGAAACATTAATGCCAGCCACTAACCATTCATGTTTACCCAGTAGTCCCAATAATAGCTTTGTCACACAAAAACATGATTATGTTGGCTGGGCACAGTGGCTCCTGTAATCTTAGCATTTTGGGAGCCCAAGGCAGGAGGATGACTTGAGGCCAGGAGTTCAAGACCAGGCTGGGTAATGTAGCAAGACCCTGACTTTTTTTTTTTTTTTTTTTGAGATGGAGTTTCGCTCTTGTTGCCCAGGCTGGAGTACAATGGCACGATCTCGGCTCACTGCAATCTCCACCTCCCAAGTTTAAGTGATTCTCCTGCCTCAGCCTCCCAAGTAGCTGGAATTACAGGCATGCAGCACCATTCCCAGCTAAATTTTTTGTATTTTTAGTAGAGACAAGGTTTCTCCATGTTGGTCAGGCTGATCTCGAACTCCCGACCTCAGGTGATCTGCCCGCCTCAGCCTCCCAAAGTGCTGGGATTACAGGCGTGAGCCACCACGCCCGGCCAAGACCCTGACTTTTTAAAAAATGTTAAACATAGGCCGGGTGCAGTGGCTCACGCCTGTAATCCCAGCACTTTGGGAGGCCGAGGTGGGCGGATCATTTGAGGTCAGGAGTTCGAGACCAGCCTGGCCAACTTAATGAAACCCCATCTCTGCTAACAATACAGACCAGGCATGGTGGCTCACACCTGTAATCCCAGCACTTTGAGAGACCGAGGCAGGTGGATCACCTGAGGTCGGGAGTTCGAGACCAGCCTGACCAACATGGAGAAACCCCGTCTCTACTAAAAATACAAAATAGCCAGGTGTGATGGCGCATGCCTGTAACCCCATCTACTTGGAAGGCTGAGGCAGGAGAATCACTTGAATCTGGGAGGCAGAGGTTGCAGTGAGCCGAGATGGCGCCATTGCACTCCAGCCTGGGCAACAAGAGTGAAACTCCGTCTCAAAAAAAAAAAAAAAAAAAAATTAGCTGGGCATGGTGGTGGGCGCCTGTAATCCCAGCTATCTGGGAGGCTGAGTCTAGAGAATCATTTGAACCTGGGAGGCGGAGGTTGCAGTGAGCCGAGATCGCACCATTGCACTCCAGCCTGGGCAACAGTGAGACTCCGTCTCAAAATAAAAAAACAAAAAAAATGTAAAAAATAAATAATTGTATTGAATTTATTAGTTGTGTCTCAGTCTCCTTCAGTCTACAGTTTAGGCTTGCTTTTGCACCTTTGCATTTTAAGGTAAGAGGCTATTGTGTAAACTCGAATTGGGTTTGTTGGTGTTTCTTCATGATTTGGTTCAGGCTCTGCATTTTGGGCAGGAATATTCAGAGGTGATGCTGTGTTCCTCCCATAGGATCGTATCAGGCGACACATGATTATGAATTTCCCCATTATTGGTGATGTCACTTAGTTGTGTTGTCTGCCAGGTTCTGCCACTGTAAAGTTAATAAGTATTTTGTAGGGAAGTGCTTTGAGACTAAATATCCTGTTCCTCATCAAACTTCTACCCCCTAGTTTCAGTATCTATTGCTGTTTTTTGTCTGAATAACTATGATAGTTGCCAAATAGTGGTTTCTGATCCTTCCATTCCTTCTACACTGATTGGTTGGTATTTTGTACAGAAAAGCTTTCTCATATCTGATTTACTTGTCTCAATATGGACCCATGGGTATTTGAGTTTCTTGTGGGGTTATTTGTTGTTGTTTTTGAGACAGGCTCACCCAGGCTGGAGTGCAGCAGCACGATCACTGCTTACTGCTTACTGCAGCCTCGACCTCCCATGCTCAAGTGATTCTCCCACCCCAGCCTCCCAAGTAGATGGGACTACAGGCATGTGCCACCAAGCCTAATTTTTGTATTTTTTGTAGAGACAGGGTTTCACCATGTGTCCCAGGCTGGTCTTGAGCTCCTGAGCTCAAGCAATCCTCCCACCTCGGCCTCCCAAAGTGCTGGGATGAGCCACCGTGACTGGCCCCACTTAATGGGTTTTCAGAGGTGGGAGCAAAGAATGAAGGGAGGAAGAGAGCTCCCATCTTTTCCATTACCGTATTTACTTAAAACTGGAAAAAACTGAATCACTGGGATGGTATTTCATTTATCTTTTGAAATGAAGAATAGATACATTAATTTAAATGATTCTCTAAAGACTGTCCTTCAGCATCCCTAAAGCATTGCAAAACTATAGGCACAGTTTTTATTTTATCTTTCTGGCACCTGGTTTGGGCTTTGGCTTAGATTAAAAAGACGAGCCTTCTCCTGCCCCTGCTCCCTTTTATTCCCTGCCATCTGCTAAGCTCGACTTTTTATCTCTCAGGCCAAATTTGACTCTGTAAGGGACTTTGCATAACGTTTCATCCTCAGAATCGCTAATGATGGGCAGAGGACTGTTACATGTGTTGGGAGGGATTAAAGTATATGACCTCAGTGCCACTTAAAAAATAAATACTGTCTCAACTATCAGTCTGGCTCTGAATGGTATCTCTTAATATGCTTAATGCAAGAATGGTGGGTCGGGCGTGGTGGCTCACGCTTGTAATCCCAGCACTTTGGGAGGCTGTGGCAGGCGGATCACCTGAGGTCAGGAGTTTGAGACCAGCCTGGCCAACATGGCAGAACCCATCTCTACTAAAAATAAAAAAAATTTAGCCAGGCATGGTGGTGGGAGCCTGTAATCCCAGCTACTGGGGAGGCTGAGGTAGAAGAATTGCTTGAACCCGGGAGGCGGAGGTTGCAGTGAGCAGAGATTGCCCTCCAGCCTGGGTGACAGAGCAAGACTCCATCTCAAAAAAAAAAAAAAAAAAAAAAGAAAGGTGCTATGTGGGGCTGGAAGGTGGCTCCAGGTGTGAAGCTGCTCAGGAAGTTGTGTGGTTTCAATGTGAATCTAACAGAGAAGTGTTTCTGAAACTGATTTACCTTCCTAAGTAGTGTTAATTAGGGTGAGGAGATAAATTCAATGTTGTTTGAAAAATGAGAGACAGTTTGAGACAGATGCACTGGAGCTATTGGAGTGAAACCATGTTCCTGAAGGCAGCGATCACCCTGAAAGTGGGTTTTGCACTGTGAAAGGGATTCATCTCCCGGTCTTGCAGGATTCATGTAGAGCCTGGCCTCTGTTAATGCTATCAAACCTATGTACAATGGGTCGGCCACTTCTTTTCATATAAGTTCATATTCTCTTGGGTTCTGGTTGGAAAATTAGGCCTTGGAAACTTAGTGAGAAAGGGAAAATCTAACGTGCTAAGCCATCCTACTTGGATGTAATTGATTCCTATCTTTGCTTAAATACATACTTTAGTAGGAGTAAGGAGTTCTGTCTGTGGCTTAAAAGATGAGCTCAGGACAAGCAGTTTCTTTCAGTCTGTTCACAAAGGCCTGTTCTTTGGTTTGTGGCTGCAGCTGCTATTTTCAGAGCCTGGCTGCGTTGATGCATTGCAGATTTGTGCGTGCTTCCTAATTTGGTCTACAGGTTGTGATTTGGGAACCCTGGTTAAGAGGTAGAAGAAGTGCTCATGGTGAATTTCCCAGGTGAAAACACTGAAACATTGCATCATGACTGCTTCATTTTATTTAAATAAGTGTCTTGGCTCAAGGTTGGACATTGTCTCTGTAGCCAGTGAAACACACTCCATGACCAGGTTTCAGGACAAATCACCACAGTCCGATTTAATACCCCACTGGGGACCCTGAGACACCGTAGCCTTGACTCCAGCCTCAAGCTTGGCATCTTTACCCACAGATGAGCCTCACACTGCCTTCATTCATTCATTCTCTACTTCCATTCTCTGAATTTGGATTTTGCCATTAAAATTTAATGTTATAGCCAGGTGTGATGGCTCACACCTGTAATCCCAGCACTTTGGGAGGCCAAGATGGGAGGATCGCTTGAGTCCAGGAGTTCAACACCAGCCTGGGTAACATAGCAGCATCCTGTTCATACAAAAAAATAAAAAATTAGCCAGGCGTGGTGGTGCCTGTGTGTAGTCCTAGCTACTCAGGTGGCTGAGGTGAGAGGATCGCTTGAGCCCAGAAGTTCAAGGCTTCAGTGAGCTGTGATCACACCACTGCTGGGTGACACAGCAAGACTCTGTCTCAAAAAAGAAAAGAAAAGAGAGAGAGATAGAAAGGAAAGAAGGAAGGAGAGAGGGAGAGAGAACGAAGGAAAGGTAAGAAAGAAAAAGAAAAGTAGCCGAGTGTGGTGACCCATGCCTGTAATCCCAGCTACTGGGGGAGCCGAGGCAGGAGAATCGCTTGAACCCAGGAGGCTGAGGTTTCAGTGAGCCAAGATCACGCCACTGCACTTCAGCCTGGGTGACAGAATGAGACTCCTTCAAAAAAAAAAGAGAGAGAAAGGGAAGAAGGAAAGAAAAAAAAAAAGAAGGAAAGGAGGGAGGGAGGAACATTTATCAGCAGTGGCACACTTGAGAAACCCTCCAAGGGTGAGCAGAATGGCGAGGGCCCTGAAGAGCCCTGCTACTGACAAGCCCCTGTCACCCTCTTCAGCCTTGCTTCTGATTACCCCTCAATTTTTGTGGGCGATTAAGGCCGACATTCAATCGAGCTCATTAAATTATGAGTTTCTGACACGGTGCGGTGGCTCATGCCTGTAATCCCTTTGGAGGCCAAGACAGGTGGATACCTTGAGGTCAGGAATTCGAGACCAGCCTGGCCAACATGGTGAAACCCTGTCTCTACTGAAAATTAGCCAGGTGTGATGGTGAGTGCCTGTAATCCCAGCTACTTGGGAAGCTGGGGCAAGAGAATCACTTGAACCCGGGAGGCGGAGGTTACAATGAGCTGAGATCCTGCCATTGCACTCCAGCCTGAGTGACAAGAGCAAAACTCTGCCTCAAAAAATAATAAAAAAGGCCAGGCACGGTGGGTCACACCTGTAATCCCAGTACTTTGGGGGTCCAAAGCAGGCAGATCACCTGAGGTCAGGAGTTCAAGACCAGCCTGGACACCATGGTGAAACCCCATCTCTACTGAAAATACAAAAATTAGCTGGGCATAGTGACGCGCATCTGTAATCCCAGCTACTCGGGAGACTGAGGCAGGAGAACAGCTTCAACCTGGAAGGTGGAGGTTACAGTGAGCCGAGATCAAGCCATTGTGTTCCAGTCTGAGTGACAAGAGTGAGACTCCATCTCAAATAAATAAATAAATAAATAAATTGTGAATTTCTTGGGGGACCGTTGTATTCTAAACACAGCAGACTACCAAAGCCCCTGGCCCATGGTCAGTGCCCAGTAAGTGGGGACTGAATGCCTGAATAGCTTCTTCCTACCCTGCCCACTGCCCCCTACCACTGCACAGACACCCCGGATACACAGTTTGTATTTAACTTAAAAACAAAATCATACAAGGTTGCAACTATCAACAGCTCAAGGTGGCTTAAACAAAAAACAACAGTAGAAGGGCACAGGGCGCCTCCTGGACCCCACGCTGGGAGGTGTGTGGTTGCCCGGTTGCCCTCACTCCTGCAGCCTCTTTAAGGACCACTTCTCTGCTCCTTAGTGCACTTGTGGGAGGCAGCTGTAACCAAGCTCCTGAGGTTTGATGTCTCTGTAAAATGGGTGTGCAGCATGTGCGTGTGTGTGTGTCTAGGCAGCCAGTTCCCACAATGGCAGGCAGAATCCCCAAAAAGGCATCCGTAAGAGCATGATTTCCTAGACTTCAGCTGGTTTATTTCATCTTCCCAAATATTGATATCCGAGTAGACCATTATGGAATCCTTTTACATTATATTTTTGGCCAGGCGCAGTGGCTCACACCTGTAATCCCAGCACTTTGGAGGCCAAAGCAGGCATATCACCTGAGGCCAGACCAGCCTGGCCAACACAGTGAAACCCCATCTCTACTAAAAAAAAAAAATATACAAAAATCAGCTGGGGGTGGTGGTGCTTGCCTGTAGTCCCAGCTACTCAGGAGGCTGAGGCAGGAGAATCACTTGAACCCAGGAGGCGGAGGTTGCAGTGAGATTGTGCCACTGCACTCCAGCCTGAGTGACAGAGTGGGACTCTATCTCAAAAAACAGAATTTTTTTAAAAAAATTTATATTTTTACTTAAATGTGTTTATTTATTTGTTTTTATTATTATTTTTTGAGATGGAGTCTTGCTCTTGTCACCCAGGCTGGAGTGCAGTAGCATGATCTCGGCTCACTGCAACCTCCGCCTCCCAGTTCAAGTGATTCTCCTGCCTCAGCCTCTAGAGTAGCTGGGACTACAGGTGCGTGCCACCACGCCCGGCTAATTTTTTGTATTTTTAGTAGAGACAGGGTTTCACCATGTTGGCCAGGATGGTCTCAATCTCTTGATCTTGTGATCTGCCCACCTCAGCCTCCCGAAGTGCTGGGATTACAAGCGTGAGCCACTGTGCCCGGCCTTAAATTTATTTTTAAGGGATTTTTTAAAAATCACTGCTATAAAGGTAAAGTAAGTATTAGTTGCCATGAACTAAAAGTATTTTTGGGCCATGTGCAGTGGCTAACCCCTGTAATCTTAACGCTTTGGGGGGCCGAGGTGTGAGGATCACTTGAACCCAGGGTGGCTTAAACCATTTGAGGAGTTTGAGGCAAGCCTGGGCAAGATAGTGAGGCCCCATCTCTATTTAAAAATAAATAAATAAATAAAAATAAAAATGTATTTTAAAGATCAATACAATGAAAACAAAACAATACCTTAAGTTCCAGTTGGATGCCTTTGGGGCCAAAGACTTGGAGCACTAGGTCTGGAAACAGGAGTGAACACATCAGTCACACCTTTCCTGGAGCTGTCAAATTTGGACGAGGAGATTCCAACAATAAACCCATAAATCCTCTAACACGTGGGCATGTGCCAGGAAGAACCAAGCAAGCTAGGGAAAATAGAGAGGTGGCAGGGATCAGGAAAAAGGCACACTCTGAGGTTGGGAGTGGGGACAAGGAAGGCCTCCTGGAGAAGGTCACATCTCTCATGGAACATCTTCTCTGTGGAAGGAACAGCCAGTGCAAAGGCCTGAGGCTCATGGTGGATTCTCCACCCACCCAGTGTGGGGAACGCTGCATCATGAATCTTAAGCTTGGTACCATTGCTCACTCTCGTAATGAATGTATCTGCCTCAAGCACATTTTTTTTTTTTCAGACAGAGTCTCGCTCTGTCACCCAGGCTGGAGTGCAGTGGTGCAATCTCAGCTCACTGCAGCCTCAACCTCCTGGGTTCAAGCAATTCTCGTGCCTCAGCCTCCCTAGTAGCTGGGATTACAGGCATGCGCTACCACACTTGGCTAATTTTTTTGTATTTTTTGTAGAGACAGGGTTTGGCCATGCTGGCCATGCTGGTCTCAAACCCCTGGCCTCAAGTGATCCTCCTGCCTTGGCCTCCCAAAGTGCTTGGATTACAGGCCTGAGCCACCACACTCAGCCCTAGTACTACCCAAGTGCATTAGGTGCGGAGAAATGAGTGAGAATGATTGCCGGCTTCCAATCAACCCTCGTGTGCAGGGTCTGGATTCTTCTCAGTTCATTTAGGAACTGTTAAAGCTGTGAGGTCAGCCCCGCTCACAAGGGTCTGGATTATACAGCAAGATTATTTTGCTCTTCTTTTTCCCCACGCCACTAATCGTGCTCCTAAAGCAAGATTATTGATCTGTAATCTGAAACGTAACTGACAAGCTGAGGGGATCTCCCCAGGAAGGGAAGCTACTTGAGAAACTGAATTTAGATCAGAAGTTGATTGTTCAGAATACAACTGAGCCCAGAGATTGGATGGCACCAAGGGAGGTTTCTGTCAAGCCGTCCCGTTCCGAGATGCCCCATCGCACCAACGAAGCAACTGCTGAGCAGGTTTGCACTAACACGAGCTGGCGTTTGTCCAGACCTTAAGACTCTTTAAATAGCTTTTCATATATTTAATCCTCACATTGCCTCTGTGAATATAAGCGTAATTATCTCCATTTTACAGATGAGGAAATCCGAAGTTCAGGGAGGGTAAATGGTTTACCAAGGTCAGACTACCAGTGTTAATCGTGAGGTAATTAGCCTTAGATTAGGGAGAGGTAGTTTGATAGAAATGATATCTGACATAATATATGGGTTTAGACATTTTTGGCTCCAACCAATGATGCCAGTCCAGGAAAATGTTACACCTGCTCAGATGTTAACCCTGCTGCGGGCTGGAGGAGAAGGCACCCTCACCCCAACCCTCCCCAGGAGAAGAAAACCCTGCAGCTATCAGAAGTTTTAGTAAAAGAACTATCAACAGTCCATGCAATCGTCTACATAATTTGTGTTTGTGTTGCAACACTGTCCAAATTGCAACATTTTCATCAAAATAGAAAACTGAAATCCCCCATCTTTACCCTATGGGCCAGATCCTCCTGGGGTGAAGGGGGAGCTTGGATTTTTTTTTTTTTTTTTTTTTTTTGAGATGGAGTCTTGCTCTGTCACCCAGACTGGAGTGCAATGGCGTGATCTCGGCTTACTGCAAGCTCCGCCTCCCGGGTTCACGCCATTCTTGTGCCTCAGCCTCCCAACCCCCAACCAGTAGCTGGAACTACAGCTACCACGCCCGGCTAATTTTTTGAATTTTTAGTAGAGAAGGGGTTTCACCATGTTAGCCAGGATGGTCTCGATCTCCTGACCTCGTGATCCGCCCACCTCAGCCTCCCAAAGTGCTGGGATTACAGGCGTGAGCCACCGCACCTGGCCAGGGGGTGCTGGGATTCTAATCCCTCATGTTCAAGGGGTTCCGTGGAGGCTTCACAGGCTGTGGCCTGTTGAGTTACAGAAGGGCCCACGCTTGATTTCATGCCCTTCCATTGCTGTCTTGAGATTCCTTCTCCTTGCTTCTTTCTTTTCCTTTTTTTTTTTTCCGGTTGGTTGGTTTGTTTTTGAGACAGAGTCTCCAGTCTCACTCTGTTGCCCAGGCTGGAGTGCAGTAGCACGATCTCGGCTCACTGCAACATCTGCCTCCTGGGTTCAAGCGATTCTCCTGCCTCAGCCTCCCGAGTAGCTGGGATTAGCCCGGCAAGAATTCATTTTCTTCTTTTCTTTTTCTTTCTTTTTCTTTTTTTTTTTTTTTTTCAGACAGAGTGTCGCTCTGTCACCCAGACTGGAGCGCAGTGGTGCAATCTGGGCTCACTGCAACCTCTGCCTCCTGGGTTCAAGCAATTCTTCTGCCTCAGCTTCCCGAGTAGCTGAGACTACAGGTGCCCGCCACCACGCCTGGCTAATTTTTGTATTTTTGTTTTGTTTTGTTTTGTTTTGAGACAGGGTCTTGTTTTGTCGCCCAGGCTGGAGTGCAGTGGCAGAATCTTGGCTCACTGCAACCTCTGCCTCCTGGGTTCAAGTGGTTCTCCTGCCTCAGCCTCCAGAATAGCTGGGATTACAGGTGCCCGCCACCATGCCTGGCTAATTTTTGTATTTTTAGTAGAGATGGGGTTTCACCATGTTGGTCAGGCTGGTCTCGAACTCCTGACCTCATGATCCACCCACCTTGGCCTCCCAAAGTGCTGGGATTACAGGCGTGAGCTACCACACCCAGCCTAATTTTTGCATTTTTAGTACAGATGGGGTTTCACCATGTTGGCCAGGCTGGTCTTGAACTCCTGACCTCAAGTGATTCCACCCACCTCGGCCACCCAAAGTGCTGGGATTACAGGTGTGAGCCACCACACCCAGCCCAGAATTATTAATAATTATTTTTAATGAGGGGCCCAGCATTTTCATTTTACATTGGGTCTCGCAAAGAACCCAGCCAGTCCTGCTGCTGCCTCTTTCTTGCTCCTTCTTCCTCCTTTTTCCTCTCCTTCACAAAGAGCTGTCTGCTCTTGCCTTTTTTTTTTCCTTCCTTCCTTCCTTCTTTCTTTTCTTTTCTTTCTTTTCTTTCTTTCTTTTGACAGAGTCTGGCTCTGTTACCCAGACTGGAGGTGCAGTGGCACAGTCATAGGTCACTGCAATTTTAATTTTGAACTTCTGGGCTCAAGCAATCCTCCCCGCCTGAGCCTCCCAAGTAACTGGAATTACAGGTGTGTGCCACCATGCCTGTCTAATTTTTTTAAGAGACGAGAGACTGCAGTCTCACCATGTTGCTCAGGCTGATCTCAAAGTCCTGGGCTCTAGTGATCCTCCCGCCTCAGCCTCCCAAAGTGCTGGGATTATAGGTGTGAGCCGTAAGCCACTGTGCCCAGCTCTCTTGACTTTTTTTTTTTTTTTAGACGAAGATCACTGCACAATCTTGGTTCACTGCAACCTCCTCCTCCTGGGTTCAAGCGATTCTCCTACCTAAGCCTCCCGAGTAGCTGGGATTACAGGCACCCGCCACCATGTTTGGCTAATGTTTGCATTTTTAGTATGCCGGGGGGACATTCCCCTCCCTTCTGATCCTCCTCCCTTTCTAAGCCCCTCCTCCACTCTCCTCGACCCCTGGGCACCTTCAAGCAGGCCTTCTAGACATGCCAATCCTATACCCTCAGGACTTGCCCGTCTAACAGTCCTTCCCTGACCTCCCACGACCCCTCGGTCCCACGGCGTCCCAGGGTTTGTCTTTCTTTCTTGATTGTCTCTCTCCCTCTCTTTCTTTCTCTTTCTTTCTTTCTCCTCTCTCTTTCTTTTCCTTCCTTCCTTCCTCTTTTCCCTTCCTTCCTCCCCTCCCTCCCTCCTTCTCTTCCTTTCTTCCTTTCTTCCTTAAGACGGAGTTTCACTTTTGTTGCCCAGGCTGGAGTGCAATGGCACAATCTCGACTCACTGCAACCGCCTCCCAGGTTCAAGATTCTCCTGCCTCAGCCTCCCAAGTAGCCGGGATCACAGGCGCCTGCCACCACGCCCGATTAATTTTTGTATTTTTAGTAGAGATGGGGTTTCACTATGTTGGTCAGGCTGGTCTTGAACTCCTGACCTCAGGTGATCCACCCGCCTCAGCCTCCGAAAGTGCTGGGATTACAGGCGTGAGCCACTGTGCCTGGCTTTGCATTTCTTATGACTCCTTAGCAGCATCCTTGTTCCTGCTCACTTCTACCTCCTGCCTCTAGACTATGGGCTTGCCCCTTGGGTCTGGGGACCTGGTCAATTTTGCTCACAGTTGTATCCTCAGTACCTAGATTTGCCTGGCACATGAAGGTGCTCAGTAAATATTTATTGGGTGGGCAAGTGCTTAGAAGAATGTCACCTACAAGCCATGTCCCTGAGAGTGTCAGGCACCAAAGGGAGGAAAGACAAGTTTTGCCACCCGATCCAGCAGGTAACAGCAGGGCTGGAGATGGACCTCAAAACCTGCAGAAAGGAGGGGCTCCCTAAGTGTTACTTCTAAGCCACGCATTCCTGGGAAAGAGCAGGACAAAAGAGCCAGCCGGGGAGCAAGCCTGTCATGGGGAGGAGGCTGCATCAAGATGGTTTAGACGTGTGGAAACAATTCTAGGCCCCACAAGATGACAAGAGTGAATGAATTGATCGACTTTGAATCTCTAAGTGCTACCAATACAAGAATAATTCCCAAATCTATATCACGAGCTAAGGATCTCTCTTGAGCCTTGAATTAGTTTATCTAAATAACTCCTAGACATATCTCTCCCCTAGCAGGGCCCCAGGCACCTCAAACCCAATCTCTCCAAAGCAACCCCTAAGAGCAGGGGCTGGGGTTGAAACCCTGGAGTCACCATTTGTTCTCTCTGCCGTATTGGCCAAGTTAAAGTTCTCTCATGCTGTTTTCCTCGACTGAAAATTGAGTATAAACAATAGAATAGGGCCAGGCACGGTGGCTCACGCCTGTAATCCCAGCACTTTGGGAGGCTGAAGTGGGTAGATCACTTGAGGTCAAGAGTTAGAGACCAGCCTGGCCAACATGGTGAAATCCCGTCTCTACCAAAAATACAAAAAATTAACTGGGCGTGGTGGACACATCTGTAATCCTGGCTACTCAGGAGGCTGAGGCAGGAGAATTGCTTGAACCCGGGGGGTAGAGGTCGCAGTGAACCGAGATCATGTGCCACTGCACTCCAGCCAGGGCTACAGAGCAAGACTCCATCTCTCAAAAACAAAAAAAAAAAACCACAAAAATTAGCTGGGTGTGGTGGTGAGCGCCTACAGTCTCAGCTATTCGGGATGCTGAAGCTGGAGAATCGCCTGAACCTGGGAGGTTGCAGTGAGCTGAGATAGAGTCACTGCACTCCAGCCTGGGCGACAAAGTGAGACTCCGTCTGAAACAACAACAACAACAAAAAACAATAGAATACAAAGAATTAATTAATACAGCAGTCCTAGTGGCCCCCATAGTGAAATTCTAATGCCTTGCAGAGAACAGAATCAAATTGTCAACCTCTGTAGGCTATTCTGTATTCACAGATTCATTTGTAGAAGATGCATTTCATTACACGTTGTGTTTTTAGCAGTTACAGTGATGGCATGTTCCTTGGCAACTTCAGCCTGGAGAGATGAGATTTGTAGCAGAAAGCACTCATCTGCATTTCTTGTCTTCCATCTCAAAGAGCAGTGAAGAGGCTGTAAGGCCGTCTGGTTTCCGAGGAACTTCAGCTTTACCCTCAGGCAGGTTCCACTGCTCCATCAGGCCTATGACACTGTTAGGGGCCCTGGAAACTGTTTTAATTAATTTTAAAATCAGAAGAAAATATGCATATAATAATAATGAATATTATGAGAATGAATCTAGACCAAATGATGATCCCTTACCCCCGCCCTTGTCCAGGTGAATGGAGAAGGCCATGCATGTGTCCTGAGCTGAGCCAGTCAGAGCCCCTGCCCCGGACCCCAGATGGAGAGGACAGCCTGCTCCAGGCAGCAGGATCTGGACAGTGAGTGCTGGGGAGTTCTGGGAGGCCAGGAAGGTGGAGGGGAGGCAGCCACGGGAGATTCCAGGGTGACAGCATGGCAGGCCAGGGTGAAAGCAAGTATAAAAGCCCCCAGGCAGGAAAATATCCGCATTCAAGCAGCTAAAGGCAGGCCCCGGAGGGTCCCCGGCAAGAATGGTGGAGGAGGCTGGAGATGAGATAGAGGCAGGGTTGGACCACCTGGGCCTTATAAGCCAGAGGGAGCTGAGGTTTTTTTTTTACTCCAATGAGCAGCTATTAAAGGGTTTTAAGGGAGGGAGTGACCAGATCTGATTTACATTTTAAAGAGATTAGCACTGTGGAAAGTGTACTGTGGAGGTGGGGCAAGAGCTGAGAGCCGCATAGAGAGCCCTGGATACTTCTGGACTCTGAATGGGGGGCCAGGCTTCAGCGATGTAGGTGAGGATGGAGACAGGTGGGTCCAAGAGGACCTGTGGGTGGAGGGGCTGGAGGGGGAAAGGAAAGGCTGTTATCAAGGATAAATGGTGGTGATGGTCGTGCTGTTCTGCTCCTGAGCTGGGGAAGAAGGGAAGACATGAAGACTTCTGTTCAGACCCATTGAGGTACCCATGGCACACACACATGGAAGTGTGGAGAAGGCAGTGGAACATGTCAGTCTGGAGTGGGGGAGACAGGTCAGGGCTGAACGCCCCAGGATGCTGGAAGTGTGGGTGGCATCAGTGCACAACTCGTGTTTGAAGCCGCAAATCTCTGAGTTAGGGAGGAAATGGGAATGTGCTGTGACCCAGAAACTCAGAGGAAACTGCCCTTGTTGAGTCCCTGCTGAAGACAGAATGAAGACAAGACAGAGAAGGATCCTTTCTTTTTTTTTTTTGAGACGGAGTTTCGCTCTTGTTGGCCAGACTGGAGTACAGTGGTGCCATCTCAGCCCACTGCAACCTCTACCTCCCAGATTCAAGTGATTCTCCTACCTCAGCCTCCTGAATAGCTGGGATTACAGGTGCCCACCATGCCCAGTTAATTTTTGCATTTTTAGTAGAGATGGGGTTTCGCCATGTTGGCCAGGCTGGTCTCTAACTCCTGACCTCAGGTGATCCGCCCTCCCAAAATGCTGGCATTACAGGCGTGAGCCACCGTGCCCAGCGAGAAGGATCCTTTAGATCTGGTAATGCAAGTGGCTCCTGACTTTGACCAGAGCCCTCTGGGTAGAGGGAGGAATCTGGAAGTCAAATTGGGATGGGAAGGAAGAGTAAAACAGCACGATCACCAGTGCCTGGCCTCATCCCTGCCTGGGCTCTGGACTAAAAAACAGCTATGAGCCGGGTATAGTCCCAGCTACTTGGAGGCCAAGGCAGGAGGATGGCTTGAGCCCAGGACATTGAGGCTGTGGGTGAGCTACAATTGCACCACTGCATTCCAGCCTGGGTGACAGAGCAAGACCCTATCTCTGAAATAAAAAATATTTATACTTAAAAAAAATAGCTATATAGGACATTTTGGGGGCAAATGGGGAAATTGGAAAATGGACTCCATATTAAATAATACTTTTTTTTGTTGAGACAAGGTCTCACTCTGGCATGCAGGATGGAGTGTAGGGAGCTCACTGCAGCCTCAACTTCCTGGGCTTAAGTGATTCTCCAGCCTCAGCCTCCTAAAGTGCTGGGATTACAGGCATGAGCCACCACGCCTGGGCTGTATTAGATAATATAGCAGCTCTGAATTTGTTGTGTGTGATAATGGTGTGTGGTAAGAGAGAAACTCTGTAGGAGACACACATTGTAGTATTTAGGGCAGAAAGAGTAGATACTTGAAACTTTCCAGTGCTCCAACAATAACAAAAAATTAAACACATACCCCATACACAGAGAAAGCACAGATGGCAAAATGTTAATTGGAAAAATCTAGGTGAAGAATATTTTAATATTTTTTTCAACTCCTCTTTCAGCTTAATTATTTCCTTACAAAGTTGGGTGCAGTGGCTCACTCCTGTAATCCCAGCACTTTGGGAGGCCGAGGCGGGTGGATCACCTGAGGTCAGGAGTTCAAGACCAGCCTGGCTGACATGGTGAAACCCCGTCTCTACTAAAAATACAAAAAATTAACCGGCTGTGGTGGTGCATGCCTGTAATCCCAGCTACGTGGGAGGCTGAGGCAGGAGAATCACTTGAAACCCAGGAGGCAGAGGTTGCAGTGAGCTGAGATTCGCCATTGCACTCCAGCCTGGGCAACAAGAGCAAAACTCTGTCTCAAAAAAATTTAAATAAATAAATAAATAAATAAATTAGCCGGGTGTGGTTGCGGGCGCCTGCCTGTAATCCCAGCTACTCCGGAGGCTGAGGCAGGAGAGTAGCTTGAACACAGGAGGCAGAAGTTGCAGTGAGCTAGATCTTGCCATTGCACTCCAGCCTAGATGACAGAGTGAGACCCTGTCTCCAAAAAAAAAACTAAGTTGGGTGCGGTGGCTCACGCCTGTCATCCCAGCACTTTGGAAGGTTGAGGCCGGCAGATCACTTGAGGTCAAGAGTTCAAGACCAGCCTGGCCAACATGGTGAAACCCCATCTCTACTAAAAATACAAAAATTAGCTGGGCTTGCTGGGCACGATGGCTCACGCCTGTAATCCCAGCACTTTGGGAGGCCGAGGCGGGCGGATCGCCTGAGGTCGGGAGTTCAAGACCAGCCTGGCCAGCATGGTGAAACCCTGTCTCTAATAAAAATACAAAAATTAGCCGGGCGTGGTGGTGGGCGCCTGTAATCCCAGCTACTTGGGAGGCTGAGGCAGGAGAATAGCTTGAACCCAGGAGGTGGAGGTTGCGGTGAGCCAGGATCGCACCATTGCACTCCAGCCTCGGCAACAGAGCGAGAATCTGTCTCAAAAAAAAAAAAAAAAAAAAAAGAGGCCAGGCGCCGTGGCTCACGCCTGTAATCCCAGCAGTTTGAGAGGCCGAGGCAGGCAGATCACGAGGTCAGGAGATTGAGACCATCCTAACACAGTGAAACCCCGTCTCTACTAAAAATACAAAAAATTAGCTGGGCATGGTGGCGGGCGCCTGTAGTCCCAGCTACTCGGGAGGCTGAGGCAGGAGTGGCATGAACCCGGGAGGCAGATCGCGCCACTGCACTCCAGCCTGGGCGACAGTGAGACTCCGCCTCAAAAAAAAATTTTTTTTAATTTTAATTACAAAAAGGAAGGGTGACTAGCAGGGTCAGGAGAAAGTTTCATACAATTGATAAATTTTTTGAAGAATGGGAGCATGAGTGTGTGTTGAAAGCAATGCTCATGGAAGGGAGGAGGAGAAGGTGATTATGTCAGCCAGGGGTGAGAGGTGCAGGGCAGAATCCTGGAGGAGCAGGTGGATGGCCCAGAGTGAGGGCCTGGAGGGTGGCCTTTGCCCAGTGTGGGCGGCCACACGTCAGACGGGCAACTTGGTGGAGGGCGTTCCTGTCTGATGACTTCCCCTCTCTCCTCTACGTAGGATATGAGGCTCTCTGCTAAGAAGGGCCAGGAGAGCAATGGGGAGGTTCCCGCAGGGAAAAACTGGTGAGGTTTGTGGGTTTGTGTTGACGATCTGGGTGAAGATTGTTTATTGGTTTAGGGAGGGAGACAAGAGGAAAGATTAAGTCCCCACTCCTCCAAGACTCAGTTTCTCCATCTGTAACATGAGGAGATTGAACTAGGAGATCTCAAAGGACTCTGAACTCCTGTACGCTCATGGTCCCTTTAGGAAGTGATGGGAAGCATATACTGAATAGCACGAGCCTGGGTTATTTAAGAATTAAGGATAGCGGCTGCTCTGCCTATGGAGTAGCCATTCCTTTTTTTTTTTTTTTTTTTTGAGACGGAGTTTTGCTCTTGTCACCCAGGCTGGAGTGCAATAGCGCGATCTCGGCTCACTGCAACCTCCGCCTCCCAGGTTCAAGCGATTCTCTGCCTCAGCCTCCCATGTAGCTGGGATTACAGGCATGCGCCACCACCACGTCTGGCTAATTTTTGTATTTTTAGTAGAGACGAGGTTTCACCATCTTGGCCAGGCTGGTCTTGAACTCCTGACCTTGTGATCCCCCCGCCTCGGCCTCCCAAAGTGCTGGGATTACCGGCGTGAGCCACTGCACCCGGCGGAGTAGCCATTCTTTTATTCCTTTACTTACTTAATAAACTTGATTTCACTTAAAAAAAAAAGAATTAGGGATAGCTAGTAAAAACTAGACAATTGCCTAAGAGGTTTCTAATTGAGGATTAAAACCAATAAATACAAGAAGGCCAGGCATGGTGGCTCATGCCTGTAATCCCAGCACTTGGGGAGGTTGAGGTGGGCAGATCACCTGAGGTCAGGAGTTCGAGACCAGCATGACCAATATGGCGAAACCCTGTATCTAATAAAAATACAAAAATTAGCCGGGTGTGGTGGCATGTGCCTGTAGTCCCAGCTACTCAGGAGGCCAAGGCAGGAGAATTGCTTGAACCCAGGAGGCAGAGACTGCAGTGAGCCAAGATTGTGCCACTGCACTCCAGCATCCTGAGTGACAGAGTGAGACTCTGTCTCCAAAAAAAAAAAAAACCAAAAAACAAAAACAAAAAAACCAGTAAATACAAAGAGGCACATGAAAGGCAGACTGCTGGCCAGGCACGGTGGCTCACGCCTATAATCCCAGCACTTTGGGAGGCCGAGGCAGGCACATCATGAGGTTAGGAGAGTGAGACCATCCTGGCTAACACGGTGAAACCCCGTCTTTACTAAAAATACAAAAAATTAGGTGGGCGTGGTGGTGGGCATCTGTAGTCTCAGCTACTCAGAGGGCTGAGGCAGGAAAATCGCTTGAACCCGGGAGGTGGAGGTTGCAGTGAGCCCAGATCTCGCCACTGCACTCCAGTCTGGGTGACAGAGCGAGAATCCTTCTCAAAAAAAAAAAAAAAAAGAAAAGAAAAGAAAAAGAAAAAAAAGAGAGGCAGGTGTGGTGGCTCACACCTGTAATCCCAACACTTTGGGAGGCTGACGCAGGTGGATCACCTGAGGTCGGGAGTTGGAGACCAGCCTGACCAACATGGAGAAACCCCATTTCTACTAAAAATACAAAATTAGCCAGGTGTGGTGGCGCATGCTTGTAATCCCAGCTACTCGGGAGGCTGAGGCAGGAGAATCGCTTGAACCCGGGAGGCAGAGGTTGCAGTGAGCCAAGATCACACCACTGCACTCCAGCCTGGGCAACAAGAGCGAGACTCTGTTAAAAAAAAAAAAAGAAAGAAAGAAAAGAAAAAGAAAAGCAGACTGCTTAAGGCTTCAGAGCACCCCTGGGGGAGTGAGGAGGTGGCCCAGAGGCCGAAGGCTCTGAGATGCATGAGAAGGTGCTGTTTGGGTGAACACGGTGCGGGGTCCTTTTCAGAGTATATACTGCTTTCTCCTTGCTCTGGCTGAAGTTCACATCACACAGCATGAAGTGAAACAGCACATCAATGTGATGAACACGGTTAACACTGAAGAAACCTGTACGTGCGAGCAAATATAGCGTGAAAGGGTTCAGGGATTTCTTTCTTTCTTTCTTTTTTTTTTTTTTGAGACTGAGTCTCACTCTATTGCCCAGGCTGGAGTGCAGTGGCATGATCTCCGCTCACTGCAACCTCCCACCTCCCAGGTTCAAGCGATTTTTCTGCCTCAGCCTCCCAAGTAGCTGGGACTATTGGCACGTGCCATGATGCCCGGCTAATTTTTGTATTTTTAGTAGAGTCAGGGTTTCACCATATTGGCCAGGCTGGTCTCAAACTCCTGACCTCATGATCTGCCCACCTCGGCCTCCCAAAGTGCTGGGATTACAGGCAGGAGCCACTGTGCCCGGCCGTCCTGTTTTTTGGTGTGTGTGTGTGTGTGTGTGTGTGTGTGTGTGCACGCGCGCGTTTGAGAGGGAGTCTCCCACTGTGGTCCATGCTGGAGTACAGCAGTGCGATCTCGGCTCACTGCGACCTCTGCCTCCCAGGTTCAAGCAATTCTCCTGCCTCAGCCTCCTGAGTAGCTGGGATTATAGGCATGTGCCACCACGCCTGGCTAATTTTTTGTATTATTAGTAGAGACAGGGTTTCACTCTGTTGGCCAGGCTGGTCTTGAACTCCAGGCCTCAAGTGATCCACCTGCCTCAGCCTCCCAAAGTCCTGGTATTACAGCCGTGAGCCACCATGCCTGGCCAATAGTTTATTTTTATTTTTAAAGGGACAGGGTCTCCCTCTTTCACCCAGGCCGTAACCCTGAACTGCGAGGCTCAAACGATCCTTCTGCCTTAGCCTCCCAACTCCCAAGTAGCTAGGACTACAGGTGCACACCACCATGCCTGGCTAATTTTTAAATTTTCGGTAGAGATGGTATCCTGGTATGTTGCCCAAGCTGGTCTCAAACTTCTGGCCTCAAGTGATCCTTCTGCCTCAGCCTCCCAAAAGTGCTGGGATTACAAGCATTGTGCCACAGTGCTCGGCCAACAATAGATTTATAATATCACTGAGGGCAGGGATTGTGAGTCATCATCAGCTCCCCAGTGACTGGCAGCATGCCAGGAATGGGGGAGGTGAGAGAAGGAAGGAAGGGAGGCTTTTCGGCCTGACAGTTCAGCCAAGTGCAGGCACTGTCATGTTCATGGCCACCAGGCACCTGCCAACGACCAGGCTCTGTGCTGCCCACTTTACACAGATGGTCTCACTTGGCCTTGATGACAACCTGTGGAAGTTGGTATTATTTACTCCAAGAGGAAACTAAAGGCAGAGAGTTTAAATAACTTGCCAAAAGTCACATGGCAGAATCAGGATTTGAGCTCAGATATGTTAAACTGAAGCTTGTGCTCTTGACTGCCTGGCTGTGCAGTCTTCCAGAAGAGCACGGCATGGACTTCTGGAATTCTTGCAGCCACTCGACTCAAAAGCAGTTAGCATAGTGCTGAGCACAGGTAATAGGGCATTTGACAAATGCCAGTGACTGTAGACCGAATGATTGACAGTCTGAAAGAATGAATGAGTGAAGTGACTTCCTGTCTTGTGAGGTCTTTCTCTTCAAATGGAAGATTTCCCCATAGCCTTTGAATGCTCAATCTAATTAAGGCAAAAAGACATCAGAGAATTGCAGGGCCTTTCCTTTATTAACTGTCAAGTCCAATCTGGAGGCTGTTTACGTGCCAAGGTCAGAGATCAGTCTTTAGCTGCTCTCCTCTCATTCATCTGGCCAACCTCAGAACATAAAGTTTATTGATGCAAAACTGATTGGCAGGCTGGGCTAACGAGCTGGCGGGAACAGGGAGTATCAGAAAGAGTTCTAAGCCAGCGTCGGCTCAGCCCAGCTCCTTTGCTGTCCTAACTTCCCTGTGCTCTAGGTTGCAGGGTCGCACCTTTCAGAAGTGAACCCCAGAAGAGTAGCAAATGCTGCCTGGCCTTTTGGCAGTTCTTATGGAGCCCAATCAAGAGCTGGAGGGGAAGCAGTCCTTTTTCCTGGTTTTGTCTATTAATGTGGAAAGAGCGAGGCATGGAAGATTAGGTAGTATAGTCTTTTTTTTTTTTTTTTTAAGACAGAGTCTCGCTCTGTCACCCAGGCTGGAGTGCAGAGTGCAGTGGTGTGATTTCGGCTCACTGCAAGTTCTGCCTCCCGGGTTCGTGCCATTCTCCTGCCTCAGCCTCCCAAGTAGCTGGGACTACAGGCACCCCCCCACCATGTCCGGCTAATTTTTTGTGTTTTTAGTAGAGACAGGGTTTCACTGTGTTAGCCAGGATGGTCTTGATCTCCTGACCTCGTGATCCGCCCGCCTCAGCCTCCCAAAGTGCTGGGATTACCGGCTTGAGCCACCTCGCCCAGCAGTATAGTCTTAAGACTTCACAAATCAAAGCAATTCCCATGTAAGCCTCGTCAGGCCTGGGGGTTGTGAAGAGGAAGGTAACTGTTATGCCTACAGTTTGCAGCCAACCCATCAGTAAGCAGCGCCTGTCTGTGGGGAGCTCCTGGCAGTGCCTCCTCCTCCATGCCCAGCAGGAAAGAGGCTGGGAAGGATGCATGGGCCACATGCCTGGCTCTACTTGCAGTGCCCCCAGGATAAAAGCCAGGAGGCCGGCCGGGCACGGTGGCTCACACCTGTAATCCCAGCACTTTGGGAGGCCGAGGCGGGCAGATCACGAGGTCGGGAGATCGAGAGCATCCTGGCTAACACGGTGAAACCCCGTCTCTACTAAAAATATAAAAAAATTAGCTGGGCGAGGTGGCGCGCGTCTGTAATCCCAGCTCCTCGCTAGGCTGAAGCAGGAGAATCTCTTGAACCCAGGAGGCCCAGGTTGCAGTGAGCTGAGATCGCACCACTGCACTCCAGCCTAGGCAATGGAGCAAGACCCCGTCTCAAAAAAAAAAAAAAAAAAAAGAAAAAGAAAAAGCCAGGAGGTGGGCAGTCAGGAGAGGCAGGTGGACCCGGGAGCTGTGGCTTCTTCTACTCAAGATAGGGAAAGTACAACTCCCCTGGTTATTATCAGGACCAATTGATTTTGCCTGATCTGAGAAAACATCCTGACCACAGGTCACTTGAAATGCCCTGTAATTCAGAAACAGTGGCTGTCCACAGCAGACAGCTATCTGGATTTAAGACCCCAAATTCACACACCACACCACAAATTGTCCACTTACAAGCAAAAAATAACTAACAGCAGCCCCCAACCCACTCTCATTTTATTCCCTTGGTTCCAGGTCTCCTCTGAGCAGGTCATGTCTCCCGGTGTGTTTGCGTACAGGCTGTGGGGCTGGGGGGAAGGAGTCTTTTTTCCTCTTACCCCAGGCAGGACTGGCTCCAGGTTGCACAGAGCTCCACAGAGAAAACTGCTCACTGCAGAGAAGGGCAGGGTCCAGCCCAAGCTCTACTCTGATGAGCTCTGAGATCAGGGGTGGTGACTTCATCTTCTATCTATGGCTTGGAACAATGATGATGACCATGACCCTCCGGTTTCAGTTCAGTCAATGAATGGGGAGCAAATTGCTATTGTCAGGCACTAGGCTAGGGAGGTGATTCAGAAAGGCTCCCAGAGACCCACACACCAATCACTAAACTAATATAACACGCTAATGCTACATCTACAGTAGGGATAAAGTGTTTTAGGTACACAAAGAAGGGAGTTGAGAAAAGCTTCAGAGGTTTTCAAAGTGGTTTCCAGACCATCATCAGCCAGCCTCACCTGGAAAGTTGGTAGAAATACAAATATCAGCCCCACCCCAGACTGGCTGAATCAAAAATTCTGGGGGTGGGGCCCAGCAATCTGCGTTTGAACAAGCCCTCCAGGTGATTATGATGCAACCTAAAGTCTGAGAATCACGTAGAGGTTGGAAAACTACCTTGCAACCAGCAACCTGTTTTTGCAAATAAAGTTTTATTGGAACACAGCCATAATCCATCATTCAGATATTGTTTGTGGCTACTTCCCTTTTAACCAGCAGAGTTGGTAGTTACGACAGAGACAATATGGCCTGCAAAGCCTGATTCTGTCAAATGACTAGACTAGATTTCCCATACTAGGGAGCATAGCCTAGATTTTTTTTCTTTTCTTTTTTTTTTTGAGACAGAATCTCACTGACACGCAGGCTGGAGTACAATGGTGGGTTCTCAGCTCACTGCAACCTCCACCTTCTGGGCTCAAGTGATCTCCCAACCTCAGCCTGCTGAGTAGCTGGGACCACGAGCATATGGCAACATGTGCAACTAACTTTTGTATTTTTTTTTTTTTGTTAATTATTATTTTTTGAGACCGAGTCTCGCTCTGTCGCCCAGGCTGGAGTGCAGTGGCGGGACCTTGGCTCACTGCAAGCTCTGCCTCCTGGGTTCACGCCATTCTCCTGCCTCAGCCTCCCCAGCAGCTGGGACTACAGACGCATGCTGCCACGCCTGGCTAATTTTTTGTATTTTTACTAGAGACAGGGTTTCACTGTGTTAGCCAGGATGCTCTCGATCTCCTGACCTCGTGATTCGCCCGCCTCGGCCTCCCAAAGTGCTGGGATTACAGGCATGAGCCACCGCACCCGGCCCTGCATTTTTTTTTAAAGATGTAATTTTTTTTTTTTTTTGAGAGGGCGTCTAGCTCTGTTGCCTGGGCTGGAGTGCAGTGGTGCTGTCTTGGCTTACTGCAAACTCCACCTCCTGGGTTCATGCCATTCTCCTGCCTCAGCCTCCCAAGTAGCCGGGACTACAGGCGCCAGCCACCACACCCGGCTAATTTTTTTTTATTTTTAGTAGAGACTGGGTTTCATCTTAGCCAGGATGGTCTCGATCTCCTGACCTCGTGATCTGCCCGCCTCGGCCTACCAAAGTGCTGGTATTACAGGT
The DNA here is from genome assembly GCF_000001405.40 of Homo sapiens. Taxonomy (NCBI): domain Eukaryota; kingdom Metazoa; phylum Chordata; class Mammalia; order Primates; family Hominidae; genus Homo; species Homo sapiens. Next base: position 128,527,239 of record NC_000007.14, read on the forward strand.
GTGAGCCACCGCGCCCGGCCTAAAAGACATAAGTTTGCATGTTGCCCAGGCTGGTCTCGAACTCCTGGTGTCAAGTGATCCACTGCCTCGGCCTCCCAATGTGCTGGGATTACAGGTGTGAGCCACCACACCTGGCCTCTTTTTTTTTTTTTTTTTTAAGAGACAAGGTTTCAATATATTGCCCAAGCTAGACTCAAACTCCTGGCCTCAAGCAATCCTCCTGCCTCAGCCTCCTAAGAGGCTGGAACTACCGACAGGTGCACACCACTACGCTTGGCTCCTGTCTATGGCGGAGGTTGCACTGAGCAGAGATTGTGCCATTGCACTCCATCCTGGGCGATAGAGTCAAACAACAACAAAATCCCCTTAAGGCTCTTTCCTAGCAACCAAACGTTTTTCCATTTTGTTAGGAATGGGAAGAAGAGAGGAAATAACTGGCTAAGTAACTACTCTACATCAAGCACGGTTACAAGGCATTTTCCACCATTATTTCAATTTTAATGAAAGCTGCTCATGAAATTAGGTTTACTGGGTCACAGTTTTCAGATGAGGAACCTGGGACAGGTGAAGGGACAGAATTGGAACCCAGTTCTGTCACCATAGATGCCCCACCTGTTCTACACTGGCCTGTCAAGAATAACAATAATAAAAATTATTATTTTAGAGACAGAGTCTTGCTCTGTTGGCCAGGTGGATTGCAGTGGCACGACCTCGGCTCACTGAAACCTTCGACTCCCAGGTTCAAGCGATTCTCCTGCCTCAGTCTCCCGACTAGCTGGGATTACAGGTGCCCGCCGCCACGCCCAGCTAATTAAAAAAATATTTTTAGTAGAGATGGGGTTTCACCATGTTGGCCAGGTTGGATCTCAATCTCCTGACCTCGTGATCCGCCCGCCTTGGCCTCCCAAAGTGCTAGGATTACAGGTGTGAGCCACCGCACCAGGCCCAATGATTATTTTAAATAATAATAATAATTTTTTTTGAGACGGAGTCTCGCTCTGTCACCCAGGCTGGAGTGCAGTGGTGTGATCTCGGCTTACTGCAACCTCCGCCTTCTGGGTTCAAGCGATTCTCCTGCCTCAGCCTCCCGAGTAGCTGGGACTACAGGCGCCCGCCACCATGCCTGGCTAATTTTTTTGTATTTTTAGTAGAGACAGGGTTTCACTGTGTTAGACAGGATGGTCTCGACCTCCTGACCTCATGATCCACCCACCTCGGCCTCCCAAAGTGCTGTGATTACAGGCATGAGCCACCGCTCCCAGCCTTAAATAATTACTTTTATTTTATTATCATTATTTTTGAGACAGGGTCTCACTCTGTCACCCAGAATGGAGTGCAGTGGTGCCATCTTGGCTCACTGCAACCTCTGCCTCCCGGGTTCAAGCGAATTCTCCTGCCTCAACCTCCCAAGTAGCTGAAAGTACAGGTACGTGCCACTATGCCGAGCTAATTTTTGTATTTTTAGTAGACACAGGGTTTCACCATGTTGGCCAGGCTGGTCTCGAACTGCTGGCCTCAAGTGATCCACCCGCTTTGGCCTCCCAGAGTGCTGGGATTACAGGCGTGAGCTACTGCACCCAGCCTAATTACTTTGAAAAATGGGATCACAGGCCAGGTGCGGTGGCTCATGCCTGTAATCACAGCACTTTGGGAGGCCGAGGTGGGCAGATCACGAGGTCAGGAGTTCGAGACCAGTCTGGCCAACATAGTGAAACCCCGTCTCTACTAAAAATACAAAAAATAGGCCAGGTGTGGTGGTGTGCGCCTGTAATCCCAGCTAGTTGGGAGGCTGAGGCAGGAGAATCGCGTGAACCCAGGAGAAAGAGGTTGCAGTGAGCTGAGATTGCGCCACTGCACTTCAGCCCGGGCGACAGTGAGAGACTCCGTCACCAAAATAAAATAAAAAAAAATAAAAAGATCCTCTAGCCCAAATCCCTCCAACACAGAAGCAGTCGGAGAAGCTTGAAAAGGTTAGATGATAGGCCCATGTAGCTTGTCTGTGGAAAGAGCTAGGCTGCAAGACACCTCTGACTCCGTTGAGTGCTTTCTCTTACTCTCCTTTCCCGATTTAAGACATTAAATCATTTAAGACAGTGTCATTTGGTCGGGCGCGGTGGCTAACGCTTGAAATCCCAGCACTTTGGGAGGCTGAGATGGGCGGATCACCTGAGGTCAGGAATTCGAGACCAACGTGGCCAACATGGCAAAACCTCGACTCCACCAAAAAAAAAAAAAATTAGCCGGGCCTGGTAGCGCGTGCCTGTAATCTCAGCTACTCAGGAGGCTGAGGCAGGGAGAACTGCTTGAACCCGGGTGGCAGAGGTTGCAGTGAGCCAAGATCGCACCACTGCACTCCAGCCTGGGCGACAGAGCGAGACTCTGTCTCAAAAAAAAAATTTTTTTTTAAAAGACAGTGTCATTTGATGGAGTTGCTTTCTTGATCGTTGGCTGCAATGAAAGACCTAGCCTCACTGTCTTTTGTGTTGCCTTGGACCGGCTCTTAGGTTCTACTGCCCTAACAGGCAGTGGAGGCTGGCCTCGAGTGGTAGTCATCCATCTTGCCCTCTTTTCCTACCCTCTACCCCCAACCCCCGAGCTGCTCTCCTGTCTCCTTCCAACACTGTTCTCTTTGGGAATATGCATGTCCAACTTCCCAAGCAGTCTGGGATCTGGAGTAAGATGACTCTTGGTTTAATGGAGTTTTTCCACAGTGCTTGCATGTGCCCCAAGGGTTTGGAAGGTTGGAGAACTAACAAAAAGCAAAGCGCCATCCTGTGTCGTTTCGGCAGGTCTGTGTTCTGTTAAAATATGGAAGAATTAACAGAAGAACGAAGAAATAAGGGCAGAAACTCCACAGGGGAGTACTTGTCTAACCCTGAAAAAGTTCAAGGCTGTTGTTCAAGGTCTGAATTTTTCCCTTGAGATTTGCTTGTAGTCCTTAAAGTCATCTTCAGATCTATCTGATCAAGGCAGCATCCGCGGAAAATTATAAGGTGGGTGGCTGCACTGGAGCCTGTCCTGGCTCAGGGGAGCCGGTGAAGAGTGATTTTTTTCCCTTGGCGTTGGGGGATCAGAGGGGGTGCCCTCTGCTATGCAGGAAGCCCTCCTTGCCCACTAGATAGTTGTCATTCCTCAGGAGATACTCTGTGAGGGGCCGGTGTGTTTTCTCCATCTTGGCACTTACCCTCAGACCCTCCTAAATACCCGGGAGGGCCGTGTTTTTCATCGGAGGTTGAAATGGAACCTCCCCCTGGGTGCCCGGGGAGAGTACCTTGGGGGCAGCGCCCCTCCTTCCGGAGGGCAGCATCCCGGCGGGGGCGGGGGCTCGGCTTTGATGCCAGGGCACCTTTTGTCCCTGGAGACGCTCTGCCAGCCAGGTGCGTGGAGGGAGTGCAGCCCGCCCTCCGGGGCGACGCGCGGGGCTGGGGCGGGCCGGCGGCTCCGGGGAGTGGCGGTCGGGAGCCCGCGAACGCGGGTGGGCGCCGTCGCCTCACTAACCGGGCGCCTCCGGGAAATCCGGGCGGGGTCCGCCGCTCGCACATAGGATTAGCGTCCTCTAAACTCCATCCCTGGGAAAAGCCGCCGCACTTCTCACCCAAACTCGCGGAGCCGAGGGGTTGGGCAGGGGTTGGGCGGGCGCGGGGGCCGCCGAGGCGGATCCGGGAACGGGTGGACCCGGGCGGCCAAGCCTCTTCAGCGCCGGCCCAACCGCCCCGGCCCGGGCCAGTCCAGCGGGGCGGGGGCTGGTGACACAAAGGCGGCGGCGGGTCCTCCGGGCCTCCGACCTCGGGCAGTCGCAGGACGCCCCGGGCCGCCTGACCTTCCCTGGCGTCGCGGCCCGTCCGCCGGCGCCGCCCGTCGCCCGCCCTCAGCCGTCCGGCGAGGTGCGGCCTCCTCAGCCGGCGCGGGGTGCCCTGGTTAACCCCTGCCCGGCAGCGCGGCCGCTGATTGGAGGAGGCGGGGCGCCGGGGCAGCGGGGACCCCCCCCACTCCGCACTTTCCTCGTCCCCTCCCCCTCCTCTCCCACTGTCGGCGCTTCCCCCACCCCCCAGGACCCCCCCTGCCTCCCAGCCGTGCAAATCTCGCGAGGAAACACGCGGTTTCACTAGTGTGTTTACACCGATCAGTACTAATCCGGACCGAACCGATCCGGATTAAGGGGCCGGAGGCGGGTCCTGGGCACCAGCGGTTCCGACCCACCCCGGCCCTCCGCGCCGCACCCGAGTGGCCCCCAGCCGAGCGGGCCCCCACCTCCTGGCCCGGCCTGGGCCCTTCTGCGCCTCCCTTGGCCTTTGTCCAGCGCCAGGAGGCCGGTCCCGCGCCCGCGTCGGGCGCCTGGCTCTGTACGCGAGCCCGGGGATCTGCGGCCTTCGTGCCCCCCCTCCCCCGCCCGCCCTTTCGTGGAGCCCGGCGCAGGCGGCTGCTGCCCGGGCGGGGGGTTGCGGCGCTCAGGGGAGGCCCCGGCTCCGCCCCGGGCCTGCCCAGGGGGAGAGCGGAGCGGCCCGCAGCCGGGTCGGGTCGGGGCCCCTCCCGGGAGGAGCGTGGAGCGGCGGCGGCGGCAGGTGAGAGGCTGAGCCCCGGGCGGGGGAGGGCGCCAGGCCTGGGGCATTAACCGTCCCGGGGACCCTTTTGGCCTGAGGAGCCTGCGACCTGGGCCCAGCTCGGTGTCGGCTCCGGACCGCAGCTCCTGGGCGCTGAGGCGGGAGGGGCTCCCTGAGGGCTGCGGGTCGCTGAGGGGCCGGGCAGAAGATGGGGGAGGCCCAGGCGGCCCCGGCCTGGGATTGGGGCCGGCGGCCGGAGGAGAGACTGGGGCCCCTCGGCAGCTGGAGGCCTCGGCAGCCTCCCGGGCGCCCCCGAGAGCCGGCCCTCCCTTCCTCCGTGACAGGTGGGCCTGGAGTTGGGGAAAGTTTGGAGCCGGCGAGGGGCGCCGGGACCAGGCCCCATCGCTCCTGCTTCCTGGCTGTGGGCTGCAGGGAGGATCCCAGTCCAAGGCCCCGCTGGAATTAGACGGAGTGGCTATTTCCTTAACATGAGTTGGCATTAAACGGAATAACCGCCGGGGCGTCATTTTCCGGGCCGGGCCTGGGGAATGGAGGTTTGGTAAGTGTTGCGAGAGACCTTGGGGTTTGGGAGAGACTGCAGCCTCTGCCATTCCGACCTCGACCTCGACCTCGATTAGGGCAGGGCAAGACGCAAGGAAGGCCACGGGGGAAACTCATTCTCCCAGTCTCTTTTTTTCCTTCTTTTTCTTTTTGCGAAGATGCATTTCAGCCTTTCTGAGAATTTCCTAATTCTCTCTCTAACCTGCACTTGCATGTGTGGGTGAAACTTTAATTTGTCACCTTTTCATTCCCCTTTGCCCCAGGCTCTCAATCCAGGAAGGGAAATGAAATTGAAGGACTTGTAAGGGGGTTGTTACTGGAGATTGTAGAGTTGTTGGATTGCAGAGGAGAATGTTCGATTCATCTTTTCAGTAACTTTAAAATCACACCAACCATTCCAACTACTTAATAATGTGTTCGAAGGGGTTCTATGTAATATGTTTCTTTTCCACTGTTAATATTAAAGAGAGGTTTTCAATGGGTTGTGTAGGAGTTGGTCTCTTGCAAAGGATGGACATATTTGCTGAAAGTAGCCTGTGCATTAATTGGTTATGGAAGTTTAAAAATGGTGTCCTCCTGCCCCTCCCTGCTTGGAAGAAGGGCTAAAAGCAGATGTCCAGAATCAAGAGAAAACTAATGCAGGGAGTGGTCAGAAAAAGATTTTTTAAAGGGATTGTTATGGAGCTATATTAATTTACTGAGTGAATGGAGGTGGATGGTTTTACCATGGGCTCTCTATTAAATTTAAAATAATTCCTTTTCTCATGAGCTACTGTGAGCTCTTCAGAGAAAGGAGCTGTATAATAGTGTTTTTGCAGTTATTTGTAGCTTCTGATTCATCCTGTATTCTTTTGAAATTATTGTCAATGATTCATATTTTTAGTTTAAGGACTACTTCCTGAGTGGGAAATAAATATCTGAAGATACTTAGCTAGATTCGAAGGCTGATAGAAGGAATTTTCTTTTTGCAGGCTAGTTCTTGTTTTGTTCTTTCCCCTGTGCTCAACTTTTGCAGAGATTATGTGAAGGGTTTGAGGGGTTTATTTTTGCTGTTAAAATCAAATCAGAACCAGGGAAGAATAAGTGGCTGTCATAGAAGAGGACTTCTGAGCTGCTTTAAAACTTTTCAATATATTACCGTTTGATGCAGCACATAGTAGTCTACCACTTGTATGCTATATTTACTTGAGATTTACCTGCATTTGATCTTTCAGTGAAATAATTACTGTGAGTTTTGTTCTACAAAAAATTGCCTCCTCACATTTTAGTGTTTATGGTTTCACAGCCTACTCTTTCTTTTTCAGTAGAAATAATGGAAGAATTGCATAGCCTGGACCCACGACGGCAGGAATTATTAGAGGCCAGGTTTACTGGAGTAGGTGTTAGTAAGGTGAGTAAAATGATGATAATGAACACTATTCATATTCTAGTTTAAACACATTTTTTAAATGATTAAGAGCAGTTTGGGTAGGCCCTTCTGATAGTTTGCAGGGGAGAAGATTTGGGTCTTAATTTCAGTGAACTTTTAGATCCTACTAGTCATTCCAGTAGTCATTTAACATGGTAGGTTTGAAAATGTTCTTTATGGGAATATATGTTTCTTCTTCCTTTCTGGTATAGGAGAGGTTTCTCATGGTTCTTGTTACAAGGAAACTAACAGGATGTGTGTATAGATTCTATGCCATATTTTGTTAAAATTTGTCAGCCATTCAGAAAGAAAATTACAAGGCATTGCATAGCTTTGTTACATTGGACTTTGGAGGTAGTTACATGGCAGAGTATTGAAACATTGGCCTCTGTGAAGTCTGCAGACTCTTTACTGGTTGCACCCCCAGACTGGTTTGTTGCTCTTCTCATTCTTCCTTCTTAGTTTTTATTTTTGTTGCAGGAGCATAATATTAGATTAGGCCCCCATTAACGGGCACGTATGAAGTTAAGCAATGTTATAGTTTCCTATGCATGTTTATGTACCCACTGGTCCACCCCTCTGCTCTCATAGGATGATTTTACAATGTGTAAAATGTTTGATTTTAATACAGTACGCAAAGTATATTTACAATATTTTATTTAAAAGCTTCATTGGTCCAAGATCATATTACTTGGGCTTGAGATGTGTGAACGTATGAGCTACTGATTTTTTTTTTTTGAGACAGAGTTTTCCTCTTGTCACCCAGACTGGAGTGCAATGGTGTGATCTCGGCTCACTGCAGCCTCCACCTCCTGGGTTCAGGTGATGATTCTCCTGCCTCAGCCTCCTGAGTAGCTGGGATTACAGGCACCCGCCACCACGCCCAGCTGATTTTTGTATTTTTAGTAGAGACGGGGTTTCACCATATTGGCCAGGCTGGTCTCGAACTCCTGACCTCAGGTGATCCACCTGCCTCGGCCTCCCAAAGTGCTGGGATCACAGGCAGGAGCCACTGTGCCTGGCTGAGCTTTTGATCTTTAACCAATGTGATACAACATTTCTTTCTGTGCTTTTCAAGAAATCCTGTCTCGTGGCAACCTGGGTGTTGATCTCGTGCTTTAGTTAGTAGCTTCTCCAAGGAGAAGGCGTGTTGAGGTTTAGTTGGAAAAATGGGCTTCTTTGATGGGTCTCAAGTTTTGGTGAGCTGGGATAGCTTGATAGGGTTTTTTTTTTTTTTTTTGAGACAGCCTTGCTCTGTCACCCATGCTGGAGTGCAGTGGCATGATCTCGGCTCACTGCAACCTCTGTCTCCTGGGTTCAAGTGATTCTCTTGCCTCAGCATCCTGAGTAGCTGGGATTACAGGCATGCACCACCATGCCTGGCTAATTTTTTTATTTTTAGTAGAGACAGGGTTTCTCCATGTTGGCCAGGCTGGGTCTCGAACTCCTGACCTCAAGTGATCTGCCTGTCTTGGCCTTCCGAAGTGCTAGGATTACAGGCATGAGCCACCACGCCCAACCAGCTTGATAGTTTTTGTTTATCCAACAAATATTGAGCACCTGCTGTATGCTAGGCATTGTGCAAGGTGTTAGGGCTGATGCTTGAGCACAGTACCTCCACATCTGCAGTATGGGGAGAGAGAGATGACACCGTGATGAGATCTGTATTAGAGCTGTGACAAGGTGCTGTGGGAACACAGGATTTGTTACATATTCTTAATTTCTTTGGCCACTTAAACAGTTTACTTTTGTGGCACTTTAGAGTGGCTGTGCCCCTGGACGTTGTATATTGAAGTTACATTTACAAATGTAAACTCTCTGATCTAGGTGAAGTAGCTTCAAGTAGAAGTGAGCAATATATTTGAATACTAAATTGATCTATAAATGACCTCTGATGTGTCTTTTTAACTTGAAGATTGAGCATAAGGCTAATATCCAGATCTGTCTGTTTAAATGGTCCCCCCACCCCCGCCTCCCGTAAGTCAGTAAGTTTGTATTCAAATTTTACATAGTTTAAGCTCACTGATCTTTGGATTAGGGTTGTTGTTCTGTTTTTAGGTTTGTGATGGCTGTATCCAAGTATACTTTTGATGGAGTAGGGCATAAGTGATAAGAATGAGTGACATTCAACATGTTGCTGTCTAGACCCAACTTAAAGTCATGTAACTAAGGTATCAGAAAACTTTAATACAGTAACCTATCTGTTTAATAGGAAATTCTACCTTTAACATAGAAAGAAGTTCTCTGTACAGAAAAAGAAATTTACCTATTTCCAGTTTTTTTGTTTGTTTTTGAGAGGTCTCACTCTCTAGCCTAGGCTGGAGTGCAGTGGCACGATCTCGGCTCACCTCAACCTCCACCTCCCAGTCTCAAGCGATTCTCCTGCCTCAGCCTATAGATAGCTGGGATTACAGGCGTGCGCCACTACCACCCTGTTAATTTTTGTATTTTTAGTAGAGATGGGGTTTTACCATGTTGGCCAGGCTGGTCTTGAACTCCTGACCTCAAATGATCCACCTGCCTCTGCCTCCCAGAGTGTTGGGATTACAGGCATTAGCCACTGCACCCAGCTTTATTTCCAGTTGTTTTTATTCCATTAGTGTTTTTTTTTTTGAGACAGAGTTTTGCTCTGTCGACCAGGCTGGAGTGCAGTAGCACGATCTTGGCCCACTGCAATCTCTGCCTCCCGGGTTCAAGCGATTCTCCTGTCTCAGCCTCCTGAGTAGCTGGCACTACAGGCACCTGCTACCATGCCCAGCTAATTTTTGTATTTTTAGTAGATGGGGTTTCACCATATTGGCCAGGCTGATCTCGAACTCCCGACCTTGTGATGTGCCTGCCTCGGCCTCCCAAAGTGCTGGGATTATAGGCGTGAGCCACTGTGCCCGGCTTAAGTAGTCGTATGTTATTTTGATATTTCCAGTCATGGTAAGTATATTGATTACAATGAATTTGTTATTTGAGGACTAGCAGGAGAGTATTTTTTTTTCCATAACAAAGAAACTTGAAGAAAAAAATTAATTCTGTAGTTTGCAGAGCCGGGAAAAGAAAATCTCCATTTTGTATGACTTTTTTTTTTTTGAGACAGAGTTTCACTCTTGTTGCCCAGGCTGGAGTGCAATGGCGCGATCTCAGCTCACTGCAACCTCCGCCTCCTGGGTTCAAGCAATTCTCGTGCCTCAGCCTCCCCAGTAGCTGGGATTACAGGCACGTGCCACCACGCCCGGCTAATTTTTTGTATTTTTAGTAGAGATGGAGTTTCACCATGTTGGCCAGGCTGGTCTCGAAATCCTGACCTCAGGTGATCCACCCACCTCGGCCTCCCGAAGTGCTGGGATTATAGGTGTGAGCCATCGCGCCCAGCCTTTGTATTACTTCTTTTACCAGTAAGACATTGTACCTCTCAGACTATTGATTTGAAATGGGGGTGTGGAGGGGATGATGATACTGGGAGAAAAGGGTGCTTTTGGAAAAACTCCTCTCCCTGGCTTTGAATTCTCATTTCGGATCATTATTTCCCAATGAGAACATCACCGTGTTAGGGCCAGGCACGGTGGCTCACGCCTGTAATCCCAGCACTTTGGGAGGCTAAGGCAGGCAGATCACGAGGTCAGGAGATCGAGACCATCCTGGCTAACACGGTGAAACCCCATCTCTACTAAAAAATACAAAAAATTAGCCGGGCTTGGTGGCGGGTGCCTGTAGTCCCAGCTACCCGGGAGGCTGAGGCAGGAGAATGGCTGAGCCCGGGAGGCGGGGCTTGCAGTGAGCCTGGGCGACAGAGCAAGGCTCCGTCTCAAAAAACAAAACAAAACAAAAATAGAATATCACTGTGTTGATGACAGCTTTGTTTTTCAAAGATCAAAAAAGATTTCAGCCCCTGCAGCTCCAAATAAGAGAGCAGAGTGACTTCCCTGTGATGGTGCCATCTAGTGGGACTGGTTCAGCCTCTTGGGCTGTCTCTGGAATTTCTTCTAACTATTCATAACATTTTTCAGTACTTTTTGATGTCCATAGAAGGAAGAAAGTCAGTGCCACTGTGGATTCTTTCCTAGTGGACAAGAGTGTTACAAGTAGCTACAGTCTTTGAACTTTCTGGTTGTTGTAAATCTTCTGTTGTATAACTTTCGAGTTTTTTCCACCTGCAAATTAGATATACACTCCATTACTTAGACTAAAACAAAATGGCCAAATCTCCACATCTATTACTTATATTTAACTTGCTCATTGCCTATATTTAGGTTTTTAATTTTTTATTTCTAATTTTCTTGCATAGTGCAAATTTTTAATTTTCTTGCATAGTGTGTTTATAGGTAGGTACTCAGTTTCTCAGCATATTTACTTCAAAATAATGGTAAAACAAAAGTCATTTATTTTGGGGTTTGGGATGCACTATTTGGTTTATGTTTAAAAGAGTGACATTTTCTGTCATGAACTGATGAGGGGAAAGTAGTGTAATGTGCACCCAAAAGTCTATAGCAGGCTCCCTAGTCTAGCTGCCCCTTTTTAGGAGGACCTGGAGCCATCGTCTTAGCAGTTTTGAGGTGATAAGGTTAAACTGGGTTGTGAACCTAGTAATTTTCAGTTTTTTTTTTTTTTTTTTTTTTTTGAGACAGAATCTCACTCTGTCGCCCAGGCTGGAGTGCAGTGGCGCAATCTCTACTCACTGCAAGCTCCACCTCCCAGGTTCACGCCATTCTCCCGCCTCAGCCTCCCGAGTAGCTGGGACTGCAGGTGCCCGCCACCACACCCGGCTAATTTTTTGTATTTTTAGTAGAGATGGGGTTTCACCGTGTTAGCCAGGATGGTCTCGATCTCCTGACCTCGTGATCTGCCAGCCTTGGCCTCCCAAAGTGCTGGGATTACAGGTATGAGCCACTGCACCCTGCTGCTAGTTCTTTATGTCTTGTTGACCTGACATGTGAGCTGTCCTACCTCTTTTTTTTTTTTTTTTTCTTTGAGATGGGGTCTCGCCCTGTCACCTGGGCTGGAGTGCAGTGGCGCGATCTCGGCTCACTGCAGCCTCTGCCTCCGAGGTTCAAGCGATTCTCTTGCCTCAGCCTCCCCAAGTAGCTAGGACTACAGGCGTGTGCCACTATTCTCAGCTGATTTTTATATTTTTAGTAGAGACGGGTTTTTGCCATGTTAGTTGGCCAGGATGGTCTCTCTCTCGACCTCGTGATCCGCCCGCCTCGGCCTCCCAAATTGCTGTGATGACAGGCGTGAGCCACCCCGCCTGGCCTGTCCTACCTCTTTTTTAAGACCTCTTCCTGTAAGCACTGGATAATCTACTTCTAGTAATGTGAAACTGACTATATCTTGAATTCATATGTTTTCAATCAACCTGTTGCAGTTTATATTTCACACCCTGCTCCCTTTTGACAGTTTAAGTACAGATAGTCTCAGCAGTTCTGGAGACCATGTAAAGTAGGCAGAATTTCACCCTTGCATGCATTGTTACTTGTACCTAGTTGAATATCAATGCTAATACAGTAGCAAATACTTATAATACTGTGTGCCAGTTACTGTTCCAACAGTACAACAAAAGCAATAAGAAGTGAATTTAGATCTTTTATAACAGGGATAATGGTTAACAAATCTGTACGTAATCAACTCACTGGATTAATAGGCATTCTCCATTCTCTCTTTATAAGCCATACTGACTGATGCTTATCACATTGCTCCCACCAGTTGAATTATAGCCATGTCAATGATCATTTTACAGTAACTTAACACTTGTGTTGTAATTATTCAATTTAATACACAATTGCATAAAGCAATGAAATATGATTGCAGGCCGGGCGCAGTGGCTTATGCCTGTAATCCCAGCACTTTGGGAGGCCGAGGCGGGCAGATCACGAGGTCAGGAGATCGAGACCGTCCTGGCCAAAATGACGAAACCAGTCTCTACTAAAAATACAAAAAATAAGCTGGGCGTCATGGCATGTGCCTGTAATCCCAGCTACTCAGGAGGCTAAGGCAGGAGAATCACTTGAACCAGGGAGTCGGAGGTTGCAGTTAGCCGAGATTGTGCCACTGCCCTCCAGCATGGGCAACAGGGTGAGACTCTGTCTCAAAAAAAAAGTAAGTCAGCAAGGAGATATCTGTAAAAATTTATGATATTCTTTTAATCTGCAGGAATTCTTTACTTAAATCCTTGGCAAGTATCTTTTTTTGTTTTTGTTTTTGTTTTTTGAGACAGAGTTTCACTCTTGTTGCCCAGGCTGGAGTGCAATGGCGTGACCTCGGCTCACCGCAACCTCCGCCTCCCAGGTTCAAGTGATTCTCCTGCCTCAGCCTCCCAAGTAGCTGGGATTACAGGCATGCACCAACACGCCCGGCTAATTTTGTATTTTTATTAGAGATGGGGTTTCTTCATGTTGGTCAGGCTGTTCTTGAACTTCCGACCTCAAGTGATCCGCCTACCTCAGCCTCCCAAAGTGCTGGGATTACAGGTGTGAGCCACTGCGCCCGGCGGCAAGTATCTTTTAAGTTCTCACTTTTTTTTTTTTTTTTTGGAGAGTTTCACTCTTGTCGCCCAGGCTGGCGTGCAGTTGCATGATCTCTGCTCACAGCAATCTCCACCTCCCAGGTTCAAGCGATTCTCCTGCCTCAGCCTCCCGAGTAGCTGGGAGGTGCCCGCCACCATGCCCAGCTAATTTTTGTATTTTTAATAGAGACGAGGTTTTACCACGTTGGCCAGGCTGGTCTCGAACTCCTGACCTCAGGCGTTCACCCGCCTTGGCCTCCCAAAGTGCTGGGATTACAGGCGTGAGCCACCGTGCCGGGGCCAAGGAACTCTTTTTCTATCTTTTATAAATTTTTAAGTCTGATACATCACATTATGTAATCAAATTGACTTCTGAAAAGGTATTTAACTAACTGATACCTTTCTTTTCATGTAGTTCGTTGCAGCAATTAGAAGCTTTCAGTCATGAATATCTAGTGTCAGCTTTTTCACATACCAAAGTCACTTTCATTTTTTAAAAATGTTTGTATGTCTTAGATTTAATTACATGCCTGACAATGCTCAATAAGCATGAATGCTGAGAAATGGCCTATACTTATACTGATGCATTTTAAGGAACTGTGGATTAATTTACTTTAGTATTTATTTGATTCCCTCCTTATTTCACATGTAGTCAAGTACCAACACGTGCCTCTTTCTCTGAAATTTCTGAAGTGTTTTTCTGCCCCCATTGCTACTGCCTTAATCCAGACTGTTTTTATTCATAACTTGAAATTCTAGTTTGGAAGTCTTGCACCCTTTCTGTTCTTCTATTGGTTACCACAGAAATTACAACACATATTTTTAACTTATAAAGGTTAATGTTAATACCTTTGTCTTCCTCTTGGTCAGTACAAGGGCCTTGAAGATTTTTTTTTTTTTTTTTTTTTTTGAGATAGGGGGTTGCTCTGTCACCCAGGCTGGAGTGAAGTGGCATGATCATGGCTCACTGCAGCCTTGACCTCCTGGGCTCAGGTGCTCCTCCTGCTTCAGCCTCCTGAGTAGCTGGGCCTACAGGCACACATCACCACACTTGAATAATTTTTGTAGTTTTTCTTTTTATAAATTAAAAAAAAAATGCCTTCCATCAGCATCTTGCAAATTTTTGTATTTTTTGTAGAAACTTGGTTTTGCCATGTTGCCCAGACTGGTGACCTTGAAGATTTAACTCCATTTATTCCCCTCACAATTCACACGCTATTGCTGTTCTGTATTTAATTGTACGTATGTGTGTGTGTAAATTTTTTTTTTTTTTTTGAGACATGGTCTCACTGTGTCACCCAGGCTTGAGTGCAGTGGTGCGATCTCGGCTCACTGAAACCTCTGCCTTCTGGGCTCAAGTGATTCTCCTGCCTCAACCTCCTGAGTATCTGGGACTAAAGGCACGTGCCACCATGCCCGGCTAATTTTTGTTTTTTTGTGTTTTTAGTAGAGATGGGGTTTCACCATGTTGGCCAGGCTGATCTCGAACTCCTAACCTCAGGCGATCTGCCAGCCTTGGCCTCCCAAAGTGCTGGGATTACAGGTGTGAGCTACCATGCCCAGTCTGTATATTTTCTAGAGCACTTTTAGGTTTATAGAAAATTGAGCAGCTAATGCAGAGTTCCCATATACTTCCTCACCCTACTTTCTCATTATTCACATTTTGCATTATTACAGGTGTGAGCTACCATGCCCAGGCTGTATATTTTCTAGAGCACTTTTAGGTTTATAGAAAATTGAGCAGCTAATACAGAGTTCCCATATACTTCCTTACCCTACTTTCTCATTATTCACATTTTGCATTATTAGTGTCTTTGTTACAATTGATGATACATTATTAACTAAAGTCCATTGTTCACAGTTGTCTACTGGCTTCCATTAGGCTCTTTATTTATTTTTATTTTTATTTTTTTGAGATGGAGTCAACTTGCCCAGGTTGGAGTGTGGTGGCGCGATCTCATCTCACTGCAACCTCTGCCTTCCAGGTTCAAGCAATTCTCCCTGTGTCAGCCTCCTGAGTAGCTGGAATTACAGGCGCCCACCACCACGCCCGGCTGATTTTTGTATTTTTAGTAGAGATGGGTTTCACCATGTTGGCCAGGCTGGTCTTGAACTCCTGACCTCAAGTGATCCACCTGCCTTGGCCTCCAAAAGTGTTGGGATTACAGGCGTGGGCCATCACACCCGGCCAGTTACAGAATATTCTCAGCCGTTATCTTGTCATATATTGCTTCTGTCTTATTCTGTCTTCTCTGGCATGCTAAACATATACTAGACCTTCTCATTGTGTTTTCTCTGCCTCTTACCCTGTCTCTTGTATTGCTTGTCTTTTTGTTTTCTTATCTAAATACTTGGTAGTTTCTTGTGACCTATCTTCCACTTGATTAATTTTCTCTTCAGATTTGCCTAATCTACATAAACCTATACGTTGAAATTTTATAAAAGCTGAGTCACTCTTATCCTGAGGGTGTAGCCCATGGGTCTTCTACTGTATGGGGTGGCTTTCCCACACTCCCCTCATTGGGCAGGGCCCGGGCTTTGACTTTCTTCTCTCCCTATACTCCCAGGCCTCTTAAATTATAGCTTAATTTCATAGATTTTTCTTTTTCTTTTTCTTTTTTTTTTTTTTGAGATGGAGTCTTGCTCTGTCACCAGGCTGGAGTGCAATGGCATGATCTCAGCTCACTGCAACCTCCACCTCCTGGGTTCAAGCGATTCTCCTGCCTCAACCTCCCAAGTAGCTGGGACTGTAGGCACGCGCCACTGCACCCAGCTAATTTTTGTATTTTTAGTATAGACAGGATTTCACCATGTTGGCCGGGCTGGTCTCGATCTCCTGACCTCAGGTGATCCACCTGCCTCGGCCTCCCAAAATGCTGGGATTACAGGCATGAGCCACCACGCCTGGCCTAATTTCAAAAATTTTTCTTTAGAATTTAATCTGCAAATGACTTCAAATTGAAATCATTTTTTATTTTTAAATTTTAACTTTTAGAGACAGGACTTCATCCCCAGGCTGGCCTCGAACTCCTGGGCTCAAGTGATTCTCCCACCTCAGCCTCCTAAGTAGCTGAGACAACAGGCATGTGCCATTGCACCCAGCAGAAGTGATTTTTTTGAGTTCTGGTCTTGTGTCTCTGGATTCTTGACTTCTTACAGAAGTAATTCTTTATTTCATTGCTTTGCACTCAATAATATAAAACTAACACTTAGTGTGTGTGAACTCTTGTGTCACTGTAAAGTTTACTTCCTTGTGACTTTCACTTCTCATCTGCTTCCTTCTTCCTTCCTGCCTATAAGTGGTTGGCATTGGCGTTGTCATCACTCTTGGCCTTTAAAGTCATTTATTTCCTGTTCTCTGTTTACTTTTAGTTAAATTCAGATTAAATGGAAAGATTTCTTAAAATTTTATTTTTAAGAAAGGCCATGAGAGGGAAAACAAATAAGGTATATTATCAGTGGTTTCTTATTTCATACCTGGGTCTAGGGATAATTTGACTTAGTTCTATTCTTCCTCTCTACCTTGTCTGGGTCTTAAAATTGTTAGGTTCCTCCTGGTGGTATGTTTCACTTGATCCTGGCTACTACTAGATGTGATGGGATTAGTTTGGAATCTACTTCCTAGTATGTTGGCCATGGTTAGCTAAGTACTTCATATATTTATTTATTTATTTTTGAGACGGAGTCTCGCTCTGTTCCCCAGGCTCGAGTGCAGTAGCGTGATCTCGGCTCACTGCAAGCTCCGCTTCCCGGGTTCAAGCAATTCTGCCTCAGCCTCCCTAGTAGCTGGGACTATAGGTGGGTGCCACCATGCCCTGCTAATTTTTGTATTTTTAGTAGAGATGGGGTTTCACCGTGTTGGCCAGGATGGTCTCGATCTCCTGACCTCATGATCCACCCGTCCTGGCCTCCCAAAGCACTGGGATTACAGGCATGAGCCCCCACACCCGGCCCCCATATCTTACTCTTAACATATCCTTTTTCTAAAAAAACTGCATATATTGCAAAGTATTGGAGTAGGAATAATATAGCTTTGATACTAGAATCTGCTAAGAAGTTAGCTAGCTTTAGTTAACTTAGGAGTCATTTCAATTCTCTGGGCACTTCCAATTTAAGAATTTTATGTTTGATAAACTACACAAAAAGAGGAAGCCAGATTTGAGATACAGGATAATAAATTCCAAAAATTCCAGTTAAGTATTAATAGTGTGAAAAAATGAGTGGTGGTATTAAAATATAAACCTTCAGGAACAAAGGTTCTATAGGATAAAATCTGCCAAAATTCTTTCCTTCATTTTGTATATATATAGCCTTTTGGGAACATGGGTTGCATACAATAAAATAATGATATTAGAAAAATACCATAGGAGCAAGAAAAGTACCTTGTTTTGCCCATTAAATATACTCTGAAGACAGCAGTGAGGAAAATAAAGGTGAAACATTTTTCTAAAAATAGTCTCAGAATAAGGATGGTGTCTGTTTTCTAGTCCTAACTAGATGAGGGAAATAGAGATTTGTTATTAAACTGGTTTTTTTTTTGTTTTTTGAGACTCAGTCTTACTCTGTCGCCCAGGCTGGAGTGCAGTGGTACGATCTTGGCTCACTGCGATCTCCGCCTCCCAGGTTCAAGCGATTCTCCTGCCTCAGCTTCCCGAGTGAGTAGCTGGGATTACAGGGACCTGCCACCTTGCCCGGCTAATTTTTTTACTTTTAGTAGAGATGGGGTTTCACCATGTTGGCCAGGCTGGTCTTGAACTCCTGACCTCTCAGGTGATCCACCCACCTTGGCCTCCCAAAATGCTGGGATTACAGGCGTGAGCCACTGCGCCTGGCCCAGACCTTTTTCATCTTCCCAAATCGTAACTCCATGACCATTAAATAATAACTCCCAGGCCAGGCACAATGGTTCAAGCCCATAATTTCACTATTTTGGGAGGCCGAGGTGGGCAGATCACGAAATCAGGAGTTCGAGACCAGCCTGGCCGACATAGTGAAACCCCAACTCTACTAAAAATACAAAAAAATTAGCTGGGCGTGTTGGTGGGCACCTGTAATTCCAGTTACTTAGGAGGCTGATGCAAGAGAATCACTTGAACCGGGAGGCGGAGGTTGCAGTGAGCCGAGATCATGCCACTGCACTCCAGTCTAGGCGACAGAGCAAGACTCCGTCTCAAAAAAACAAAACAATGACAACAAAAAAACCTCCCAATAACTCCCCAGCCCCTGGCAAATATCATTCTGTTTTTCCATCTCTGTGAATTTGACTACTCTAGGTACTAATGTGAATGAAATCATAGCGGTATTTGTCCTTTTGACTGGCATGTTTCACTTAGCATAGTATCTTCAAGGTTTATCTGTGTTGTAGTATATGTCAAAATTTCATTTCCTTCCTTTTTAAGGCTGAGTAATATTTCATTGTATGCATATACCACATCTTGTTTATTCATTCATCTGTTGCTGGACCCTCGGGTTACTTTTACCATTTGGCTCTTGTGAATAGTGCTATGAAAAAACAAATGCTGCTGCTATGAAAATGGCTGTAGTCTTGCAGTCCCTGCTTTAAATTCTTGTGGCTGCAGACCCAGAAGTTGAATTATTGGATCATATTAAACTGTACTCTTTTGTTGACCTCCTCTCAGGCCTTATTAATAAGGGACAGCTAGAAAATAGTGGTTCTTTTAATTCACATTCTACAAAAGCTTTAGAAGTCTTAGAAATCCTATTAACATATGCAGATGAACTAGTAATGACAGTCAAATTGCAACTATTACAAATAGTATTATTGGCCCAGTAAGTAAGAACTAAGCTACCATGTAACTTGGCAAGTTACATAGGATAGCCTTTTTTTTTTTGAGATGGAGTCTTGCTCTGTCACCCAGGCTGGAGTGCAATGGCACAACCTTGGCTCACTGCAACCTCCGCCTCCTGGGTTCAAGCGATTCTTCTGCTTCAGCCTTCCAAGTAGCTGGGATTACAGGTGCCCACCACCATGCCTGGCTAATTTTTGTATTTTTAGTAGAGACGGGGTTTCACCATGGTGAGCCACTGCGCCCAGCCATAGGATAGACTTTCATGTTAGTCAAACCGTAGGTTACTTTTAGAATATCACACATTTGCTAATTTGCTACCGAGATTTGCTGTACTAGAATTTTACTGTATTTTATTTTGTTTTGTTTTTGAGACAGGGTCTCACTCTGTTGCCTAGGCTGGAGTGCAGTGGTGTGATCTCAGCTCACTGTAACCTCCGTCTCCTGGGTTCAAGCGATTCTCCTGTCTCAGCCTCTCAAGTAGCTGGGACTACAGGCGTGTGCCGTCACGCCTGGCTAATTTTTGTATTTTTAGTAGATATGGGGTTTCACCATGCTGGCCAGACTGGTCTTGAACTCTTGACCTGAAGTGATCCACCCGCCTTGGCCTCCGAAAGTGCTGGCATTACAAGCATGAGCCACCACACCTAGCCAGAATTTTATTTAATTTAAGAAAATTTTTTCTACAAAGGGAATTTTATTGATGGCCCTAGTTTATTCCCTCCCAAAAGACCAACTGCAACCAGATTAAGTGAACACAACCTCAAGATTTTATTGTCTTCATAATAAAAGATGATGCTTATTACTGGATCGCTTCAGCCCATGGAACGGAGGGAGCAGTGAGTCGAGATGGCCATTGCACTCCAGTCTAGGTGACTGAACAAGACCATCTCAAAAAAAACAAAAATGAGTATGGCCCCAAATAGTATTATAATCAGTCCTTTGAAGACTGGTAATGTTGCCTACGTAAAGATAACAAGGTGCTGGTATCCCTTGTAATGGATGTGATCTGTATGACTGATAACTTTTCTTCTACAAAAGGTATATATGTGACTTTTATTACATAAACTGCTGCCAGAGTTGTTGATCACTTAGTTCCTGTTCTACCTGACTCTAGAAGACTACTAAGGATTGATTGTGGAATTAAAATATAATCTGAAGGTACAGCTGATCTCAGGATCCTCCAATTCAGGATGTCTTCTGTTACTAACTTCAGCAACCACATTTAATGTTCAAATTTAGCAGTAGTTACTAGCATCAAACTAACTTATCCATCCTCCATTATAGTAACAATTGACCAGCTAGAACAAAACACAGAATACTCAGTTAATTTCTTTTGAAAAGCCATTTGACCTGCTTGTGTCTGGATAAGATGAAGGAAAAGAGACATAATAGCTGTATCAATTTTTTTTTTTTTTTGAGATGGAGTCTCGCTCTTTCACCCAGGCTGGAGTCTAATGGCTTGATTTCAGGTCATTGCAACCTCCGCCTCCCGGGTTCAAGCAATTCACATGCCTCAGCCTCCCGAGTAGCTGGGACTACAGGTGCTTGCCACCACTCCCGGCCATTTTTTGTATTTTAGTAGAGACAGGATTTTGCCATGTTGGCTGGGCTGGTCTCCAACTTCTGACTGCAAGTGATCTGCCTGCCTTGGCCTCCCAAAGTGTTGACATTACAGACATAAGCCACTGCACCTGGCTTACTTTTTGTATTTTTAGTAGAAACAAGGTTTCACCATGTTGGCCAGGCTGGTCTTGAACTCTTGACCTCAGGTGATCTGCCCGCCTCGGCCTCCCAAAGCACTGGAATTACAGGCATGAGCCACTGTGCCTGGCCTGTGTCAAAAGCTTAGTGTCCAAATTTTGCAGCAGTTGAGTTCAGCCAACTTTGATCACATCTATACTGTATTTAGATTGTTAGGGGAATTTAAAAAAATCAACCAGATGTACTGTATACTTTTTTTTTTTTTTGTGACAAAGTCTTTGTTGCCTAGGCTGGAGTGCAGTGGCACGATCATGGCTCACTGCAGTCTCGACCTCCAGGGCTCAAGTGATCCTCCCACTTCAGCCTCCTGGTACATGGGACTACAGGGACACGGCACCACCACCCCAAGCTAATTTTTTTGTTTGTTTGAGACAGAGTCTTGCTCTGTTGTCCAGGCTGGAGTGCAGTGGCATCATCTTGACGCACTGCAACCACCACCTCCCAGATTCAAGTGATTCTTGTGCCTCAGCCTTCTGAGTAGCTGGGGCTACAGGCGTGCATCACTGTACCTGGCTGATTTTTGTATTTTCAGTAGAGATGGGGTTTCACCTTGTTGGCCAGGCTGATCTCGAACTCCTGACCTCAAGGGATCTGCCTGCCTTGGCCTTTCAAAGTATTGGGATTACAGGCATGAGCCCCTGCGCCTGGCCAATATTTTTGATAGAGAAGGAGTTTCACCACGTTGCCCAGGCTGATCTCGAACCCCTGACCTCAGGTGATCCACCCATCTCAAGTGATTCACCTGCCTCGGCCTCCCAAAGTGCTGGGATTACAGGTGTGAGCCACCGTGCCTGGCCCAGATGCATTGTATAGTCTTGAGGCATTTATAATCAGACAAACAGGGACTCAGATGCCTATGGCACATAGCTGAGGATGGACATGCTGATGGGAAGGTATTATGAGCCCAGAATAAGGGAGTATAATTAACTTGTTCATTGTGTATTGCTCAGAAAGCAGAATTAAGATTACTGTAGATTGGCTGGGTGTGGTGGCTCATGCCTATCATCCTAGCACTTTGGGAGACCGAGGCAGGTGAATCACTGGAGGTGAGGAGCTTAAGACCAGCCTGGCCAACATGGTGAAACCCCGTCTTTACTAAAAAATACAAAAATTAGCTGGGCATGGTGGTGGGCACTTGTAACCTCAACTACTTGGGAGGCTGAGGCAGGAGGATCACTTGAACACGGGAGGCGGAGGTTGCTGTGAGCCAAGATTGCACCACTGCGCTTCAGCCTGGGTGACAGAGCAAGACCCTATCTCCAAAAAAAAGGGAAACGATTACTGTAGATAAACAACCTCATGGCCGGGCATGAGGTGGTGGTGAGCCAAGATCACACCATTGCAGTCTAGCCTGCGCAACAGGAGGGAAACTCCATCTCAAAAAACAAAAAACTCAGAACAATTTTGATACAATATTATTAGGAATAAATTAAAGAATGATGAGTACAGGATAGCTTGGTTTTGAAGCTTAGCAAAAGAGTTTAGAGTCCAGGGCAGAGGCCTTTTTTATTTTTTATTTTTATTTTTAGATAGGGTCTCGCTCTGTCACCCAGGCTGGAGTGCAGTGGCGCAGTCTTGGTTCACTGCAACCTCCGCCTCCCAGGCTCAAGTGATCCTCCCGCCTCAGCTTCCCAAAGTGATGGGATTACATGCGTGAGCCACCACGCCTGGCCGAGACGTGTTTTTAAATAATTAATCTTGATTAGTTTCCTTGAAGTCTAGGTATGTGGTAAAAAATTTTAAAAATTATATATATATATATTTTTTGGAGACGGAGTCTTACTCTGTCACCCAGGCTGGAGTGCAATGTCATGATCTCGGCTCACTGCAACTTCCACCTCCCAGGTTCAAGCGATTCTCCTGTCTCAGCCTCCCGAGTAGCTGGGATTATGGGCGCACACCGCCATGCCCAGCTAATTTTTTTTTTGTTTTTTAGTAGAGACGGGGTTTCATCGTGTTGTCGAGGCTTTGGTCTCGAACTCCTGAGCTCAGGCAATCCACCCACCTCTGCCTCTCAAAGTGCTGTGATTATAGGCGTGAGCCACCATGCCTGGCCCCAAAATTAAAATTTTTTACTAGTTAATATATAGTACACAATTCAGAATCTTTCACAGATATACAGTGAAACATCTCTTCTACATTTCTCCCTTATCCACCTGGTTTCCTTCCTAGAGACAACTGTTATAAAGTTTCTTATATTTGAGAGATATATCTGCAAATACTTTTGTATATTCAACCCTTCCATTTTTAAAAAATGCAACTATATTATATAAACTATTGTGCATTTTGCTTCTTGTGCTTAAGATATTTCAGGAATTGTTTTACATTCATACATATAGAGCTTCCTTGTTCTGTTTTTCAAGGCTGCTTTGTATTTCATTGTATGGCTGAACCGTTTCCTGTTGATGGACACTTAGATGGACAGCAGTGTTTTGTTGATATAAATAGTGCTATAGTGAATAATCTTGTACATAATGTCATTTAACACACATTCAGATACATTTACGGGATAAATCCCTAGAAATGGAATTGCTTTTTTCAAGGATATATGCATTTGTAATTTTAGTAGATATGGCCACATTCTTCTCCATGGAGAGGGGGAATTTGTCTCCCATGGTCAAGTATGGCAAGGGGTGGACAGGCATCAGGGTCCTTGAACTCTGTGAAATGATAGGTAAATATTTGTGTGTGTATATACATGGATGTATATTTTTCTTTAGAAAGAGTCCATGGTTTTATTACGTTCTTAGAAAGTTGTTTGGGGCTGGGCACGGTGGCTCATGCCTGTAATCCCAGCACTTTGGGAGGCTGAGGCAGGTGGATCACGAGGTCAGGAGATTGAGACCATCCTGGCTAACATAGTGAAACCCCGTCTCTACTAAAAGTACAAAAAAAATTAGCTGGGCATGGTGGGGGGCGCCTGTAGTCCCAGCTACTCGGGAGGCTGAGGCAGGAGAATGGTGTGAACCCGGGAGGCAGAACTTGCAGTGAGCCAAGATCGCACCACTGCACTCCAGCCTGGGCAACAGAGCGAGACTCCATCTCAAAAAAAAAAAAAAAAAGTTCTTTGGCCAGGCACAGTGGCGAGGCCCAGCACTTTGGGTGGCCAAGGCAAGAGGACCATTGAGCCTAGGAGTTTGAGACCAGCCTGGGCAAAGTGGTGAAACCCCATCTCTACAAAAAATACAAACAATTAGCCGGGCATGGTGGCATGTGCCTATAGTCCCATCTGCATCTGTCCAGGAGGCTGAAGTGGGAGGATCACCTGAGCCTTGGAGGTTGAGGTCAAGGCTAGAGTGAGTTGTATTTGCACTTCTACACTTCAGCCTGGGTAACAGAGTGAGTCCCTGTCTCAGAAAAAAAAAAAAAAAAAATTCTGTGACTCAAAATAGGTTAAAGAAACCACTGACTTGTAGTTAGTTGACCTGAATTAAGCACACTGCTTTGTTTTTCTCTACACAGTATTTTTCTCTTACAGGAAGTATTTGAGCAGAAGCTATGTACATAATTATTAGAGATGTTGTGTGGAAAGTCATTGTGGAAGAGACTGGACTAAATCTAATTCCCAACCTTTTACTGTTATTCCTCCCACTCTTGAGACCATGTTTTAAAAGGCTTTTTCCCCCATTATTAGACTGAATTTATTAAGCAGTACTTTATTTCTCCAATTTTATTAATGAGAGCTTTAGATAGTTTGTGGTAAGTTTTACTACAGGGAGTTGAAATCCTTTCATCTATTAGGAGTTGATAAAAGTTGAGCTAAAGTCAAGCCAATTTGACATTTGTATTGTATTGTATTCTT
Source organism: Homo sapiens (assembly GCF_000001405.40). Taxonomy (NCBI): domain Eukaryota; kingdom Metazoa; phylum Chordata; class Mammalia; order Primates; family Hominidae; genus Homo; species Homo sapiens. The sequence goes on from NC_000007.14 coordinate 128,551,612, forward strand.
TTGAGACAGAGTTTTGCTCTTGTTGCGCGGGCCAGAGTGCAGTGGCACGATCTAGGCTTACTGCAACCTCCACCTCCCAGGATCAAGTGATTCTCCTACCTCAGCCTCCTAAGTAGCTGGGGTTACAGTCCTGTGCCACCATGCCCAGCTAATATTTTGTATTTTTAGTAGATACGGGGTTTTACCATGTTGGCCAGGCTGGTCTCGAACTCCTGACCTCAGGTGATCCACCCACCTTGGCCTCCCAAAGTGCTGGGATTACAGGTGTGAGCCACCGTGCCCAGCCCAATCTGACATTTTAACTAGACTGTGTCGGTGAAAAATAATTCAGAGACCCTCATTATTACCTCTTGGACTTACTGAAGATATGAAGAACAAACCTTTATACCTGATAATGTCCATATTTCTTTTGAATTCTGTGTGTGTAAAATAGGTTTAAATGAGGGCTTACATTAAATTCTGCAAGTACTATTGCAAGGAAAATTTCATTCACCATAACAGATTCCTTAGGGCTTTCAGGTTTTGGGATATTGGAATTAATTTGTAATATACATATTATCAAAAGTTACAATTCCTAGTTTTTAGGTCTTGGAGAGAAAACAGTAGCACCATGTAATTAATTAGAAAGTTAAAAGATTTAGTTAACTTAAACATAGTTGATAGTGTTGTATAAAGCCCAGTCTTTTTTTTTTTTTTTGAGACAAAGTCTTGCTCTATCGCCCAGGCTGGAGCGCAGTGGCACAATCTCGGGTCACTGCAACCTCTGCCTCCTGGGCTCAAGCGATTCTCCTTTCTCAGCCTCCCAAGTAGCTGGGATTACAGGTGTGTGCCACCACACCCAGCTAATTTTTTGTATTTTTAGTAGAGGTGGGGTTTTGCCATTTTGGCCAGGCTGGTCTCGAACTCCTGACCTCAGGTTATTCACCTGCCTTGGCCTCCCAAAGTGCTGGGATTACAGGCATGAGCCACCGGGCCTAGCCAAGCCCTGTCTTTTTTACTGTATTATTATTTGGTAGCTCATTTTGAAAGAGAATTTTTCTAGAGATGATTAGAATATTTTATGTGGGGAAAAGTGAGTTAGACCTGTATGTCTTGCTTGATACTGGAGCAAAAGTTAAAAGGTCTCAGCTCTTGAACAGCTATTTCTTTGGTTTATTTGTTTGTTTGTTTGAGACACAGTCTCTGTCACCCAGGCTGGAGTGCAGTGGCGCAGCCATGGCTCTCTGCAGCCTCAACCTCCAGGGCTCACGAGACCCTCCCACCTCAGCCTCCCTGAGTAGCTGGGACCGTAGGCATGCGCCACTGTCCCCAGCTAATTTTTGTATTTTTTGTAAAGACGAGGTTGGTCAGGCGCAGTGACTCATGCCTGTAATCCCAGCACTTTGGGAGGCTGAGGCGGGTGGATCACCTGAGGTCAGGAGTTCAAGACCAGCCTGGCGACCACGGCAAAACCCTGTCTCTACTAAAAACATAAAAATTAGCCGGGCTTGTTGGTGTGCGCTTGTAGTCCCAGCTACTCGGGAGGCTGAGACAGGAGAATCGCTTGAACCCAGGAGGTGCAGTGAGCCGAGATTGAGCTTCTACATTCCAGCCTGGGTGACAGAGTAAGACTCCGTCTCACAAAAAAAAAAAAAAAAAAAAAAAAAAAAGGACGGTGTTTTGCCACATTGCCCAGCCTGGTCTCGAACTCCTGGGTTCAAGTGATTCGCCCGCCTCAGCCTCCCAGAGTGTTGGGATTACAGGTGTTAGGCACCGTGCCCAGCCTATTTTTTACCTACTAATAGTGCTCAGTAAGGAAAACAAAGAAAATTGTTATATACTCTGGACCAGAACTCAAGGAGCCATTTGTTGTATAGTATTATTTGTTTGCCAGGCAAGGTGGCTTACGCCTGTAATCCTAGCACTTTGGGAGGCCGAGGTGGGTGGATTGCCTGAGCTCAGGAGTTTGAGACCAGCCTGGGCAACATGGTAAAACCCTGTCTCTACTAAAAATACAAAAAATTAGCCGGGCATGGCGGCGTGTGCCTGTAATCCCAGCTACTCGGGAGGCTGAGGCACGAGAATTGCTTGAACCTGGGAGGCAGAGGTTGCATTGAGCCGAGATCGTGCAACTGCACTCTAGCCTGGACGACAGAGCGAGACTCAGTCTAAAAAAAAAAAGAAAAAAAGAATTATTTGTTGTGAAAAACTTATTTTAACAAGTTCTCCAAAGTTTTATTTATTTCTAAAATAAAAGATCAGAACAAAATTCTTATTATGGGCCATTCTTACAGAACTTTTTAGAGTGCCATTTGCTATAATGGGATCCTGCTTTTACTAGCAAACCTTTTATTACAATGAATTTCCTAGATCAGGTCTTTGTTGTTATTATTTTATTTTTTAAAGAGATGAGGGTCTCCCTATGTTGCCCAAGCTGGAGTGCAGTGGTATGATCATAGTTCACTGCAGCCTTAAACTCCTGGGCTCAAGTGATCCTCCCGCCTCAGCCTGCCAAGTAGGGAAGACTACAAGTGTGTACTACCACACCTGGCTAATTGTATCTTTATATTTAAAAGAATGGAAAAAGATACTGTATAAACAGTATCACTAAATATAAAAAAGCTAAGTATAAACACTAAGTATAAAAAAGCTAGAGTGATTTTTATTAGACAAAGGAGACCTCAGAACAAGAAAAATATTGGTAGGAGTAATGAAGCACGATTCGTCACGAAAGAAGGATCAATTTTTTGAGAAGACACAGCGGTCCTAAATGTATATGCATCCAGTAACAGAGTGGAAGCAAAAACTGACAGTTGAAAGGAGAAATAGACAAATCCACAATTACATTTGGAAATTGCAACATTCTTCCTCAATAACTGATAGAACAAGCAGGCAAAAAATCAGTAAGGTTATAGAAGATTTGGACAGTACTCTCAATGGACTATACTTAATTGACATTTACAGAACACTCTGCCCACATTCTTTTCAAGTGCACATGGAACATTTACCAAAATAGACCATATGCTGGGCTACAAAACACATTTCAACAAATTTAAAAGGATTGAAACGTAGTGTCTACTCTGACTACAATGGAATTAAATTAGAAATGAAAAAGATACCTGGAAAGTCTCCAAATATTTGAAAGTGAAATAACATACTTCAAAATAACCTTTGGGTCAAAGAACTCACAAAGGAAATTAGAAAATATTCATAACTAAATGAAAATGAAAACACAATATATCAAAATTTGTGAGATACTAGAAAATATTTGTGGGCCGGGCGCGGTGGCTCATGCCTGTAATCCCAGCACTTTGGGAGGCCGAGGTGGGCGGATCACGAGGTCAGGAGATCGAGACCATCCTGGCTAACATGGTGAAACCCCATCTCTACTAAATATACAAAAAATTAGCCGGGCGTGGTGGCAGGTGCCTGTAGTCCCAGCTACTCGGGAGGCTGAGGCAGGAGAATGGTGTGAACCTGGGAGGCGGAACTTGCAGTGAGCCAAGATCGCGCCACTGCACTCCAGCCTGGGTGACAAAGCAAGACTCCGTCTCAAAAGAAAAAAAAGAAAATATTTGTAATTAAATGAAAATGAAAACACAGTATATCAAAATTTGTGGGATACAGCTAATACAGTGCTTTAGAAGGAAACTTCAGCTTTAAAAGAAAGGTCTAAAATCAGTGACCTAACATTCTGCCTTAATAGAAAGAGAAATCTAAATAGAAGAGAAATAATAAAGAGCTAAAGTAAATGAGATAGAAAACAAGGCCGGGTGAGGTGGCTCACTCCTGTAATCCCAGCACTCTGGTTGGCCAAGGTGGGCGGATTGCTTGAGTCTAGGAGTTTGAGACCAGCCTGGGCAATATAGCAAAATACAAAAATACTAAAATACAAAAATACTGGAAGAAAAAACAAATGAAAAAAAAAAAGAAAGAAAGAATGAGAATCTGAATAACCCCATATTTATTACAGAAATTGGATTAAAAATCTTCCCACAAAGCCAGGCACGGTGACTCATGGCTCTAGTCCTAGCACTTTGGGAAGCTAAGGCAGGAGGATCACTTGAGCCCAGGAGTTTGAGACCAGCCTGGGCAATATAGCGAGACTCATCTCTACAAAAAATATAAATGAATAAAAATTAGTCAGGTGTGGTGGTGCACGCCTGTGGTCCCAGCTACTTGAGAGACTGAGTTGGGAGGACTGCCTGAACCCAGGAGGTTGAGGCTGGAATGCAGTGGCACAATCACTGTCACAAACAAACAATCAAACAAAGTCTTCCTAAAAAGAAGAATCCAGACCTACATGGCTTTGTTGGTAAATTCTATCAAACATTTAAGGAAAAAATACCAATTTTTTTTTTTTTAACAAATTTCACAAGACATTTATGAGGCCAGCATTACCTTGATACCAAACCAGACCAAGACATTAGGAAAAAAGAAAACTGTAGCTCAGTATCCCTCAATATATATACAGAAATAATTAACAAAATATTAGAAAATTGAATCTAGCAGTGAATAAAAACATAACTAATTGGATTATCCCAGTTGCAAAGTTGATTTAGCATTAGAATTCATTGTAATTCACCATATTAATAGAATAAAGGAGAAAAGCTAAGTGGCTTTGTAATAGTTACCCAAAAAGCATTTGACAAACTTTTAACACTATTTGTGATAAAAGCTCTCAGCTAACTAGGAATAGAAGGGAACTTCTTTAATCTGATAAAAGGCATTTATGAAAAATATATAAGTAACATCATACTTATGGTAAAAGAATGAATGCTTTCTATATAATACTCCAAACAAGTCAATGATAATTGTTTTCGCAACCTCTATTAAACGTTCCAAAGGTCCTAGCCAATGAAATAAGACAAGTAAAAGGAATAATCTTACAGATTACAAAGTAAAAGTAAAACTATTTATTCTTTAGATGTCATGATTGTACACATAGAAAGCCCTAAGTAAGCTATAAAAAAGCTACTAGAATTTAAGTTTAGCTAGAATATAAATCAATTTGGAAGATCTAGTTGTATTTCTCATACTAGCAATGAACAATTGGCAGTTGAAGTAAAAGCAAAAAAAAAAAAAGCAAATCATTTATAATAGCATCAAATAATGTGCAATGTTAAAACATTCCCCAAGAACAGAAGAAATTATTTTATATTCTTGTTTCATGGATGAAGGCATTCAGGTGCAGAGGATTAAAGAACATTAATTTGTTCATAAGCATGTCTTTATAAACATCTATGTAGTAGATACTGTGCTAGGGATATAGTAGTAAATAAAAACATTGACCCGTGCCCTCATAAAATTTATAATCTAATGGAAATTGAAAGGAGAAATAAATGTAGGGCCTCAGTTTCCGGCTTTGGCTTAACTTTTTTTTTTTTTTTTGAGACGGAGTCTTGCTCTCTCGCCCAGGCTGGAGTGCTGTGGCGCGATCTTGGCTCACGGCAAGCTCCGCCTCCCAGGTTCACGCCATTCTCCTGCCTCAGCCTCCCCAGCAGCTGGGACTACAGGCACATGCCGCCACGCCTGGCTAATTTTTCTATTTTTAGTAGAGACGGGGTTTCACTGTGTTAGCCAGGATAGTCTTGATCTCCTGACCCTGTGATCCGCCCGCCTTGGCCTCCCAAAGTGCTGGAATTACAGGTGTGAGCCACCGCACCGGGCCTGGCTTAACATTTTTTATTTAGATGAGTGGTTCAAAGCTTTTACTTTTTAGTGATAACTTTTTTTTTTTTTTTTTTGAGACAGAGTCTCACTCTGTCACTTAGGCTGGAGTGCTGTTGCACAATCTCAGCCCACTGCAACCTCTGCCTCCCGGGTTCAGGTGATTCTCATGCCTCAGCCACCCTAGTTGCTGGGATTATGGACGTGTGCCACCATGCCTGGCTAATTTTTGTGTTTTTAGGAGAGATGGGGTTTTGCCATGTTGGCCAGGCTGCTCTTAAACTCCTGGTCTCATGTGATCCTCCTGCCCCAGTCTCCCAAAGTGCTGGGATTACAGGCATGAGCCACAGCACCTGGCCTAGTTATATCTTTTTTTTTTTTTTTTTTTTTGAGACAGAGTTTCCCTCTTGTTGCCCAGGCTGGAGTGTAATGGCGTGATCTCAGCTCACTGCAGCCTCCCCCTCCCAGGTTCAAGCGATTCTCCTGCCTCAGCCTCCGGAGTAGCTGGGATTACAGGCATGTGCCACCACCCCAGCTGATTTTTTTTTTTTTTTTTTGTATTTTTAGTAGAGATGGGGTTTCTCCATGTTGGTCAGGCTGGTCCGGAACTCCCGACCTCAGGTGATCCACCCGCCTCAGCCTCCCAAAGTGCTGGGATTATAGGCGTGAGCCACCACGCTCGGCCAGTTATATCTTAAATATTGTGACTTGTTGAATAATTTGGCCCCCATGAGTGGCAAGTTATTTTGTTGTAATACATGCTTGGTAGTTCATAGGGTGGTTGAAACTGGTTGGTTGGTTAAAATTTCATGTTAAGGATGGTCCATGCAGGACTCCCATATAGGGGAAAAGAAGTAACTAATAATCTTCATTGAGCACCAACTATATTTCAGGCACTGTATTACCCTCATCCCCAACATATAGTACTGTTTTATTTAATCCTTGAAACATCCATAAAGTAGGTGGTTTTTACTCTTGAAATCCACAGATTTCAAGAAGAGCTAATAGAACTTCAGTGATTTGCCCAGTTTCATACAGTGGTTCAGAGATTTAGTCCCACACCTATTTGACTTTAAACTGTCAGGACCAACTGTTCTCTGTTGATCATACCCTTGGACCATCCCATGTGTTCCTAGTCAGGAGGAAATGCAAGTAAATGAGATTAATTTTTTAGGCAGGGCATGGTGGCTCATGCCTATAATCTCTGCACTTTGGGAGGCCAAGGTGGGTGGATCTGTAGAGCCCAGGAGTTTGAGACCAGCCAGGGCAACATAGTAGGACCCCACCTCTACCAAAAAATTAAATTTAAAAAAGCCGGGCATGGCAGCATGAACTTGTAGTCTCAGCTACTTGGGAGGTGGGAGGATTGCTTGAGCCTGGGAGGTTGAGGCTGCCAGTGAGCTGTGATGGCACCACTGCACTGAGCCTGGGCGACAGAGCGAGACCTTATCTTTAAAAAATGTATGTATATAGTGCTAATTTTGAGTCTATTTTATTATTTATTATTTTGAGACTGAGTCTCACTCTGTCACCCAGGCTGGAGTATAGTGGCGTGATCTTGGCTTACTGCAACCTCCGCCTCGCAGTTTCAAGTGATTCTTCTTCCTTAGCCACCTGAATAGCTGGGACTACAGGCGTGCGCCACCATGCCTGGCTAATTTTGGAAGTCTTAGTAGAGACAGGGTGTTGTTGTGCTGCCCAGGTCTCGAGCTCCTGACCTCAAGTGATCCACTTGACTCAGCCTCCCAGAGTGTTGGAATTACAGGTGTGAGCCACTCTGCCTGGCCGTGATTTTATTTTAAAAGTATGTCACTCACAAGAAAAAACACTGTCAGGATTTCTTGTGATGCACCTCACAGCTGATATGTCAAAATGCCAGTTTTATTTCTCATTTTAAAATTTTGTTTTAGAGGCAGGATCTTGCTCTCTTGCCCAGACTAAAGTGCAGTGGTGCAGTCATAGCTCACTGCTAGCTCATTGCTGCCTCAAACTCCTGGACTTAAGTGATCCTCACAACTCAGCCTTGCAAGAAGTGAAGACTACAGTCATGCACTACCATACCCAGCTTTTTTTTTTTTTTTTTTTTTTTTTTTTTTTTTTTTTTAGTGGAGACCGGGTCTCACCGCATTGCTCAAGCTGTCTTGAAGTCCTGGCCTCAAGTGGTCCTCCCGCCTTAGACTCCCGAAGTGTTGGGATTACAGGCATGAGCCACCACATGCAGCTCAAGACACCAGTTGTTTTTTTCTTCTTTTTTTCTATTTTTTGTTTTTATTTTTGAGACACCATTTAAAAAATGCTTTTAATACACTTTGTTTTCAAATTTTTTTGAGACATATTCTTGCTGTGTCACCCAGAATGTTGGGTGGAATGTTGACTCCTGCATCTTATTATTATACCAATTCCAGGCTGGAGTGCAGTGGTGCGATCAGGGCTCACTGCAACCTCTATCTCTTGGGCTCAATTGATCTTCCTACCTCAGCCTCCTTAGTAGCTGGGACTACGGGTGCATGCCATCATGCCTGGCTAATTATTTATTTATTTTTGTAGAGATGGGGTTTTGCCATGTTGCTCAGGCTGGTCTCAAACTCCTGGGCTCAAGTGATCCTCCTGCCTCGGCCTCCCGAAGTGCTGGGATTACAGGTGTGAGCCTCCGCACCCAGTCAATACACTTTAATCCAAGTCAGTGTCTATTTAAATTGTAAGTTAGTTTAACTCTGAACCATGAGCCTGTACCTTGGAAATATGTAATTTAGAGTCATAAGTAACAGTTATCTAGCTGAGAGTCATATGTGGGTTATACCAAATGTACTGCCATCATGTGATTATAGGTTAGTAGTGTAATTTTTGGAATTGGTAGGTCACAGATGAGATTGCTATGGCTTGGTGGAAAGCTCTCCGAACTGTCTTCTCCAGGCAGATAGGTAGAACCTGGAACCAGTGCTAGGACGTGTGTGTATGTAGGAGGTAGTCATTGGTGATATGAACTTAAAGTTGCTATCTTAACTTCTGGGCCTTGAAGGAAGGCCATATTAGTGATGTCTGCTTAGTTCTTTATAGTAAACTTGTTAACGCTTGTGCCACAGTCAAGAACCAGAACTGGAATGTTGACTCCTGCATCATCTTACACCAGTTCCAGTAGGAATTTTGTTATACAGTTTCTACTGGAGATGGCAGTGGGATTTTTTTTCTTTTTTTTCCTCATATGTGAAGTAATAGTCTCTTCACAACAGAAGAAGCCACAAAACTAAACTTATTGGTCACTGAATTTTCTTCAAGGTTACGTACCTCTTTGGTATTTTAAATCTAGATTATGTTGATTTTTATATTTTTGTTCTCATTTTTCTATTTCTTTGTTTTCTTTACTGTGAATGTGCTCCAGGATTTTGTACAGAGCTTCTAGTTTCTGTCTGTAATTTAAATATTGAATTTGTTCTCGATAAAAGAGAACTTTTTAGCATAAAGAGAAAGCTAAAAACATAGATTATAGGCCCCATAATGAAATATATAGTAGTTGCATATGGCTATTGCTTCTATGTGTATTGGAATTGTACTGTTTTCTCTTAGGATTTGTTTTTTCTTTAATGATTAATTTCCAGTTATATAAAGAATGTTTGCATACTTTTATAATAATGAGAACTGTAATAGCTCATTTTCCGCTCAGCAGATGATTTTGGAGATCTACCAGGTAGATGTTGATACATACAGACCTAGTTTGGGTCATTGTTCTTTAAATAATCATCCTGTAAACACATTTATTTACAGTGTTTTGTCACTTATTGAAAGTGGGTTTTTTTTTTTGGCGGGGCGCAGTGAGTCACATCTGTAATCCCAGCACTTAGGGAGGCTGAGGCAGGAGAATCACTTGAACCCAGGAGGTGGAGGTTGCGGTGAGCCGAGATTGTGCCATTGTACTGCAGCCTGGGCAAAAGAGCAAAACTCTGTCTCAAAAGAAAAAAAAAAGGTAAACTTTTTTTCACTTGACCTAGAACTCTTCTGTTTATACACATCAAGTAAGAACTTAACAGATTTCACATCTGTTTCACTTCTAGGAATGTTGTAAGGTCTCTGGGAGTCAAACTATTTTGATTGCTATTTTGACTCTGGTATGGTGTGAAAAGGTAGTACTACTAGTGACTAAAATAAAAAGCATAGAGACCTTTAGTTTTTTTAAATGGCGTTATCTTCTTTACTGGAGTTTGACTTTGTTGGCAGCTATGCTTCTTTATACCTAGGCAGGCTTAACTTTTGTCTTCTGTTCTCAGTCCCTTTTAAGCAGCCAATTTGGTCTAAGGAGGAAATGAAAACTTCAGAAACTCAGTAAATGTTGACATTTAAACATTTACAGGAGTGAAAGATTAACCTATGGTCTCTACAAATTTTTCTTAGTTTATATGAGCCTCCTTCGTGGTGCTAAAGGGCTGGTAGTCAACATTTGCATCTTAACCTCAGTGTTCATGGATTTATAATTTATCCACAGAATTTTCTCTAGGCTTGTAACTAAAGTATTTTTTAAGATCCCCCTAGAAAAAAAAGTACATTTTAAGTATATTAGAAACATGTTTTATTTTTGCAAACTGTACTCTTTTAAAAACAAGAAACTTGACTCTTGTTCATCTTCTAAACTGTCCATTTGATTTTTTTACTTAGAAAATTATTATCAGCAGGAGACGGGAGGTAGTTTAAATGTTGTCATAGACAATAGAACTTTTATGGAGAGATCTTATCAAAATTAGTTTTGATTTAACAAATCAGACTAGTTAAATTTCTTTAAATTTGTGAAATTAAGAAATTTAAACTAGTAAATTAAAAAAATTTCCTGGTTTTTTTTTTTTTTGAGTCTGTGGGTGGCTCTTTTAAAGGATAATTTTCCCTCCCAAGTGATATGGATATTAGTAAGCATTCTCCCAGATAGCTATTATATAGCAAATGACAAGTAACAGACTATTTTACTAAGAAAATAAGATAAAATGCCACATAGTTAAACTTAAATAATGTGGACAAAGAAGCATTTAATGTACAAGAGTATGAATTTACCATTCAATTTATGGTTTTAGGAAAACTAGAAAAGAGGAGGAAAAAACAGTAAATATGCAAGAAGAAATAAATACATTGCAAAACAGAAGAATGGGAAATAATCAAGAGTTGGAAAATTAGGAAACAAAAGGCAAAATGAAGGAGAGTACATCAGATATAACAAAAGGTACTGAGGACTTACAAAAAGAAAATACTGGAAGTGAATGTTGTTATATGAAAGTCTCAATGCATAAATAATTTCAAAGATACTAGGAATTAATACTGACGAAATAAGACATAAAAATCAGAATAGGGGCCAGGCGCGGTGTTTCATGCCTGTAATCGCAGCACTTTGGGAGGCCGAGGGCAGGCAGATCACCTGAAGTCAGGAGTTTGAGACCAGCCTGGGCAACATGGTAAAACCCTGTCTTTACTAAAAATACAAAAATTAGCCAGGCGTGGTGTGCGCTTGTAATCCCAGCTACTTGGGAGGCTGAGGCACAAGAATTGCTTGAACCCGGGAGGTGGAGGTTGTAGTGAGCCGAGATCGCACCACTGCACTCCTGCCTGGGCAATAGAGTGAGACTCCATCTCAACAACAACAACAACAAAACCAGAATAGACTCCTGTAACCAAGAAAAAAATTGAGGCGATTATAAAACTACTTCCTCCTCTCTAGGTGTTGATTTCTCCTAACCTTTTATTTTATTTATTTATTTATTTATTTATTTATTTATTTTTTGAGACAGGGTCTTGCTCTGTCACCCAGGCTAGAGTGCAATGGTACAAACATAGCTCACTGCAGCCTCGACCTCCTGGGCTCAGGCAGTTCCCCTACCTCAGCCTCCCAAGTAGCTGGGACCACAGGCATGGGCCACCACACCCGGGTAATTTTCTAATTTTTTGTAGAGATGGGATCTTGCTATGCTGCCCAAGCTGGTGTGGAACCCTTGGGGTCAAGTAATCTTCCCTCCTCAGCCTCCCAAATTGTTGAGATTATAGGTGTGAGCCACCACTCCTGGTCTCTCCTAACCTTTTAAGAAGCAGATACTTCTCATGTTGAATAATATGATAGAAGTAAACAACTCTGACAGCAAAATGACAAACATGAAAAAGTAAAAGTGAATGTATAGATGTTTAAAATAAAATAAAAATACTAGTAAATGGCCACAGCAGATTATTCCTTTGTTTTGTTTCAAGTAGTTTATCCCAGGAATGTCAAACAAGTTCGTGTTTAAAAACTCAGTAATATATCTAGAGTCAGTGCTGTGGTTTGAATGTGTCCCTTCCAAAATTCAGGTGTCGCCAGTGTATTAAGAGGTGATTAGGTAAAGAGAGCTCCTCCTCTCATGAATGGGACTAGGTATCCTTTTAAAGGCTTGATGGCGTAACCTTGTCTGTTTTTACACCTTGCCATGTGAGGACAGTGTCCGTCCCCTCTTGCCCTTCTGCCTTCTACTTTGTGAGGATGTAGGATTCCTTCCCTCTGGAGGACACTGTTGAAGGCACCATCTTGGAAGCAGAGCCTGGACCCTCACCAGACACCTAACCTGCTGGTGCCTTGGTATTATACTTCCCAGCCTCCAGAACTGTCAGAAATTAAATTTCTGTTTTTCATAAATTACCCAGTCTGCTGGGTTCAGTGGCTTATGCCTGTAATCCCAGCACTTTGGGAGGTGGAGGCGAGCGTACTGCTTGAGCCGTTCGAGACCAGCCTGGGCAAAGTGGTGAAACCCCGTCTCTACATAAACACAAAAATTAGCCAGACGTGGTGGCATGTGCCTGTAATCACAGCTACTTGGGAGGCTGAGGCAGGAGGATTGCTTGAGCCCAGAGGTCAAGACTGCAGTGAGCCAGGATTGGAACACTGCACTCCAGCCTGGGTGACAGAGCGAGACCCTGTCTCAAAAAAAATTACCCAGTCTCAGGCATTCTGTCATAACAGCACCTACAGACTAAGTATGGCTTAATGGTGAGAAGTACTTTTTTTGAACCAGATAGGCTTGGTTCAGATCTTGGCTTTGCTTCCTAATGACTGTGTGACCTTGAATGAGTTTATTGATCTTCTCTTATGCTTTCCTCATCTATAAGTGAGTAATAAGAGCAGCTACCTCACAAGGTAGGGCAACCATAACAGATACCACAGACTGTGTGGCTTAAACAACAGAAATTTATTTTCTTATAGTTCTGAAGGCTAGAAGTGCAATAGCAAGGTGTCAGCAGGTTTGGTTTCTTCTGAGGCCTTTCTCCTTGGCTTGCAGATGTCTGCCTCCTTCCTGTGGCCTCATATTGTAGTCCCTCTGTGTGCATACCTGTCTGTGCGTGCTCACTTGCTCTCTCATTCTTTGCCCTGATCTTCTCTCATAAGAATACCAGTTTTATTGGATTTATGCTTCTATCTCCAAATACACTAAAGTACTGGAGATTAGGGCTTCAACATAGGAATTTTGGGAGGACACAGTTCAGCTCATAACAGGTTGTTATGAGGGTTAAATGCCCTGATATACCTGGCCCTAGCAAATGCTACTTAAGTGTTGGTTATCATTATTATTACTTTACGATAATAAGTAATACATAAAACCCCAAAAACTTTAGAGAAATCTTTTTTATTTCAGAGTAATTAGAGATTGGCAGGAAGTTGCACAAAATGTATAGGAAGGTTCTGTTCATGCACCGTGCATCTCTCCTCATGTATAATTCTAGTACATTATTAAAACCAAAAAATTGACATTGGTACAATCCATAGGACTAATTCACATTTCAAGTTATAAATGAATCATTTGTGTGTGTGTATTACACTTCTAGGCAATTTTATCACATGTGTAGCTTGTAACCACTACAGTCAAAATGCAGAACTACTTCATCACAAGGCTCTTTCCTGCTACACGTTTGTAGCCACACCCACCCACTCTCCCTTAAAAACTTAATTCTTGACAACTACAGATCTATTTTCCTCTATAATTTCATTATTTCAAGAATGTAATATATATAAATGGAGTCACAAAGTAAACAACCTTTTATTTTGAGACAGAGTCTCACCCTGTCACTCAGGCTGGCATGCAGTGGTGCGATCTTAGCTCACTGCAGCCTCTGCCTCCTGGGTTCAAGTGATCCTTCCATCTCAGCCTCCAGAGTAGCTGGGACTACAGGTGCATACCACCACGCTAGCTAATTTTTAAATTTTTTGTAGAGACAGGGTCTCACTATATTGGCCAGGCTGGTCTTGAATTCCTGGGTTCAAGCAATCTTCCTGCCTTGGTCTCCCAAAGTGCTAGGATTACAGGTGTGAGCCACTGCACCCAGCCTTTGAGATTGGCTTTTTTTCACTCAGCATAATTTCCTTGAAGTTCCAAGATTTTGCATATATAAATAGGCCATTCCTTTTTATTGCTGTGCAGTGTTCCATGATGTGGATATAGTACACTTTGCTTAACCATTGCCTCCATGAGGACATTTGGTTTGTTTCCAGTTTTTGGCTATTATGAACAAAGCTACTCTGAACATTCTTATAGAGGTTTTTACACCAACATGTTTTTCTTTCTTTGGAATAAATGTTCAAGATTACAATTGCTGGGTCAAATGATAAGTTTTAAGTGCCTTTTTAGTTTTAAAAGAAACTGTCAAAAAAGGCTTTACCTTTTTACATTGTCACCAGCAATACATGTAAGTGATTCAGTTTCTCTACATCCTTGACAGCGTTTAGCGTTGTTGCTATTTTTTATTTTAATCATTCTTAAAGGTGTGTAATGAAATCTCATTGTGGTTTAAACTTTTATTTCCCTAAAGGCTAATGTGTTGAACATCTTTTCTTGTGCTCATTAGCCATCTTTACATCACCCCTCCTTTTTTTTTTTTTTGAGATGGAGTTTCGCTCTTATTGCCCAGGCTGGAGTACAAATGGCATGGTCTCGGCTTACTGCATGCAACCTCTGCCTCCTGGGTTCAAGCAGTTCTCCTGCCTCAGCCTCCTAAGTAGCTGGGATTACAGGCATGCACCACCACACCTGGCTAATTTTGTATTTTTCAGTAGAGACGGGGTTTCTCCATGTTGGTCAGGCTGGTCTCGAACTCCCGACCTCAGGTAATCCGCCCGCCTCAGCCTCCCAAAGTGCTGGAGAGCCACCGCCCCTGGCCTACATCCTCTTTAGTAAAATGTCTATTCATATTTTTTGCCAGTTTTCTAATTGGAATTCTTTAGATAGTCTAATCTCAAGTTCTTTGGTAGATGTGTGACTTGAAAATATTTTCTTCCAGTCAGTAATTTGTTTCCTCATCCTGTTTACAGGGTCTTACTCTGTACTTTTGATGAGCTTCCATTTATCAGTGTTTCCTTTTGTGGATTAGAGCTTTTGGTGTCAAGTCTAGGAACTGTTGGCTTAGTTCTGAGTTGTGGAGATTTTTCTCCCCTTTTTTCTTAACAGCTTTATGTTTTACATTGAAGTTCTTGATCTGTTTTGTTTTTTTCTTTTTTAAAAATTTATTTATTATTATTATTATTATTATTATTATTTGAGACGAAGTTTCGCTCTCGTTGCCCAGGCTGGAGTGCAATGGTGCGATCTCAGCTCACTGCAACCTCTGCCTCCCAGGTTCAAGCGATTCTCCTGCCTCAGCCTCCCAGGTAGCTGGGATTACAGGCACCCACCACCATGCCTAGCTAACTTTTTGTATTTTTAGTAGAGACGGGGTTTCACAACGTTGGCCAGGCTGGTCTTGAACACCAGACCTCAGGTGATCCACCTGCGTCGGCCTCCCAAAGTGCTGGGATTACAGGCGTGAGCCACCGCACCCGGCCGAGTTAATATTTTATAAGGTGTAAGCAAGGTGTTTTTTTTTGTTTTGTTTTGTTTTTTTGTTTTGCCTATGCATCTAGTTGTTCCAGTAGCATTTATTTAAAAGTCTCTTTTTTCAATTTATGTAATTTATTAAATTGCCTTTTTTTTTTTTTTTCTAAAGAGACAGGGTTTTACTCTGTTGCCCAGGCTGGAGTGCAGTTGTGATCATAATTCACTGTAACCTTGCACTCGCAATCCTGAGCTCCCGCCTGAGCCTTCTAATTAGCTAGGAGCTAGGACTACAGACAGTGCCACCATGGCTGGCTGACTTTTTCATTTTTTTGTACAGATGGGATCTCGCTTTGTTGCCCAGGCTGGTCTCAAACTTCTGGGCTCAAGTGATCCTCAAGCAATCCTCCCACCTCATGCTCTCAAAGTGTTGGGATCACAGGGGTGAACCCTATTAAATTGCTTTTATACTTTTGTAAAAAATCAGTTGGATATATTTATGTGGGTCTGCTTTTTTTGTTTTGCTTTGTTTTTGGGATGGAGTCTCGCTCTGTCACCCAGGCTAGAGTACAGTGGTGCGATCTTGGCTCACTGCAACCTCCGCCTCCTGGGTTCAAGAAGTTCTCTGCCTCAGCCTCCTGAGTAGCTGGGATTACAGGCACCTGCCACCACGTCCAGATAATTTTTTGTATTTTTAGTAGAGACAGAGTTTCACCATCTTGGCCAGGCTGGTCTTGAACTCCTGACCTTGTGATCCACCCGCCTCAGTCACCCAAAGTGTTGGGATTACAGGCGTGAGCCCACTGCGCCCGGCCAAGGGTCTGTTTTTATAAGCTGTGACAATTAAATGTGCTAATATAGAATGTCTTGCCTGTAAAGTGCTACATTATGTGAGCTTTTGAGGATTGTGTTTAAAAAAAGTGCTACGTGTTAGTTATTATTGTTATTACTTTACAACACAGCAAATAAATAATAATTTTTTTTTTTTTGAGATGGAGTCTCGCTCTGTTGCTCAGGCTGGTGTGCAGTGGTGCGATCTCAGCTCATTGCAACCTCCACCTCCTGGGTTCAAGCGATTCTTCTGCCTCAGCCTCCCAAGTAGCTGGGACTACAGGTGTGTGCTACCATGCCTGTCTAATTTTTGTATTTATAGTAGATATGGGGGTTTCACCATGTTGGCCAGGCTGGTCTCGAACTCCTGACCTCAAATGATCCACCACCTCAGCCGCCCACAGTTCTGGGCTTACAGGTGTGAGCCACCATGCCCAGTCAATAATAATTAAAAAAAAAAAAAATTGGATAAACTCAATAGTCATTCCTACTTTGTAATTTTAAAAACAATACAGTTTCAAAAACGTTTTAATTGTGGTAAAATACACATAACATAAAATTTACCATCTTAACCTTTTTTTTTTTTTTTTTTTTTTTGAGATGGAGTTTTGCTCTTGTTGCCCAGGCTGGAGTGCAGTGGTGCGATCTTGGCTCAGTGCAACCTCTGCCTCCCGGGTTCAAACCATTCTCCTGCCTCAGCCTCCTGAGTAGCTGGGATTACAAGTGCCCGCCACCACACCCGGCTAATTTTTGTATTTTTAGTAGAGATGGGGTTTTGCCATGTTGGCCAGGCTTCTCTCAAACCCCTGGCCTCACGTGATCCACCTGCCTTGGCCTCCCAAAGTGCTGGGATTACAAGCGTGAGCCACCGTGCCCAGCCCTGAGCCACCATGCCCGGCCCACCATCTTAACCATTTTTAAGTGTACAGTTCAGTAGTAAATACATTCATATTGTTTGCATCCAATCTCCAGAACTTTTTTTACCTAGGAAAATGAAAACTGAAATGCCCATTAAACAACTCCTCATATCCACCTTCCTCCCCAACCCCTGGCAGCTACCATTCTACTTTCTGACTCTATGAATTTGACTATTATAGGTGCCTCATCTAAGTGGAATCACAAAGTATTTGTCTTCTTGTGACTGGCTTATTCACTTAGCATAATGCTCTCAGGGTTTATCCATGTTGTAGAATGTAGAATTTCATATATACACCACATTTTGTTCATCCATTCATTTGTTGATGGATATTTGAGTTGCTTCCACCTTTTGGCTGTTGTGAATAATACTGCTGTGAACATGGTTGCACAGCTATCTCTTTGAGTCCCTGCTTTCAACTCTTTTGGGTATATTCCCAGAAATGGAATTGTTGTATCATATGATAATTCTGTTTTTGAGGAACTGCCATAGTTTCCCATAGTGGCTGCCCCATTTTACATTCCCATCAACAGTGTACAAGTATTCCAGTTACTCCAGATCCTCACCAATACTTGTTATTTTGTAGGGTTGGTTGGTTTTTTGTTTTCTTGGTAGTGGTCACCTCAATGGATGTGAGGCGGTGTCTTTTTGTGAGTTGCAGTTTCCTAAAATTAGTGATTTTGAGCATCTTTTCATGTGGTCGTTGGCCATTTTTGTATCTTTGGAGAAATATCTGTTCAAGTCCTTTGCCCATTTTTTCATTGGGTTGTTTATTTTGTCGTTGTTGAGTTGTAGCAGTTATTCATATATTTGGGTTATTAATGCCTTACCATATATATAAATTGGAAGTATTTTCTCCCATTCCATGGGTTTCCTTTTTATTCTGTTGATTGTGTCACTTAATGCACAGATTTTAAATTTTGATGTCTATTTTATGTATTTTTACTGTTTTTATCTCTGCTTTTGGTGTCACATTCGAGAGATCATTGCTAAATTCAACGCTGTAACACTTTCTCCCTGTTTTCTTCTTCTTTTTTTTTTTTTTTTTTCTTTTTTTTGAGATGGAGTCTCTGTAGCACAGGCCGGAGTGCAGTGGCACGATTTCAGCTCACTGCAAACTCCTCCTCCCGGGTTCAAGTGATTCTCCTGCCTCAGCCTCCCAAGTAGCTGGAATTACAGGCGCTCGTCACCACACCCAGCTAATTTTTGTAGTTTTAGTAGAGATGGGGTTTCATCATGTTGGCCAGGCTGGTCTCAAACTCCTGAACTCAGTTGATCCACTCACCTTGGCCTCCCAAAGTGCTGGGAGTAAAGGCGTGAGTCACCGCGCCTGGCTCTCCCTGTTTTCTTGTAAGAGTTGATTATAGTTTTAGTTCTTTTTTTTTTTTTTTTTTTTGGCTGTAAGTTTATTCAATGCAAAAGAATCCTCTCCAGTTTTACTGAGGTGGCTGACCACGTCCACGACCAAATCCGCCTCTAAACTAGAATTCGGTTGCTGACCCAGCCCCAGCCTCGGCTTTCTTGTCGGCACCAGGTAGCACAGCACTCCTCACATACAGACCTTTAGGCCAAGGTCTGCCAGTCTCTGGACGGCTACGGGGTAGGGTGGCAGGCACAATCTCCGGGGGCAGATGAAGGTAATCACGGAGATACTGGATACCCTCATTGGTAAGGTACCAGTAGAAATGTCTCCAGGCAAAGTGTTCCTTCACGTAGCCTCGGGACTTGAGAGACTGCATGGCCTTCATGACATGAAGGTTGGGCACATTCTTGTCTGCCAGCTCTGGGTGCTTAGGCATGTGGACATCCTTCTTGGCCACCATGACCATCCTCCTTAAAAAGGAGTTCATAAATGGCAATCCGGTTCTTCTTAGGCGTCAACATCTCTGCGGCTGCAGGGTCCGGGGCTGGGGCTGGAAAGCTAGTTTTAGTTCTTATGTTGAGGTCTTTGATGTGTTTTGAGTTAATTTTTGCATGTAGTAATGGTCCAACTTTCATTTCATTTGCATGTACATATCCAGTTTCTCCAGCACCATGTTTTGAGACCATCTCACTCTGTCGTCCAGGCTGGAGTGCACTGGCAGTAATCTCAGCTCACTGCAACCTCCACCTTGCAGGTTCAAGTGATTCTCGTGCCTCAGCCACCCGAGTAGCTGGGATTATAGGCATGTGTCACCATGCCCAGCTAATTTTTCTATTTTTAGTAGAGATTGGGTTCGCCATGTTGGCCAGACTGGTCTCAAACTCCTGACCTCAAGTGATCTGCCCACCTCACCCTCCCAAAGTGCTGGGATTATAGGCGTGAGCCACCGCGCCAGCCTCCAGCACCAGGTTTTGAAAAAATTGACTTTCACCATTGAATAGCCTTGGCACCTTATCAAAAATCATTTGACCATGTATGTGAGGATTTCCTTCTGGCTGTCCATTCTTTTCCATTGATATATGTCTGTCTTTAATGCCAATACCACGATGTTTTGATTACTATAGCTTTGTAATTTTTTATTTTTTATTATTTATTTATTTATTTATTATTTTTTTTTTGAGACGGAGTCTCGCTCTGTCGCCCAGGCTGGAGTGCAGTGGCGCTATCTCGGCTCACTGCAAGCTCCACCTTCCGGGTTCACGCCATTCTTCTGCCTCAGCCTCCCGAGTAGCTGGGACTACAGGCGCCCGCCACTGCACCCAGCTAATTTTTTGTATTTTTAGTAGAGACGGGGTTTCACCATGGTCTTGATCTCCTGACCTTGTGATCCGCTTGCCTCGGCCTCCCAAAGTGCTGGGATTACAGGCGTGAGCCACCACGCCTGGCCAAATTTTTAAAAATTTATTATTATTATTATTTTTTGAGACAGAGTCTCACTTTGTTGCCCAGGCCGGAATGCAGTGGTGCAATCTCAGCTCACTGCAACGTTCACCTCCCAGGTTCAAGCGATTGTCCTGCCTCAGTCTCCCGAGTAGCTGGGACTATAGGTGTGCACCATCCCGCCCGACTATGTTTTGTAATTTTAGTATAGATGGGGTTTCACCATGTTGGCCAGGCTGGTCTTGGAACTCCTGACCTCAGGTGATCCGCCTGTCTCGGCCTCCCAAAGTGCTGGGATTACAGGCATGAGCCATTGCGCCCGGCATGTAGTAAGTTTTGAAATCAGGAAGTGTGGGACCTCCAACTTAGTTCTTTTTCAAGATTGTTTTGTCCGTTTGGGGTCTTAGCCCATTTATGCTTAGTGTTTCATTATTGGGTTGCTAAGCTTGTGGGAGTTATTGATATCCTACTGTTCAAGGTCATCACCAAGGTCTGATTTTTCACAGAAAAAAATTTGCAACCTCGGGCATAAATGGGTTAATATAGTTTTTAATGGTAAAGCTTTAGAAGTGTTACCATGAAAATGAAGAACGGAAAAATGTTTTCTATGATTATTATTTCATGTTTTATTCAATGCAGTAAAATGTAAAACAAATGAGGTATAAATTATAGAAAGGAGGATAAAACCTTGTTATTTACAAATGCTATGATTTTATACCTAGACAACTAAATGGAAAGGAACAAACTGGGCCACGCTCAGTGGCTCATGGCTATAATCCCAGCACTTTGGGAGTCTGAGGTGGGCGGATCATTGAAGGCAGGAGTTCCAGACCAGCATGGCCAACATGGTGAAACCCCTTCTCTACTAAAAATACAAAAAAATTAGCCAGGTGTGGTGGTGTGTGCTTGTAATCCCAACTACGTGGGAGGCTGAGGCGGGAGAATTGCTTGAATCTGGGAGGTAGGGGTTGCAGTGAGTTGATATCACATCTTTGCACTCCAGCCTGGGCTACAGAGCGAGACTCCGTCTCCAAAAAAAAAAAAAAAAAAGAAAGAAAGGAAAAGACTGAAAATGATTAAGAAGAACAATTCAGTAAAGTGACTGGCTAAATAAAAACCATGAAAATTAATAATTTCTGTATATCAGCAGTAACATAAAAATAGGAAAAATTGCTTTTAAAATTAAGTAATAAACATGTTTTTATTTTACTCATAACTGTTTTGTTTTGAGACAAGGTCTTGGCTCTGTCACCCAGGCTGGAGTGCAATGTGCAGTGGCGCGATCTTGGCTCACTGCAACCTCTGCTTCTCGGGCTCAAGCGATCTGCCCACCTCAACCTCCAAGTAGCTGGCACCACAGGTGCACACCACCATGCCTCGCTAATTTTTTGTATTTTTGGTAGAGATGGGGTTTCACCATGTTGGCCAGGCTGGTCTCTAACTCCTGAGCTCAAGGGATCCACCCACCTTGGCCTCCCAGTGTGCTGGGATTATAGGAGTGAGCCACTGCTCCCAGCCTGTTTTGAGTTAATTTTTATGTTGATGTGAAGGAAGGGTACAACTTCATTGTTTTGCCTGTGGCTATCTACTCCTGGCACCATTTGCTGAAAAGACTATTCTTTCCCTCGTTGAATTGTGTTGGCACCCTTGTCAAAAATCATTTGACCACAATTATGGATTTATTCCTGGACTCTCAGTTCTATTCCATTGATCTAACCTTATGCTAGTACTGTACTGTCTTGATTACTGTGGCTTTGTTTTTAGGTGATGAAGTATGAGCCTTCCTACTTTTTCAGGATTGGTTCCTAGCAATTCCATATGCATGTTAGAATTTGCCTACCAATTTCTACAAAGAAGTCAGCTGGGGCCGGGTGCGGTGGCTCACATCTTTAATCCCAGCACTTTGGGAGGCGGAGGCGGGTGGATCACCTGAGGTCAGGGGTTCAAGACCAGCCTGGCCAACATGGCAAAACAATAATAAATTATTATTGTTTATAATACAAAATTATTTCTTCCTCTTGATGCTTCTGTGTATGGAATTATTTTCTTCATTTTCAGATTGTTCATTGCAAGTATAAAAAAATGGATTTTTGTCTATCAGTCTTGTATTCTACAACCTTGCTGAACTAGTCAGTTATAAAAGGAAGGCTCCTTGTGGCTGTTTTATGCCCTGGGTCTCTCCTACAAACTAGCCAGTCTACAGTCCAGGCTGTATCTTCATTACATCCAGGAACCTCTTTCCACTTGCCTAGTACCACAACCCCTATTGTTTTTGGGAACACCCTTAGACTGAAACTTGTCACACTCTTGCAAGTGAAGTTAGGTCCTTTGAGATACTCTGTGTTCCTGCTTCTTCCCTTAGGCAAAGTATCTGAGCCAGGGTTCTAGTGGTAAACTAGGTGGGGACAATGGCAAGCTTTTCTGTGAATGCTACCCCAGCTCTAGGAGGGTATGGGGCAGGTCAGCAGCCTGGGGTCCTCTTGGCTTGTCTCTCCAGTTGTGGAACCACTGTCCCATGAGCTGGTGGAAAGGGTCGTTGGATTCCCAGTATTCTCAGTGTGTCATGCCTATGAAAGAGCCCCTTTTCCACAAGTAGGGATTGAGCAGAAGAAGGGAGCCCCTGCCTCTGAGAGTACTTGCCTGAGACAGCCTCAGCAACAGAAAAGTCAGGGGAAGATGAGAAACGCGAAGTCGCATTCTTCCCAGGAATAAAGAGAACCCTCAGGGATGGGCGCGGTGGCTCACAACTGTAATCCCAGCACTTTGGGAGGTCGAGACAGGCGGATCACCTGAGGTCAGGAGATCGAGACCAGCCTGGCCAACATGGTGAAACCCCATCTTTACTAAAAATACAAAAATCAGCCGGGCGTGGTGGTGGGCATCTGTAATCCCAGCTACTCGAGAGTCTGAGGTGGGAGAATCACTTGAACCCAGGAGGCAGAGGTTGCAGTGAGCCGAGATCACGCCATTGCATTCCAGCCGGGGTGACAACAGTGAAACTCTGTCTAAAAAAAAAAAAAAAAAAAAAAAAAAAATCATCAGGCTGCTTCTTCAGTTTTGCTATCCTCTTAGGATTAAAATTTATTTATTTATGATTTTTTTTTTCTTTCAGGGACCACTTAATAGTGAGTCTTCCAACCAGAGCTTGTGTAGCGTCAGATCCTTGAGTGATAAAGGAGTAGAGGTAAGAAGCTATGTTCATGGCAGGACTTTTCATACTTGTACTTTTGGGCCAGGTTTGGTGGCTCAAGGCTATAATCCCAGCACTTTGGGAGGCTGAGGCGGGCAGATAGCTTGAGGCTGGGAGTTGGAGACCAGCCTGGGCAACATAGTGAGAACTCGTTTCTACAAAAAAACTTAGCAGGGCGTGGTGGTGCCACACCTGTGGCCCCAGCTACTTGGAGGTGGGAAGATCGTTTGCACCCAAGAGAATGAGGCTGCAGTGAGCTGTGATGGCACCATTGCACTCCATCCTGGGCGACAGAGTGAGACCCCCATCTCACAGAAAAGATAGCACTGCTTAATTAACTCCCTGGGTGCTGTTAGACTCTGTGTAAATTGCTCCCCTTTGAGTTGTGTGCTCTTTGCATACGTACGGTTATGATGTGGCCCTCACAGGTTTTTATTATAATCATGTGTGGATCTTACATGTCTTAAAATTTTTGCATAGTTGCCATCAGTAAAGGACAGAAATTTGCAATATTGTTCCTGTTTAAATGGAAGATAAAATTGATTGACTGATTTTACTTTTACAACTTTTTTTGAGACATGGCCTCGCTCTGTCATGCAGGCTGGAGTGCAGTGGTGCAATCATAGCTCATTGTAACCTGACACTCCTGAACTCAAGCAGTCCTCCTGTCTCAGCCTCCTGAGTAGCTAGGTGCTACTATGCCTGGCTAATTTTTATAAATATTTTTGGAGGCGGGGCCTCGCTGTGTTGCCCAGGCTGGTCTGGAACTCAAGCCATCCTCCCACCTCAGCCTCCAAAGTGCTGGGATTACAGACATGAGCCACAGTGCCTGGTGAAGATTTTTTGTTCATTTGCTTAACTATTCACAGCCCTCATGCATGAGATTTTTTTTTTTATTTGGCATATAACCTAGCTGCCTGTAGATGGGTCTAAGTGTAAGTCTGTAGCCACCTACTTTGTACTTTGCAGATCTCTCCTTTTTGGAAAAAAGATTGGATTTAAAGTAGAAGTAGTGTAACAGCAGTTTTCTGAGAACTTAACATATGGTGGACATTTGTCCTACATTTGTGCTCTATTAAATATCTTATGAAAGTTTTGTAGCAGCTCTGATTTACAGATGAATAAACTCAAGCTCTGATATTTTAAGCAGTTTGCCAAAAATTATGTGGATGGTTTGATTCTAGACCCTAATACTCTTTGTTTTTTTTTTTGTTTTTTTTAAATTTTTTTTTATTGATCATTCTTGGGTGTTTCTCACAGAGGGGGATTTGGCAGGGTCATAGGACAATAGTGGAGGGAGGGTCAGCAGATAAACAAGTGAACAAAGGTCTCTGGTTTTCCTATGCAGAGGACCCTGCGGCCTTCCGCAGTGTTTGTGTCCCTGGGTACTTGAGATTAGGGAGTGGTGATGACTCTTAACGAGCATGCTGCCTTCAAGCATCTGTTTAACAAAGCACATCTTGCACCACTCTTAATCCATTTAACCCTGAGTGGACACAGCACATGTTTCAGAGAGCACAGGGTTGGGGGTAGGGTCACCGATCAACAGGATCACAAGGCAGAAGAATTTTTCTTAGTACAGAACAAAATGAAAAGTCTCCCGTGTCTACCTCTTTCTACACAGACATGGCAACCACCCGATTTCTCAATCCTTTCCCCGCCTTTCCCCCCTTTCTATTCCACAAAACCGCCATTGTCATCATGGCCCGTTCTCAATGAGCTGTTGGGTACACCTCCCAGACGGGGTGGTGGCTGGGCAGAGGGGCTCCTCACTTCCCAGTAGGGGCAGCCGGGCAGAGGCGCCCCTCACCTCCCGGACCGGGCGGCTGGCCGGGCGGGGGGCTGACCCCCCCACCTCCCTCCTGGACGGGGCGGCTGGCTGGGTGGGGGGCTGACCCCCCCCACCTCCCTCCTGGACGGGGCGGCTGGCCGGGTGGGGGGCTGACCCCCCACCTCCCTCCCGGACTGGGCGGCTGGCCGGGCAGAGGGGCTCCTTACTTCCCAGTAGGGGCGGCCGGGCAGAGGCGCCCCTCACCTCCCGGACGGGGCGGCTGGCCGGGCGGGGAGCTGACCCCCCCACCTCCCTCCCGGACGGGGTGGCTGGCCGGGTGGGGGGCTGACCCCCCCATCTTCCTCCCGGATGGGGCGGCTGGCCGGGCGGGGGGCTGACCCCCCCACCTCCTTCCCGGACGGGGCGGCTGGCCGGGCAGAGGGGATCCTCACTTCCCAGTAGGGGCGGCCGGGCAGAGGCGCCCCTCACCTCCCGGACGGGGTGGCTGGCCGGGCAGGGGGCTGACCCCCCCACCTCCCTCCCAGACGGGGCGGCTGGCCGGGCGGGGGGCTGATCCCCCCACCTCCCTCCCGGATGGGGTGGGTGCCGGGCAGAGACGCTCCTCACTTCCCAGACGGGGTGGCTGCCGGGCGGAGGGGCTCCTCACTTCTCATATGGGGCGGTTGCCAGGCGGAGGGTCTCCTCACTTCTCAGACGGGGTGGCGGCCGGGCAGAGGCTGCAATCTTGGCACTTTGGGAGGCCAAGGCAGGCGGCTGGGAGGTGGAGGTTGTAGCGAGCCGAGATCACGCCACTGCACTCTAGCCTGGGCACCATTGAGCACTGAGTGAACCAGACTCCGTCTGCAATCCCGGCACCTCAGGAGGCCGAGGCTGGCGGATCACTTGCAGTTAGGAGCTGGAGACCAGCCCGGCCAACACAGCGAAACCCCGTCTCCACCAAAAAAATACGAAAACCAGTCAGGCGTGGTGGCGCGCGCCTGCAATCGCAGGCACTCGGCAGGCTGAGGCAGGAGAATCAGGCAGGGAGGCTGCAGTGAGCCGAGATGGCAGCAGTACAGTCCAGCTTTGGCTCGGCATCAGTGGGAGACCGTGGAAAGAGAGGGAGAGGGAGACCGTGGGGAGAGGGAGAGGGGGGAGAGGGAGAGGGAGAGGGAGAAGGGGGAGAGGGAGAGGGAGAGGGAGAGCTAAAGGCCAGTTCTTGTGGGGAGTCAATACTCTTTGTTATACTCAGTTTTAAGAGGAAGACAGTGATTCAGGAGTTGTCTGGGCCAGTTATATCTGTTTATATATTCAATATTTTGTGTATACTCACTGCTTTTCCTAACGTGAAAAATTTACCAAAATGCTAATTGTGACTTATAAGGTATTTAACAGACTCCCGACAAAAAGCAGAATGATCAGCGAAATCGGAAAAGAAAAGCTGAACCATATGAAACTAGCCAAGGTAGTAATAATTTCGTATCAACAAAAGTACTCAATTCTAATGTACTTAGATAGAATTTTCTAACTCATACTAAATAATTAGTTTGTACACAGGGATTCCTGATAAAGGAGGTTTGTGTATCTTAAGGGAATATCAGACTGTTTATTACAGACTTGCCATTTGATATATACCTGACAAAACAGTGTTAGTTCTTCGGGGACTCTTTGTTTTCCCTGTTGTAAGCTAACAATCTTCTTAACCACAGGTTTTTCTTTACACCAAGCATATATTGTACAAATAGAGGTTATGTCAGAGTTTTAACTCTGTCTTTTGTTAGATCAGTGATTTGTTAATGACAGCCGGCTGAAAGTGCTTCATTTACATTACTGTCCTTTCTGCCTACTGCTCTTCCATGGCAGTTGTTTAGTTGAATATTGGAACCCACTGGGATAAATCTGTAAACATGATGGTTATAATGCCAAATATCTTTATATAATCAAAGAAAGAAAAAATGGCTTGGCTTTTTTTCTCCCATTCTAAGGAATAGAAAGCCCAGTCTTGTTGCATCCTTCTTATCTTTTAAAATCTACAGATAATTCATTTTGTCTTTGGGAGCAAAATTCTCCCAAAGTGACAAGAAAAATTACAGAATCTTAAACCTGTGAAAAATTCTTCCTTTCACTGCTTGTTCAGTCCTTTATTTTATGGAGGAAATAGTCTGTTCTTAGGCTAAGGTATTTTGGCTCATTTGTTACAAGTAAAGCTGACACTTGGGTTTATAGCAATGTATGTAGTTACTGAATGTATAGTACATTTTAGTGAATGATGGTTTATATGTGTATTGGAAAAACTGTATTTACTTTGGTTTCATTTTCAGGGAAAGGCACTCCTAGGGGACATAAAATTAGTGATTACTTTGAGGTAAGTTACATTTTTTGAAAAAACAAACAAAAAAACAAAACAAAACAAAAAAACTCTATAGTGATTTTTTTTAAAAACCCTAAATCCTTGTGTTCATTTGAGGCTTTAGAAAGTAATATTTTGGCCAGGCAAGGTGGCTTATGCTTGTAATCCCAGCACTTTGGGAGGCCGAGATGGGAGGATCGCTTGAACCCAGGAGTTCGAGACCAACCTGGGCAACATGGGGAAACCCTGTCTCTACAAAAAACAGAAAAAATTAGCCAGGTGTGGTGGCACACACTTATAGTCCTGGCTACTTGGGAGGCTGAGGTGGGAGGATCACTTGAGCTTGAGAAGTCGAGGCTGCAGTGAGCCATGATCTACTGCACTCCAGCCTGGGTGACAGTGAGACCCTGTCTCCAAAAAAAAGAAAAAAAGAAAGAAAGAAAGTAATGTTTTGCCTTTACTGTACTCTTCTTCCCTTTCTCCCCATCTTCATCAGTTAATGCTGCCCCATCTCTCAATAAGAGAAAACTGCTGCTGCCTTCCTAAATTTAAATTTATTATGTGTCTTGTCTGTGATGATATAAGAATTCACAAATGAGGTGATTTTTCTCTTGGCCAGACGAGGTTTTGTGTCTTACAAAGATTGAGGTGGAATGACTTGGACTCTTCTTTTATCCTCCTCCCTTTAGTCCAGTGGAACATGTAGTGAGTTCCCTGACCCATCGTTAGTGGTTACTAAAGACACTAACATCCACTGCACTACTGCATTTCTGCTTTGTGTATTTTGAGACAAGAAGGGAAAACATTCTTCTCTCATGTCCTTTCAAAATCATGTATACCTTCAGCTTTCTAGCCATGTTTTCTTTATATCTTGGTATATTTCTGCTGGAGCTCCTTCTTAAAAATCTCATTAAAAATTAGCAGAATTTGACTTGTGTGGCATTTTCTCTCTAGAGTAAGATGTGTTAACTTAAAGGGGCCATATAATTAAGATCTGTTTGTGTATTAATCTTTTACTCTCCTTATCTGAAGCATAGTACTGTTTTGAATTATTCATATCTGTTTTTCCCTGTTGGCCAGTTTGCTGGGGGAAGCGGGCCAGGAACCAGCCCTGGCAGAAGTGTTCCACCAGTTGCACGATCCTCACCGCAACATTCCTTATCCAATCCCTTACCGGTAAGCATTCACCTGGAGAAATTTGACACCTGTTGTAGGAGACAAGATGCCCAGAAACACTCAAGCAAAGTTTCTCTTTCATTAATTACCCACAGGGAATGAAGCATTAGGGAGAAAAGTTCATAGTTTTACCTATGAATCCCTTACTTTGATTCAAATCTGTTATCAGTAAATTAGCTTTTTACAGAAGAGCCAATCCTATTATCTCTATATAATAAATTACCTCTAATCCTACAGCTTAGTAGTCTATCAAAGAATTGATTCCAATCGAAACATTAGGTTTTTTCCCTTGCCAAATTTGTATGTTCCTGTAGGGTTTATTTTTATTTTAAAATTTGACCAGCTTCTGGCATAATTGAGTTATCTCCAGAGCTTACTCAGTAATGTACTAGAAAAACTAATGCTATACAGATTTGTGATAGGTATGTTTCCAGCCTGTAAGAGAGATCTGAAGGTCTTAAAAACATTATACCTAAGTAAATGGTTCTCAGTTGGTGGCAGTTTTGCCCCTCAGGGACATTTGTCAATAACTGGAGTCATTATTGGTTGTCACTGCTCGGAGTTATGGGGATGACACTATAGGCATCTACTGGGCAGAAGTCAGGGATGCTGGTAAACATTCTGTAATGTTAGGACAGCCTCCCTGCAAAAAAGAATTACCTGGTCCAAAATATCAGTGGTGCCAAGGTTGAGAATTCCTGAGTAAGCTAACGTAGGATTATGTTTATTTGCTCCAGTGTCTTCGCATTATTTGTTGATACTGTGTAAGACCTCTTACTCAAGAGTGTGCTCTATCCCCTAATGCCTTAGGTATTGCCTCTGGGATCTTGGGAGACAGGGTCTCTGGGACAGAAGTTTTTATTTTAGGTCACTGATTTTTAGGAAAGTTGTTTTTCTTTGCCTTGGTAGAGTTGTGTAATAGTACTCATTTCCTAAGCGATTTAGGCTTCTGTATTGTTAAAGTATTTTAAAATGTACTTTCTCCCCCTCTACTGTCTCGTAAAAACCTTCATTAGGATTATTGTGATTATTAAAGCACTTATGAAAACATAAGTTAAACTTACGAAAACAACTAAGAAGTTTTGGCTATTACTGTGCCATCCTTGCCATATATATATAATTTTTTTTTTTTTTTTTGAGACAGTCTTGCTGTGTCACTCAGGCTAGAGTGCAGTGGTACGATCATGACTCACTGCAACCTCTGCCTCCTAGGCTCAAGTGATTCTCCCAAATCAGCTTCCTGAGTAGCTCATACTACAGGCATGTACCACTACGCCCGGCTAATTTTTGTATTTTTTTGTAGAGGCGTGGTTTCACCATATTGCCCAGGCTGGTCTCAAACTCCTGAGATCATGTGGTCTGCCTGCCTCCACCTCCCAAAGTGTTGAGATTACAGGCATTAGCCATTGTGTCAGACCATCCTTGGCCATAGTTTAAAATGTTAGAAATGTTTGATGATAGATCCAATTTGGGCAGGTTGAGGTTTGTTAGTTAACTGTTGAAGAGGCCTGTATCTCTGTTTTTCTTAAGTTTCAAACCAATTAAAGTCTAAAAGATATTAAATGAGATTGCAGATTATCTATTTGGGACAGATACGTTTTGTAGAATTTCTCGGTGTTGTCTATCACTCTTTTCTTCCTGAAATGCCTTTTTCATTTGGTTTTTAATGGTGTGACCACCCATCTCTCATGTGTCAGTTTAGGTTGAATCTTACCTGAAGACAAAAGAGATAAACTCAATGATCTGTAGACATTTTTGCCAGCTATATGAATGTGGCTGAGCCTCATCATCATGCAAATCCGAGTATAGATGAGGTGTTAAAATAGAAACCAAAGCTTAATCCTCCACCTTTTCCTTGCCTGCCTCTAGGCAACTCAGCATGGTTGGAGGAAAACACATACACCAAGGTGACTGACTGATCTGGTCATGAGCACTGGCCTCATGTGTACCTCTCACTGCCTGCCAGTCCTACTGTATTTCTACTTAGTTCCCTTTCCTCCATGAATATGTCCTATTTTTGTCATCTCCTGCAAACCTCCAGCAATTCTTCTGCTAACTGATGGCCTTCCTTTTTTATGTTACTGAGAAAATAGAAACAATCAGAAGAGCATTTCCACATGCTCCTACTGCAGATTTGCCAAGCTCCTTGCATCAGTACCCACATCCATCTGCCTTTGAGATGAATGAACTTGCTAGCCCTTCACATGGGTCTGGTCTCCCCAATAATTATGTATCCAGCTGTCTACTTGACATTTCCACTTGTACTGCTTGAGCGTGTCCAAAAAGGAACTCTTGCTTTCCCTTCCCTACCATAACAATAACATTGAACTGCTCTTCCTGTAATCTGCCTTGTCCTGGTAAATGACAGGTTACACCATCTGGTTTTTCAGGTCACAGCCTCATGCCCCAAATGTAATCCATGAGAAAATCCTGTTTTTCCTTTAAAGTGTATTAGAATATGACCACTTTTCTATTTTTCCAGTTCACTGCATTAGCTTTCAAAGTAGTCTCCTTGTTTTTGCCCTTGTTTCACCTAGTCTTAATGTAATAGCCCGAGTAATTGTTAAAATGTTCAGATACATCCCGGCACTCCTCTGCTCAACACTTCCTAGACTGAAGTCTTTATGTGACCTAAAAGCTCCTGCGTGATCTGTGCTCCCCATCGTCCACCTGATTCTGACATCTGCAGCCATTCTCCCTCTTCTTCATGCCACTGCAGCCACACTGGCCTCCTTGAGCTCTGTGAAAAATGCTTTTGCTATAGGGTCTTTGTACTTGTTATTCCCTCTTCCAGGAACATTCTTTTCTCAGATATCAGCAATCTCTTCATCAGGTTGTTGCTCAAAAATGACCTTAGCCAAGCGGTCTCCCTTAGCCAACTTCTCTAAAATAGCAGTCCCTCATACCTTGTCAATTTGTTCCTAACTGTACTTTATTTTAATTCTAAGTTATTGGCACCTGACACACCCATGTACATACATTTTAATATATATTTAAATTTTTTTGTTGATTCATATTTATACATACAGAAGAGTACACATTGTAAGTCTACAGTTCACATGAATTTTCACAAACTCTACAAGCACAAGAAATATTACCAGTGCTGCAGAAGTCCCCCTGAGTTCCCTTTCAGTTACTAACCCCCTCCCTGCCGCTGTGGATAGCCACTAGCCTGACCTCTAACAACACAGATGAATTTTTTTTTGTATCTTGTGTAAAAGACATTCAGTGTATACTCTTGTGTCTAGCTCCTTTTGTTGCACATTACTTTTGTGAGGTTTATCCATTTCATTGTGTATTTTGTAGGTCATTTATTTTCATTGGTGTGTTATAAGTTTAATTTTCATTTAATAATTTATATATTTTAATTTTGAACTATATAATTAGTTAATTGCCCATCTTCCGACTAGATTTTTTTTTTTTTTTTTGAGACGGAGTTTCGCTTTTGTTGCCCAGGCTGGAGTGCAGTGGTGCGATCTTGGTTCACTGCAACCTCCGCCTTTCAGTTGCAAGCGATTCTCCTGCCTCAGCCTCCCGAGTAGCTGGGGACTACAGACAGACGCCACCAAGCCCAGCTAATTTTTGTATTTTTAGTAGAGACGGGGTTTCACCATGTTGGCCAGGATGGTCTCGATCTCTTGACCTCGTGATCTGCCCACCTCGGCCTCCCAAAGTGTTGGGATTACAGGCATGAGTCACCGCGCCCAGCCTAGAATGTTAATCTCATAAGAATGGGGATTTTGCTTTGCTTTGTTTACTGCTGTCTCTTGTTACATAAAGGTGTAATTTTTAAACTAATTTCCCCCACTTGACATGTAAGCAATAATGTCTTATTTCATTTTCAGTCTCCAGCATCCAGAACAGTACTTGGGACACAATAGGTGTTCAAAATTGTGCTGACAGGGAAGAATAGATGGATAAAAAGTTGTTTTCACCTTTTTTCCTATAAAAGATTATTTTGTATTTGTGTTAAATATAAAAAATAAAGTAT
Source organism: Homo sapiens (assembly GCF_000001405.40). Classification (NCBI taxonomy): domain Eukaryota; kingdom Metazoa; phylum Chordata; class Mammalia; order Primates; family Hominidae; genus Homo; species Homo sapiens. The sequence continues at coordinate 128,584,086 of NC_000007.14, forward strand.
GTAAAACATGAAAGTTTTCATGCAGGAGTTGGCAAAAGACAGGTCACAGCTGGCAAGCTAGGAATGATTTTTATTTTTTTAAATTGATTTCATTTTAATTTATTTTATTTTTGGAGACAATATAATAAGTCTCACTCTATCCCCCAGGCTGGAGTGCAGTGGTGCAATCTTGGCTCACTGCAACCTCAGCCTCCCTGGTTCAGGCGATTCTCCTGCCTCAGCCTCCCAAGTAGCTGGGATTACAGGTGTGCACCACCATGCCTGGCTAATTTTTGTGTTTTTAGTAGAGACGAGGTTTCGCCATGTTGGCCAGGCTGGCCTCTAACTCCTGACTTCAAGTAATCCACCCGTGTCAGCCTCCCAAAGTGCTGGAATTACAGGCGTGAGCCACGGCGCCTGGCAAGCTCGGAATGATTTTTAGATTTTTAAAAGGTTTTAGAAACGAAGGATATATGACAGAGACTGATGTGGCCTGCAAAACCTAAAATATTTCTATCTGGTCCTTCACAAAAAAGCTCCCAGAAAATCACTATAAAGTTAACTCTATATAATTGTTACATAGGAAGGTAGACTATTTCCAGCAGCTGGAAACCTACATGCTGTTCCCTGATCACAACTCCCACTACCCTAGAAGTGATCACTTGGCTAGTTTTTGTGGTAATCATTTTCGTTTTCATGTAGTTTAAACTATCCATGTATGAATCCATAAACAAAATAGTTTAGTTTTGCCAGTAGGTAAACTCAGTGTTTAAATCTTAGGTATTTTTATTTTTGGCTGTTCTATCAATTATTAAGAGCGGTGTGTATATTCGTATTTCTTGCTGTGATTGTGGGAGTTGGCTGTTTCTTCTTATATTTATATTAAATTTTGTTTTATGTATTATGACTCTTCATCTCTTTAAAGCTCTTTGCTTTATTTTTTAATTTTAATTTTTATTTTTGAGACAGGTTCTCGCTCTGTTGCCCAGGCTGGAATTCAGTGCACGATCTCGGGTCACTACAACCTCCGCCTCCTGGGTTCAAGTGATTCTTGTGCCTAAGCCTCCCAAATACCTGGGATTACAAGCATGCATCACCATGCCTAGATAATCTTTTTGTATTTTTAGTTGGGTTTTCTCCATGTTGGCCAGGCTGGTCTGGAACTCCTGGCCTCAAGTGATCTGCCTGCCTTGGCCTCCCAAAGTATTGGGATTACAGGTGTGAGCCCCCGAGCCTGGCTGAAGCCCTTTGCTTTAAATGTGGTTTATCTGATATTTAATATATCCAAACCATTGTGAGGTATAACTATTTCCATTCTTAATACTGTCAAATTTGCATTGTTATGTTTTCTATCTTTGGCAAATACCATATAATTAGATTTTTTTCTCTTAAGTCTAAAATTTTTTATTATCCTATTTACATTCAATATAATTACCACTACATTCAGTTTAGATATATCATTGTTTAATGTGTTTTTTATTTATCCTGCCTGTTCTGTGTTCCTTTTTCTTTAATTTCTTGCTTTCGTTTAGATTGAATTTTTTTTTTTAAGTCATTTTCTATTTTCCTCCTCTGCTAGTAGCTAGGCTGTCTTTGGTGTTTCTTTTAGAAAGTACCACATACGGCCAGGCGTGGTGTCTCACACCTGTAATCCTAGCACTTTGGGAGACCTGGGGACCCACATGTGAGGATTACTCGAGCTCAGGAGTTCGAGACCAGCCTAAGCAATATAGTGAGATACCTGTCTGTACAAGGCAGGCAAATCATGAGGTCAGGAGTTCGAGACCAGCCTGGCCAACGTGGTGAAACCCTGTCTCTACTAAAAATACAAAAACTTAGCTGGGCTTGGTGGCAGGTGCCTGTAATCCCTGCCACTCAGGAGGCTGAGGCAGGAGAATCTCTTGAACCCAGGAGTCAGAGGTTGCAGCGAACCGAGATCGCACCACTGCACTCTAGCCTGGGTGACAGTGCGAGACTCCGTCTCAGAAACAAACAAACAAACAAAAAACAGCATTTAAAAATTAGCCAGGCTTGGTGGCATGCACCTTGTAGTCCCAGCTACTCAGGTGGCTGAGGCGAGAGGATTCCTTGAGCCTAGGAGGTTGAGGCTGGAGCGAGCCATGATCACACCACTGCGCTCCATCCTGGAGCATAGAGTGAGACCCTGTCTCAAAACCCCCAGAAAAGAAAAAATAAAAATAAATTACCACATGCCAAAATTTGAAGTCAGTTGTTTCTTCATCCTCTACCAAATAAAATCATGTCCCCAGAACACTGTTTACTCTGCTACTGATTTGGTGGTAGTGGTGTATGTTTTTATTTTGCCTTTTTTTGGTCTCATAAAATATTATTGTTCAGTGCTATCAGTGTTCGTTTAGGTTTATCTGTATATTTACCTCTTTGTACTTCTTTCCTTTTTGCATCCTACACCTTCCACCTGGGGTCACTTTCCTTCTGCCTAAGTATTCCTTTAGTATTCTTCTAGAATATATCTGCTAGGGATTAACTCTCTAGGTTTTTGTTTACTGAAATAACTTTATTTTGCTCTTATTCCTGAAAGGTATTTTTGGCTGTGTATATTTTTAGGTTCACTTTCTTTTTTTTTTTCTTTTAACACAATTGAGCAGTAATTCATTACCATGTTCTAACCCTCCATTGTTACTATTAAGAAATCAGCTGTCATTTACCTGTTGTTTCTTTGAAGGTATCTGCTTTTTTTCCCCTGGCTGCTTTAAAAGTCTTTAGCTATGGTGTTCTGTAGTTTTATGATGATGTGTCATTTCATTTCTCTTGCTTGTGATTTCTTGGACTTCTGAAATTTGTGGGTTGGTGTCTTTCATCAGTTCTGAATAATTAGCCATTGTCTCTTTGAATATTATCTCTGACTTGTTCTTTTTTTCCTTCTCTTATGAAATTCTAATTAACCATACATTATACTTCCTAATTTTATTACCATGGCTTTTGACTTCTTTTTTTGTATTTTTGTTCTTCTTGTCTTTATATACTCCATCATGGATAATTTCTTCTTGCCTTTCAGTTCCCAGATCCTGTTTTATTGTTTCTAATTTGCTATTAGCCCTAATGAATTGGTTACTACCTTTTGAAGAAAAAGAATTACATTTCCTGCAGATATTTTCAAGCCTGTCTTTTATTTTTTAAAATATGGTAGACACAATTATTTTATAATCTGTTTGATAATTCTAGCATCTGAAGCTTTTATGAATCTGTTTCTGGTGTCTCTTGTTTTTCTTAGTTGTTGTTCATGGCTTTATTTCTTTTATGCTTTGTTTTTTAACTGTGTACTCCTCATTGTTCTTGAAAAATTTTTGGGGGGGTTTCTTCAAGATCTAGGATGAATGAAGATGTGTTACTCCAGGGAAAATTTTTATTTGCTCCTTCCGAGTACCTAGAGATTTTACCTCTTTTATATACCACTTTAGTGAATTTATGGCTTATATTTAGTTTGTTTATTTTGTTTGCTTATTTCAACTACTAGGAAAATTGATTTGGATTGTGTCAACATTTCTCAAGAGAACCCCCAACTCTTACACTGCCAAGGCAACTTCCTGGCAGCCATCTGAGGGTGGGGGTAATTTTTGTTCTGGTTTACCCTTTCCTTGAGAATGTAGGTAGCTCTGGAGGCCCAGCTTGAAGTGGGAAGGGTTTCCTATTGAACCCTCTCCCTTGGGTGGGCTTTGGTCTGTGACTATCTGCTTGATACCATGTTGCCCTGAAAATGGAAATTCAAGATCTGCAGGTGCCCTTAGGCCATATGTGGCTTTGGTGCTTCTTTTACCTGTCTTATGTTCCTAATTTCCCTTAGATTTTGCCGTGGCAGATCCCTAATACTTTATCAACTCTTCAGTGCTTTTAATGTTTTTTTTTTGTTGTTGTTGTTCGCCCATATTTTATCCTATCTGTATAGTCCCCCCCCCAGGGAGAGGTTGGTTCAAACAGGAAAGGCTATAGCCTACATAGGATATTTACAGAAATGTTTTTAAAATCTTTCAATCCTTGGCAGGTATTTATTGAATATATGGCAGAAGGTTTAATTTTACTGTTGCAGCTCATTCTCCCATGCAGTGAGAATGTTGTCATCAATGAGTATCACAGGTGTTCTGGAGCCTGGGTTTAAACTGTTACATTTGCTGGGGTAGGACTCTACTCATAGATTCAAAACCTAATTTCTTTGTCAGGATCATTTTACTTTTTTTTTTTGACATGAAAACGTTAAAGAACTATTCCTGATTAAGGAAAATTATTTCCTTTATTCATGCGGATTATGAAAGTTCAACAATTCAGAAATGGTGAAATAAAAAATTCCCTCCAAAAGAACTGTTATTAGGGAGTATGGTGGGCAAATATTTCTAGACTTTTTGAGATATACATGTATGTTTATATAATAGGTTTTCTTATTTCCATTGTATTAGATTATTTAACCAGTATCTTGTAAGCATTTGTATTCTATAAATAGTGCTGTAATGAACATCCTTATACATACTTACTAACTTATGCATTTTTCCCAGATAAACCCCCTAATTATAATTCCCAGGTCAGAATATGATCATTTAAAAATGTCATCACATAAATTGCTAGAAGGTTATTAGCAGTTTGAGAGTACCAATTTTTTCACACCCTGCTAATACTGAATTTTATCATTGTAACCTTTGGCATAAAGAAAAATACCTTGTTTTAACTTGCGTTTGTTCATTAGTTATATATATTAAACATCATATGTTTAATGGCCTTTTGGATTTCTCTTTTAATGCTTGTTCAGGTCCTTTGCATATGTCTCTTTTGAAATACTTGTGTGTTTTGGTTTTTGTTTTACTGTTAGGTAAAGCATTATTTATTAAGATTTAATAAATTATTTATATTATTAATTTGTTATATTGTAAATATTTTTGCTTGTTTGTAATCTTGTCTTTTAACTTTATCTTGACTTTTACCATTCAGATATAAAAAAATTGAAGTAGTTAAATTTATCAGTGTTTTTCCTTTATGACTTATGGGATTTGTCTTATTCTTAGATGTTCCCATATGGTGTATTCCTATATGGGGTGGGTGTGTGTGTGTGTGTGTGTGTGTGTGTGTGTGTGTGTTTGTGTAATTTTTTTTTGAGACAGGATCTTGCTGTGTAGCCCAGGCTGGAGTGCAGTGATGTGATCTTGGTTCACTGCCAGCCTCTGCCTCCCGGGTTCAAGTGATTCTCATGCCTCAGCTTCCCGAGTAGCTGGGACTACAGGCATGTGCCACCATGCCCAGCTAATTTTTGTATTTTTAGTAGAGACAGGGTTTTGCCACGTTGGCCAGGCTGGTCTCAAACTCCTGACCTCAAGTGATTTGCCCATCACGGCCTCCCAAAGTGCTGGGATTACAGGCATGAGCCACTGTGCCCCGCCCATGGTTTATATTTTTAATGTCATGTTTAAAAAGTCCTTTACCACTGGAAAATTCTAAAAGCATTTGTTTATTTTTTCTTCTTGTAATTTTTTATATGTAATAAAAGGTAGGAATCTACTTTTCCCTTTTTTTCTAATATCTGCACAAATGTCCTACCATCTTTTTAATAAGTTCCCGCTAATATGAAATGCACATTAATCACAACTTATGTATCTATATTATATAGATCTGTTTCTGAATTCTGTATTCTGTGCCACTGGTCAATCTGTCTGCTTCTGTATCTGTATGATACTGTTTTAGTTAATGTAACATTGTAGTATGTTTCAATATCTGGTCAAGTTTCCCTGATACTTTTTCTGAAAAATTATGTGGCTGATTATGATTATTTTTTTAAGTGAACCTTAGAATTTATTGTGAAATTCTCCGAAAACAACTGCCCAAGAAAGCATGAGAGAGAACCTAGATGACCACTATACCACCATAAGACTATCCCTTGGAAGAGAAAAAGGCCAAACACAAAATTAAAAACATTAAACTTGGGTTTTAGAGAAATTTGATGTTTGTAGAATCTGAACCCAGGAACATGATATTACCGTTTAACTTAGATCATCTTTTATATTCATCTGTGAAGCTGTATAGTTTTTCTTCATAGGTGTTCTGCATGTTTCTTAAGTTTGCTTTCAAGTATTTTACAGATTTTTGTTTGCTACTTTGAATCTGCTTTTCCTTCTGCTACATGCTCTGATTAAAATCAGTTGGGGAAGCTATCAATTTTAGTGTATTTATTTTGTATTTGGCCATCTTACTGAACTCCTTTTAATTGTTATAGTAATTTTTCCATTGATTTGCTTGGTTTCCTTTGTGAATGGTTATATCATCCAAAAATGACACTAAAAATCTTTAATTTGTAATATTTTTACGTCTTTTTTTTCTTTTTTACATTGGCTGAAACTTTCATAATAACGTTTAATATGAGAATGTGTTACTTTTGTCTTGTTTTCTAGCTTTAATGAAAGGGTCTCCAGTCTTAGCACCATTAATTATGATATTTTAATTTTTGAAAAACATACTCTTCATTGCATTAAAAGTGGATAATTCCAGTCTTTTTTTTTTTTTTTTTTTGAGATAGAGTCGCGCTCTGTTACCCAGGCTGGAGTGCAGTGGTGCAATCTGGGCTCACTGCAACTTCCGCCTCCTGGGTTTAAGCGATTCTCCTGCCTTAGCCTCCCGAGTATCTTGGATTACAGGTGCCCACCACCACGCCTGGATAATTTTTGTATTTTTAGTAGAGATGGGTTTCACCACGTTGGCCAGGCTGGTCTTGAACTCCTGACCTCAAGTGATCCGCCTGCCTTGGCCTCCCAAAGTACTGGGATTACAGGCATAAGCCATCGTGCCTTGCCAATTCCAGTCTTTTAAGAGTTGCCTAACAGTGTGCGTATCCTTTTTGGTATCCAACAGGAAGAATCTTAATTTATCCCTTCCCTAAGGTTAATGTAATGAATTACATTAGTAGATTTGCTAATGTTGAATCATTTTTAGGTTTCTGGAGTAAGTTATGCGTAATTGTGGTGTATTATCCTTTTACTATACTGTGGAACTTGTTTTGCTTGCATTTATTTTAGATTTTTGCATCTAAATATAGTACAGTGAGAATAGAATTGAGAGTGAAATAAGCTTCACCTATAAAGTCACGTGACAGGCCAGGCACGGTGGCTCATGCCTGTAATCCCAGCACTTTGGGAGGCTGAGGCGGGCAGATCACCTGAGGTCAGGAGTTCGAGATCAGCCTGGCCAACATGGTGAAACCCCGTCTCTACTAAAAATACAAAAAAATTAGCCAGGTGTGGTGGCAGGCACCTGTAATCCCAGCTATTTGGGAGGCTGAGACAGGAGAATCGCTTGAACTCAGGAGGCAGAGGTTGCATGCAATGAGAGCAGAGACTCTCCATTGCACTCCAGCCTGGGCAACAAGAATGAAACACTATCTCAAAAAAAAAAAAAAAAAAAAGAAAAGAAAGTCATGGGACAATGTCTTAATTTTCATTTACCTACAGGATAGAAATAATATTTCCTGTGTAGGGTTGAGGGCATTATGAAGTTGATTTGTAGAATTCTACAAAGTAACATGTAAATTCAGACTCTCATAAATATAGAACCATTAAAATATAATGTCAAAGAATTTGAGTAAGATAGTCACATTTTTAGATAGGTTATAATACAATGATAATGTTGGTATGCTCTCCATAATTATTTTTAGAGAGGCCTTTTTAAAGAAACCATTCATCTTATGTTTGATAACTGTTTTTAACCCATTGCATGTTTGGGCAGTATCAGATTATCTGTCTCATGTCATTTGTGTGTTTCTTTACTGTTTTCCAGTGACGAGTAGCACAGCCCCTCTATGGTTTAGATGGCAGTGCTGCAAAGGAGGCAACAGAGGAGCAGTCTGCTCTGCCAATCCTCACGTCAGTGATGCTAGCAAAACCTCGGCTTGACACAGAGCAGCTGGCGTAAAGGAGAGCTGGCCTCTGCTTCACTTTTGTTTCAGTGAGTACAAAGCCTAAGTTAATTCAGATCCTTTCCATTGCCCTAGCGCTCCTTGATGAGGTTGGATTAATTATTTTGATAGAGAGATAAGGACATTTCTAATACTTTTTTTTTAAATGTGATCTCCCCTTATCATCATTCCCAAACGTGTCTAATTCTACATCACTTCTAAATATATTGTGTTTTTCCCAGTCTCCCTTGGTTCAAGCTCCTGAGGGAGACTGCTTTGTCAAAGCCTGAACCCACAATGGGAAGGAAGGAAAGCATAATCTTAGATTGACAAAGAAGAAAATACAGATCAAATTCCATTAGTAACCAAGATATAATTAAAAATAGAGTCTCCGAGTTCCAGCCATCATCTATGTAAGTTAATACTCAAGTCAGTACAGTTTTAGTATGTAGGCAGGCATTCTCACAGCAAGTTACTGGTCATTTACCCCGTGTAGTATTTGGGCTATGTACACGCTTGCTTTCTCACCCCTTCAGAGTGTTGGTACACTTAACCTTTCTCAGGAATATTTGGCTACCTGTTCTCTCCTTTCAGCTTACTTCTTTCTCTATCTTTGAAGAACAAGAATTTGAGTATTATGAAAGTTTGACCTCATTTCATAAGGCGCTGTGAGTGCAATTTGAACCAAATGTTACTTTTCCTGGTTTCTGGGCCCTACCGGGTCACCTGTTTGTTGCCAAGGGTGCCAGAGTAACAGAAAGCCCCATCGCCCTATTCCTATTCCACTTTCAGGGGCATCTTTCAGAACTAAGTCACCACTCATCCAAATTTTGTCCCTCTTACTGGTTCATTTTGTCCAGTTATAGTTTAAGTTTCCTGTTTATTTGCCCTATGGTATCTATAAGTCTTCAATCCACACTCCACCAACTGTGTTCAAAAAGGTGCTGAAAATGGTGGGTGTCTTAAGGAAAGGAAATAGAAATAATAAAACAGTTAACCAGATAGGAAGCTATTGTGCATGATATGGAATGTTTTCTTATAGTTATGATAGCTTTACCTTAAGAAAGAGATACAACGCTCCTTGAATAACATCATTTCATTCAACATGGTTTCGTGATAGTGCTAATTAGACATTGTGAGTTGACGCCACTGTCTGTGTGGAGTTTGCATGTTTTCTCCATGTCTGTTTGGGTTTTCTTAGGGCACTCTGGTTTCCTCCCATATCCCAGAGATGTGTGCATTAGGTTCATTGGTGTGTCTATGGAGTCCCAGTCTGAGTGAGTGTGGGTGTGTGTGTGCAACAGAATGGCTTCCTGTCCAGGTTTGGTTTCTGCTTGCACCCTGAGCTGCCTGGGATAGGCTCTGGCTATTCACCACTCTGTACTGGAATAAACAGATAAATCATTGTCTTATTTGTTTTTATGAATCTTACTTAAATGTATGTACAGCTTACTTTTATTTCAGTGTTTAATGTTAGAAGTGTTTTGATCTTTAATCATCAAAGGAATGGGGAAACTTCTTGTGTGAAGACAGTATAGTCCTATCCCCAGGTAACAAAGGAAATATACATACTTTAAAAATGGGAGAATTGACCTGTATAATATTGTGAGAGGAACTGACAGCAGTATGGAATAGTTCCTTTGAGAATGCAGTATGCTATAGTATTGTTCTAAAGAATGTATGTGTGTCATTCACACATTTCGAGATTGTTAATGTTTATCATACACTTATGTTTGTTAAATCTTTGTTTTTTTTTTTTGAGACGGAGTCTGGTTCTGTCGCCCAGGCTGGAGTGCAGTGGCGTGATCTTGGCTCACTGCAAGCTCTGCCTCCCGGGTTCACGCCATTCTCCTGCCTCAGCCTCCCGAGTAGCTGGGACTACAGGCACCCGCCACCACGCCTGGCTAATTTTTTGTATTTTTATTAGAGATGGGGTTTCACCATGTTAGCCAGGATGGTCTCGATTTCCTGACCTTGTGATCCGCCCGCCTCAGCCTCCCAAAGTGCTGGGATTACAGGCATGAGCCACCATGCCTGGCCTTTGTTAAATCTTTATCTTGGATCTTACTTTTCCAGGAAAAACCTTTGATAATTAGGGAGTTATTTGTCTTTTGGTCATTTTTAAGGCATTAAAATGACCTCTTTTTCACTTGAGAGGAGTTCCCTTTGTTTACTCCACAAATACGTACTGAGTGCCCACCGTGTAATGAGCGCATAGTTAAATACACAAGATTTGGTCAGCAAGAACTTGTTCCCCTTTCCATCTTCTGTAAAAAGTATGGTTATGTAAGCTTGTGGTGGATGCACATGAAGGACCACCTACTCAGTCCTATCAGCTGACGCACTCCATTATCAGAGGAGTAGCAGATGCTGTAGCCACGTTGTTCTCATGTGGAAAGAGGTGGCAGAGACGAGTAACAAAATGATCATGTATGAAGAAGGAACATGGAAACAGTATGAAAACCAAAAGTCTGAATGCTCTGGTACAGTTTTGTTTCTCTTTGCTTCTCAGCAGTACCAGCCAGCATATAAGCTTAGTAGTATAAGGAAAGAAAATAGGAAAAGGGTTAGTATTAATATACAAGTGTAAATCAGCAAAGGAAAGCAGATTCCTAGAAAAGTAGGCAAAGACTGTTTTTGAAAAGAAGGCAAGCGGCTAATAACATGAAATACCACTCAATTTTGGCCATAGAGAAGTGCAAAATAAAACAAGATAACATTTTTGACCTAGCAAATTGGCAAGGATTAATAAGTTTGATAGTTCTTGGTGTAGGTGATAGTTTAGAGATACATTCAGTTTTATTCTGTCTATAAATTGTTGAAGTCATGTGGACAACTTGGTAATGTATCTCAATGTTAAGTTTACATATCCTTGGGTCCAGAAATTCCATTCCCATAAAATTACACAAAGATATTTATTGAGGTATTGTTTATCGTTGCAAAAAATCTGGAAGCAGTTTCCCTTCCAGTATTTCAGAGGATATGACCTTCGCATCAGAACTCATCTGACGTAATTCATTAGCGACTGTTGATCACTTCTTTCTTCTCTAAGCATACGGTCTTCACTCGGCTTCCACTCTTGATTTTTCCTCACATCCTCTATCTCTGAACATTAGAGTGTTCCAGGGCTCTGTCTTCAGATTCATTTATCTACCTTCATTTTCTTCTTAACCTCCCTCTCTCTCTCTTTTTTTTTTTTTTTTTTTCAATTGAGACAGGGTCTCACTCTGTTGCCCAGGCTGGAGTGCAGTGGTGCAATCTCAGCTCACTCCAACCTCCATCTCCTGGGCTCAAGCGATTTCCCCACCTCAGCCTCCCAAGTAGCTGGGAGTACAGGCGTCTGCTACCACGCCTGGCTGATTTTTTAGTAGAGACAGAGTATTGCCATGTTGGCCAGGCTGGTCTCAAACTCCTGACCTCAAGTGGTCCTCCCGCCTCGGCCTCCCCCAAAGTTCTGGGATTACAGACGGGAGCCACCACACCCAGCCTTCTTAATCTCATCTAGTTCCTTTGTTACTAAAACTTAACTCCTATGTGCAGAGGATTTCCAAGTTTATGCGTCCAGCCCAGAGCTCTGCCCTGAATTTCAGGCCTGTGTCAGTTGCCTCCAGTCATTTCCTTTTTATGTCTAACAAACATATCAAATGTAACATGTTCAAAACTGAACTCTTCCTTCTGTTCCCCACCCGAAACCCATTTCTCCTACGGCCGCCTTTCTCCTCCTCCTCCTCCTCCTCCTCCTTCTCCTCCTCTTCCTCTTCTTCTTCTTTCACCTTTCTTCTTTCTTTCTTTTTTTTTTTTTTAAATAGAGACAGAGTATTAGTGTATTACCTAGGCTGTTCTTGAACACCTGAACTCAAGTAATCCTCCCACTTTGACCTACCAAAGTGCTGGGATTTTAGATGTGGGCCACCGTGCCTGACCTCCACAGCCTTCTACATCTCAATAACTGTCAACTTTTCTCCTTCTAATTTTTACAGCTAAAATCCTTGGAGTCATTCTTGTCTTTCTCTTCTTTTTATATTATATGCTAAATCCAAATCTATCAGTAAAGCTTATTGATTTTACCTTCAAAATATGTTCAGAATTTTTTTTTTTTTTTTTTTTTTTGAGATAGAGTCTTGCTTTGTTACCCAGGCTGGAGTGCAGTGGTGCAATCTGGGCTCACTGCAACTTCCACCTCCCAGGTTCAAGCCGGTTCTCCTGCCTCAGCCTCCCAAGTAACTGGGATTACAGGCACGTACCACCATACCCAGCTGATTTTTGTATTTTTAGTAGAGATAGGGTTTCACCATGTTGGCCAGGCTGGTCTTGAACTCCTAACCTCAGGTGATCCACCCGCCTTGGCCTCCCAAAGTGCTGGGATTACAGGCATGAGCCACTGCATCTGGCCTATGTTCAGAATTTTACCACTTCTAATTCTCTTCACTGCTGCCACTCCAACTTAAACCATTGTCTCCCACTGAGATAACTGGACCCATTGCTTTGACCTTTGTTTTCTTTTAATCTGTTCTTAACAAAGCAGAGTGATTGTGTTGAAGCATAAGTCCAGTCATGCCACTCCCCTGTCGAAAAGTCCTTAAAGTGGCCCTGCATGGTTTGTTTTCCTCCACCCTGACATGTTTTACTACTATCTCCCTTTCTCATCAGATTCCATGCACGCTAGCCACCTTGTTTTCTCAAATACTCTCTCTCAGTGATGCTCTCACCTCGGGGCCTTTGCGTTGGCTGTTGCCTTTGCCCTAACATTCTTCACCCATATATCATCATGCCCCGCTCTCTCAGTTCCCTCTGGTTTCTGCTTATATTTACTCTATGAGAGAGGCCTACCTTGGCTACACTATAAAATAGCAACTTCTCCCCACCCACCCCACCTGTTATTGAGCTCCTAGGCCCTGCGTTGTTTTTCTCCTTAGTCTACACCAGCTGACGTACTATGATGGACTTTTGTCTGACTTCCCCCCACTGGAATGTAAGCTCCATCAGGTCAAGGACTTTACTTTGTTCACTTGTGTATCTGCAATGCCCAGAACGGGACCTGCTCTAATAGACACTCAGTGTAATTATATGTTGCATGAGTTAGTAAAAGCATTCTTTATAGAGGGACTGGTTAAATGAATTCTAATACATTTGTACAGTGGAATGCTATACAGCTGACAAAAGAAGTGAGGTAGCTGTATATACACCAATGAAAGGTTTCTAAATATGTGTTGATAAAAATAGGTGGCAGAATATTAAGAATTTGATCTTTTAAATGTTTAAAATTATTACATAATTGTGTGTTTTAACATAGGAAATTTGAGGTTTTATTTTTAAGAGAGAGGTCTCGCTATGTTGCCCAGGCTGGGGTACGGTGGCTATTCACAGGTGCAATCATAGCATTATAGCATACTATAGCCTTGGAACTTCTGGGTTCAAGCAATTCTCTTGCCTCAGTTTCCAGAGTAGCTGCAACTAGAGATTGCACCACAGTAGCTGCAACTAGAGATTGCACCACTGCACTCCAGCCTGGGTGACAAAGTGAGACTCAGTCTCAAAGAAAAAAAAAATTAGTATTTGGCCTCACAGTCTAGTGCTCATTCTATACCACCACACTAGCTCCCAGTATGAAGACTATCTGTTTGTACAAAGACAATATATATCAGGCTAGAGAATAAGATATCTGAGCTGACCTCTCACTTTTAACTTTATGACATTACAACATACATAAAGATCCAGGAAGAAGGGAGATGTAGAGGGATTAGAAAAAGGTCATTTCCTCTTCTATTGGTGAGAATGTTGTCAGGGAAAATCATAAGCAAATAGTTTCCTAAATTATGAAAATAGAACATGTACGTGACCCGCAAGAAATTGAGGAGATGGAGAAGAGTAAAATTCTTCCCTTGGATTTCTCAGAGAGATAACTACTGTTAACAGTTTGTGTTTTGGATTTTCTAAGGATTACCATTTTAATGTCAAATAATGTGTTCCTTATTTAATCTTATTTATTGATTGATTTGTTTGTTGGTGGAGACAGGGTCCCACTGTGTTGCCTAGGCTGGTCTTGAACCATCCTCCTGCCTTGGCCTCTCAAAGTGTGGGGATTACAGGCTTGAGCCACTGTACCTGGCCTTATTTAATCAACTTTAAGTAAGATCTATTTACTCCTTGTTGTGAAGGACAAATTTAACATAACTTTCACCCAGTCTTTCTTTCTTTTTCAGTTGTTTAGTTATTGTTACAGTATGAGTGTTTGATATTTAGTTTGTTATTTTAACTACAATTGAGTCTTTTCTGCTTTGTAAATTATTCTAAGACTTGAAAACAAGGAACATGTACAATATTATGATTGTTTCATTGTTGGGCATTGCAAAACCAAATGATTTTATTGGACTCACTGAAAAGAAAAGAGACATTGAATTAGTTTAGATTGTAACAGTTCTAGTCGTCAAGGTCTACTGGATCTTTTTTTCCCTTAATGGCAAGTCTGTTGTTTCCTTAAAACTTGTGTCTTTTAACATTATGCAGATGTTCTTCAAAACTTGATTTTTTAAAAAGGTAGTTTCCTTTTTTTATGCCAAAGTATTTTAAAATACAATTCAGAAATCTTGACCTCCTATCTCTAAATAGTTAAATAGGCATTTTAAAAAAACATGTTAACATTTTGCTAGATAGCAAAATTAGCATTATAACGTATTTATTAGCATCTATAAGATAGAACTTTCTTCTCATCATCTGTGCCTGTTGCTCTACACTGACATACAGTTCTACTAGAAAGACAGGCTAAATGCTTAGTTCTTTCCTTTTAATTACTAATGAGGCTTTTACATTTTTTTTTAACTTTTAAAGTAGGGAGTTGTTCGATCGCTGTGCCAAATGGTGACAAATAGCTTTCTCTTCTTTGATTATCATGGCTTCATGGATTTTCATGGGTGTACATCAGTAAATAGAATCATTCTTTTTTGGTGCCAGTTGGTCACGGCTTTACCCTTTTACCAGTCGACGGACATTTAGGTTGTTTCCACTTCTTGGCTATTATGAATGATGTTGCTATGAACATTCATGTATAAGACTTTGTGTAGACATACGTTTTAGTTTCTTTTGGATATATGCTGGAGAGTGAAATTGCCAGGTCATATGGTAACTGTTTTTGAGGAACTGCCAGACTCTTCCACAGCAGCTGCACCGTTTTACATTCCCCGCAGCAGTACATTCCAATTTCTCCATGTCCTTGTCAGTACTTGCTATTGTCTCTCTTTTTCATTATAGCCATCCTAGTGGGTGTAAAGTGGCATCTCATTGTGGTTTTGATTTGCATTCCCCAAAAAACTGGTGATGTTGCACATTTTTTCATTTGCTAATTGGGCTTTTGTGCATCTTCTTTGGAGAGATCACTATTCAAATCCTTTACACATTTTTAAATAGTGTTGCCTTTATTGTTAATTTCTAAGCATTCTTTATATATTCTGAATATTAGATCTTTGTCAACTATATGATTGGCAGAGGTTTTCTATTCTGTGGGTGGTCAGTTTACTTCTTGATGGTGTCCTGTGAAGCACAGAAGTTTTTAATTTTGAGAAAAGTTCAATTTATCTGTTTTTTTTCTTTTGTTGCTTATGCTTTTAGTGTTGTAGCCAAGGCTTTACCTAACCTAAAGTCAAGAAAATTTACTCTTATATTTTCTTCTATGTGTTTTATACTTTTAGCTCTTACATTTAGGTCTTTTTTCCATCTTGTGTTAATTTTTGTGTGTGGTAGAGGAAGGAGTTCCAACTTCATTTTTTTTGCCTGTGTATATCCTATTGTCCCAGCACCATTTGTTGAAAATACTGTGCTTTAACCATTGAACTGTCGGCACCATTTTCAAAAATGAACTGACTTACAGCAAGAGGTTTATTTATGGACTCTAAATCCTGCTCCATCTATATGTTTGTTATATTAGCCCATTCTCACACTGCTACAAAGAACTACCTGAGACTGGGTAATTTATGAAGAAAAGAAGTTTAATTAACTCATAGTTCTGCAGGCTTAACAGGAAGCATGACTGGGAGGCCTCAGGAAACTTACAATCATGGGAGAAGGTGAAGGAGAAGCAAGCACCTTCTTCTCAGGAAAGAGAGTGAGAGAGTGAAGGGGAAAGTGCCATGCAGTTTTAAACCATCAGATCTCGTGAGAACTCACTCACTATCATGAGAACAGCAAGGGGGAAATATGCCCTCATGATCCAATCAGCTCCCACCAGACCCTTCCCCTGATATATGAGGAGTACAATTCGACATGAGATTTGGGTGGGGACACAGAAAAAACCATATCACCTGTCTTTATGCCAGGACCACACTGTCTGAATAACTGTAGCTTTGTAATAAGTCTTGAAATTGGGAAGTGCGAACCTTCCAACTTTGTTGGGTTTCAAGATTGTATTGGCTGTTTGGGATCTGTTGCATTTCCCTGTGATTTTTAAGATCATCCTTTCAGTTTCTATAAATAAACCAGATAGGATTTGATAGCAATTGTGTTGAATCCATAGATCAATTTGAGAAGTATTGCCTTTTTAACAGTATTAAGTCTTTCAATCCATGAACACAAAATATCTATTTAGGACCCTTTGATTTCTTTCAACAATGTTTTGCAACTTGCAATATATAGTCCTATATTTCTTTTGTTAAAATTATTCCTAAGTATTTATTCTTTTTACACTATTGCAAATGGAATAGTTTTCTTAGTTTTATTTTCAGATTGCTCGCTGCTAGAGTATAGAAATACAACTGATTTTTGTATGTTGATCTATCATGATGGAGTCTTGCTCTTTCACCTAGGCTGGAGTGCAGTGGTGTGATCTCAGCTCACTGCAACCTCCACCTCCCGGGTTCAAGCGATTCTCCTGCCTCAGCCTCCCGAGTAGCTGGGATTATAGGTGCCTGCCACTACGCCCAACTAATTTTTTGTATTTTTAGTAGAGATGGGGTTTCACCATGTTGACCAGGCTGGTCTCGAACTCCTGATCTTGTGATTCACTCACCTCAGCTTCCCAAAGTGCTGGGATTGTTTTAAAGGTTTAAGCAAGTTTTAAAACGTTAATTGTAAAGAAAATTCTGTGTGTAAACATATTAGCTAAAGTTAAAAAGGTATCATCCAGTTTTTCTGGGACATCCTTGTCTTTCTTGTTCATGATTTTTAAAGGAAAATATGAGGTCTTTAAAAATAAATATTACATTAGCCAGGCATGGTGGTGTGCACCTGTAATCCCAGTTATTTGGGAGGCTGAGGCAGGAGAATTGCTTGAACCCAGGAGATGGAGGTTGCAGTGAACTGAGATTGTGCCACTGCACTCCAGCCTGGGTGACAGCGCGAGAGACTGTCTCAAAAAAAAGAGAAAAAGTATGTTTACTGTATGCTTTTTAGAGGTGGTCATTTTTTAGGTTAAGAAAGTTCCTCTCTTTTTTTTTTTTTTTTTTTGTTTTGTTTTGTTGTTTTTTAAAGACAGGGTCTCATTTTGTCACCCAGGCTGTTGGAGTGCAGTGGCCTAATTGTGGCTCACTACAGCCTCAACTGCTTGGGCTCAAGCCATCCTCCCACCTCAGCCTCCCCAAATAGCTGGGACTATAGGTGTATGCCACCACACCCGGCTGATTTTTTGTTTGTTTGTTTGTTTGTTTGTTGAGCAAAGTCTTCCTTTGTCACTGAGGCTGGAGTGCAGTGGCATGGATCTCGGTTCAGTGCAACCTCTGCTTCCCGGATTAAGCAATTCTCCTGCCTCAGCCTTCTGAGTAGCTAGGATTACAGGTGCACACCACTGTGCCTGGCTAATTTTTGTATCTTTAGTAGAGACGGAGTTTTACCATGTTGGCCAGGCTGGTCTTGAACTCCTGACCTCAAGTGATCTGCCCGCCTTGGCCTCCCAGAATGCTGGGATTACAGGCATGAGCCACCACACCATGCCCTGATTTCTTTTGTAGAGACAGGGTTTTGCCATTTTGGCCAGGCTGGTCTGGAACTCCTGAGCTCAAGCTATCAGCTCACCTTGGCCTCCCAAAGTACTGCGATTATAGGCATGAGCCACTGCACCCGGCTGAGAAAGTTCCCTATTCTGAGTTTGTTGATTGTTTTTTTTTTTTTTTTTTTTACATAATGAAAAGAGTTTTTTATTTCAGAGAAATTTTGTTTTACTGTTTCTTTGATTATTTCATTTCCTCTGTTCTTTTCTCTAGAAAGCCATTAGATAGTTTCAGGGTCTCTGTGCTATTCATGTTTCTTTTCTTTTGTGCTCCATTTAACCTTTTGTTTTATCTTCTGGGAGATTTTCTTATTTTCTTTTCTTTCTTTTTTTTTTTTGAGACTGAGTCTCGCCCTGTCACCCAGGCTGGAGTGCAGTGGCGCGATCTTGGCTCACTGCAACCTCTGCCACCCAGGTTCAAGTGATTCTTCTGCCTCAGCCTCCTGAGTAACTGGGACTATAGGCACATACCACCACACCCAGCTAATTTTTAAAAACATTTTTAGTAGAGACGGCGTTTCACCGTATTGGCCAGGCTGGTCTCGAACTCCTGACCTCAGGTGATCCACCCGTCTCGCCTCCCAAAGTGCTGGGATTACAGGCGTGAGACACTGCACCTGGCCTCTTCTGGGAGATTTTCTTGACATTCTCTTTTAGGTTACTGGCTGTGTATTCAGCTGTGTCCATTTTGATATTTAACCCACCTATTAAATTTTTAAACTTTGATAATCATATTTTGTCAATTTGATTATTCGTGTTCTTTACTTTTTTAATTTTTGTAGCTACAGTATCTTTTTGATCCTCTCTGGACCTATTTTATTTTTTTCATCTTAAGAACCTTTAATACAGTTATCTAAATGCAGAGTTTCAGTTTATGAAATGAACCAAAGCAGTTTGTCATTTCATACTATAAAATATTGAAAATCAAGTGCTAAACTGATACTTTAGTTTTAAAGTTGTTTATTGAATTATCTGTTAACTCTTATGAGTAGGTATTGTTTTTTTGTCTTGGATTTTTCCTTTTGTGCTGTTGGGGTTGTCTTGAAAATGTATTTAGCTTAGCGGAATGAGGGATTAGAGTGATTAGTATAGGTTGTTGGCATGGATTTTTTTTTTTTCTTTTTGGTAACATAGTCTCTTTGTTTTCCAGTTTTGCATTTCTAGATTTTAACACAGGACCAGGCACAGAGGGTCACATTTAATGTTGAATGAATGATCAGTTACAGCATTTTTTTCTCTAACGGATCTGAGCATTGTCACATGAGATCCCTATATTGTGTAGTACCTTTTACCTTTTGAAAACATTGTTTTCATTTTCATGAGGATTTTCTGCTTCCCGACTAAGGAATTTCCTAACTGCCTACGTCCTCAGTTAACTTTTGCATTTTTACTTATCAATGAGCTATTTATATGTGTATTTTTACAGAAAGCTTTAATTTGGAAACATCACACTGAATCACTTTCTAACACCCTTAGTTTGCTGGAAGACAACTTAGAATCAGAAATAAGCATATTTAAACCCATATACCATATATCAAGAAATCTGTAAAGGGCCCTTAGTTTGCTGGAAGACAACTTAGAATCAGAAATAAGCATATTTAAACCCATATACCATATATCAAGAAATCTGTAAAGGGCCTTTTAGATCCCTCTTCTATGGGATCTGGCAACACAGAGCCATTCCTACAACTCCCAAAAGCAAATCTCTATCCAGCACAGACAGACCCGGGTAGGCTGATGATCAATAACCAGTGGAGGGGTATATTTGCTGCATAGGAATAAATGCTAACCTTAGATAGTCTATGATTCCCCTTTGTCTTCTCTATTTCTCTGTTGGTATCTCATTGTTTGTATTATATTCAGAACTTGCATTATGGGTAATTAAAGTCCTTTGGAACGTGCTTTAAGTTTTTGAGGCTTTTCTTTACCCTTCTAGTGTATTGGAGTAGAAATGCTTATACTGCAGCATGGTGTTAAGGAAAGTGCGCACACTGTTTTTTGTTTATGGTATTCCACGGAAATTAAGTGCACACACTTTGAACTTCCTAACTGCCTACTTCCTCAGTTTACTTTTGCATTTTACTTATCATTGGGCCATATATATATGTGTGTGTGTGTGTGTGTGTGTGTGTGTCTTTTTTATTTTTATTTTTATTTTTTTTGAGTCAGAGTCTCACTCTGTCATCCAGGCTGGAGTGCAGTGGTACGATCTCGACTCACTGCATCCTCTGCCTTCCAGGTTCAAGCGATTCTCCTGCCTCAGCCTCCCAAGTAGCTGGGACTACAGGCATGCACCACCACACCTGGCTAATTTTTTATATTTTTAGTAGAGATGAGGTTTCACCATATTGGCCAGGCTGGTCTTGAACTCCTGACCTCGTGATCTGCCTGCCCTGGCCTCCCAAAGTGACAGGATTACAGGCATGAGCCACTGCACCCGGCCCTATGTGAGCTTTAATTTAGAAATATCTCACTAAATCACTTTCTAACACCCTCAGTTTGCTGGAAGAAAACTTAGAATCAGATATAAGCATATTTAAACCAATATACCATATATCTAGAAATCTGTAGAAGTGTTTTTTAATCATTTGATTCTTTTTTTTATTTTTTTTATTTTTTATTTTTTGAGACGGAGTCTTGCTCTGTCACCCAGGCTGGAGTGCGGTGGCATGATCTCTGCTCACTGCAACCTCTGCCTCCTGGGTTAAAGCAATTCTCCTGCCTCAGCCTCCCGAGTAGCTGGGATTATAGGTACCTGCCCCCACGCCCAGATTATTTTTTTTGTATGTTTAGTAGAGACGGGGTTTCACCATGTTGGCCAGGCTGGTCTTGAACTCCTGACCTCATGATCCGCCCACCTTAGCCTCCCAAAGTGCTGGGATTACAGTCGTGAGCCACTGCACCCAGTCTAATCATTTGATTCTTATTGGCTCTTATTATAAATATAGTTCAGACAGTCATTTGTATAGAAACACATTGTAGGGCCGGGCGTGGTGGCTCACGCCTGTAATCCCAGCACTTTGGGAGGCTGAGGTGGGCGGATCATGAGGTCAGGAGATCGAGACCATCCTGGCTAACACGGTGAAAACACCATCTCTACTAAAAAAAAAAATTCAAAAAATTAGCCGGGAGTGGTGGCGGGCGCCTGTAGTCCCAGCTACTCAGGAGGCTGAGTCAGGAGATGGTGTGAACCTGGGAGGCAGAGCTTGCAGTGAGCCGAGATCGTGCCACTGCACTCCAGCCTGAGCAACAGAGCAAGACTCCATCTCAAAAAAAAAAAAAAGTAAAAATAAAAAATAAAAAAATAGAAACACATTGTAAAAGGAGAGGATTGTAAAAGCAATCAAATGATAACTGAAGGAAAGAATGCTCGTATCCTAGTGCATTATAATACTTGAGGTTCATAATGATGACCCTTAATTAGTAAGGAAAGATTGGATTTGCTGCATCCTAGAGTAGAGAACATTTTTAGTTATTTGGAATTATATAGACTTGGCACTCCCCCCGAGACCCCCACCGCAAGATGGAGTCTTGCTCTGTCACCCAGGCTGGAGTGCAGTGGTGTGATCTCAGCTCATCGCAACCTCCACCTCCCAGGCTGAAGCGATTCTCCTGCCCCAGCCTCCTAAGTAGCTGGGATTACAGGCGCCCACCACCATGCCCGGCTAATTTTTTTTGTTTTGTATTGTTTTTTTTTTTTTTTTTTTTAGTAGAGATGAGATTTCACCATGTTGGCCAGGCTGGTCTTCAACTTCTGACCTTAGCTGATCCACCTGCCTCAGCCTCCCAAAGTGCTGGGATTATACGCCTGAGCCACCGCACCCAGCCTCAAATGATAAACTTTTTTTTTTTTTTTTTTTTTGAGACAAAGTCTCGCTCTGTTGCCCAGGCTGGAGTGAAGTGACACAATCTTGGCTCACTGCAAGCTCCGCTTCCCAGGTTCAAGCGATTCTCCTGCCTCAGCCTCCCCAGTAGCCGGGATTACAGGCGTGCACCACTGTGCCTGGCTAATTTTTTGTATTTCCAGTAGAGATGGGATTTCACCATGTTGGCCAGGCTGGTCTTGAATTCCTGACCTCAGGTCATCCACCCGCCTCGGCCTCCCAAAGTGCTAGGATTACAGGCATGAGCCACTGTGCTCAGCCTCAAATCATAAACTTTTTAAAGGTTTATCCCTGACCCTCTAAATTAGGTTATGTGCCTTGTTATATGCTCTTTTAGCACTTCTCCTAATTGTGATTGTGTATTTATTATATGATTGTTTATTCAACAGTTTCTTTCAACAAATATTTACCAAGTGTTTAGTAAATCTTCTTTTGGATTGTAAGCTTCATTAAGGCAGAGTAAGGACTGAGTCTGTGGTTTCTCCTGGCCATGTGCACCTAGCACCTAGCACAGTGCTTAGACATAGGGAGTACTTAATAAATAGTCATTGAATGGATACATTAAAATGGCGTTAATAATGCTGCCTATCTGATAAGGCTGTTGTGAGCCTTCAATGAAATCGTGTGTAGGAAGTGCTAGTTTGCTCACAGGTTGGTGGTAACAGTCTACTGTGGTCATTGAGAGCAGTTATTGTGGACACAACCCACAGTTCTTGTCACCCCACCCACTAGCTCTGTGAACCCACATAGGTACTTAATATCTCTGATTTTTATTTTATTTATCTGTAAAATGGAACTAATAATTACAACCACCTTATAGGACAGAGTCTTGGCTCTGTCACCCAGGCTGGAGTGCAGTGGTGTGATCTCGTCTCACTGCAACCTCCGCCTCCCAGGCTCAAGCAATTCTCCTGCCTCAGCCTCCTGAGGAGCTGGGATTACAGGTGTGCACCACCGTGCCTAGCTAATTTTTGTATTTTTAGTAAGATGGGGTTTTGCCATGTTGGCCAGGCTGGTCTCAAGCTTCTGGCCTCAAGTGATCCACCTGATTTAGCCTCCCAAAGTGCTAGGATTACAGGTGAGCCACCTGACCCAGCCTCCTTATAGGATTTTGTAAGAATTAACCTGTGACAATGACAGTGAAACATTTAGGTTACAGTAACTTGTTGAATAGATGGTGGTTATACCATTGTTAATAATGAGTAAGAACAGTAATCAAAAGAATATGTAGAAAGTATCAGAAGAAATTCACTTGTGGAAATGCTGTATTCTCTGATGAGATAGTCGTACTGTATTTTTACTATTCCATGATCCTCAGAATATTGAATATTTTCTACTTACGTCTGTGATGGGTCATACTTTGTTAGCTGCAGTTTTACCTTGTTTTAAAAAGTACTATTAGGCTAGGCGTGGTGGCTCACGCCTGTAATCCCAGCACTTTGGGAGGCCGAGGCGGGCGGATCATGAGGTCAGGAGATCAAGACCATCCTGGCTAACACAGTGAAACCCCGTCTCCACTAAACATACAAAAAATTAGCCAGGCATGGTGGCGGGTGCCTGTAATCCCAGCTACTTGGGAGGCTGAGGCAGGAGAATGGCATAAACCCGGGAGGCAGAGCTTGCAGTGAGCCCAGATCGCGCCACTGCACTCCAGCCTGGGTGACAGAGCGAGACTCTGTCTCAAAAAAAAAAAAAAAGTACTATTGAGAATATAATATAATTAACCTGAATAGGTTAATAACCTGAATAGGTTAATTATATTATGGAACCTAAACCATATAAATTTAAAATGCCTTAGAATGCCCAGTCAGCAAGTGACAGTATTAGAAATCAACCTGGATTTTAGACCGCTGTGTGTTCATGGATAATGTTTGTGTGTTTAGGAGACTATTCTGAATAGTGTTTCACAGTCCTTTACGTGCATCCCCTTGTGCATTGGATGCTTCACTAGCCTTTTCTGACTAAAGCATATGAAAATACAAGTGAAAAAGGCAAGTTATTACAGGAATAACTTTTCATTTTCTCTAATTTTCATATTTTAAAAATTCATTTGTAAGCATTTGATACTTTAAACCTGTTTACAGGAACTTGGTATAAACCACCATGTCTAGCCCTTTGTCTCATATTTGAATTGTTTTACTTTCTTCTTGGCCACGTGGCCCTGACTTCTCACTTTCATAAGAAGGGGTTTGTATTGTGGAGATACAAATTATGGAGTTGTTTGCATTAATACAAGTGTTTGTGGAAAAAGATGCCAAACTTTCCTGTGATTGGTAATGCACCTTTATTGTAGGCTCAGCAAAACAGTCCCTCATCTACGGGATCTGGCAACACAGAGCATTCCTGCAGCTCCCAAAAACAGATCTCCATCCAGCACAGACAGACCCAGGTAGGTTGGTGATCGATAATCAATTGAGGGGGATACCTGCTGTGTAGGAATAAGGGCTAACCTGTGTAGTCTGTCATTCTTCTCTGACTTCTCTGACCACCTCATTATTTGTGTGTATTATATTCAGAACTTGCATTATGGGTATTTAAAGTCCTTTGGAAGGTGCTTTAACTTTTTGAGGCTTTTCTTTACTCTTCTGGTGTATTGTAGCAGAAATGCTTATGCTAAAGCATGGTGTTAAGGAAAGTGCACACTTTTTTTTTTTTTTCCTACAGTATTCCACAGAAGAAAAGTACCTACACTTTGAAGGCCTCTAAGTTCAGATTCTGGCACTGTGGCCTAAGTTCAGATTCTGGCCTGGGCCTCAGTTTTTCTTAGTACAAATCATCTGTGAAAATGTGGTTGATTCTCATGATCTCAGACAGTGTATACGAAATGTTTATTAGTAGTGTACTTGTAGTAGGCTTTCAATAAATGTTAATTCCCTAATTTATGAAAGTAGTTAATGTATTCCTTTTCCTGCTTACTTATTTATACCTGGCTAAACTTCTCTCAGATGTGAGATACCAACATGGTTTACTCCTTAAATTGTGTTCAGAAACTCTTTAATTTAGGGAGTGTTCTGAACATTTGAGGATTGTATCTGCAAAGGATGGTGGCTATAGCTTCCATTTTGTAGTTTTGAGTATACTGGGTTTTCTTGAAGCCTCTTTTGATACTGTATATATTATCTTCAAGACAGGATCGTTGGCAATCTAGGAGAATTTCTTAAATCTCAAGAGGTATACAACTCCCTGGAGCACATTTGAATTTTATCTAAATCACCAGCTCTTGTACAGTTCAGTTAGATAGTTGAGCACTCAGGTAGCTTCTTCTCTTCCCTTCTGATTGCTCTCTGTTTCCACCAGATGGCGCATTTGTTCCTTAGAGAGTTGTGTCAAGTCTCCTGTGAGATCGTTTTCTATTCAAAGTTAGTTTCATTTCTGGAGTAACGTGTTTCTACATTGTTCAGTGCACAGTAGTGAGAATTCATACATTTGATTCCAGAATTAACATGTATTTGAAGTGTAGGTGTAGTGGGACGTAAGGAACCCAGCAGAGGACTTGAACAATGAGATGAGACAAGCAGATTTCATTTCTTAAGCCATGTGATTCTAGGCCATTTGTGTGAGCAAGTGCTTTTTTTTCCCCCCAAGAAAGGTAACGAGAAGAGTGTGATGACATATAACATGTTGAGACTAATCCTAAATTTGTTTTACCTTTGTCTCTGTAGTCCAACCTCACAATAGAAAAAATATCTGCACTAGAAAACAGTAAGAATTCTGACCTAGAGAAGAGGGAGGGAAGAATAGATGATTTATTAAGAGTAAGTATTAAAATTTGGTAAGATATTTTATAGCAAGCACCATTTGTTATATATATTTGGATTATGTACATATCATAGAAGTAATTACTATAGCCAAATAACAATGAAATAATAAACATTTGGGTATTTTTCTTTAATTGAGGGAATCTGAGTAGGAACCAGGTTCCTGCATTCTAAACACTACCTTTAAATTGGAAATCTTATACTGTAGTATTTTAATGATTGAATTTATATTGGAGAAATAGATATGTGGAGTGTTATATTTCATCTAGAACTGTGGGAATAAGTATAAAGTGTTGTTTTCCCATTCCAGAGAAATTATTTTAATATTGTTGAATTTTATAAGCTATTTCAAAGGACTTTTTAGCCCATTTTGCTTTTTGTACCTTTTATAACCTACTCACCCAAACTTTTTTGTGCTTACAAAAGAAACCTTTAAAATGCTTCATCTGGAATTAAATAGATATCACTAGAAAATACTTTATCAATATATTTTGAACATGCAATTTGGCATGACTGACTCATAGTTTTTAAAGAGTAAAAAGGGCCGGACATGGTGGTTCACACCTGTAATCCCAGCACTTTGGGAGGCCAACGCAGGTGGATCACTTGAGGTCAGGAGTTTGAGACCACCCTGGCCAACATGTTGAAAAGAAACCCTGTCTCTACTAAAAAAATATAAAACATTATCCTGGTGTGGTGGCAAGCGGCTGTAGTCCCAGCTACTTGGGAGGCTGAGACAGGGGAATTGCTTGAGCCTGGGAGGCGGAGGTTGCAGTGAGCCGAGATTGCGCCACTGCATTCCAGCCTGGGCGACAGAGTGATACTTCGTGTCAAGAAAAAAATAAGAAAGTAAAAAGGACCGGGCATGGTGGCCCATACCTGCCACTTTGGGAGGCTGAGGCAGGAGGATTGCTTGAGATCAGGAGTTTGAGACCAGCATGCATGACACAGCAAGACCCCATTTCTATAAAAGAATACAAAATTTGCCAGGCATGGTGGTGTGTCTGTGGTCCCAGCTACTGGGAGCCTGAGGTGGGAAGATGCTTGAGCCCAGGACCTCTAGGCTACAGTGAGCCAAGTTCACGCTGCTGCGCTCCAGCCTGGACAACAGAGCAAGACCCTGTCTCAAAAAAAAAAAACCATTATACATGCTCTTTACAAAATACAGAAAAATATGTCACTCATAATTCCATTAATTGGGATTAAACATTTGGTACATTTTTTTTTTCAGTAATTTTGAGCTGTTTGAAGTAGATATGTGTGTGTATATATATATATACACACACACACACAAATGAATATATACATAAATGTTACTGATTTACGAATAACATTGGCTAGCATTTTTCTCTTCTCTAGTGATTTAGAAGGTATAGGTTTGATCCTTATTTCTGCTAATGTGGTAGTTAATCTGACTCTTCAGGGTCCTGAAACCTCCAGGGCTACTGTGACACAGCAAGATGGGGATCGGCAACCTTGCCTTTGTCAGTCTTTCTTATTAGGCTTTGGGTACAATTTTGTTTGAATATATGTTTAATAATACAGATTATAAAAGTCACTGTACTCATGATGATCTGACCTCCAAAATTTTTTTACTTGTATTATATTTCTGTACTTAATAAAAACATAAGGTAAAATAGTGTATTTTGACTCCTTTTTATATAAAACCTGGAATTCAGCACATAGCTAAACTAAGTCTGGCCTTTATTAGTAAAGTCTGGTGTGTTTATATTATTATTAATTTTTTTTTTTTTGAGACAGAGTCTTGCTCTGTTGCCCAGACTGAAGTGCAGTGGCGTGATCTCAGCTCACTGCAACCTCCGCCTCCCAGGGTCAAGCAATTCTCCTACCTCAGCCTCCTGAGTAGCTGGGATTACAGGTGCCCGCCACCATGCCCAGCTAATTTTTGCATTTTTAGTAGAGATGGTGTTTCACCATGTTGGTCAGGCTGGTCTCGAACCCCTGACCTTGTGATCCACCCACCTCGGCCTCCCAAAGTGCTGGGATTACAGGCGTGAGCCACCGCGTCCAGCTATTATTATTAATTTTATATATTTATTTTGAGACAGGATCTCACTCTGTCACCCAGGCTGGAGTGCGGTGGCGCAGTCTTGCAAGCTGTGCCCTCCCCAGTCCCCACCCGATGTGATCCTCCCACCTCGGCCTCCCAAGTAGCTGGGACTATAGGCATGTGCCACTACATTTGGCTGTTTATATTATTAATCAATTAATTTTTTGAGACAGAGTCTCACTTTGTCACCCAGGTTCAAGTGATTCTCCTGCCTCTGCCTCCCAAGTAGCTGGGATTACAGGCATGCACCACAATGCCTGGCTAATTTTTGTATTTTTAATAGAGATGGGTTTTTGCCACATTGGCCACGCTGGTCTCGAACTCCTGACCTGCAGTGATCAGCCTGCCTTGGTCTGCCAAAGTGCTGGGATTGCAGGCGTGAGTCACTGCGCTCGGCCTATATTATTATTATTAAATTACCATTTTTACTGCTATATATGACACTAAGTTCTTATGTATAGAGTATAGGCAGAGGCAGCTTTATGACCAAATTCATAGTCATTGTTAGACTGGTTTATTCAACTGATTTCAAGGCTTATCAACAGTATTTTTTTTTATTTATAGTTCTTGTTTTATCTGTTGATGGTGGTACATTTTTAAGTGATTATTTTTCAGCAAGGATTTGTCAGTGTTAAATTTTCTCTGCCTTGCAGACCTGAGAATTCTCTCTTTTGCCCTCCCATGGAAAGACAACACTGTGTGCAGGATTTTTGTGTCATAACCCCTTGTTCTGTTTGTTCTGCTTCTCAAATATAACACACATTCTCTCTCTCTGTTTCTCCTTCAGTTTTTCAAGCATTTTGTATTTCAGAGAGGTTCATGACCAAAGCAGCAAACACCATAATTTGTTAAATATTACCCCAGGGTGTATCTATATGTGGGTTTATATATTTTTATTTGGAAAATGTGTGATTATGTCTAACTATGCTTTTATCCCTGTTTATATTGGTTTCTTCTTGACTCTTAGCTTGAATCTCTGATTTCTCTCCTTTATTTCTAACATGTTATGTCTCATTTTAATATGATTGCCCCTTTCTTCTGAGTCTCATTAAACACTGTCTTCCATATATTTCTGGCATTTACTGCAGCTCATGTGAATTTTGATTTTATTGTTTACATTTTTATTTTTTGAGACAGTGTCTTGCTGTCGCCCAGGCTGGGTGCAGTGGCACCGTCATGGCTCACTGCAGCCTTCATCTCCCAGGCTCAAGTAGTCCTCTCACTTCAGCCTCCTGAATAGCTGGGACTACAGGCATGTGCCACTGTGCTTGGCTAATTTTTTTATTTTTTGTAGGAACAGGGTCTCACTATGTTGCCCAGGCTGGTCTTGAACTCTTGGGTTCAAGCAATCCTCCTACCTTGGCCTCCCAAAGTACTGGGATAACAGACGTGAGTCACCGTGACAGGCCTATTATTTACATTTTAAATTTCCCTGCTTTTTTCCCTCATCTAATATACTTTCTTACCCCATCCTGTATATTCTCTAGGGTTTTTGGTTCCTATTTCCTAGATATCATGTCTTTTTGCATTTTATGAAATATGACAAGAAGTATTCTAAAATGTTCTTTTGATTTCTGTGGGTGATAATTTTCATTGTTTTCAAGCTGATTTTCTGTATTCCTTGGGCCTATTTTTGTTGTTGTTGTTTTTATTTACTATTGTTATTTTTATTTCCTTTTCTCCATCTTTGAATGAGGAGACCCATATGTAGTCTCAGCACTGTGTTGTATTTTTCATTGTTCGGATATGTATACTTGCATGGAGTTGCTCTTATTCCTGTTTTTATTCATTTGGGTGCTGGTTGAATTGCCATCAAAGATTTATAATGAAATGGTTTGTGGGTGTAAAAAGCTCCTTGCCAAATTCCAGTATCTGTCAGGGTTTTGTACAGAGAAGCTCTGCTGTACTGAGAAATAATTGTGGGCGTGCCTTTCTCCATCATCTGACTCTTTAAGATTGAGATGACAGAGTATGAGAAAAACTTGAATCCTAACCTGGTACTGCTTTAGGAGTTTTAAAAAAATGTTTGCTTATGTTTTCTAAGAAGCAATATGTTTCCTTCACTCACCACTGCCCCTTCTACTCTGTCGTCTTCAGACTGTTGCAGTCTTTATTTGTATGTAGAGCAGTACTAAAGGAGTAGATAAATAAAAAAGGAAGACACCGAGGGCAGCTGCCTTGTTTTTAGGTTGATTAGAACTTGTGCTTCTAGAAGATCTAGAGGATCAATAGTGAGGGAAAGACTGCATGTCTTGTATATTCTTTCAGACATCATTCATTGAATTTTGCCATTTTAGTAAGATGTTGGGTATGGCTGCATTGGGGGCTACTAGCCATCTGCTTTTTTTTTTCTTTTTTTTTTTAATTTAAAAAAAAGGACACAGTGTCTTGCTCTGTCTCCCAGGCTGGAGTGCTGTGGTGCAATCACAGCTCACTGCAGCCTCGACCTCCCAGGCTCAAGCAATCCTCAGCCTCCCGAACAGCTGGCATCAGAGGCGCATGCCACCACACACGGCTAATTTTCAAAATTTTATAGAGACAAGGTTTTGCCATGTTGCCGAGGCTGGTCTTGAACTCCTGGGCTCAAGTGATGCTCCTGCCTCGGCCTCCCAGAGTGCTGGGATTATAGGCATGATCCACGCGCACCAGCCACCAGCTGTTACTTTAAACATGAACTCCTCGAAGACATTAGCGTCAGAAGCCACAAAAACTTAGAATTCTTAAAATTTTAAATAACTGCCAAGAGGTTGATTGATTTCATACATTTGATTATAGATTTCAAGGGAACACTCACCTTATGAGTAGACTGGGTTTTCCATAAACATTAAATGATCTTTGCTTGGTAGATTCTTTAGTATGAATTTGGTAATCACACTTACCCAAATGTAGTTACACTCTGCCTTTGATAATATGGTTCTGTACAAAAACTAACAGGAAGACATTATGCTATGGGGAGAGGAGAAACATTTGGAGACAGAAGCTGTTTCTCATGGGTTACTTTAAAAATGATGCTATATTATACAAAAGAAATGATAAAAATTTTTAATGAAGCTACAAAGTCTCAAAAATTGAGTATCGTGTGATATCTTCTGTTTGTGGTTTTTAGTATTTTAGAAACACCTAACAGGTTTTTCTTTTTCATAATTTAAGTGAGTTTTTATGAGGTAACATTATTTGCTAGAAGAGCTGAGATCTTTTTTTTTTTTTTTTTTTTAACACAAAAGGACTAAATTCAGGACTTGCTAGTCAAATTCGTCCTTGGGTTAGTGGTTCTTTCCTTCTCTGTTATTGCAGGAGGCTTCAAGTTTTTAGTCCACACTGTAGGCTTCTGACCACAGCTAAATTAGCTGTGTATTTACATTCTGGCATTCTTGAACCAGGACCTTGTTTGTTTGTTCTGTCTTTTGTGGGCATGGGCGTGCCTGGCTTCTCTGGTGAGGAACATTTATGCAAATTTATCTTTCTTAAATACCACTAGAAAAAGAACAAAGCAAACATAAAATTCAGTAATTTTTTTGTATGTGCTTAATCACTCTTTGTATTTTAAACATTCATTGTAGTTTATTTTTTTATTATTTTATTTTTTGAGATGAAGTCTCACTCTGTCACCTAGGCTGGAGTGCGGTGGCGTGATCTTGGCTCACTACAACCCTCGCCTTTGGGTTCAAGCGATTCTCCCGCCTCAGCCTCCTGAGTAGCTGGAATTACAGGCTCCCGCCACCACGTGTGGCTAATTTTTTTATATTTAGTAGAGATGGGGTTTGACCACGCAGGCCAGGCTGGTCTTGAACTCCCGACCTCAAGTCATCTGCCTGCTTTGGCCTCCCAAAGTGCTAGGATTGCACGCATGAACCACGATTCCCAGCTTTAACATTTTTTAAATTATTATTTTGTGATAGCTTAGGTGTTTGTGATGACAAGAGTAGCTGTAACTGGTTATTGGCAGGAGCAAAATATGATCAGTAGAAAAAGATGCCCAAGTTAGTAATTCAGTTTATCATTTATAAATAGATGATATGTTATGAGAGAATAAAGGAATGAATTATTTACTTTTTCTAAGACATAGTTACTTCTTACCTGTTTGAACTTTAATTTTGCTTTTGATAAAACAACATATAGAAATGATTTTTTTTTTCTCTCCCTAGAAACTGCTTTTCCATTAATCTTCTTCCTTGGAGCTAATTAAAAATTTTTTTCTCATTGAAGGCCAACTGTGATTTGAGACGGCAGATTGATGAACAGCAAAAGATGCTAGAGAAATACAAGGAACAATTAAATAGATGTGTGACAATGAGCAAGAAACTCCTTATAGAAAAGGTCAGTGAATAATGTTGGTCTAAACTCTGTATCCCAAGATACTCAATGTGTGTCATTGTGTGGCTTCTTATTCCTTACTTGAGATGAAAATATTTAAAATTAGAGCTTTTTAGGAACATGATTTGACAATTAGAATTTTTTCCTTGCGTGGACACCAGACCAAGCATCCAGAGTGTTAATTTGGGATACGCTTTGTTGTTGTGCATTGCTTTGAGTGTGATATTGAACAGAGACAGCTTGTCCTAGTTGAATTTATTTGGGGTATTGCTCTCCTAAATTCTTATATTCATTCTATCAATTGAAGTGAGTATCCTATTACTATTAGAATCATTAACAATAGTTGCATTTTTGTTTCAGAGATGGCATTTAGAATAACTTATGTATATAATAATGTGATAATTAATGCTTTGTGCATTAAAAAATTAAAGTTGTCATATACCTGTATATGATTACTTAACTGGCTGATGTCCTGTTTATTATATTCATTGGTTGATTATCACTTACCTCTGTTAATAGGTATTAGTAACTATTAGAAGTTTTTTTTTTTGAGGCTGAGTCTCGTCCAGGCTGGAGTGCAGTGGCATGATCTCAGCGCACTGTAGCCTTCGCCTCCCAGATTCAAGCGATTCTCCTGCCTCAGCCTCCTGAGTAGCTGGGTTTACAGGCGTGTGCCACCATGCCCAGCCAATTTTTGTATTTTTTTTTTTTTATACTTTAAGTTTTAGGGTATATGTGTACAACATGCAGGTTAGTTACATATGTACACATGTGCCATGTTGGTGTGCTGCATCCATCAACTCGTCATTTAACGTTAGGTGTATCTCCTAATGCTATGCCTCCCCACTCCCCCCACCCCACAACAGGCCCCGGTGTGTGATGTTCCCTTTCCTGTGTCCATGTGTTCTCATTGTTCAATTCCCACCTATGAGTGAGAACATGCGGTGTTTGGTTTTTTTGTCCTTGCGATAGTTTGCTGCGAATGATGGTTTCCAGCTTCATCCATGTCCCTACAAAGGACATGAACTCATCATTTTTTATGGCTGCATAGTGTTCCATGGTATATATGTGCCACATTTTCTTAATCCAGTCTATCATTGTTGAACATTTGGATTGGTTCCAAGTCTTTGCTATTGTGAATAGTGCCACAATAAACATACATGTGCATGTGTCTTTATAGCAGCATGATTTATAATCCTTTGGGTATATACCCAGTAATGGGATTGCTGGGTCAAATGGTATTTCTAGTTCAAGATCCCTGAGGAATTGCGGGGTTTCGCCATGTTGGCCAGGCTGGTCTTGAACTTCTGACCTCAAGTGATCCACCCATCTCGGCCTCCCAAAGTGCTGGGATTACAGGCGTGAACCACCATGCCTGGCCAGCTCTATTTCTTTAAGCCTACATGTTTTGCACTTGTTAAAAGTATTTGAACATACAATTACTCAGCTTCCCTTGTTTATGCTTGAATTTTGTATAATCTTAAATATTTTTTCCAATCTAAGCTTTATTTTATCCCGTTTCTTCTATATTTGTATAACTTTAGGTAGCTATCTTCATTGGAAGTTTTTTCTCAAAAGCCTTAAAATAGAACATAGTTCTTGGCAGCAATTTGAAAGTTTTTTGAGGAGAAGGGGAGACTTACAATGATGATTCAAATGAAGTAAACTAAAAAGTAATGAAGCAAGACGGAGGAAAAAGCAGTATTCACTTGAGCACATCCCAAAAGAATAACATTTCAAATGTAACTAGAAGAAAGTATGCTGAAGTTCGCAATACAGAAATAATTATTAATAAGATAGCTTTAAAGCCCTGCTCAGCTTTTGAATGTTGGGAATTGACCCAGAGGTAGCTGTAACCTAAGATGGTTCCTTCAGTAATGACCATTTTTTCTTTTTCAAGATGATGATTATTCCCCACCTTCTAAGAGACAAAGACCAACGAGCCACCACAGCCACCGGTCCCAGAACCCGCCAATGCTGGGGAACGGAAAATGAGGGAGTTCAACTCTGGTAAGTTCTCAGCGAAATCCACAACCTTTTCCTTTATCTTCTGGACTCTCAATGTGACTGATGAAAGTTACCACATGCTCTGCAGGGGGAAATGATTTAGCATGTGTTACTACATCTTAATCACATCTTTGTAAAGCCAGGAGCATTTTGAAAGTCACGTTACAGACATTGTTTAAACATAGTCTGTATTTACCAAAGTATAGGACATTGTATCATCTCATATTAATTAGTTAGTTGGCTCAAAATTAGTGCTAATGACTTAGTAATTCAGTGATTTCTGTTAGCTTTAAAACCTTTATTTCAGAACTATTTCACCTCTTGGTTTTCATTTTTGCTGTGTGTCACTGCCTGCCGGCTGCTAATTTATTAACTCCCAGTGAATCATGTGTCCTGTGAAGGGACTGAATATTAGTGGCAAATTATGTTGATGATTTGTATTTTGAATAAATAGTTTGAATACATAGAACATTAAGCTTGTATACATTTTGAAAATAGTATTTTAGTATTCTACTGTGTCATAGTCACAATGATTGGATATATATTGAATTTATATGTACTTTAAGTTTTTATATGTTTATGGTCTTTAGCATTCTAACGTGCAATTGTATATCTGTTAAGTCTTTTTTTTTTCAAGATTAGACTCTGATTTATTGAGGCATCTGTTTGATGCCACATTAAGTGGCCCAGGCTTTGTGTAGGGGTTGAGGTTAAAGCAGGAAGAAGTGTGGTGAGAGGCAGGGGTACCAGGATTAGGTTGGAATACCTGGGGGTGCTCTGAGGCTCCCCTAGTTTCCCTGGTCTTGGCCGGCTGTGCTGCTGGCCTGGGCATCTGATGGGCCTGCAAGGGTGGTCCAGGGGCTAGGGCAAGGACTTTGGAGTCACGCTGTTGGCTTTGAATCCAGACTCCTACACTTGGTAGCTGTGAACTCTCCATGTGTCAGGGACCTGCAGAACTGAGCTCTGTCTGAGCCACGTTCCATCCAGGCACTGCGGATCCATCCAGAGGGGCACTGCCTCAGTTTGCTCACTATTCACTGCCTTCTCAAGCAGACGCTTGTCTCCTTCTAGGCCCTCACAATCCAGTGGAGGAGACGAAACTCAGCTGCCTCTGTCCCTCTGGGCACGCCTCATGCCAGGTGCATCTGTGGACAGGGGCCATGCTCCTGGGCTTCCAAAGTTGGAGAAAGCTGCCAGGCTCAGGTGGGTACATCACAGCAGCTGCTGCCCTCTGGACACAGTGACAAAAGAACACTCTGGGCCTGGAGCCCTGGTCTGGGGCATTGGGCAAGGCTGTTGCACTTCTCTGAGCCCATTTCCCCATCTGGAAAGTGCGCTGATTGTATCTCCCTGTGGGCACTGAGGGCTCAGTGTTAGTTTGAGAGCCAGTATCTGGGGTTTGGGCTGTAATTCCCCATCAGCCCCATAGCTGCGGGGAACCAGGGACTTTGTTGGGATTACCCTAGGCATCAGTCTAGCTTCCTGCCCCTGGCTTGGGCTCAGCACCTGAAGTAGTCTAGGGGGTAGGTGGTCCTGGTGGGGGCTGGGGCTTTTCCCCAGACTGAGCTCACACCCAGAGCCAGAAATCTTGGTGCCTGCTCTGGGCAAAGGTGCCAGCCTGTGCGACAAGAGCGTAACTCTGTCTCCAAAACAAAACAAAAAACCTTGCATCATTTCAAGGGGCTCACACCTCCCTAAGGGCCTGGTAATTGGCTGGCTCTGACCTGCATTTGGCCCCGAGGGTGTAGGTAACACCCCACCTTACCTGGTTTCTTCCTGCCAGGGCCAATCTTCAGACCTCAGGACTTTGCAGCCTATCCCACCTCCCCTTTGGCCAGCCTTGAGCCCTTGTGGGTCTGGCACTTTTTCCAGGCTGTCTCCTGGTTGTCCTTCTGCCTCGAGGCCCGGCTCATGCTACTCCCCCTCCCACTCACCAAGACCCACAAGGACCACTCCACACCCAGCTCAGCCCCATCCCCTCAGATAGTCCTTTCTCTTTCCTCAGGTGGCCAGGTGCATATCTTGGTGTGAGGACCTTCACTGTATCTGGGAAGGCCCTACTGGTCACCTTGGTGACAGAGACCAAGGCATTTACCTGATATGAGTGTCTTGGTTCACTGTCTACATGGCTAGGGAGGGAGTCAATAATAGGCTTTTCACTTGCTGCAAGGGCCAGTTCTCCTGGCCCCATGGCTCTAGGGACGGAGGATGCTGCAGGAGATGCACCGCTCACTTCCCAGCTGAGGACTGTGGGTCATCTCAGGGTGATTTCACAGTCCCCACATGCCCCACCCCCTCAGCTCTGCAAATACCAAGCAGTGCAACCTGCCGAGGGGATGATGGGCTCGAGAGTGCCCAGGTAGTGCCCAGAGTGCCCTTGGCAGGCCCCTCACCTAGCTGCTTCCACAGCTCTGTAGCAAGAGTTCTAACCTTTTTTGACCATGAAGCCTGCTGAGAATAAGAGCTGTGGACTGTTTTCCCAGAAAGGCATGTACATGCTCTCCACACAAAACCTTTCATCATGGCCAAGCACAGTGGCTCATGTAATCCCAGAACTTTGGGAGGCGGAGCCAGTCGGATCACCTGAGGTCAGGAGTTCAAGACCAGCCTGCCCAACATGGCGAAACCCTGTCTCTACTAAAAATACAAAAAATTAGCCAGGCGTGGTGGGAGCCACCTGTAATCCCAGCTCCTCCGGAGGCTGAGGCAGGAGAATCACTTGAACCCGGGAGGCGCAGGTTGTAGTGTGGTGAGATCACGCCACTGCACTCCAGCCTGGGCAACAGGAGCAAAACTCTGTCTCAAAAAACAAAACAAAACAAAACCTTGCATCCTTTCAGGGGGCTCACACCTCCCTAAGGGCCCAGTAATTAAACCCCCTGGGCCTGAGGGTGAGAAACTTTGTCTCAGTTCTTCCCTGAGTGATCAGCCCAGGGGTAAGGAAGGAGAAGCCAGAAAGCAGGACCCATGAGAAGGGCCCCCTCCTGGAGTTTGAGGCCCACTCCCTCCTGCCCCTGCCTCTCCTCTGTCCAGGACTCCTCCCTGCTCTGCCCCACTCCTGGGGCTGTAACCATGGGGAGCTGTGGTTTTCTACAGGCCCCTGGGCACAAAGTGGGCAGGCTCACCTGGAGGCGATCAGAGTAACATGGCAGGAAGTGAGGGGGAAAGCCGCCCTGGAACTGCGCCTCTCTGCCCCCTGATGTCACTGGCATGCACTCCTCCCTCCCGTCACTCAGGCAGTGGCATGAGTTCCATGTGAGCGCTGGCCTGCTCCCTCTGCTGCCTCTTTTTTTTCTTGGGGCTACCATAACACTTGCCCTTCCCCAGCCCTGCCAACCTGGTGGGACATTGGGCTTCCCTCTCACAGGGTCCTGGGGACAGGCCCATCCTTTATCATACCCACAGAGAGACCCTTTTTTTCTTCAGGACCTGGGGAGCAGCCAGGTTCCATGAGTTAAATGCAGATCTGAACCAAGCTGAGATTAGGGTACACACTCTCCTCTACTGAAAAGTAGCTAGAGATTCCAACTAGGTGAGAAGAAGAGTGGGGCAGAGGCAGACCAGACAAGGACTGATCACCTGGAAAAAGCCGGTCATCAAAGGTCTTGGCAAATGCTGGGTGCAGTGGCTCACTCCTGTAATCCCAGCACTTTGGGGGGCTGAGACAGGTGGACTACTTGAGGCAAGGAGTTCGAGTCCAGCCTGGGCAACATGGCAAAACCCCATCTCTACTAGAAATACAAAAATTAGCTAGGCATGCTACACTCCTGTAATCCCAGCTACTCAGGAGGCTGAGGCAGGAGAAATCACTTGAACTGGGGAGGCAGAGGTCGAAGTGAGCTGAGATTGTGCCCCTGCACTCCAGTCTGGGAGACAGAGTGAAACTGGGCCTCAAAAAAAAAAAAAAAAAGAATATGGCCTTGGCAGAGAGGGGCCAGCCCGGCAGTGCCTTCCCTTGGGTTTCTCCTGGGTAGGCCTCTGCCATGAGGAGGCACTTCCTTCTGCCTGTCCATGGCCCACAGCAATGGAATGTCTGCTTCTGGGGGTTGGGTGGGAGACCGCTGGCAGAACTGGAAACCTTCAGGTGGGTTTTTTTTGTTTTGTTTTGTTTTCGAGATGGAGCGTCGCTCTGTTACCCAGGCTGGAGTGCAGTGGTGGAATCTCAGTTCACTGCAACCTCCGCCCCCCGGGTTCAAACAATTCTCCTGTCTCAGCCACCTGAGTAGCTGAGATTACAGGCATGTGCCACCATGCCCGGCTAATTTTTGTATTTTTTGTATAGATGGCATTTTGCCATGTTGGCCAGGCTGGTCTCGAACTCCTGACCTCAAGTGATCCACCCTCCTCGGCCTCCCAAAGTGCCGGGATTACAGGCATGAGCCACTGAGCCCAGCCCCTTCAGGGGGGTTTTGGGGCTCCACTACAATACTAGTTTCCTGTGGCTGCTGCAACAAATTACCACACACTTAGTGACTTAAAACAACCAAAATGCATTCCCTTACAGGTCTGAAGGCCAGAATTCTACAGTAAGTCCTACTCAGTCAAGGTGGGAGCAGGGTCAGTGGCTTCCGAGGCTCTGCGGGAGAATCCGTTTCCTGGCCGTGGAGGTGGCCTGCACTCCTCAGCTTGTGCTGCCCGTCTCGAATGACTGGAGTTTCCTGCTTCTGTCACTACACCTCCCACCCTCTCCATCACCTGCTCTGCTCTTATAAGGATCCGAGTGAGTACATCAACCCCAAAAGCCAAAGACCCTTAACTTCATTATATTTGCAAAGCCCCTTTTGCCATATAAGGTCATGTTCACCAGTTCCCGGGATTAGGATATGGGCATCTTGGGGGCATCAGCCTGCTACAGCTAGGCTGCAAAACTATTACACCCTCCTGGTGTTTCAATGATTGGGAGAAAAAGGGTTGGCATTTTTTGCTTAGGGGTCCCTCTTAACCTTGTATCTGTAAGGTCTGGGGTCCCTCTTAACCTTGTGTTTTTGTTTTTGTTTTTTTGAGGTGGAGTCTTGCTCTGTCATCCAGGCTGGCAGTGGCGTGGTCTTGGCTCACTGCAACGTCTGCCTCCTGGGTTCAAGTGATTCTCCTGCCTCAGCCTCCTGAGTAGCTGGGACTACAGGCGCCTGCCACCATGCCCTGCTGTTTTGTATTTTTGGTAGGGACGGGGTGGGGGTGGGGCTAGGGAGGGGGGTTTTGGCTATGTTGCCCTGAGCTCAAAGCGATCTGCCTGCCTCTGCTGCCAAAGTGCTGGGATTACAGCCTGCACCACTGCACCTGGCTGCTGTAAAGTCTTATTTCACACAGCTGAGACGTGTTTTAGGAAGTTTGCTAAAAGACCCCTGGAGACCTCCTCGTTGTGACCTCCCTGTTATTGTGTTTAATTTGATTGAACTTTTCTGCCCTCCTGCTTTTCAGCTTCTCTAATAGTCTCCCATTAAACCAATTCTAAGAACCACCAAAAAAGGGAAATTTTTTTTGAAAGCAGTAAAATGATATGGACTGTTAGAATGTAAAATACATGAAATAAGTCATTATATGTTAGTGCTGCTCTGACATAGGGACGTATTATTGAGAATCAACTTTTGCTTGATTTTCAGAGAAATGGAATAATCGTATCGCTGATCTACGTAAACAAATTGAAGAATTGTCTGAAAGAAAATATGTTATGTCTAAACTGGAAAAGTCCTGTAATCTTATGTTCATGGGCTTTTACACAATGGAGTTACTGTTCATCATGGGGGTACCGTGGACAAGCCCAGAGCTGCCGGCGAGTCATGCCATCCTTACACGTTTCTCCTTGGAAGGTGCTTTGTAGTGTCTACACACTTTGTTTCTAGATTGCTGCAAAGCTGAGGAAAAGTTGTATTTCTTTAATTATTAGTTAGCATTTCTTTTAAACTTTCAGTATGGAGATTGGAAATTTATTTACATATTTATTGCAAAGCCCTGGATCTTAGGGATTTCATTGAATTATTTATTTATTTTTTTTGAGACGGAGTCTCACTCTGTCGCCCAGGCTGGAGTGCAGTGGCACAATCTCGGCTCACTGCAACCTCTGCCTCCCGGGTTCAAGCAGTTCTCTGCCTCAGCCTCCTGAGCAGCTGGGATTACAGGCGCCAGCCACCACGCCTGGCTGATTTTTGTATTTTTAATAGAGACGGGGTTTCATGATCTTGGCTAGGCTGGTCTTGAACTGCTGACCTCCTGATCCACTCACCTCAGCTTCCCAAAGTGCTGGGATTACAGGTGTGAGCTGCCATGCCTGGCCAAATATTATTTTTTTAAATGAATTGTTTCTCTTAGTCTACTTTGTTAAATTTGGAATTCATATGGGCGCGGTGGCTTACACCTGTAATCCCAGCACTTTGGGAGGCCAAGGCAGGCAGATATCTAGGTCGGGAGTTCGAGACCAGCCTGACCAACATGGAGAAACCCGTCTCTACTAAAAATACAAAATTAGACGGGCGTGGTGGCGCATGTCTGTAATCCCAGCTATTCGGGAGGGCAAGGCAGGAGAATCACTTGAACCCAGGAGGCAGAGGTTGTGGTGAGCCGAGGTTGCACCATTGCACTCTAGCCTGGGCAAAAAGAGCAAAACTCCATCTCAAAATAAATAAATAAGTAAAATGTTCAGTACTCACCAAGGTGCCCCTATTGTCTCTACTTTTATCTTGATGCATCACTGAATTGATGTTAGATTTCAAATTCATCATTGCCCTTATACTATTCTATCCTGTAGCCACCTTTATATAATGATGAAAGAAATTAGCCATTTGTTATTATCCTCTCTCTGTTGGTGTACATC
The DNA here is from genome assembly GCF_000001405.40 of Homo sapiens. Classification (NCBI taxonomy): domain Eukaryota; kingdom Metazoa; phylum Chordata; class Mammalia; order Primates; family Hominidae; genus Homo; species Homo sapiens. Next base: position 128,624,783 of record NC_000007.14, read on the forward strand.
AAATGCTCACCTAAAAAGAGCAACAACCAGTGGAAAACACATGATGTTTTTATTTGGATGACTATTTACTTGTAACCTACTAGCAAACTATAAAATTGTATGATATGCAGAATTTTAACTGAATTGCTTTAAGTGAACATTTAAACATGACAAACCATATTGATGGTATTTATGTTAATATACTTAAAATGAACATTTTTCTTCGTTGTGAGTAATATAACCTACTTCTCAATGAAAACCTAGCATTAAATTTGCTAATGAGTTCAATAACATTTCCATAATATTTTTAGTTACATGCTTAAGTTTCTCTTAGTGTTTCTCCCACTTTTTAATAGCTTATGCCTTTTTCGCCTTTGGTTTTTTTTTGGTTCATTTTAAAGCAAAAATCTCACAACATGTGATACCTGGAAACACTGTAACCTAGTGGTAAGACCATAGGCCCTGGGGACACAGGCTGGCCATGTCTCTTCTCCTGTCTGAGCTTTAGTATCCTCTTTTGTGGTCATGAGAACTGAAGATCTGTCCCGAAGATTTGATAAGATAGTAAAGTGCTTCACATAATACCAGACATATAAATACACAGTAAATGCTTCCTCCTTATATTTTTATTGATTGATTGATTGAGACAGAATCTTGCTCTTTTGCCCAGGCTGGAATGCGGTGGCGTGATCGTGGTTTCTGCAACCTCCACCTCCTGGGTTCAGGCAATTCTCCTGCCTCAGCCTGCTGAGTAGCTGGGATTACAGGTGCCTGCCACCATGCCCAGCTAATTATTGTATTTTTAGTACAGACGGGGTTTTACCATGTTGGCCAGGCTGGTCTCGAACTCCCGACCTCATGATCTGCCTGCCTCGGCCTCCCAAACTGCTGGGATTACAGGTGTGAGCCACTGTGCCCAGCCTGTCTTTTCTCTTCACACCCACAGTTCATGATGAAATATTAAATATGTACTAGTGGATATTACTTTGCTGAATATTGCCTAGTGAATATTAAGTATTTATTCTCACCTTTCAGACGTGAACTTATGAATTCAACAGGTGAAGATTTACAACTTGATAAATCAGCTTCATGAGGTACGTCTTCAGTCTTAAGTCAGATTAGAAGATTATGTGAAGTAATTAACACTTAACATTGATTTAATGGTAGCTTCCACATGAAATAGTATGCCTCTAAGTGTGTGTGTGTGTGTCTTGAGACAGGGTCTCACTCTGTCACCCAGGCTGGAGTACAGTGGTGAGATCAGAGCTCACTGCAGCTTCCACTTCCTGGGCTCAAGTGATCCTCCTATTTCAGCCTCCAGAGTAGCTGGGACTATACAAATGTTTTACCGCACCCAGTTCATTTTCTAATTTTTTGTAGAGATGAGGTTTCACTCTGTTGCTCAGGCTGGTCTTGAACTCCTGGCCTCACGGGATCCTCCTGCCTTAGTCTCCCAGTGGGCTGGGATTATAGGTATGAGCCACCTCACCTGACCTGCAACGATTTTTCAACAATGTAATTTCTCTTTTACAGAGCCACCTGAGCTGAAGATTCCCTTGAGAACAAGTACTGTCCTGTGGTTTCATGGCCTTTCTTCCATTTGTGGTTCTTGCGAAGTGGAATTTAAATGACATCTTATCAAGATGGATAAACCCTAGTTTCCCAGTGCTGGAATATAGAAAATGGATGGACAAGTAAATCCCACTCAGCACCCATAGTCCAGGCATGGGGACCTCAACACACCTGAGCCCCAGACATCACCTTTCATTGTGAGTAGCTCTGAGATGACACTTCTGCTGTTCCCAATTCCAGCATTAATTGGATTAGATAGTTATTTTATGAAGAATTTTCATATGCCACAATCCTGACCATATCTTCAAGTGAACAGAAAAATTCTATTAAAAAGTCAACCTTCTGTCTCACTCTGTTGCCCAGACTGGAGTGCAGTGGTGCAATTATGGCTCACTGCAGCCTCAACCTCCTGGGCTCAAGTAATCCTCCTGCCTCAGCCTCACAAGTAGCTGGGACTACAGGTGCTTGTCACCACACCTCACTAATTTTCCCATTTGTGTTATATGTGGATTCCACAGGACTGACTTCGAAAACTTGAGTATGCATGGATTTTGGTATACACAGAAATGGGAGAGCTGGAACTAATCCCCCCATATACCAAGGGACAAATTGTATCTGTTTGTATCTGTATTGTACAATTATACTGTAGGAGACATTATGTTCCATGACAATGGTAATTTTTAATGACAATTTTTAATTGAGTGAAATTACCATAAAAATAATAATAGTAGCAGCTAATATTTACTGAGCTGTTACTAGGTGCCTATAAATAGCATAGATTTTTAAATTCTCCATAATTCTTCCTTATTTCACTTAACCACTCTATCTTAAATTACTCATGCTTGCCTCAGTAGCACACATACTTAAGTTGGAACAATAGAGAGATTGGCATGGCCTCTGTGAAAGAATGACGTGCAAATTTGTGAAGCATTCCGTATTTTTTAAAAAAGAAAAAAATTACTCCCAGATTTTCACTGTGTTTGTGCATATGACCTTTTGTTTAGTTTGAATTATATCCAAAGATGAAATTTCCAGAAGTGAGATTACTGTGAGTCACAGGGCATGAGCATTCTTACTACCCTTGATGTAAATTGCAAAGCTTTCAGGCATGGTGGCTGTCAGCCTGTAATTCCAGCACTTTGGGAGGCTGAGGTGGGAGGATTGCTTGAGGCCAGGAGTTGGAGGAGGCAGTATAATGAGTCACTGTCTGTATGATTTAAAAAAAATTTCCAAGCTTTATCCTGGAAGGCTTATATACATTTTAAACACCACTAATACTACAAGAAAATGGCCATTTCACTGTACCTTCGCCCACACAGGTATTATAATTTAACAAGTTATTTTCTGTGTGATAAATGAAAGACCTCATATTATTACTTTGTCACCTTTTTTTTTTTTTTTTTTTTTTTTTGAGACGCAGTCTCGCTCTGTCGACCAGGCTGGAGTGCAGTGTTGTGATCTCGGCTCACTGCAACCTCTGCCTCCCAGGTTCAAGCAATTCTCCTGCCTCAGCCTCCTGAGTAGCTGGGATTACAGGCACATGCCACCATGCCCAGCTAATTTTTGTATTTTTAGTAGAAATGGGGTTTCACCATGTTGATCAGGCTGGTCTCGAACTCCTGACCTCGTGATCTACCCGCCTCGGCCTCCCAAAGTGCTTGATTACAGCTGTGAGCTATGCGCCCAGCCTATTTGTCATATATTTTATCTTTCCTTATGTTAGCTTATTAGCTTTATTTCTTTATTGTCCTTTTTTTTTTTTTTTTTGAGATGAAGTCTCGCTGTGTCTCCTAGGCTTGAGTGTAGTGGCACAGTCTCAACTCACTGCAGCCTTGACCTCCTAGGCTCAGGTGATCCTTCCACCTCAGTAATTGGGACTATAGGTACATGCCACTATGCCTGGCCAATTATTTTTATTTTTTTATTTTTACTAGAGACGAGGTCTTGCTTTGTTTCTTAGGCTGGTCTGGAACTCCTGGCCTCAAGCAATGCCCCCACCACCCCCTCCCAAAGTACTGGTATTATAAGCATAAGCCAACATGCCTGGGGTATCTGTGTCTTTTCCATTTATTTATAGAGTTACTTTGTCTTTTACTAATTCGATGATCTGTTTAATCTTTTATTAAATTATAAAAATAGTAAATACTTTTAAATAAGTGAAAAATGTCCTTCACTCTTTAGACCCATAATCTTATCTCAGGAAATAATTGCTATTGAGAAAATGGGCCATATCCTTCAAGATATGTAACATGGTGATTGAACATCGTTTCACATTTTCATATTTCATGGACATTTGTGCCAATACCTATTGATCTATCTTAATCCTTTTCATGGTTGCATGATATTTTATTATATGGATGTATCACAATTTACCAGTACCAGTCAACTGCTGGAGGCATTTAGGCTCCTTCTGATATTTGCTTTGAGCTCTTTATATAATTAAAAATTAACCCCCTCAGCCAGGTGTGGCAGCTCATACCTGTAAATCCCAGCACTTTGGAAGACTGAGGTGAGAGAACTGCCTGAGTGTAGGAGATCACCACCAACCTGGTCAACATAGCGACACTTTGTCTGTACTAAAAATTAAAAAAAAAAAAAATGAGCTACACGTTGCAGTGCACACCTGTAGTCCCAGCTACTGGGGAGGCTAAGACTGGAGGATCACTTGAGTCTAGAAGGTTGAGGCTGCAGTAAGCTATGATCACACCATTGCACTTTAGCTTTGCTAAGAGCAAGACTGCATTTCTTAAACAAAATAAAAATTAGATGGGAATATTGCTTAAGCCCTGGAGGTTGAGGCTGCAGTTAACTGTGATTGCACCACTGCAGTCCAGCCTAGGCGATAGAGCAAGACCCTTTCTCTAAAAATAAAATAAAATAAAATAAAAATTAACCTTCTATCATATTTCCAGTAACACCTTCTCTCCTACGTTTCTCCTAGAAGCGCTTAAATTTTGTTTTTCACATACCATTTAAAACTTTTAAGTGCTGATGTCTGTCTGTGTCATCCCTCTTTTTTTTTTTTTTTTTTTTCTTAGAATGTCTTTTTGTTACTTCTAGCTGGACCTACCATGAAAGACTTCTGAATCCAGGAAGAGAGACTGACTGGGAAACATGTTATTCAGGTACAAAAAGACTTGGACTGTAACTCAAAAATGGTCAAATAATAGTGCATGCATCAAGTGCAATGGGAAGCTCTTCTGGAGAGTGAGAGAAGCTTCCAGTTAAGGTGACATTGAAGCCAAGTCCTGTAAGATGAGGAAGAGTTGTATGAGAGTGGGGAGGGAAGGGGGAGGTGGAGGGATGGGGATTGGGCTGGGATGGGATGGAGTGAGCTGCCCAGTCAGGTAAACCAGCACTATACAGACCTGAACAATGAAGATGGCACATTTTGTTCAGGGAATGGTGAATTAAGTGTGGCAGGAATGCTTTGGAGAGACGGTCATTTGCTTGTATGGAATTTTGCCCAAGAGACCTCATTACAGTTCCTAATTTTTTGATGTTATCATGCATCACTGCCCTTGTCAGATAGTATCATGATCACAGTAACATCAAGCATAATATTTCATTGATTCTCACAAAAACAGGTGGGTGCCACAGTTATCCCCATTATATGCACAAAATGATGAAGACTTGGGGTTAATGAGCGATTTGCCCAAGCTCACCTGAATATTAAGACTGAGTCAAATGTTAGTCTGGTCTGACTTTAATGCTTGCTGTGTTAATGAGCACCATGCATTGCCTCTCCTATGCAGTTAAGCAGGTAGACAGGTGAGAGAAGAGCCCATGTGATATCGGGGGAAATTCACCCCAATATTTCATGTAGGTTCTTTTCTATTTTCCCTGAGTGTCGGCCGGTCTGAGAAATAAAAGGAAAGAGTACAAAAGAGAGAAATTTTAAAACTGGGTGTCCAGGGGAGACATCACATGTCAGCAGGTTCCGTGATGCCCCCCAAGCCGCAAAACCAACAAGTTTTTATTAGTGATTTTCAAAAGGGGAGGGAGTGTACGAATAGGGTGTGGGTCACAGAGATCACATGCTTCACAAGGTAATAAAATATCACAAGGCAAATGGAGGCAGGGCAAGATCACAGGACCACAGGACCAGGGCGAAATTAAAATTGCTAATGAAGTTTCGGGCACGCATTGTCATTGATAACATCTTATCAGGAGAAAGGGGTTGAGAGCAGACAACCCATCTGACCAAAATTTATTAGGCGGGAATTTCCTCGTCCTGATAAGCCTGGGAGCGCCACGCGAGCCCAGGGCTTATTTCATCCCTTATCTATGACTATAAAAGACAGCCGTCCCCAAAGCGGCCATTTCAGAGGCCTCCCCTTAGGGGTGCATTCTCTTTCTCAGGGATGTTCTTTGCTGAGAAAAAGAATTCAGCAATATTTCTCCTATTTGCTTTTGAAAGAAGAGAAATATGGCTCTGTTCCACCCGGCCCACAGGCAGCCAGAGTTTAAGGTTATCTCCCTTGTTCCCTGAAATTGCTGTTACCCTGTTCTTTTTTCAAGGTGCCCAGGTTTCATATTGTTTAAACAACTTGTGCAGTTAACGCAATTATCACAGAGTCCTGGGGGGACATTCATCCTCGGCTTACGAAGATGACCGGATTAAGAGATTAAAGACAGGCATAGGAAATCACAGGGGTATTGATTGGGGAAGTGATAAGTGTCCATGAAATCTTCACAATTTATGTTCAGAGATTGCAGTAAAGACAGGCATAAGAAATTATAGAAGTATTAATTTGGGGAACTAATAAATGTCCATGAAATCTTCACAATTTATGTTCTTCTGCTGTGGCTTCAGCCGGTCCCTCTGTTCAGGGTCCCTGACTTCCCGCAACACGTTTCTCTCTACTCACAGACTTCTGACCAAATGTGTGTGCGGAGTTTCTACACCAATTCTCCAACTCTCTGGATACCAACCGCATATCCCACAATTCCATTCTGACACTGCCTAGAGTTAGCGCAGAACCCACAGGTTAGGGGCTCAGTCCCGCAAGACCACCCTCACTTCAGATGCCAGTTGCAAGTCCTAGGTTGTCACCTGTATTTTGACCAACCAGTTAGAAATCAGGGTTTCCCATGACCCTCTTCTTGAGTTTAGTTATTTACTAGAACAACTCACAGAACTTAGAAAAACAGGTTTTTTTCTTTTCTTTTTAAGAGACAGGGCCTCGCTCTGTTGTCCAGGCTGGTGTGCAGTGGTGCAATCATAGCTCATTGAAGCCTCAACCTCCAGGGCTCAAGTGATTCTCCTGCTTCAGCCTCTCAAGTAGCTGAAATTACAGGGTTCCCACCACCACATCTGGCTAATTTCTTTTATTTTTTGTATAGATGGGGTCTTCTTATGTTGCCCAGGCTGGTCTCAAATTCCTAGGCTCAAGTGATTCCGCCCACCTCTGCCTCCCAAAGTGCTGGGATTACAGTCATGAGCCAGCGCATCTGGCCACCTTATTTTCTATTACTGGCTCAATGTAATGGCTCCATCTCAGGAACAGCCAATGAAAGAGATGCACAGGACAAGGTAAGTGGGGAAGGGCACAGAGCTTCCATGCCCTCTGTTGGGCACACTACCCTCCCAGGACCTCCTTATGTTTAGCAACACAGAAGCTCTCCAAACCCTGCTGTTTGGGTTTTTATGGAAGCATGATTGATAAAATCATTGGCCATTGGTAGTTAAGTCAATCTCCAGTTCCTTTTGCCTCTTGGAGTTCAGCAGGTGAGGCTGAAAGTTCCAAGCCTCAAAAAATGTAGTTGGGGCCAGGTGTGGTGGCTCACTCCTGTAATCCTAGCAGTTTGGAAGGCTGACGCACATGGACTACTTGAGGTCAGGAGTTTGAGACCAGCCTGACCAACATGGTGAAACCCCGTTTCTACTAAAAATAACAACAATTAGCTAGGCGTTGTGGCACATCCCTGTAATTCCAGCTACTCGGGAGGCTGAGGCAGGAGAATTGCTTGAACCCGGGAGGTGGAGGTTGCAGTGAGCTGAGATTGTGCCATTGCACTCCAGCCTGGGCTATAAGAGCCAGACTCCGTTTAAAAAAAAAAACGGTTGCTTTAAAAAAAAGTGGTTGCTTTCTCTGGCAGCTAGCCCTCCTCCTGAAGCAGTCTAGGAGCTTGCAGCCACCCTGTTAGCTCAACAGCATCCCACATGCATTCTTACCATGCTGCAGATCTGAAAGACCTTAGAGGCCCTTGTGTCAGGAACCTGGGACTAAGACTAACTATCAAAACAGAAAATGCTCCTATTACCTCTGTCACGAAGGGCTTTATAAGAGCTTTGGAAGCTTTATGCCAGGAACCAGGGGCAGAGACCAAATGTATATTTCTTTTCTTATATTTGAGACAGAGTCTCACTCTGCCACTGAGGCTGGAGTGCAGTGATGTGATCATAGCTCACTGCAGCCATGACCTCCTAGGCTAAAGCGATCCTCCCACCTTAGCCTCTCCAGTAGCTGGAACTACAGGCGTGCATCACCATGTCCAGCTGATTTTAATTTTAATTTTGTAAAGGCAGGGTCTTCCTATTTTCCCCAGGCTGATCTCTAACTCTTGGCCTCAAGCAATCCTTCCTCTTTGGCCTCCCAAAATGTTGGGATTACAGATGGGAGCCCCCATACCCACCAATCACAAGGATCTTATAAGAGAAGGAGGTAGGAGAGTCAGAATTAGAGAAAGTGATGTGGTAATGGAAGAAGAGGTCAGAGAGGGAGATTTGAAGATGCTGCACTTCTGGCCTTGAATATGGAATCACGAGGTAAGTCAAGGAATGGGGGTGGCTTCTAGAAGCTAGAAAAGGCAAAGGAGCACATTCTGTCTAGAGCCTCCCCCAGAAGGAATGCAGCCCCTCTGACACCTTGACTTTAGCCTTAATAGACCTAGTTGGGCTTCTGGCCCCCAGAACTGTAAGATGGTAGATTTGTGGTGTTTGAAGCCACTAAATGTAGGGTACTTTGTTGTAGCAACAACAAAAAATGAACATGAAACTGGGACCTCATGTTACAGTTGCTCACGCCTGTAATCCCAGAACTTTAGGAGGCTGAGGTAGGAGGATCGCTTAAGCCCAGGAGTTTAAGACCAGCCTGGGCAACATAATGAGACCTCATGTCTAAAAAAAATTTTTTTTAAAGGCCAGGTGCAGTGGCTCACATTCGTAATCCCAGCACTTTGGGAGGCCGAGGAGGGTGGATCACGAGGTCAGAAGTTCAAGACCAGCCTAGCCAAGATGGTGAAACTCCATCTCTACTAAAAATACAAACATTAGCCAGGTGTGGTGGTGGGTACCTGTAATCCCAGCTACTCGGGAGGCTGAGGCAGAGAATCACTTGAACCCAAAAGGCAGACATTGCAGTGAGCCAAGATCACACCCTTACACTTCAGCCTGGGTGACCAAGACTCCGTCTCAAAAAAAAAAAAAAAAAAAAAAAAAAACCAGGTGTTGTGGCATGCAGCTGTAGTCTCAGTTCCTAGGGAGGCTGAGGCGGGAGGATTGTTTAAGCCTGGGAGGTTGAAGTTGCTGTGAGCTGTGATTGCACCAGTGTACTCCAGCCTGGGCAATAAAGCAAGACCTTGTTTCAAAAAGAAAGAAAGAAATGAGCATGGTGGGAATGGGGACAGATGGCAATGTTAAGTAGAGTGGTCAGGGTTGGCCTCATAAGTGAATATTGAGCAAAAGTTTGAAGCAGGTGATGGAGCTGGCCAAGGTGCTGAGGGAAGAGCATTGTATGCTGAGTCAACAGGATCTTTATCCTGTTGGATAAAGGAGGAAACTCTCTGGTGTGTCTGAGGCTCTGGAAGGAGGCCAGTGGAGCAAAGAGATAGAGGGAGCAAAGTCAGTGAGGAGGCCAGGGAGTTGCTGGGCTGGGATCGGTACAGATTGTGTAAGCCCTGGGACGCTATTGCTGGGGCTTTGGCTTTTACTCTGACTAAAATGGGAACCACCGAGGGCTTCTGAGCAGAGAGGTGACATGATCTGTCTCCTGATTTAAAAGCACGACCTGGCTGCCAAGTTGAGAAAGACTATGGGAAGATTTGGGTAGAAGCATGGGGGCCAAGCTGTGGCAATATCCTGGTGGGAGATGATAGTGATCCTGACCGGATTCATGGTGGTGGTGAGAGATGGTCAGAGCCTGGATACGTGTTGAAGTCAGTCAGTAGGATTTCCTGACAGACTGGATGTGAGCTGTGAGAGAAGGCAGTGGTCAAGGTTGAGTTTGATTCTAATTGAATTATTAAGTAATTTTAAAAAACACTACTGCCTTTCTCAATCCTACCGAGTAAAGGATGCTAGATAAAAGAAATCTCAAGTCAGGCCAGGTGCAGTGGCTCACACCTATAGTTCCAACAGTTTGAGAGGCAGAGATGGGAGTATGTTTTAAGGCCATGAGTTTGAGAGCAGCCTGGGCAACATAGCAAGACCTCCTCTCTACAAAAATAAAAAAAATAAATTTAATAAAATAAAATAAATATAGCCAGGCATGATGGTATGTACCTATGGCCCCAGTTACTCATGTGGCTGAGATGGGCAGATCTCTTGATTCTAGGAGTTTGAGGCCAGCTTGGGCAACATAGCAAGACTTCTCTCTCTACAAAAATGAAAAAAATGCCTGACATGGTGGTACTTGCCTGTATTCCCAGGTATGGGGGCGGCTGAGGCAGGAGCATCTCTTGAGTCCAGTTGGTCAAGGTTGCAGTGAGCTATGATTATACCACTGCACTCCATCCTGGGTGACAGAGTGGGACCCTGTCTCAAAATACAAATACAAATGAAATCTCAAGTCAGACCAGTCCCTTCTAGGCTATGTAGGCCTTGTAACCACATAGCTGCATGATCGGGTTTGTGTGGCTATGGATGAGGAGACCCCTGTCCAATTGTTGGCTATGTAATCAGTTTATTTTTCAATATAGTAATCAAATATATTTCATCATACTTGATGGTCTCAGATATGTGTGGATTTTGGAATTCCCCTTGGAACAGGTTGTAACATCTTATTGGCTCCATAATTCCATAATTTTTTAAATCTGATCAGTTTTTAATAAGATCAGAATTGATATTAGACTACCTAATCGGTTTTGTTAATGAGAAAATAAAATTGTGTTGTTTGCATTTTATCCAAGATGGGTGTCGTATTGGCTAAATCTCATCAATACTTGAACAAATGCAAAATTAGAGCTTCTTTATCATGAAACACTATGTAATTCTTGAAGAAGATGCCATTTCTTTTTTTTCTTTTTTTTTTTTTAAGATAGAGTCTTTCTTTTGTCACCCAGGCTGGAGTGCAGTGGTGCGATTTTGGCTCACTGCAACCTTCACCTTCTGGGTTCAAGCAATTCTCCTGCCTCAGCCTCCCGAGTAGCTGGGATTACAGGCGCCCGCCACCACACCCAGCCAATTTTTGTATTTTTAGTAGAGATGGGGTTTCACCATGTTGGCCAGGCTCCTCTGGAGCTCCTGACCTCAGGCAATCTGCCTGCCTCAGCCTCCCAAAATGCAAGGAGTACAGATGTGAGCAACCACGCCTGGCCTCCATTTCTTTTTTGTAGTCTTTAATAAACAGCTGTTATCATTGCAGACTTGCTATTTAGGCACTTAGGAATTTTTCACTAGAAGGCATGTAAAGAAAGACCATGGGCATTTGTAATGAATTTAGCATTCATTCTTTGACTACATGACTGTCCCCAGAGCTGTAACTTTGTTAATGAATTTTTTAGAAGCCATTTAGCTAGCAACTGAGCCTAACCAGCCACTCAGCCTCATTATTCAGTGCTCTTTTATTATTGTCTATTTCTCCTCCAACTTGGCTACACTCACAAAGTGATAAAAACTTGCATTTGTTTTCTTTCCTTTTCAGAGACAGGGTCTTGCTCTGTTGCTCAGGCTACAGTACAGTGACATGATCATGGTTCACTGTAGCCTCAAACTCCTGGGCTCAAGCAGTTCTCTCACTTCAGTCTCCCAAGTAGCTAGGACTACAGACATGTGCCACCATGTCCAGCTAGTGTTTTCATTTTTTATCATAGAGACGGGATCTTGCCAGGTTGCTCAGACTGGGCTCAAAACTCCTGACCTCAAGTGATCCTCCTGCCTCAGCCTCCCAAAGTGCTGGGATTACAGGCAGGCATGACCACCTGTGCCCAGCCCCCTATTATCATTATTTTAAATAATAGCTTTATTAAAATATGATTCACATACCATTCACTTTATTTATTGAAATCTGCAATTCAGTAGGTTTTAGAATATTCACAGAGCTGTGCATCGATCACCACAGTCACTTTTAGAACCTTTCATTACCCTATAGAGAAATCCATACCCCTTAGCCACTACCTCCTACTCTCCCCACCTACCTTCGCCCCCAGCCTTAGGCAACCATTGATTAATTTTTTTGTCACTATAGATTTGCCTAATCTGGACAAATAGAATTGTACAATATGTGATCTTTTGTGGCTTTTTTTCCCTCTTAGCACAGTGTTTTCAAAGTTCCTTTATGTCATAGTGTGTATCAATATTTCATTCCTTCTATGGCAGTATTCCATGGTAGAGACACACTGCATTTTGTTTATCTGTTCATCAGTTGGTGGATATTTGGGTTGTTTCCATGTATTCCATGTATTGGTCATTATGAATAATGCTGCTATGAAGATTGTTGTACAAGTTTTTGTGTGGACATTTATTTTTCTGGGATATATGCCTAGGAGTGAAATTGTTGCATTATAGGATGACTGTACATTTAGCCTTTTGAGAAACTGCCAGACTGTTTTCTAAAGTGGCTACACCAGTTGAGTGCAATGGCTCACACCTGTAATCCCAGCTACTCAGGAGGCTCAGCTAGGAGGATGGCTTGAGCCCATGAATTCAAGACCAGCCTGGGCAAGATAGTGAAACCCTGTCTTGATTTTTAAAAAATCCAATTAAAATGACAAGAAAAGAAATACCCAAACAAAATGGTTACACGATTATATGTTCCCACCAGTAATGTATGTGGGTTCCAATTCCTCCACATCTTCACTGACTTTTTTTTTTTTCTAGATAGGGGCTTGCTCTGTCTCTCAGGCTGCAGTGCAATGATGCCATCACAGTTCACTGCAGCCTTGACCTCCCAGGCACAAGTGATTCTCTCATCTCAGCCTCCTGAGTAGCTGAAAATTGCAGGTGTATGCCACCATGCCTGGCTAATTTTTATATTTTTTTTGTAGTGATGGGATTTTACCATGTTGCCCAGGCTGGTCTCATACTCCTGGCCTCAAGTGATCTGCCCACCTCAGCCTCCCTAAGTTCTGGAATTACAGGCTGCCACCATGCCCGGCCTTCACCAACATTTGCCATTATCTGTTTTTTTTTTTCCTTTATACCTTAAAGCAGTGTAAGAACAAGTGTCTTCAATTATAGGAAAGAGTATAATCCCAGGGCATTGGGAGGCTAAGACAGGAAGATGTCTTGATGCCAGGAGTTTCTGTTGTTGTTGTTTTTGTTGTTGTTGTTGTTGTTGTTTTTGACAGAGTCTCGCTCTGTCACCCAGGGTGGAGTGCAGTGATGGGGTCCACTGCAACCTCCGCCTCCCAGATTGAAGTGATTCTCCTGCCTCAGCCTCCCGAGTAGCTGAGACTACAGGTACACGCCACTACTGCCCAGCTAATTTTTGTATTTTTGGTAGAGTCAGAGTTTCACCATGTTGGCCAGGCTGGTCTTGAACTTCAGACTTCAGGTGATTTGCCTGCCTCAGCCTCCCAAAGTGCTGGGATTACAAGCATGAGCCACCATGCCCAGCCTGATGCCAGGAGTTTTAGACTAGCCTGGGCAACCTAGCAAGACCTTGTCTCTACAGAATATTTAAAAATTAGCCAAATGTGGTGGTGCCTGTGTATAGTCTCTCTCCCTCTCTGTTTTTTTTTTCTTTTTGTAACTTTTTGTGACATGGTCTGGCTCCTGTCACCCAGGCTGAAGTGCAGTGGTGTGATCATGGCTCACTGCAGCCTGAAACTCCTGGGATCAAGTGATCAATCCTCCCACCTCATCCTACCAAGTAGTAGGGACCACAGGTGTATGCCACCCAGGTCTTGCTATGTTGCCCAGGCTGGTCTTGAGCTCCTGGCCTCAAGCAATCCTCTCACCTTGGCCCCCCACAGTGCAAGGATTACAGGTATGAGCCACCATGCCTGGCCCCTACCCTGCCTATTGAGAACCAAAAGAAGGATCCAAATTCTCCTTAGCTCAACTCGAGCCATTTCCTGATTGCTTCATCAGCAAGGAGCTGGTTATTGGGCTGTCCAGGCCTCCCAAGCAGCACAGAAATGAGGCGAAGGAGTTTTCCTGCTGCTCCACTCTGTAAGGAGTTAGAGGGTGATGTTTGCTCGTTTGCAGAGAGAGATGCCTTGTAGGCACCTCAGGATGGAGAGGACCCTGATTCCAATGTCCTTTTTTTCTTTAGAAACAGGACCTTGCCCTGTCACTCAGGATGGAGTTCAGTGGTCCAATTATGGCTCATTGTAGCCTCAAACTCCCAGGCTCAAGCAGTCCTACCATGTCAGCCTTCCCAGTAGCTGGGACCACAGGTAAGCATCGTGACACTCAGTGAATTTTGTTTTTATTTTTTTGTAGAGATGGGGCCTCAGTATGTTGCCACGGCTGACCTTGAACTCCTGCACTCAAGGGATTTTCCTGCCCTGGCCTCCCAAAGTATTGGTATTACAGGCATGAGCCATTGTGCCCACCGTCTCTGGTTCTTAACCTTCTACTTCCCTCTTCCAGTTTTAAAGAATGCTTGTAATTACATGGGCTCTCCTAGATACTCCAGGATAATCTTGTTTTAAGGTCAGCTGATGAGCAACATTAATTTTATCTGCACTCTTAATTCCCCCTTCCTATGTAATTGTGCTGTGTAACATAGGACATGAGCAATTGGTGGGGGTGGGGGTTATTACTTTGGCCACCACAGTATTTTATGCCAGGTACTCAGCTAAGCACTGGTGAATTAAGCATGAATAACACACACTCCCTAATCTCCATCCATTCATGGGAGGAGCACCTCACCTGCCATGCTCCTGAGAATCTGGGGAGTCAAAGAAGTCTTCCATGAGGAGGTGATGCCAAAGCGGACAAGTGACAGAGTCGAAGCTAGCTAGGAAGAGAGTAGAGGTTTAAGGGGAAGCGTATTATAAGCAGAGGATATCACCCACTTCAGAGACTCCCAGAGGAGAAAGAGTGTGTGTTCAAAGGGCAGATGAGGCTCAGTTGGACTCCATAGCAGATGAAATGGAGAGGGGCAAGCAATGAGGCTGCCTTGCAAGGCAGGGCAGAGCAGGGGCTGTTGAAGGGTTTGGACTTAATCCCTGAGGCAAGGAGAAGTGATGTAAATGGGGGAGTAACATGATGAGATTAATGGATTAGAGACATGGCTCAGGCTGCTGTAGAGAAGGCACCAGGGAGAGCAGATGGCTCAATGGGTGTGTAGGAGACCTCTCACTGAGTTTAGGGAGAGGTTTTTAAAACAGAAGAAGTTTGAGTAATTTAAATGATGATGGGAAGGAGCTAAAAGTAGGGGATAGGTTAAAGATACAGGAAAGTGGGAGGAAGAACTGACAAGTGAGGTTCCAGAGAGGGCAGGAGAAGAGGAGATTCCCATAGGGGGATTAACACTTTCTTTTCTTTTTTCTTTCTAAGACAGGGTCTCACTCTGTCGTCCAGGCTGGAGTGCAGTGGCACAATCTTGGCTCACTGTAGTGTAGGCTTCCCAGGCTCAAGGGATTCTCCCACCCCAGACTCCCAAGTAGCTGGAACTACGGGTGTGCACCACCACCACACCTGGCTAATGTTTCTTTTTTTGGTAGACACAGAGTCTCACTATTTTGCGCTGATTGGTCTCCAACTCCTGGCCTCAAGCGATCCTCCTGCCTAGGCTTCCCAAATTGCTGGGATTACAGGCATGAGCCATAATGCCTGGCCTCTGCTAGTTCTGTATTCTCTAGAGTTGTCTTTACTTTGTGCTAGCGTGTCCCTCATTGTGCTAATCCTCTGTAAAAATTAATACCTTTTTTTCTTTTCGAGATGGAGTTTCACTCTTGTTGCCCAGGCTGGAGTGCAATGGCGCTATCTCGGCTCAGCGCAACCTCCACCTGCCGGGTTCAAGCGATTCTCCTGCCTCAGCCTCCCGAGTAATTGGGATTACAGGCATGTGCCACCATGCCCAGCTAATTTTGTATTTTTAGTAGAGATGGGGTTTCTCCATGCTGGTCAGGCTGGTCTCAAACTCCTGACCTCAGGTGATCTGCCTTGGCCTCCCAAAGTGCTGGGATTACAGGCATGAGCCATTGTGCCTGGCCAAAATTAATACTTTTTATATTAAATTTACATATATATACATTTTTTTCTTTTTGATACCGGGTCTCACACTGTCACCCAGGCTGGAGTACAGTGGCATAACCTCTGCTCACTGCAGCCTCCACCTGCCAGGCTCAAGCAATTCTCCTGCCTCAGCCTCCCGAGTAGCTGGGATTACAGGTAAGTGCCACCACACCCAGCTGATTTTTGTGTTTTTTGTAGAGACGAGGTTTCGCCATGTTTCCCAGACTGTTCTCAAACTCCTGAGCTCAAAGCAGTCCACCCACCTTGGCCTCCCAAAGTGCTGGGATTACAGGTGTGAGCCACCTTGCTCATTCTAGTTTAAACTTTGGAGTGGTTTGTGTCTCCTGATTGGACTCCTGCAAATACAGAATTGATGCTAGGAAGGGTACCAGGAGATAGACGCACACAGATGGGATTTGGGAATAGGTTTGGTTATCCAAGGAGCAGTGCTGAGCTCCTTGCTAATGGGATATGGGATGCTGGTGATTTCCAGTAAGTGACCTCAAAATTACTCAGGCTACCACATACTGTTGATTGTGATGAAATGCCAGTTGAAGCACCTGTCCTGCGAGCTTAGGGGTGCTACAAGTTGACCACTGCAGCAGTAAAGATGACTCTGAAGAATGGCATGGGATGGATCCTTTCGAATGCACTTGAGCAGCGGTCTCCAACCACAGGGCCACAGAGCTGGAGGTGAGCAGCAGGCGAGTGAAGGGAAACTTCATCTGTATTTCTAGCCCCTCCCATCGCTTGCATGACCACCTGAGCTCCATGTCCTGTCAGATCAGCAGCAGCATTATTCTCATAGAAGCACAAACTGTTGTGAAGTGTGCATGTGAGGGATCTAGGTTGTGTACTCCTTATGAGAATCTAATGCCTGATATTCTGTTACTGTTTCCCATCACCCCAGATGGACAGTCTAGTTGCAGGAAAACAAGCTCAGAGATCCCACTGAGTCTACGTTATAGTGAGTTGTAGAATCATTTCATTATATATTACTATGTAGTAATAATAGAAATAAAGTGCACAATATATGTAATGCACTTGAATCATCCTGAAATTATTCCCTCACTCCCAGTCTGTGGAAAAATTGTCTTCCACACATTCACTCTGTTTTTTGGTAGAGGCAGGGTCTTAATATATTGCCCAGGCTGATCTCAAACTCTTGGCCTCAAGTAATATACCTCTCTCAGCCTCCCAAAGTGCTGAGATTACAGGCATAAGCCACCACCCTCAACCAAGACTTTCTTAAACCAAAAAAAAATTAAGTGAGATTACTTGAGCCCAGGTGGTCAAGGCTGCAGTGAGCCTGATTGCACCACTGCACTCCAGCCTAGGTGACAGAATGAGACTGTCTCAAAAAATAAAATAAAATAAAATGCAAATTAACCCTTTATGACATTCGCAGTAACTTTCCCTCCTAAGTCTTTGAATTCTGTTTAATTTTCACATAACATTTAAGATGTTTAAGAACTTATGTCTGTCTGTGTCATCCCTTTATGTCAAAAGATGTCTTTTTGTCACTTCCAGCTGGATCTACCATGAAAGACCTCTGAATCCAGGAAGAGAGACTGACTGAGCAACATGTTATTCAGGTACAAAAAGATTTGGACTGTAACTCAAAAATGATCAAATAATAGTGCATGCATCAAGTGCAATGGGAAGCTCTTCTGGAGAGTGAGAGAAGCTTCCAGTTAAGGTGACATTGAAGCCAAGTCCTGAAAGATGAGGAAGAGTTGTATGAGAGTGGGGAGGGAAGGGGGAGGTGGAGGGATGGGGAATGGGCTGGGATGGGATGGAGCAAACTGCCCGGGAAGGGAAACCAGCACTGTACAGACCTGAACAACGAAGATGGCATATTTTGTTCAGGGAATGGTGAATTAAGTGTGGCAGGAATGCTTTGTAGAGACAGTAATTTGCTTGTGTGGAATTTTGCCTGAGAGACCTCATTGCAGTTTCTGATTTTTTGATGTCATCATCCATCACTGTCCTTGTCAAATAGTTTGGAATAGGTATAATGATCACAATAACCCCAAGCATAATATTTCATTAATTCTCACAGAATCACAGGTAGGTGCCACAGTTATCCCCATTTTATGAATGGAGTGATGAAGCCTTAGGAATAATGAATGATTTGCCCAAGCTCACCTGGATATTAAGACTGAGTCAGATGTTGGGTCTGGTCTGACTTTAATGTTTGCTTTGTTCATGAGCACCACGTATTGCCTCTCCTATGCAGTTAAGCAGGTAGACAGGTGACAGAAAAGCCCATGTTTGTCTCTACTCACACACTTCCGACTGAATGTGTGTATGGAGTTTCTACACCAGATTCTTCAGTGCTCTGGATATTAACTGGGTATCCCATGACTTTATTCTGACACTATCTCGAGTTAGCACAGACCCCACAAGTTAGGGGCTCAGTCCCACGAGACCATCCTCACTTCAGATGCCAATGGCAAGTCCTAAGTTGTCACCTGTACTTTTGACCGACCTGTTACAAATCAGGGGTTCCCATAACTGTCTTCTTGGGTTTAATAATTTGCTAGAACAGTTTACGGAACTCAGAAAAACAGTTTATTTTCTTTTTTTCTGAGAGAGAGGGTCTTATTTTGTTGCCCAGGCTGGTGTGCAATGGTGCAGTCATAGCTCATTGCAGCCTTGATTGTCTGGGCTCCAGTGGTTCTCCCACCTCAGCCTCCCTAGTAGCTGAGACTACATGCCTGCACCACCACATGTGGCTAGTTTCTTTTATTTTTTGTATGGATGGGGTCTTGTTGTGTTGGCCAGGCTGGCCACAAATTCCTGGTCTCAAGTGATCCTCCCACCTCAGCCTCTGAAAGTGCTGGGATTACAGATGTGAGCCACCACATCTGGCCAGTTCATTTCCTATTACTGGTTCATTGTGAAGGATACATCTCAGAAACAGTCAATGAAAGAGACGTGCATGCTTGATGCAGCGGCTCATGCCTGTAATTTCAGCACTTTGGGAGGCCAAGGTGGGAAGATCGCTTAAACTCAGGAGTTTGAGACCAGCCTGGGCAACATGGTGAAAACCTGTCTCTATAAAAAATTTAAAAATAATAATAATAACCGGTGTGGTGTTGTGCCCCTAGAGTTCCACCTACTAGGGAAGCTGAGATGAGAGGATGCCTTGAGCTGGGGACTGAGGAGGCTTAGGTTACAGTAAGCTGAGATTGTGCCACTGCACTCTAGCTTGGACAAAAGAGCCTGATCCTGTCTCAAAAAAAAGAAAGATACCCAGGGCAAGTTAAGTTCGGAGGGGCACAGAGCTCCCATGCCCTCTGTTGAACATGCGACTCTCCCAGCATCTCCTGTGTCCAGCAACCCTGAAAGCTCTGCAAACCCCGTTCAGGGTGTTCATGGAGGCTTTATTATGCAAGCATGATTGATAAAATATTTGGCTGTTGGTGATTAAGTCAGTCTCCAGCCCCTCTTCCTCCTGGAGTTCAGTGCATGAGGCTGAAAGTTCCACGCCTCTTACCATGTGGTTGCATGGTAATCAGCCCTCCTCTTGAAGAAATTTAGGAGCTTGCCACACCCAGTCATCTCAACAACATCCCCAAATGCATTCTTACCATGCTGGAGATCCCAAAGTTCTCAGAGGCTCTTGTGTTAGAAACCTGGGACCAAGACCAAATATTAAAACAAAAGATGTTCCTGTCACATCTATCACTGAGGTCTTTGTAAGAGCTTTAGAAGCTCTGTGCCAGGAACCAGGGACAGAGATTAAATATATATTTCTTTTCTTTTTTTTGAGACAGAATCTCCCTGTGTCATCCAGGCTGGAGTGCAGTGATGTGATCATAGCTCACTATAGCTTTGGCCTTCTGAGATCAAGCGATCCTCCCATCTCAACCTCCCAAGTAGCTAGGACTACACAGGCATGTCACCCATGCCCAGCTCATTTTTGTAGAGTCAGAGTTTCACCATGGTGGCCAGGTTGGCCATGTTGGCCAGATGGGGTCTTCTTTTGTTGCCCAGGCTGGCCACAAATTCCTGGGCTCAAGTGATCCTCCCACCTCGTCCTTGTAGAGATGAGATTTAGTTATGTCGTCCAGGCTGATCTCAAACTCCTGGGCTAAATCGATTGTCTTACCTCAGCCTCTCAAGTAGCTGGGACTACAGGCGCATACCACCATGTCGGGCTAATATTTATTTTTATTTTTTTCTAGAGGTGGGGGTCTCACTGTGTTGTTCATGCTAGTTTCAAACTTTGGGCCTCAAGTATTCCTCCTGCCTTGACCTCCCAAAGTGTTGGGATTCTGGGTGGGAGCCACCATGCCCAGCAATCACAAGGGTCTTTATAAAAGAAAGAGAGTAGGAGATTCAGAATTGTAGCGGGAGATGTGGTGATGAAAGCAGAGGTAAGAGAGGGAGATTTGAAGATGCTTCACTTTTGGCTTTGAAGATGGAGTCAGGGGCCATGATCCAAGGAATGGGGGTGGCTTCTAGAAGCTGGAAAAGCCAAGGGAACACTTTAGAGTCTCCAGAAGGAATGCAGCCCTGCTGACACTTTGACTTTAGCCTTAATAGACCTAGTTTGGGTTTCTGGCCCCTAGAACTGTAAGATGGTAGATTTGTGGTGTTTTAAGCCACTAAATATGGGAAACTGCAAACTATATTGCAGCAGCAAGAAGAAATGAACATGAAGCCAGGCATGATGGCTCATGCCAGTAATCCCAGCACTTTAGGAATTTAGGCAGGAGGATCACTTGAGGCCAGGAGTCCAAGACCAGTCTGGGCAACATAGTAAGACCTTATCTCTACAAAAAATGAAAAAATTGGCCAGGCGTGGTGGCTCACACCTGTAATTCCAGCACTTTGGGAGGCCGAAGCGGGCAGATTACCTGAGGTCAGGAGTTCAAGACCAGCCTGGCCAACATTGCGAAACCCCGGCTCTACTAAAAATACAAAAATTAGCTGGGCGTGGTGGCACACACCTGTAACCCCAGCTACTTGGAAGGCTGAGGCAGGAGAATCACTTGAATCTGGGAGGTTGCAGTGAGCTGGGATCGCACCATTACACTACAGCCTGGGCAAGAAGAGTGAAACTCTGTCTCAAAATAAAATAAAATAAAATACTAAAAAATTTAGCCAGGCATGGTGGCATGAACCTGGAGTCCCAGCTACTTGGGAGGCTGAGGTGGGAGGATCGCTTGAGCCTGGAAATTTGAGGTTGCAGTGAGCTGTGATTGCGCCACTGCACTCCAGCCTTGGTGACAGTGAGATCTTGAAAAAAAGAAAGAATAAAGTAAAGAAAGAAGAAATGAGCATGGTGGGCATGGGGACAGATGGCAATGTTAAATAGAATGGTCGGGGATGGCCTCCTAAGTGAAAATTGAGTAAAGACTTGAAGGAGGGGAAGGAGCTGGCCGAGGTGCTGAGGGAAGAGGATTGTAGGCAGAAATAATAGAATAAAGTGTCTGAGGTGTGTCTGAGGCTCTGGAAGGAGGCCCATGGAGCAGACAGAGAGAGGGAGAGAATTAGGGGAGGGGGCCAGGGAGTTGCTGGGTGGGGATCAGTACAGATCACATAAGCCCTGGGAGGTTATTACTGGGGCTTTGGCTTTTACTCTGACTCAGATGGGAACTGCAGGAGGGTTCTGAGCAGAGAGGCGACATGATCTGTCTCCCGATTTAAAAGCATTCTCTGGCTGCTGAGTTGAGAAAGACTACGGGAAGATGTGGGTAGAAGCATGGGGGCCAAGCTTTGGCAACATCCAGGCGGGAGATGATGGTGGTCCTGACCAGGGTCATGGTGGTGTTGAGAGATGGTCAGAGGGGAGAAGTAGGGGAGGAGGCCAGGGAGTTGCTGGGTGGGGATCTTTAGTACATGTCGAAGACAGTCAACAGGATTTCCTGACAGACTGGATATGGGGTGTGAGAGAAGGCAGGGGTCAAGGTTGAGTTTGATTGTTACTGAAATTATTAAGTAATTTTAAAAAACACTACTGCCTTTCCCAATCCTACCAAGTATGGGATGCTAGATTAAAGAAATTTCTTCAGGCTCATTGCAGTGGCTCATGCCTGTAGTCCCAGCTGTTTGGTAAGCAGAGGTGGGAGTATCTTTTAAGGGCAGGTGTTCAAGACCAGCCTGGACAACACAGCAAGATCTGCTCTTTACAAAAATATTTTTCAAAATTAAATAAATGTAGCTAGGCATGGTGATGTGTACTTGTAGTTTCAGCTACTCAGGAGGCTGAAGTGGGCAGATCTCTTGAGGTCAGGAGTTTGAGGCCAGCTTGGGCAACACAGCAATACCCCTCACTCTACAAAAAAATTAAAAAAATAACCAGGCATGGTGACACTCAACTGTACTACCAGCTACTGGGGAGCTGAGGCAGGAAGCTGGCTTGAGCCCAGGAGGTCGAGGCTGCAGCGAGCTGTAAGTGCACAGCTGCACTCCAGTCTGGGTGACAGAGCGGGACCTGTCTCACAATACAAATAAAAATACAAGTGAAATAATATCTCAAGTCAGAGCCTTTTGGCTCTGCAGCCCTTGCAACCCCTTAGCCGTGCAGTGGGGTTTGCATCGCTGGGAATGAGGAGACCCCTGCCCGGTGTTGTTGCCTGACTAATCAGTGCTTTAAAACATATATTAATCGGGGTGGGTGTGGTGGCTCACACCTGTAATCCCAGCACTTAGGGAGACCCAGGCGGGTGGATCACCTGAGGTCAAGAGTTCAAGACCAGCCTTGCCAACATGGCGAAACTCCTTCTCTACTAAGAAAATACAATAATTAGCTGGACATGGTAGTGGGCGCCTGTAATCCCAGCTACTTGGGAGGCTGAGGTAGGAGAATCGCTTGAACCTGCGGGGCGGAGGTTGCAATGAGCTGAGATTGCGCCACTTCACTCCAGCCTGGGCAAAAGAACAAGACTTTGTCTCAAAGAAAAAAAAAAAGTATTATATCAACATGTAATGGTTTTATTATTAATATGTAATGAATATTAAATATTTTTAAAATCTTGTATTATATCAACATGTAATGGCTTTAATATGTGATGAATAATATTTAAAAACTTGTGTCTTATTTTCTAGTTTTAATATAATTATCTACAGAAAGAAATAGTCTTAGAGATCTTCAATAAAGTTAAAAAATGTAAAGGGATGTTAGACCCCGAAAGACTGAGAATTTCTAGTTTAGAAATATTCAGAGTAAGCCACATACAACTTGCTACTTGAACTATTTTTTTTCTTTGTTTTTTATTTTAGGAGATGGGGTCTCACCCTGTCACCCAGGCTTGACTACAGTAGTGCTATCACAGCTCACTGCAGCCTTGAACTCCTGGGCTAAGGATCCTCCTACCTGAGCCTCCTGAGTAGCTAGGACTGTAGGTATACATGACGATACTTGGCTAATTTTTAAATTGTTTTGTAGACATGGGGTCTCACTTTGTTGGCCAGGCTGGTGTCAAACTAATGGCCTCAAGTGACCCTTCCACCCCTGCCTCCCATCCTCGAGGCATGTGCCACCACAAGGAGCACTTGTTCAATTTTCTAAAAAAAAAATTTCTAAAGTAAGGCTGTGGGATGATGGCAGGAAGATAAAAGAAAAGCAGAAGAATAAGTTAAAATGACTTATTCACACATATTCTTTTGACAGCAAGAAGAACTTTTAGTATATACATTCCTTACAAACAAACAAAAGGCAGATAAACAATGTTGTATAGGAACTTCAACACACACTGTACAATATTCCCACTTTGCTGACATAAGTTATGGAAATTTCATGTTTTACTTGAGTGTCGCTACCAGTATTTTGCTTCTCTGATGATTTTTATCAACTTCCTCATCTGTTAACTTCTCTCCAAGGTATGTCATGTCACGACATACTGCCGCTGCACGAACATGGCCAGTGTCTTCCTATTCAACATGTAGAATGCTTTCCTAATTTCTCTTTTTACTCTCTGTCTTTGTGTTCTGCATTTTCCTTACTTTTATTGTCAGAAACTCCAGAAAGTCAATCGTACTAATTTGTCACGATTTGCTTTATTAATTTATACTTTGCTTATATGGAATTTTGCCCAGCAGACCTCATTACAATTTCTAACCTGTTTTATTTTGTTTTTTTTCTGAGACAGGGTCTCCATCTGTTGTCCAAGGCTGGAGTGTAGTAGTGCTATCACAGCTGACTGCAGCCTCAACCTTCCAGGCTGAAGCGATCCTCCCATCTCAACCTCCCACGTGGCTGAGACTACAGGTGCTTGCCACTATGCCCAACTAATATTTGGAATTTTCGTATACGTGGATTCCAGAGGGGTGACAGTGAAACGTGAGTAAGCATGGATTTTGGTATATGCAGAGATGGGGGGCTGGAACTAATTCTGTATACTGAGGGACGACTGTATATGTTTTTACAATTACGCTGTAGGATACATACTGTTGCATAGCCTTGAAAATAATAATTTTTAATTGAGTGGAATAATAATAATATTGATAAAAGTAGCAGCTGGCCAGGTGTGGTGGCTCACACTGGTAATCGCAACACTTTGGGAGGCTGAGGCAGGAGGATGGCTTGAGGCCAAGAGTTTGCGATAGGCCTTGGAAACAAAGGGAGTCACCATCCCTACAGAAAAATACATGAATTAGCCTAGTGTGGTGGCATGTTCCTGTAGTCCCAGCTACTTGGGAGGCTGAGGTGGGAGGATCACTTGAGCCCAGGGAGGCTGAGACCGCAGTGAGTCATGATCAGGCCTCTGCACTCCAGCCTGGGTGACAGAGTGAGACCCTGTCTCAAAACAACAAAAAAGTAGCAGCTAATATCAACTGACCTTTTACCAGGTGCCTATTGATACCATAGTTTAATTTCTTATAACTGTTTCTTATTTCACTTACCAACTCTGTCTTCAGTTACTCCCAGATTTTTACTGTGTGTGTACAGATGACCTTTTGTTTAGATTGAATTGTCTCCCCAGAAGTAAGATTACTGTGAGTCATGGTGAATGGACATTCTCATTACCCTTGATGTAAATTGACAGGGTTTTGGGTGCCTCCCAGCTATAATCTTAGCACTTTGGGAGGCTAAGAGAGGAGGATTGCTTGAGGCCAAGAGTTGGAGGAGGCAGTATGGCAGTATGGTGAGACCCTGTCTCCATTATTTTAAAAAATTGACAGGCTTTACCCTGGAAGGCTTATACACAATTTAAACACCCCTCATAGTATAAGAAAGTGCCCATTTCACTGCACCTTTGCCAGCACAGGGTATTATAATTTAGTAAGTCATTTTTTGTTTGATTATTTTACATAGATAAAAGAACTCATATTACTTTACTTGTCACATTTCAACATCTTTCCTCAGCTTATTAGCTCTATTTCTTTTCTGTCTGTAAATGGTTGTTGTTGTTTGGTTCTTTGAGACAGGGTCTTGCTCTGTCACCAGGCTGGACTGTAGTGGCATAATCATGCCACACTGCAGCCTTGACCTCCCAGGCTCAAACTTCGCATTCCGAGTAGCTGGGACTACAAGTGTGCACCACCACCCCCAGCTAACTTTTTTCTTCTTTTGGATAGAGACAGGGTCTCACTGTGTTGTCCAGACCGGTCTCTAGCTCCTGGCCTTAAGCAATCCTCCTGCATTAGCTTCTCAAATTGCTGGAATTTCAGGCATGAGCCACCATGCCTGGCCTGGGCTAGTCCTATATTCTCTAGAGTTCTCTTTACTTTGTGCTAGCCAATCTCTCATTATGCTGTTCACCTGTTATAATGAATAATTCTCCATATTAAATTTTACCACTTTAAACTTTTGAGTGGTTTATGCTTCCTGATTGGACTCTGACTAATATGTTAGGAAGGGTCCCAGGAGATAAACCCACACAGATGGGATTTGGGCATAGGTTTGGTTTCCCAGGGGGCAGTGCTGAGCTCTTTGCCAGTGGGAAATGGGATGCTGGTGATTTCCAGTAGGTGACCTCACAGTGACTCAAGCTACCACTTACTGTTGATTGTGACGAAATGCCAGCTGAGGCACATGCCTTGGGAGCTAAGTGGTTGCTGCACTTGACCACTGTGAAGACTGGTGTGGGAAGGGTCGTTTTGGATGCACTTGAGCAGGGGTCCCCAACCCCTGAGCCATGGAGCCACAAGGAACCACACAGCAGGAGGTGAGTGGTGTCGAGTGAGGGAGTGAGGGAAGCTTCGTCTGTATTTACAGCCACTCCCCTTTGCTCACATTCCCGCCTGAGCTCCACCTTCTCAGATCAGCAGCAGCATTAGATTCTCATAGGAGAACGCACCCTGTTGTGAACTGTGCATGTGAGAGATCTAGGTTGCGCTGTCCTTATGAGAATCTAATACCTATTGATCTGTCACTTTCTCCCATCACGCTCAGGTGGGACCATCCAGTTGCAGGAAAACAAGCTTAAGACGCCCACTGATTCTACATTATGGTGAGTTCTATAATTATTTTATTATATATTACAGTGTAATAATGGAAATAAAGTGCCTAATAAATGCAAATGTGCTTACATCTTTTGGCCCAGCTCCTACCTCCCGGCAGCCTCTCCAGGCCCAGAACTTTCTCCAATCAGCCTCTACAGACCAAGCTCATGACTCACAATGGCCTATTTAGGCCCATACCCTACGTCACGGCAGTCTCCGCAGATGAGCCTACTGCCCCACAACAGCCTCCACAGGCACAGCTCCATCGTTACAATGGCCTCTTTAGACCCAGCTCCTGCCTCCCAGCCTTCTCTCCAGGCCCTGAACTTTCTCAAGTCGACCTCACCAGGCCCAGCTCATGCTTCTTTGCAGCCTCTCCAGGCCCAGCTCCTGCATCTTGGTGGCCCCTCCAGGCCCAGCCTCTGCCTCCCGTCGGCCTCTACAGTCCCAACATCTGCCTCACAGCAGATTCTTCACGCCCAGCATCTGCCTCACTGTGGACCCCCCAAGCCAAGCTCCCAACCTTTCAGCAGCTTCTACACACCCAGCTCCTGCCACCCAGTGGCCTCTTTAGGCCAAGCTCATGCTTCACAAGGGCCTTTCCAGGCCCAACTTTTGTCTCATGGCAACCTTCCCTGGCCAGATTCCTGCCTGTCTCCCAGCAGCCTAGACAGGCCCAGGGCCTCTCTACATGCAGCTTATGCCTCACGGTGGCCTCTCCAGGCCCAACTCCTGTCCCAGGACGTCATCTCCGGGCCCAAAACTTACTCAAGTCAGACTCTGTAGTCCCAACTGCTGCCTCCTGGTGGCCTATGAAGGCCCAAAATCTCCTCAAGTTGACCTTTCCAGGCCCAGCTCCTGCCTCCTGTCAGCGTCTACAGGCCCAACCTCTACGTCATGGGGGCTTCTCCAGGCCCACCTCTTCCTCTTGGCTGGGTCTACAGGCACAACTGCTGCCTCACAACAGCCTTTTTTGGCCCAGTTCCTGTCCAGCTCATGGCGGCCAATGTAGGCCCAAAACTTCCTCAAGTCAAACTCTCCAGGCCCACCTTCTGCTTCCCAGTGGCATGAACAGGCCCAGCTTTGACTTGAGAACAGCCTCTGCAGGCCCTGCTCTTGCCTCCCAGGGGCTTTTTCCAGGCCCAGCTCTTGCCTCATGGCAGCTGCCCCAGGCCAAATTTCTGCCTGCCTGCCAGCAGCCTCAACAGGCATAGCTCCTCCCTCACAGTGGCCCATTTAGGCCCAACTCATGACTGTCGGGCCATTTCCAGGCCTAGTGCCTGCCTCGTGGCTGACTCTTGAAGCCCAAAACTTCCTCAAATCAGCCTTTTGCCCAACTTCTGTCTACTGTCGGACTCTACAGGCCAGCCTCTGCCTCACAGTGGACCCTCCAGACCCAGATGGTGTCTCACTGTGGCATCCTCAGTCGAAGCTCCTGCCTTTCGGCAGCCTCTCCAGGCCCAGCTCCTCCTGCCTCCCAGTGGCCTCTTTCGGCCCAGCCCAGCTCATGCCTCCCGGCGGCCTTCCCAAGCCCCGCTTTTGACTTTCGGTGGCCTCTGCAGGCCTCGACAAGGCCCAGCCTCCTGCCTCCCGAAGGCCTGCACAGGCCCAGCCTCTGCCTCACAGCGGACTCTCCACGCCCAGCTAGCTGTCGCCTCATTGCGGCCTCCCGAGTCCAAAGCTCCTGCCTCTCGGCCGCTTCGGCAGGCCCAGCTCCCACCTGCCAGTGGCCTCTTCAGGCCCATGGGGCTCGTTCCTCACAACGGCCTTTCCAGGCCCAGTTTTTCCCTTCCGGCGGCCTCTCCGGGCCCAGAACCTCCTCAAGTCGGCCTCTCCAGAGCCACTTGCACCCTCCGGGCGTCCTCTCCGGGCCCAGCTCTTCTTCCTGGTTGCGTCTCCAGGCCCGACTCCTGCCTCTCAACAACCTCTTTGGACTCAGTGCCTACCCATCTCCTGGCGGCATTGGTCGGCCCACAGCTTCCTCAAGCCAAGCTCCCCAGGCCCAGGTCAGGCCTCACGGTGGCCTCTCCAGGATGAGCTCCTGCCCTCCGATGGCATCTCCAGGCCCCAAATGGTCTCCGGTCGGTGGGCTCCTCCACGCCAAGCTTGGGCCTCCCGGCGACCGCTGCAGGCCCAAGTTGTCCTGAAGTCGGCCTCTCCTGGCCCTGCCTCCCAGCAAGTAAGCAAGCTCTTTTGGCTCAACTCCTGCCCAGCTCCCAACCGCCTTTCTAGGCCCCGAACTTTCTCCAGCCAAGCTCTGAGGGCCCACCTCCTGCCTCCTGGTGGCCTGTACAGGCCCAGCACTGGTTGGAGAACAGCCTCTGCAGGCCCCGCCCTTGCCTACCAGGGGCCTCTCCAGGCGCAGCTCTTGCCCCCACGGCGGCCTCCCGGGGCCAAGTCCCTGCCTGCCTCCCAGCAGCCCACGTGCGGCCCAGCTCCTCTCTCACGGTGGCCTGTTGATGCCCACCCTCCCACGCGGACAGAGGTCAGCCTGAGCCCCTTGCCTCACACCGGCCCCTCCCACGCGGACAGAGGTCAGCCTGAGCCCCTTGCCTCACACCGGCCCCTCCCACGCTGAGAGAGGTCAGTGTGAGCCCCTGCCTCAACAGGCCACCGTGAGGGAGGAGCAGGGTCGCACGCGGGCTGCTGGGAGGTAGGCAGGGACTTGGGCCTGGGAGGTCGCGGTGGGGCGAGAGCTGGGCCTGGAGACTCCCCTGGGAGGCAACAGCGGGGTCTGCAGACACCCTTCTCCAGCTGGAGCTGGGACTGTTCAGTCACTGGGAGAAGGGATGTGGGTCTGAAGAGCTTGGTTGCAGAAACTTCGGGGTCTACAAAGGCCGGCGGGAGCTGAGCCAAAAGAGCTTGTTTGCTGGGAGGCGGGAGATGCAGCCAGGAGGAACAGCTGGGCCATGCGGGAGGCAGAGGCCGGGCCTCCTCAAGTCGGCCTCTCAGACCCACTTGCAGCCTCCCAGCGTCCTCTCCGGGCCCAGCTCTTCCTCCCGGCTGCGTCTCCAGGCCGGACTCTGGCCCGACTCCAGGTCCCAACAACGTCTTTGGACTCAGCTCCTGCCCAGCTCCCAGAGGCCCTGGTAGGCCCACAACTTCCCTAAGCCAAGCTCCCCAGGCCCAGCTCAGGCCTCACGGTGGCCTCTCCAGGCTCAGCTCCTGCCCTCCGATGGCATCTGCAGGCCCCAAACGGCCTCCGGTTGGTGGGCTTCTCTAGGCCCAGCTTGGGCCTCCCGGTGGCCTCTGCAGGCCCAAATCGTCCCGAAGTCGGCCTCTCCAGGCCCAGCTCCGGCCTCCCAGCGGCCTCTGCAGGCCCAAGTCGTCCTCAAGTCGGCCTGGAAGTGGGCCTGGAAGAGCAGCAAGTCGGCCTCCCCGGGCCCAGCTCCGTCCTCTCGGCGGCCTCTCCAGGTGCAAAACTTCCTCGAGTCAGCCTCTCCAGGCCCAGCTCTTCCTGCCTCCCAGTGGCCTCTTTCGGCCCAGCCCAGTTCATGGCTCTCGGCGGCCTTCCCAGGCCCCGCTTTTGACTTTTGGCAGCCTCTTCAGGCGCAGAACTTGATCTCCAGTCGGCCTTTGCAGGCCCGGCCTCCTGCCTCTCAAAGGCCTGCACGGGCCTGGCCTTGGCCTTGGCCTCACAGTGGACTCTCCACGCCCAGCTAGCTCTCGCCTCACTGCGGCCTCCCCCGTCCAAAGCTCCTGCCTTTCGGCCACTTCGGCAGGTCCAGCTACTGCCTGCCAGTGGCCTCTTTAGGCCAAGCTCATTCCTCACAACGGCCTTTCCAGGCCCCGTTTTTCCCTTCCGGCAGCCTCTTGGCCTCTAATTTGTTTATCTTTTGTGTATAAATCCCAAAATATGGAATTTTGGAATATTTCCACCATTATATATTTTGGTAGGTAATTTATTTGGAGTGAGTTTCTGCACCATGCCCGAACTTTTTGTTTTATTTTCCTTATTATTTGGTGTTAAACAGGTTTAATGACGGTCATGGCAACTTTTTGGCACAATGAAAAATATCGCCCATGATCAACGTGTTCTGTTCTGGGGAAGGGGGCAAAGGCAGGGTGAATCACTTTCTTAAAAAGTATAGCTCAAGTTGGGAGTGCAGAGGGAATGGGGAGAAAACCCTTCCGCTGCCTGTGTCGAAGTGCAGGAGCCCCCACCCCCATACTCACCTGAGTCCAGCCCCTCTGGGGAAAGAAGGGGTGCATGAACTCCCCTTAGTCCACAGGCGCCTCCCTGTGGCCCAAGGCCCTCTTCACACTCCATCTTGTAGCCCCAGCAGGAGCTATTTTCCGAAAAGTGAAAAGCTCTGAAGGTCCCACAATTCATGGTATGTACAGGGGCTCGGAGGAGGGAAACTGCCCAGCTTTCCCCCGGCACAGCTGCAGGGGTAGGGGGTATAGATAAGAGGAGCAGGCCTTGGCCAGGCGTGGTGGCTCACGCCTGTAATCCCAGCACTTTGGGAGGGGGAGGCAGGCAGATCACGATGTCAGGAGATCGAAATCAGCCTGGCCAAGATGATGAAGCCCCGTCTGTACTAAAAATACAAAAATTAGCCGGACGTGGTAGCGTGCACCTGTAATCCTAGCTACCCGGAAGGCTGAGGCAGGAGAATGGCGTGAACCCGGTGGGAAGAGTTTGCAGTGAGCCAAGATCGCACCACTGCACTCCAGCCTGGGCGACAGAGCAAGACTCGGTCTCAAAAAAAAAAAAAAAAAAAAAAAAAGGCAGGCCTTACTCCGTCCCAAACTGAAAGGATTAAATGGCTTTACCTGGGAGAAGATAACCATCCTGCCCTCCATTGCTACCCCCACATACTGTCCATGTTCTCAGGGGGTACTGTGAGTCCTGGGATCTTTGGGGTTGCCCACCTGCCTGTGGTAGTTATGGAGACCCCCCAGGTGTTTAGGCAGGGCTGGGGTGTCCCCTTCCAACCAGGCTGTCAAGGCCCCAACTCTGGGGCAGAGGCAGTGGCAGGGCAGCCAGGGTTGCGCCAGAGCCTGAGCAGGTTGAGGTGGGGTCAGGCAGGGCTGGGAGTCAGGGCAGGGGCAGCAGCAGTGGACCCGCTATGCACACATCGTCTTCTCCAAGGTTTGTGTGCAGAACATCCTGCCCATGCTGCCCCAGCAGCTTCAGTTGGCACCTGCCCCAGTCCAGCCTCTGGGAACCATGCAGCAGCTCCCAGCGGCCCTGCACCCACCACCAGCATCCGTTTCACCTGCAGTTGAAGATCCGTGAGGTGCCCAGAAGATCATGCAGTCATCAGTCCCACGGAGCAGCCCGTGAGGCTGAGGCTCCTCCCACTGGACCGCCCCCCAACTGGCACCACTGCTGCCCCTGCCCCTACTCTCAGCCTCACGTGACTCTCGGGCAGAGGCAGTGGTGGGGCAGCCAGGGCAGCGTCAAGAGTCTGAGCCAGGTGAGGTGCGGTCAGGACCCCCACAGGGCTGGGAGTCAGGGCAGGGGCAGAACAAACCTTGGAGGGGAAGATGTGTGCATAGTGGGCCTGGAGGGCGGCTGTGGCCTAGTGGACAGGAAGAAGCAGTGGGCCTGGAAGAGCTGCATGATCAGGGCCGGCACTGGTCCAGGGCACGTGCAGTGAAGAGGACAGCGCCTTCTCGGTCTCCGGTTCCCTGAGCCTGTCCTTGGCTTCTCCACCTGTACAGGCAAAGGGGAAGCTGTCCCCATCACACATGGCACACTTGGGGGTGTTGGGCTTTGGACTGCAGCTGGAGCATCTTCTCATCTTGCATTTGGGCGTGGTGGGGTCCTCCAGTGTGGGATCCATGTCCGTGGGGTTCCCTCTGCCCCGACCCCGAAAGCCCAGTCAGTTTCTCTTCAGGCTCTGCCCCCCGGGTGGCTCAGCCCAGCTCCTGCCTAGGAAAGCCTTAGTGTTGGGAGGGACCCTGATGACTGAGGAGCCTGGTAGCTCCAGGTCGCCCACACTTTCAGGTCTCTTGCACCAGAAGGTGGCAGGATCCATTGGGAGGAAACAGGTCACCTTGGAAGGCGTCCCTGGGCCCCCATCCCCAGGGGTAGGGGCCGTAGGGGGCCCGCTCTGCTGCCTTGACCAGACTCCTGGGCATTGAAGGCTCCTGGGCCCAGTAAGAAGGAGGTGGGTGCCAAGGTTGAGGAGGAAGCATCCGAGTATGTGTAGGAGGAGGACAAGGTGGGACCATAGACTTTGCCAAAAGCTGCAGGTGGATCGGGGGACCCTGGGGGCTCAGGATCCAGCAAGGGGCGGCAGGAGTAAAGGAGGAAGGAATGACAGGTGCAAATACCTTCCCACCAAAGCCCTTGTTGCCCTCTGGCTCCTCCCCAGAGTTGTCCCCACTCTCAGTCGGTCACCCACTCCTTGAACTTGAGATCGGTGTCAGTGGTGCTAAAGCCATCATCAGCAATGACATCATCACCCCCTCCTCCTCATGGATGACCGTGTGCTCCTCGTCACTTGCTATGTCCTCACTGGCCATGTGCTGGGAATGAGCAGCTCAGGTGGGCAGCAGCAGGGCTGCCCACTGGTCACCTCCCTCACCAGGGGCTGCAAAGTGGCCTGGAGCTCCATACTGAGTAGAAGGCTTTGGGCCAGAGTATGATGCAGTGCCAGACACCACCTGTGTCAGTTCCCGTAGTGCCTGACGGTCTATTTCCCTGCCGTCCAGGCTGTGTACCCCACTGTGGGAGAAGGCTTGGGCCAGGCTAAGCCAGGTTCCCTGACTGTGTGCAGCCATTCTGCCCCACAGAAGCTGCTCCTTGGTATCCGAGCTCTGGAGTGTTTGGGCTGCAACTGACAGGAGTTCAGAGGACACCCCAGGGGCAGTGGCAGTGCCCGTCTCTGATATTCTCCGCTCCCACGAGCCCTTGTTACACTCCTGCTAGCCCCTGGCTTGTGGGCTTGGCCTCTGAGCTGGACTTCTTTCGGTCCTTGTTGCAAGTGGGCCACCTTCACCTGGAAGGCCAGGTCGTGGTATTTCTGCGTCTCATTGGGCCCCAGGGTGTACCACCGCTTGCTCAGCATCTGGCTGACGGTCCGGTTGTCCTGGTTGGGGTGACCCTGGTGCGCCCTGCCAGGGCCTGGTGCCGCTTGCTGAAGATCATGACCGCCACTCATGGGCCACCGGATGTGGTCCTTGTCCCATTTGTTGGGGCTGCATCCATCCTTCTCAGAAGATGAGTCCTGTTCCTTGCGCAGGGCACTGAGGGACTGGGCCTGACATCATCTGGCTGGTAGAGGCAACTGGGTGTCAGGAGACATGATGGAGAGGAAAGCATCATCATGGTCATTCTCTGTCTCACTGTCCAGCAGGGACTCCCCTGAGGGGCCCAGGGCTCCTCCTCCATGGTGGGAGGTGAGCTTTTACCAGGTTCCACCACCCCCAAAGTGTGTGGGGTTGCGGGCCCTGGGCTTTCAGGGCAGGTGGCTCCAGGGGGCCACCCAGGGTCAGCACTCCCTGTCCCACCTGGTGGACACTCATGAGCAACAGCTGCTGACTTGGCAGGTTCTTTGCTCTGGTTGGAGGCCACTGAGTGACTGGCAGGTTGCTGGACCTCACATAGCTGCAGGGAGGGGTCAGGAAGGGGACAGAGTACCAGGAGAACACAGCCACAGAGCAAGGTTCCACGTTCCTCCACACAAACATGCTGACGCCACTGGAGGCCTCGCTGGACGCAGACATCAGGGGCCTGTGGGCCAAGTACATGGTCTGGGCAGGGGGTTCCTGGCAGGGGCTCACACCTCCTCAGCCCCCTCCTCAGCCAAGGCAGCTTGGACCCACGGAAGTGGGGATGGAAGGGGAGCATGAGGCCAGGCCTCAAGTTTTTGTTTTTGTTTTTTTTTTTTTTGAGATGCAGTTTGGCAGGCTGGAGTGCAGTGGTGCGATCTCAGCTCACTGAAACCTCCACTTCCTGGGTTCAAGCAATTCTCCGGCCTCAGCCTCCCATGTATATGCACCTTTACTGCTGAATATTATATATTTTCTTATGCTTTCATGTGATTGATTAGCATTCTTTTTTTTTTTCTTTTTGAGACAGAGTGTTGCTGTCGCCCAGGCTGGAGGGCAGTGGTGTGATCTCGGCTCACTGCAACCTCTGCTTCATGGTTTAATTGATTCTCCTGCCTCAGCCCCCTGAGTAGTTGGGATTACAGGCACCCGCCACCACACCTGGTTAATTTTTTGCATTTTTAGAAGGCGTGGGTTTTTGCCATGTTGGCCTGGCTGGACTTGACCTCCTGACCTCAAGTGATCCACCCTCCTTGGCCTCCCAAAATGCTGGGATTACAGGCATGAGCCACCACACCCAGCTGCTTTCTTTCATTTTTACTTGAAAAACTCCATTAAGCATTTCTTTTAAAGTAGACCTAGTGGTGGCTCATACCTATAATCCCAGCACTCTGGGAGGCCAAGGTTTCAGGATCGCTTGAGCCCAGGAGTTCAAGACCAGCCTGGGTAACATAATGAGACACCATCTCTACAAAAAATGCAAAAATTAGCTGAGCATGGTGGCACGCACCTGTAGTCCCAGCTACCTGGGATGCTGAGGTGGGAGGATCACTTGAGCCCGGGAAGTCACAGCTGCAGTGAGCCATGATCGCACCACTGCACTCCAGCCTGAACAACAGTGTGAGACCCTGTTTTTTATTTTTTATTTTTATTTATTTATTTTTTAAAGACATAGGTAGCTAGAGTAATACAGAGATGAAAGGGAGAGTATTCACACACGCTTCTTAAAATAGAAATTACTAAATTTTATTTTACTTAAAATAAAATTTAGCTGTGAGGATTCTCCACAAGGCTGCTCATGACATGGCAGATGGCTTCCCCTTGGGTGGAATGACAGGAGGGCGAGGGCCAAGGTGAGGGTGGTACGGAGAGAGAAAAAACTACCAAGATGAAAGCTGCAGTGCCTTTTATAACCTAATCTTGGAAGGGACATATCACTACTTGTGCCTTATCCTTTCAGTCACACAGACCAACCCTGATATGTTATGGATAGGGACTTGGAGACTGCTCCAAAGACCAGGAGGTGACGATCACTGGGGTCCTCTGGGAGACTGGCCACCACAGTTGCCTTTTCCTTTTCAGGTCACTTACAAGGGTCTTTGTTGCTATGGAGGTGGATGTGGGCATAATCAAAGGGTACATGTTGTACAGGCCTTTATTATACAAACCTCTACAATAAAACAATAACACATCACTGCCAAGACAGTTATACAGTGTTAAATTGGAATGGAAAGGAAGGAATCAGAATTTCATGTGATAGAACACTTAAAAGTCTGCCTGTGCACATGTATGAATATGCATTAGGGAGAAGTAAAAGAGTGACCTGAAAATCTTCCTAAAGTAATATTATCTAGAAAGTTTGAGAGGTTTAACTGTGGCTAACAAGATTTCCTGAAGATAAAATGTTCCTGGGGCCTTAATAGTTACAAGAACTTTACCAAATCAAGAAAGCAAATATATAGGAGTCTAAAAATTATTTAGTTTTGCATATTCATTTCAGAGTACCAATTATGATTTTATTTCTTTTTAATTTTTAAAAGTTTAGAAAAAAAACGAGAACCAATTACAATGTTAAAAGGAAACAGGAAGGATAGATTTGGGGCCAATTATATTACTGTTTGGGTTTTTGTTACTATAAAAATGGAAATATTAAAGATTTTAAAAAATGAGTGGTAATAGAGTACAAATCTGCAAATGATGAATCAGCAATTATATTTTTATACCAAATGGTATGTTTGTGATATTGATATAGTATTAATGCACTGTGAATTTATTTATTTATTTTGAGATGGAATCTTGCTCTGTCGTGCAGACTGGTGTGCAGTGGTGCGATCTCAGCTCACTGCAACCTCTGATATGGTTTAGCTGTGTCCCCACCCAAATCTCATCTTGAATTCCTATGTGTTGTGGGAGGGACCTGGTGGAAGGTCCATGAATGATGGGGGCAATCAATTCTTTCCTGTGCTGTTCTTATGATAGTAAATAAGTCTCACAAGATCTGATTTTTTTTTTTTTTTTTTTTTTTTTTTTTTCCAAGACAGAGTCTCACTCTGTCACCCAGGCTGGTGTGAAGTGGTACAATCTCAGCTCACTGCAGCCTCTGCCTCCCGGGTTCAAGTGATTCTCCTGTCTCAGCCTCCCAAGTAGTTGGGATTACAGTTGCCTGCCACCATGCCTGGCTAATTTTTGTATTTTTAGTAGAGAGGGGATTTCACCATGTTGGCCAGGCTGGCCTTGAAGTCCTGACTTCAGATAATCTGCCTGTCTCAGCTTCCCAAAGTGCTGGGATTACAGGCGTGAGCCACTGTGCCCAGCTGAGATCTGATGGTTTTAAAAAGAGGAGCTCCCCTGCATGAGATCTCACTTTTTGCCTGCTACCATTTATGTAAGATGTGACTTGCTCCTTCTTGCCTTCCATCATGACTGTGAAGCTTCCCCAGCCATATGGAATTGTAAGTTCAATTAAACTTCTTTTCTTTGTAAATTACCCAGTCTCGGGTATGTCTTTATCGGCAGCATGAAAACGGACTAATACAGTAAATTGGTACCAGGAGTGGGATGTTCTGAAAAGATATCTGAAAATGTGGAAACGACTTTGGAACTGGGTAATAGGCAGAGGTTGGAACAGTTTTGAGGGCTCAGAAAAAGACAGGAAAATGTGGAAAAGCTTGGAACTTTCTAGAGACTTGTTGAATGGCTTTGCCAAAAATGCTGATAATGATATGGACAATAAGACCCAGGCTGACGTGGTCTCCGATGGAGCTGAGGAACTTACTGGGAACTGGAGCAAAGGTGACTCTTGTTATGTTTTAGCAAAGCGACTGGCAGCATTTTGCCCCTGCCCTAGAGATGTGTGGAACTTTGAACTTGAGAGAGATGATTTAGGGTATCTGGCAGAAGAAATTTCTAAGCAGCAAAGCATTCAAGAGGTGACTTGGGTGCTGTTGAAAGCATTCAGTTTTAAAAGGAAAACAGAGGATAGAAGTTTGAAAAATTTGCAGCCTGGCAATGCGATAGAAAATTGCATTTTCTGAATAGAAATTCAAGCCAGCTGCAGAAATTTGCATAAGGAAGGAGGAGCCAAATGTTAATCCCCAAGACAATGGGGAAAATGTCTCCAGGCCATGTCAGAGGCCTTCACGGCAGTCCCTCCCATCACAGGCCCAGAAGCCTAGGAGGAAAAAGTGGTTTCATGGGCTGGGCCCAGGGTCCCCAAGCTATGTGCAGCCTGGGGTTTGGTCCACTGCATCCCAGCTGCCCCAGCTGTGGCTGAAAGGGGACAATGTAGAGCTCGGGCCCTGGCTTTAGATGGTGCAAGCCCCATGCCTTGTGGTGTTGAGCTTCCATGTGGTGTTGAGCCTGCAGGTGCACAGAAGTCAAGAATTGAGGTTTTGGAACCTCCACCTAGATTTCAGAAGATGTATGGAAATGCCTGGATGCCCAGGCAGAAATTTGCTGCAAGGGTGGGGCTCTCATGGAGAACCTCTGCTAGGGCAGTGCAGAAGGGAAATGTGGGGTCGGATCCCCCACACAGAGTCCCTACTGGGGCACTGTCCTCCAGACCCAGAATGGTAGATCCACTGACAGCTTGCACTGTGTGCCTGGAAAAGCCACAGACACTCAATGCCAGCCTATGAAAGCAACCAGGAGGGAGACTGTACCCTGCAAAGCCACAGGGGCAGAGCTGCTCAAGACCATGGGAACCTACCTCTTGTATCAGCATGACCTGGATGTGAGACATGGAGTCAAAGGAGAACATTTTGGAGCTCTAAGATTTGACTGCCCTGCTGGATTTTGGACTTGCATGGGGCCTGTAGCCCCTTTGTTTTGGCCAGTTTCTCCCATTTGGAATGGCTATATTTACCCAATGCCTATACCCCCATTGTATCCAGGAAGTAACTAACCTGCTTTTGATTTTACAGGCTCATAGGTGGAAGGGACTTGCCTTGTCTCAGATGAGACTTTAGACTGTGGACTTTTGAGTTAATGCTGAAATGAGTTAAGACTTTGGGGGACTGTTAGAAAGGCATGATTGGTTTTGAAATGCGAGATCATGAGATTTGGGAGGGGCCAGGGGCAGAATGATATGGTTTGGCTGTGTCCCCATCCGAATCTCATCTTGAATTTCTGTGTGTTGTGGGAGGGACAGGTGGGAGGTCATTGAATGATGGGGGCAAGTCTTTTCTGTACTGTTCTTGTGATAGTGAATAAGTCTCATGAGATCTGATGGTTTTAAAAAGAGGAGTTTCCCTGCTCAAGCTCTCTCTCTTTGCCTGCTGCCATCCCTGTAAGATGTGACTTGCTCCTCCTTGCCATCTGCCATGATGTGAGGCTTCCCCAGCCACGTGGAACTGTAAGTCCAATTAAACCTCTTTTCTTTGTAAATTATCCAGTCTTGGGTACGTCTTTATCAGCAGCGTGAAAACAGACTAATGCACTCTGCCTCCTGGGGTTCAAGCAATTCTCATGCCTTAACCTTCCAGGTAGCTGGGACTACAGGTGTGGACTACCATGCCTGGCTAATTTTTGTATTTTTGGTAGAAACAGGGTTTTACCATGTTGGCCAGGCTGGTCTTGAACTTCTGCCTCAAGTGATCCACCTGCCTCGGCCTCCCAAAGTGCTGGGATTACAGGCATGAGCCACCGCACCTGGCCTGCACTGTGAATGTATAATCCCAGTGATTAGATATGGATATTAATGTTATTCATTTCCTTTTTACCTTATTTTATGTTTGTTTTTAATAATAATAATTTTGTAACATTTGAAGATATAAATATCCTTAAATACTTTTACAGTCATGTTAAAAATTCTTCGGATTTCAAAAACAATGAAAAAATTGATAATGCATTTGGAAATTGTAGAAATATGAGAGAGTCCTAATTTTGAAAATGAGGCACTCTGATACAGGTCAGTTGTACAAGGACATGAGTACATTAGTACTTTGATACCTTCATGTTTGGCAGTTATAGTCAGGTACTTCTTTTATGAATTTAAAATTAGTAATTTATTTTATGACCAACTTCAACTTTTCAGGAGCTGTTATTGTGAAAGTTTTTTTGCTACTATGAGTTTTATCCAGTCAGAAACAGGAACCAATTGTAAACAATTACTTCTATTGCTGCAAACAATTTTTAAAAACCTGCCAAATATGCAATGCCTTGCTATTCAAAAGAAAAAAAATTCATTGGTTTAACTCCATAGTTTTTTTGTTTTTGTTTTTGTTTTTTTGAGATGGAGTCTTACTCTGTTGCCCAGGTTAGAATGCAGTGGCACCATCCTGGCTCACTGCAAACTCCACCTCCCGGCTTCAAGCGATTCTCCTAAGAGTAGCTGGGATTACAGGCCTGCGCCACCATGCCCAGCTAATTTTTGTATTTTTAGTAGAGACAGGGTTTCACCATGTTGGCCAGGCTGGTTTTGAACTCCTGACCTCAGGTGATCCACCCACCTTGGCCTCCCCAAGTGCTGGGATTATAGTAGTGAGCCACTGTGCCCCAAAAGAAAAAAAAATTTCAAATTTCATACCTTAAAAATTATCTCCTTTATGAGATAACACCTGTGGAAAGAAAAAAAAAAGAAAACATTATTTCCTTCAAACTAACCTGGTAAAGTTTGGAAATACTATAAATCCTCAATATTTAAAACAGTGTAGTACCAGAGTGTGAATAGACAGATGAAAGCAATGTAAAATAAATTCTGAAATTGGCCTATTATAGTTAAGACTTTTGATTATGAGAAAGGTGGTATTGTCCTCATGAATCTCAATGAGGCTTAAACTGACCAGCCTATTTAATAGCACAGCCTTCCACCACATCCATCCCCAACATTCCTGGTCCCCCTCATCCTGTTCTTCTTTTCTTTCTATAGCACTGACCACCTCCTAACACACTATGCGATTATTTATTGTGTTTTTTTAATTGTTGGAATCCCCTCGCATAAACGTAGCCTTTTTATTTTGTTCACTGATCTATCCCAAGCATCTAGGAAAGTGCCTACCATATATAGTAGATACTTGATAAACATTTGTTAAATGAATGAATCTCAAATCAGTGGTGAAAGATGTAACATCCTATACAATAAGTGACACTGGACAATTGATAGCCATCTGGGGAAATACAGACAACCACATTGGTTCTAGACTTTACATCACACACCAGGAAAAAATCTAGATGGATTAAAGGCTTAAATAGAAAGATAACAACCGTAAAAGTCATTCAGGAAACCATGGGGAAATGATTGTATAACCTTGGAATGGGGAAACTTTGTCAAAATATCATACAAAAATCCAAAAGCCATAAATGAAAATATTGATAAATTTAACTACCAAAAGAAATTCCACAAGGCAACAACACAGTAAACATATTCAAAGACAAATAAAAAACTAGGAAAAAATGACAACTCAGTCTTTGCAATATAAAAAGATTGCCTATAAAATAGATAAGAAAAAGACTAATAGCCTAATAGAAAAATTGGCAAATGTTATGAATTAAAAATTCATAGAATAAAAACCAATGAGATAAATGAAGAGATGCCCAATTAAAATTACATTGAGATATCATTTTAAAAACTTTCAGCCTGATAAGTTCAAAAGCTTTATGACATACTGAGATGGTGGATTTATGAGAAGCACAAACTCTCAAACATTGTTGGTGGAAATTTAAATTTGTATACTTGTTATGAAGTTCATCACAGTAGTATCCATCAGCATATACACTCTTCTTTTAAAAAAAATATTTATTTGTTTTGAGACAGGGTCTCACTCTGTTGCCCAGGTTGGAGTGCAGTGGCGTGATCTTGGCTCACTGCAACCTCTGCCTCCCAGGCTCAAGTGATCCTCCCACCTCAACCTCTTGAGAAGCTGGGACCAAAGGCATGCACCACCATGCCTAACTAATTTTTTGTATTTTTTATAAAGATGGAGTTTCACTGTGTTGCCCAGGCTGGTCTCAAACTCCTGGACTCAAGCAATCTCACCTCAGTCTCCCAAAGTGCTGGGATTATAGGCGTGAGCCACCACACCCAACTCATATACATCCTTTCACACAGCAATTCTACTTTCAAGAATTTTTTCTTGTTACCAGACAGGATTAGCTAGGTTAAGTTGAGGTAATAAACAATCTCAAAACATCAATGGCTTAAAATTACAAAGGGCTTTTAAAAATGTCTCACTAGTGCCATGGAAAGACTATCCTTAAAAAAGTATCTCAAAAATATGTTTAAGAGAAAAGAGCAAGTTGAAAAAAAAATAGTGCCATTAGTCGTTACATCAG
The DNA here is from genome assembly GCF_000001405.40 of Homo sapiens. NCBI lineage: Eukaryota > Metazoa > Chordata > Mammalia > Primates > Hominidae > Homo > Homo sapiens. Next base: position 128,666,364 of record NC_000007.14, read on the forward strand.
TGTACATCTAAGCTGCCATCTGGTGGTGGTTTTCTTCCTCCTGAAGAACTCTTAGTGTTTCTCGTAGTTCGGGTCTACTGGAAACAATTTTTCTCAGCTTTTATTTGTCTGAAAAATTCTTTTTTTTTTTTTTTTTTTGAGATGGAGTCTCCCTCTGTCACCCAGGCTGGAGTGCAGTGGCGCGATTTTGGCTCACTGCAACCTCCGCCTCCCGGGTTCAAGCGATTCTCCTGCCTCAGCCTCCTGAGTAGCTGGGATTACAGGCACGCGCCACCACACCCGGCTAATTTTTGTATTTTTAGTAGAGATGGGGTTTCATCGTGTTGGTCAGGCTGGTCTCGAACCCCTGACCTTATGATCCACCCACCTCGGCCTCCCAAAGTGCTGGGATTACAGGCATGAGCCACCGCACCCAGCTGAAAAATTCTTTAGTTCCCCTCAAATTTTTTTTTTTTTTTTTAGAGATGGGAATCTCAACATGGTGCCCAGGCCAGGTGGGACTTGAACTTCTGGACTCAAGCAATCCTCCCACGTCAGCTTCCCAAGTAGCTGGAACTATAGGGATGCACCATGAACTACTAATTTAAAATAAACTTTCTCCTTTATTAGTATTTTTTAGTAGAGACGGGGTTTCACCATATTGGCCAGGGTGGTCTTGAACTCCTAGCCTCAAGTGATCCATCTGCGTCAGCCTCCCAAAGTGCTGGGATTACAGGTGTGAGCCACCACACCCAGACATTCATCTTTATTTTTAAAGGACATTTTTACTGAACATAAAATTCTCTGAGTTGGCAGTTTTTTCTTTCAGCAATCTTAAGATGTTTATGCCTTCTGGCTTCAACAGTTGGAGCAAGAAGATTGCTGTAATTCTTATCTTGGTTCCTCTGGATATTTTTAAGGTTTTCTTTCTATCAGCAATTTGATTACGATGTGCCTCATAAGGATTTATTTGTGTTTATCCTGCTTGGGGTTTATTGAGCTTTGTGGACTTGTACATTTATAGTTGTCACTACAGTTGGAAATTTTTAAGCCATTATTTCTTTAAATACGTTTCTATCTCAAGAAGTACAGTTATCTCCAAATGAGCGTCATCTACATGTCCACAACTCTGATCAGACCACTCTTAGAGCCAGTAATGATTATTTTAATACCTACCATACTTTGTGTATATTTACTCCTCAGTAAATATTTGTAGAGCTGCACATAGGGAATTTCTTTAACACCTTTAAAGTTTATTTATTTAAATAAGAAATACATGCCCATGGTAAATATTTCAAATAGTACAAAAATATTTCAAATAGTACAAAAAAGGAGGTATTCTGTGAAAAGTAAGTCTTTGTTTCACCAAAGATACCAATCCCTGCCCCCTCCCCGTCCTAAGGCCATCACTGTTAGCATTTCCTTTTTTCTCCTCCCAAAATTGTCTGTGCATGTTCAAGTATATATGGATATATATCCTTGTGCTAGCATACTATATACACTGTTCTGCATCTTTTTAAAGTTTAATAATCTTGGCGATCATTCTATATCAGTACATATAAAGTGGGCTTTTTATGAATGGCCTAACATTACATCATACAGATGTATCATAATTTAATTAAGTGGTGCCCTGTTGGTGGATATTCAAGTCGTCTGGTCTTTTGCTATTGCAAATAATGTTGCAGTAAAGTAAAATGTAAAATAAAAGTAAATGTCTTACTTACTTAAAAACCTATTTTAAAAGTAAATGATGGACTTTAGGAGGTTAAGAATTAAAAATTAATAAACATATAAATAAATGAGGTACTCTAGCACTTGGGGTCATGCTGATGTTCTTGTCATCTAAATTTTTGGTTTATATGCTGCAAACATTGTCAAAGAAATTTCCTATTTCTTTTACAAGGAAAAGAGAAAAACATGTCAAGAATAGGGAGTACTATTATAAGAAAGCAAAAGTAACAACTTTGAAGGTTTGAATTTCTGGTGTTACAAACTTTGTATGCTAAAAAGATAAATGTTAGTTTCCACTTCTAATGATCAAGTCTTAGGAAGATATAAGCCAATAAGATATAAGCTGCTTCTGATGGTACAGCTTCAGGGAAACACCAGTGAGAAGCACGTGTCTCCCCTGATGAGAAGAGAAGTGCTAGGAGATTGAGCCTCAGTCACAGGCAGATGTGTGTCTTGACAGCCACGGTGTGTGTCTTGAGAGTTTAAAAGATGTGAAAGAATGATTTGACCCATTGGCTTGCTCGCTGAATAAGCACCAAGGCAAGAGAGCCTGGTAGTTGTCCTGCATAGTCTAGGAAGGACATTCTGAGAAGGATAACTAATACTTCATCCCTCTTCAACTTGATGCAACCTGAAGAGCAAGTCCTTGGGTGAAAGTTTCTTGTCCGGTACCAAAGATAGGAGATAGCAGGTAAAGGGAACAAGTTGGTACCATGGCAATGGTGTCCCAGTAAATTTTTATTTTGTTTTGTTTTGTTTGCAAGAACAGTATGGGATAAACAATAGCAAATATACAGCCTTGGTTTCCCCAAATCCTACAATCTCAGTGCAGGAAGGTCATCTTCAGCAGTCAGCTCAGAATAGCCTCAAGGGACATGATGTCTACAGCTTCTGGCTTCAGAATAATGTCCTATTACTGTCAAGTGGCACCCCCCACCATTTCTTCAAAGGCTGTGATAAGTTTTGCACAGATGAGGGCAGCAGAAAGGAGGTAGTTGCTGCTAGACACCATCCTTCTCTGTATATTCCACACTGACCTTGCTCTAGGCAAAGGCCCCCACCACAAAAACAATAGGGTCACTGTTGAACACCAGCTCTTTTTTTTTTTTTTTTTTTTTTTGAGACGGAGTCTCGCTCTGTCGCCCAGGCTGGAGTGCAGTGGCGGGATCTCGGCTCACTGCCAGCTCCGCCTCCCGGGTTCACGCCATTCTCCTGCCTCAGCCTCCCAAGTAGCTGGGACTACAGGCGCCCGCCACTACGCCCGGCTAATTTTTTGTATTTTTAGTAGAGACGGGGTTTCACCGTTTTAGCCGGGATGGTCTCGATCTCCTGACCTCGTGATCCGCCCGCCTCGGCCTCCCAAAGTGCTGGGATTACAGGCGTGAGCCACCGCGCCCGGCCCTGAACACCAGCTCTTACACCTACCTCGCTGATGCCTGGAATGGAAAAAGAAGTGCCGATTTTCTTTTTCTTTCTTTCTTTTTTTTTTTTTAGACAGAGATTCACTGTGTGGCCCAGGCTGGAGTACAGTGGCACAATCTTGGCTCACTGCAACCTCCGCCTCCCGGGTTCAAATGGTTCTTTTGCCACAGCCTCCTGAGTAGCTGGGAATACAGGCGCATGCCACCACACCCAGCTAATTTTTGTATTTTTAGTAGAGACAGGGTTTCACCATATCGGCCAGACTGGTTTCAAACTCGTGACCTCGTGATCCTCCCTCCTTGGCCTCCCAAAGTACTGGGATTAAAGGTGTAAGCCACCACACCCAGCCAGAAGTGCCAATTTTCATACATCCAACTGGGAAGTGATCTGATGTTGGATTCTTTTTTCTTTCTTTTTTTTTTTTAGGTGGAGTTTTGTTCTTGTTGTCCATGCTGGAGTGCAATAATGGTGTGATCTCAGCTCACTGCAACTTCCACCTCCCAGGTTCAAGTGATTCTCCTACCTCAGCCTCCCGAGTAGCTGGGATTACAGATGCCTGCCACCACGCCCGGCTAATTTTTTATATTTTTAGTAGAGATGGGGTTTCACCATGTTGGTCAGGCTGGTCTCCAACTCCTGACCTCAGGTGATCCACCCGCCTCGGCCTTCCAAAGTGCTGGGATTACAGGTGTGAACCACTGCACCTAGCCCTTTTTCTCTTTTTAAATATACAATTTTAGGATCCCTTTTTTTTTTTTTTTTGAGATGGGAGTCTCATTCTGTCACCCAAGCTGGAGCGCAGTGGCACAATCTCTGCTCACTGCAACCTCTGCCTTCTGGACTCAAGTGATCCTCCCACCTCAGCCTCCCAAATAGCTGGGACCACAGGGCGTGCCACCACACCCGGGTAATTTTTGTATTTTTTGTAGAGACGAGGTTTTACCATGTTGCCCAGGCTGATCTTGAACTCCTAAGTTCAAACAATCCACCCACCTTGGCCTCCTGAAGTGCTGGGATTACAGGCGTGAGCCACTGCACCTGGCCTTATAATACTCTTTATTGTAAATTTCATATGACCAGTTGATTCTTACCAAAAGCTTTTGTTGATTTTTGTCAAACGCTGATATTTCTAGCCAACCTATGATTGCAACTGACAAGCAAGTATAGTTCTGACATGAATATTGGTTGATATTTTGATTTACATTAATGAGCAAGGCAAAAGTGAAATAACAAAGTTGTGTATTGGAACTTTACTCATTTGTCAATGACGTGGGCAACTTCTTCGCTAAATTAGGTAAGTCTTCAAATACTGGAAGGCTATTTTCTCAGATTTTTCTATGCCCAAAATATAATAGCTACAGACACATCTTTAAGTTTAATCTGCATAATTAACATTTTCTCTATCACTTTAGTTTAGACAATCAACAGAACAATAAATCAAACCCTGATTTGTAGCACTTGCTGATTTCAAGCTAGCTAACAAGATGAAGTTCCTGAACACACCCTGGGAAGAGATATGCAGCAGCCCACCACTGTATACTGTTTCTTTTCTTTTCTTTTTTTTGAGACAGAGTCTTGCTTTGTCGCTTAGGCTGGAGTGCAGTGGCACCATCTTGGCTCATCACAACCTCCACCTCCCAGATTCAAGCGATCGCCCTGCCCCAGCCTCCCAAGTAGCTGGACTACAGGTACCCACACCACACCCGGCTAATTTTTGTAGTTTTAGTTGAGACGGGGTTTCACCCGTTGACCAGGCTAGTCTCGAACACCTGACCTCAGGCGATCCACCCACCTCGGCCTCCCAAAGTGCTGGGATTACAGTCATGAGCCACCAAGCCCAGCCAAGTTTATATCATTTAAGTTTTAAAGGCTGGGCTTGGTGGCTCATGACTGTAATCCCAGCACTTTGGGAGGCCGAGGTGGGTGGATCGCCTGAGGTCAGGTGTTCCAGACCAGCCTGACCAACATGGAGAAACCCTGTCTCTACTAAAAATACAAAATTATCCGGGTGTGGTGGTGCATGCCTGTAATCCCAGCTACTCGGGAGGCTGAGGCAGGAGAATTGCTTGAAGATGGGAGGCGGAGGTTGTGGTGAGCCGAGATCACGCCACTGCACTCTAGCCTGGGCAACAAGAGCAAAACTCTGTCTCAAAAAAAAAAAAAAAAAAGTTTTAATAATTGCTGTGTTTAACAACTGGTTTGTAGCATTCCTGAAAATGTAACAACCAGCTCTCGTGACCTGTTTTGGTCTGGCTCCAGCATACAACTGTGCCACTGCCTTCTCCTTTGCCCACTGTTTCCAAATAAATAAGCTTCTCAGTTTAGTTAACAGGTGTCCATTTCTTTAAAAAAAAAAAAAAATCTCCTTTTCTCCCATGAGATGGGGTAGGGAAGATGAACTCCCTTTTTCCTATCCTTAGACTTCCCTGGGCAGGTGAACAAGTCCCATGGAAGTTTGGTGAGGGGCTTCAAGGGGAGCCAAGAGGATTAAAGCCTGTATGTTCCCGAGAGCCTTCCTTGCATCTGGCCAGCTCACTGCTGCCTTGGCATAACTTTGGGAGGGTCATTTTTTCCATGTGGGGTAAGGCTGAATGTTTACAAAGTGGAATAGGCTGCATTACTGCTGGTTTGTAGTTGGTGGAAAGAGGGAGAAAAGAGCCTGGCACATCCTCTGTCCTTCCTCTTCTTTTTTTTTTCCCTTTTCTGTTGTCACCATCACATTCCTTGATGTCATTCCTGCCATTGTGAGCTGACAGGCCCTCCCAGCCCTGGTGGACAGCCCGTAAGTAAATGGGGAGGAAATGCTGGGGAGGTGGGGGCAGATCACATCAACATCCTGGCATTGGGCTGGGTCGGCGTGGAGCCCCAGAAATGTTCCCAAGCCCATTCTTACCAAGAACCAATGAGTAAAATCAGGGGCCTCCCACCTGAGGTCAGGGAACCAGGCCCTGGAGTGGAACTTGGGGTGGAAAATGGCCTTCTTTGTCAACTGATTCATTCTCCAGAATTCAATTTGTTCTCCAACTCGGTGGTGTTTGAAAGCAACTTTATCCAGGTACCCTCGTGGAGCTCAGGGCCAGCTGTCTTTCTGTTTCCAAAACCTGTTCCTAGGGGTTGGTTAGGAGATGCTGTGGCCTTTTAAAGCCCTGGGGGAGGGGGGGGCGGGGGGACAAAGAAGCCACCAAAGCTAGAGAAAACCAGAAGGTCTGGGTCCCAAGTTCACCTCCATTTGTGCCTACCGTATGATAGAGCTACCTGCAGGTCATCTGTTCTAGGGAAATTGATTTATGCTTTACAAATGAGAGATCAGAGCTCAGTCTCCAGGCAGGGTTCACAGGCCCTTTCTGGGCCACTTGTCCAAAGTGGATGGTTACAGGGAATGAAGGTTGCTGTTAGAAACTCTGCTCTGAAATCCATCCTCCTCAGTCTGGGATGGTTTAGAAACAGCCTTGTTTGAAAGCAAAGACACTGGGTAAATAGGTGTTGCCCAGATCCTACCATTCCCTAAAAGGATGGTGGTGACATGACCAATGGAAGTGAGCCTGGGATGGGGCCACTGGGAGTGGAAGGTGGTCGTTTTCGTAAGTATCAAGTCTTAACGCGGGTGCTGCCTGCCTCCCTCTAGCGGTCTAGCCTGAACCCATGCTCCTGCGCAGGAGAGCATAACCAGTTAATCAGCCAGTAAGCACACACTAAACATCTACTGAGTGCAGGGCAGGAGGTGCAGAGAAAAATCAGAGTGTCCCTGGCCAGGAAGCCTATGAGTTTGGTTTACCTGTTATTTGGTAACTGTCTAAGCAAGCTCTATGTCAGAGAGCTTGGGCCAGCTGATGCACCAGGCATGACTGCAGAGAGCAGGTGCTGGGGGCATTCATTCAAGGCATTCTCTCTGGACTTTGGCAGTTGAAGAAGGCTTTCCAGAAGGGTCTTAAGCCATTCTTTGAGAGACTGCTGAGATTTTGGTAAGTGGAAGAGCAGCGGGGAGGATATCCCAGACAGAGGGGCTTCAAAGTACCTAAGGAAAGGCAGGGAGGCTGGAATGCAAGGTCTGCAAGACACAGACCCATTCAAATGGAATGGGAAAGTAGCCAGGGGTTATAGGAGAGAAGGTGGGAACAGTTTGAGGTGGGTCTTGGGCTTAATTTGGAGACTCTTCACAGAGCAGCGAGCTGCTCCCTAATGGAGTCCCCGGATTTTGGAGAGCTGTGTTTATGGCTCCTGCCGCTCCACGGTCCCTTTACTGTGCCCCAGGAGATGTGTAGTTGGGTGATCAGCTGGCAAACCTGAGGCGAGCTCATTCCTAACATACCCTTGGTGGAGACAGAGCAATAACATGGGAAGTCCAGTCTCAGGATCCAATTTCTAGTCATTTCTATTTGGGTGTAATGATTCAGCTGCAAATTTCTTCTCTTAATGTGTGCTTTTTTTTTGAGATGGAGTCTCACTCCGTTGCCCTGGCATGGTCTAGGCTCACTGCAACCTCTGCCTCCTGGGTTCAAGCAATTCTCCTATCTCAGCCTCCCGAGTAGCTAGGACCACAGGCGTGCACCACCTCGCCCAGCTAATTTTTTTGTGTTTTAGTAGAGATGGGGTTTCACCATGTTGGCCAAGATGGTCTTGATCTCTTGACCTCATGATCTGCCCGCCTTGGCCTCCCAAAGTGCTGTTTTCTTTGGCCTAATATTAAAACTGTTTAGATTCTCTGAATGGACACTAAGTGACCTGGGTAGCAGCAAACTTAGAATGTGCTAGGGAGAGGCTGACCCGCACAGAAAAGTTCAAAGTTTGATTTTTTAAAAAAAAATTTTTGATAGAGACAGGGTCTCACTATGTTGCCCAGGCTGGTCTTGAACTCCTGGCTTCAAGTGATACTCCGGCTTTGGACTCCCAAAGTGCTGGGATTATAGGCATGAATGACCGCACACAGTCCAAAGTTTACTTGAAGTGATGCAACCCACATATTAGTTATAGTTATAGTTGTTATAGTACAGTTACACTGCTTCCTCTCTCCCCCTTCCTGCACATCACCATCACTATCATCATCTCAAAGCAGCATTACCCACAAACATTTATTGAGCACTTACTCTCAATGTGTACAACCCTTTGTGTTTTGCAGAGGATATGAATTTCATTCCTCAACAAGGGCTCCAAGAAGTGTCACTTTTTTTTTTCAAAATCAAAATTCACTTTTCTGGGAACACCATCTGGTCAGGCTGGTGGGAAATTACATTTCAGTCATCCCTGGGGCTTTCCCTCATCCCCAGTTCCACCAAGGACTGGGCAATGGTGTCGATAGTTTTACAAAGTCTAGAACATTGGCTGGGCATAGTGGCTCATGCCTGTGATCCCAGCACTTTGGGAGGCTGAGAAGGGAAGATCACTTGAGCCCAGGAGTTTGACACCAGTCTGGGCAACATAGTGAGACCCCATCTCTATTTTCTAAAAAAAGTGTAGAGCATTGGGAGAAGGCCCTCTGGCCTTGGGAACATAGGCGTCCCTCCTCATATGTTCCTTATCCAGGTCCCTGTGGCTCCTAAGTGGCCACAGCTCTGGTGCTTTTCTGCCAGCCGTGCACAGTGAGGTGGGGGGTGTCTTAGCTGAGACACAGTGCCCAGTGGTGGGCATCCAGTCTTTCTGTCCTGTGATGGCCGCCTTCTGCTTCAAGAGAATAGGTCCTCATTCCACTCAAGACCCAGCAACAAGATAGCCCCTCCATCATCCTGGGAGAAGTGCTCCAAACCTCCCTCAACTCAAGCTGTCTGGGTCTTCCCCATTCAACAGCTTTTTCCTCACTTTCCTCTCCTTCTGGGACTTTCTTCACACAATCTCCCTTTTGGGCCACTAGAAACCAGTGCTGGCTTCTCCTGCCCAAAGATGGGGGAATGAAAACTTCAGTGCCACTCAGCTTTTTCTTGCTAGTGCATCTTTTTAGTTAGATAAAACAGTTATCTTTTTAGTTAGATAAAACAGAGGACCCAGAGAAGAATGACACAGGGTTCCTGCAGCCAATGACCTTAAAGTGTATTTGGGGAGGCCAATGAAAAGGATCAATAGCAGGTCAGGGCCCAGCCCAGTGTGTGCACACCTGCCCCCAAGATGATGTGCCACTTTCCAGCATCTGTATTCCACCCCTTGTTTTCTGCTCCTTTCTGACCCATGTACCTGAGGCTGATTTCCAGGTCACTAAGCCCGGGAACTGGAGAGATGTCTGTGAAGGGTCTGCCACCGTGATCCTCGGGGTCACCTCCTCGGTGCCCTCCCTGCCACTCCCCAATGTCCTCCTGATGGCCAATGTTACCTGGCCCCAGGGTCCATTTACCACCTGGAGCACACCTGGTGACGCCCCAGTCATCAACCTCAGCAGGTAAAGGCTTGAGGGAGGGCGGGAAGGGATGGAATGATTGACTGGGATATGCATTGCTTTGTAGCTGGATTTTAGATCAAAAGAAAAGATAGCGTTCTTTAGTGCATAAACCCTGTAGAACTCATTCATTCATTTGTTTAGCAACGATTTATTTAGTATCTTTTTTTTTTTTTTTTTTGAGACAGAGTCTCGCTCTGTTGCCCAGGCTGGAGTGCAGTGGCGGGATCTCGGCTCACTGCAAGCCCCGCCTCCCGGGTTCACGCCATTCACCGAGTAGCTGGGACTACAGGCGCCTGCCACCATGCCCAGCTAATTTTTTTTTTTGGATTTTTAGTAGAGATGGGGTTTCACTGTGTTAGCCAGGATGGTCTCGATCTCCTGATCTCGTGATCCACCTGCCTCGGCCTCCCAAAGTGCTGGGATTACAGGCGTGAGCCACCGCGCCTGACCTTATTTATTTAGTATCTATATTTACCAAGCACTGTGCTTCGTGCTGGGATAGGGCAGTACCCAGTCCTTGTCTCGAGCCTGGTTTTTGAGAATCTTGGCTTCCTTTTCTGTAAATGTGTGTGTGTGTGTAAGTGTGTGTGTATATATGTGTGTGTGTGTATATATAGACACGTTTCCATGTCTTTTAAAATCTTTTTGTAAATATCATTTCGATAATTTCTTTAGTAATATGAGTGAATTAAAATTCACTTGACAAGTCCCTAATATTAGACATTTAGAAATGTTTCTTTGTCAATATAGATAGAGGGGGTTTCCAAGGAAAAGGTGGGGATACAAAAGTCAAACACGACTATGAAATGCTGAGATTGAAAAAAAAATACTAGATATACAGGAGACAGCTATCCTTTTCCTTGCCCTTTCGACACAGTAAGTCAGGATATAGGGAGAAAGAGTCCTAGAAACTGAGTCAGGAAACCTTAGTTCCAGGTCACACTTAATAAGATCTAAACTTGGGCAAATCACTTAGCCTCTCTAAGCCTCAGCCTCGAAATCTGTAAAGCGGAATTAATCATACTTATCTTGGCAGGGCACAGTGGCTCACATCTGTAATCCTAGCTCTTTGGGAGGCTGAGGTGGGAGGATCGCTTGAAGCCAGGAGTTCAAGACCAACCTGGGCAACATAGGGAGATCCTGTTACTACCAAAAAATACCAAAAAAATTAGGTGGGTGTACTGGCATACACCTGTATTCCTACTAAAGTCCTGGAAATTGGAGAAGAGTCAGTCTTAGTAATCACCCCCACTTTCATTACATGAGCTTTCTCCCTTCAGCATCCCCCAAGCAGAGAGGTAGGAGGCCAGTGTCGCTGAGCCACCTCTAGGTGGGCACCCACATGGTCGATTGAAACCACGGGCTCAGCCGGGCGTGGTGGCTCACGCCTGTAATCCCAGCACTTTGGGAGGCCGAGGCGGGCGGATCACGAGGTCAGGAGATCGAGACCATCCTGGCTAACACAGTGAAACCCCGTCTCTACTAAAAATATAAAAAATTAGCCGGGCGTGGTGGCGGGCGCCTGTAGTCCCAGCTACTCAGGAGGCTGAGGTGGGAGAATGGCGTGAACCCCGGGGGCAGAGCCTGCAGTGAGCCGAGATCGCGCCACTGCACTCTAGCCTCGGCGGCAGCGAGACTCCGTCTCAAAAAAAAAAAAAAAAGAAACCACGGGCTCTCCCATGGAAATGTCCTGATTATGTCCAGGCTTCTCCCCCTGAAGTACGTGGAGCTACGAATCTACGACCGGCTCCAGCGCATCCTGAGGGTTAGGACAGTGACCGAAAAGATCTACTATCTGAAGCTCCACGAAAAACACCCAGAGATTGTGTTTCAATTCTGGGTCCGCTTGGTGAAAATTCTGCAGAAAGGCCTGTCCATCACCACCAAAGACCCGAGAATCAAATTCACTCACTGCCTGGTGCCCAAGATGCCCACCAACTCCACAGAAACAACAGTAAGTGGGCCTCCTTCCGGGACCTGTCGAGAAATAAGTATATATAAGTATATATGTAAGTGTCTGTGTATATATATAGACTTGTTTCCATGTCTTTTAAAAGCTCTTTGTAAATATCATTTTGATAATTTCTATTCAGTAGTATGAATGAATTAAAATTTATTTGACCAGTCCCTAATATTAAGACATTTAGAAATGTTTCTTTTTTTTTTTTTTTTTTTTTTTGAGACAGAGCCATGCCCTGTCACCCAGGCTGGAGTGCAATGGCGCGATCTCGGCTCACTGCAGCTTCCACCTCCCAAATTCAAGCGATTCTTGTGCCTCAGCCTCCAGAGTAGCTGGGATTACAGGTGTGTGCCACCATGCCTGGCTAATTTTTGTATTTTTAGTAGAGATGGGGTTTCACCATGTTGGCCAAGCTGGTCTTGAACTCCTGTCCTCAAGTGATCCACCCACCTTGGCCTCCCAAAGTGCTGGGATTGCAGGTGTGAACCTCTGTGCCTGGCCTGTATTTGTTTATTATTGTAAATAATGCTAAAACAAGCATTTATATGTATGATCTACATTTCTGATTATATTCTCAGTTAGGTTTTTAGAAGTAGAATTCAAACAGCATGAACATTTTCAAGGCTCTTAACACATATTGCCAGATTATTTCCATAAATATCATACCAAATTATACTCTCACCAATCATATGAGTGTCTGTAGTCTGGATGCAGTGGCTCACGCCTGTAATCCTAACACTTTGGGAGGCCGAGGCAGGTGGATCACCTCAGGTCAGGAGTTCGAGACCAGCCTGCCCAACATGGTGAAACCCTGTCTCTACTAAAAATACAAAAATTAGCCAGGCATGGTGGCAGGCCCCTATAATACTACTCAGGAAGCTGAGGCAGGAGAATTGCTTAAACTCAGGAAGCAAAGGTTGCAGTGAGCTGAAATTATGCCACTTTACTCCAGCCTGGGCGAAAGAGTGAAACTCCATCTCAAAAAAAAAAAAAAAAGATTAGTATGTTACTGTGTATCTTATTACAATTAAGAAGTAAATGTTTTAATGCATTTCCTAGTATAATAGGTAAAGAAGTGGCATCTCTGATTTTCAATGAGTTTCAGCATTGTTGCATACATATATACATATGTAACAATCGTTACATACATATATACATATGTAACGATTGTTACATACATATATACTTATGTAACGATTGTTACATATATACGTATGTAACAATCGTTACATTGTTATGTATTTGTAGTTATATATAACACAAGATTGTTTTTATATATATATATATTAATGCCATATATATGGCATTGTCTGTTGTGTTCTTTGGCCATTTTTCTATTGGCAATCTTGTGTTTCTCTAAATTGATTTGTAAAATTAAACTTTTTTTTTTTTGAGATGGAATCTCACTCTGTCACCAGGCTAGAGTGCAGTGGTGTAATCTTGGCTCACTGAAACCTCCGCCTCCCAGGTTCAAGCGATTCTCCTGCCTCAGCCTTCCGAGTAGCTGGGACTACAAGTGTGCGCCACCACGCCCAGCTAATTTTTGTATTTTCAGTAGAGACGGGGTTTCACCATGTTGGCCAGGATGGTCTCGATCTCTTGATCTCGTGATCCAACCACCTTGGCCTCCTAAAGTGCTGGGATTACAGGTGTGAGCCACTGCGCCCAGCCTAAAATAAAACTTTTTATACATTGGGATTTTGGACCCTTACAAATTTTTACAAATATTTCCTCAAGTATTTGCCCTTCCTCTTTGGTTTATTTAGGGTACGTCTTTGATACACATAAGGCCTTTCCAGGTCCTGCTTGGTGTAGAAGCACAGGAAGGAAGGCCAATAGATTGGACTGTTCAAAACCTTCAGATTTCAGAATCTAAATGCTTTCCTCCTCTCACTTAAGTTCTGTGCTTCAAGTATGTTATTGACTCTGAAGGTCAGCAGTTTTACAGCCTGACAGCCCTGCCTCTGAACGTTCAGATCTGCACTCAGGACAGAGCAGCCACTGCAGTTGACCAGGGAGCAGGTGTGACCCTGCCAGGGGTCTCATTTCTTGTTGGATGATTCTCGGGACTTAATGCTGAAGGAACAGGTTCCCAGGGTTAGGGTGTGAAACTCAACTGTAATATCACAAACCCCTTCAAAGTTCTACCCCGAGGAGGCCAAGAACTCTCTGAGCAGACCTAGCCATCTGACGCTAAATTTCTCCATCCAGCCTGAAAACAGCCTCCTGTCATCCCCCCAGCCCAGCGAGCCCCTCGTGCTGCTGGCGGCTGAGCAGACCAGTGGCAGTTTCTCACAGCTCTCAGGAAAGCCCCAGCTCACAGCAGACAGGTGGGTCCTCTGTGGGGTCAGCTCCAGATCCCTTCCTCCAGTGTGAAGTCATGGGGTCAACGAACCTATCTCAGTTCCTTCTTTGTATTCTTTGTATTTTAGATAGTCATGCACATGGCTTTTTCTGTCAATTTTATTGTAAGCCTGCCTTTGAAAACAAGGTCTTTGGCCCTTTGATCTGAATATTCACTTCTTAGGCAAACTCCAGTGTTTTCTAATGACAGGTGTTCAATAAAAGGAATGAGGGATGAGAAAATTAATTCAAAGAAGTGTAAGCTAACAAAGCAGGCTCATGGTGGAGTTAGCTATTGACTATTTCCAATCCAAGCTCACAAGGATCCCTGGGGTAAAACCCTAGTTCTCTTTGCCTCATCTGCCTCTTCTTTTTTAGTTTTCTTTTTCCTTTCTTTCTTTCTTTTTATTTTTTTTTTGGAGACAGAGTTTCACTCTTGTTGCCCAGGCTGGAGTGCAATGGCGTGATGTCAGCTCACTGCAAACTCCACCTCCTGGGTTCAAGCGATTCTCTTGCCTCAGCCTCCCAAGTAGCTGGGATTACAGGCGACCGCCACCACACCCGGCTAATTTTTTGTTATTTTTAGTAGAGACAGGGTTTCACCATGTTGGCCAGGCTGGTCTCGAACTCCTGACCTCAGGTGATCCACCCACCTTGGCCTCCCAAAGTGCTGGGATTACAGATGTGAGCCACTGCGCCTGGTCCTCACCAGCCTCTTCTGCAAAATGGACAGAATAAGGGAAACAACCAGTAGCTCCAAAGTCTCATTAATTTACTAATAATTGTATTAGATTCTTTCTGTAACAAGTAATAGAAACTCAAAGCAAGATAGTGCAACCAATATGCTGCACAAGTGCAACTTGTAGGGTATCATCAAAATGCAAATTTATTTTGTCTGCCCTTCATAACTTTTTCAGTGGGAGAAGGTTTCCTCTTGCCCCTGGATAAAAGCTGGCTTTCTGGGCAGGCCACATAGCATATGGGCTCTCTCTGAGAATATAAAAGGTCCTTTGGTCCATTTAAATTGCAAAAGCAGCCTCAATTCTGAAATTAAAATATCTAATGTCTGAAAACTATCAAAACCCTGAACTTATCACATCTTCTTACCCTCAGTCTGGCTCCCTATCAAGGTGACCTTTCCTAGGGGGGAACTGGGTTGTCACTCTTCTCTTTCTGTTTCCTAATATTTAAAGCTACCTTTTTTCTCTTAGGAGCTTTCTTTCTTTTTTCTTTTTCCTTCTTTCTCTCGTTTCTTTCTTTCTCTTTTATTTCCCCCTCCCCTCCTCTCCCCTCCCCTCCCCTCCCCTCTCCTCTCCTCCTTTCCTCTGCTCTCCTCTCCTTTCCTCTCCTCTCCTTTCCAACAGTGTCTCACTCTGTTGCCCAGGCTGGAGTGCAGTGCCATGATCTTGGCTCACTACAGCCTCAATCTCCTGGGGTCAAGCAATCCTCCCACCTCAGCCTCCCAAGTAACTGGGGCTACAGGCATGCACCACCATGCCTGGCTAATTTTTTAAATTTTTAGTAGAGACAAGGTCTTGCTATGTTGCCCAGGCTGGTCTCAAACTCCTCAGCCCAAGCAGTCCTCCTACCTTGACCTCCTAAAGTGCTGGGATTACAGTCATGAGCCATCACAGCTGGCCAGGAGCTTTCTTGGGTTCTTTGAAATCTCCTTTCTGGCCCCTCAACTGCAACACCTCCCTTTCATCTGGCCACACTGCACCCCCCCCCACAACCCCCCTGGCCATGGCTCTGCAGGGACCATGCTCCCCCAGGCACTAGCTATCCCCTTTAAGGAGTCCTCCTGGGTAAGGCTTACAGTGGCTCCAGGCTGGTGTACACTTGCTTGCTCTCTCTCATACAGTCCACATCTGGTCCTCAGGAATCATCCTCTCATATTTTGACCAGCCATTGGAGAGGAGGACCTTGCTTCCTAGGCACAGAAACAACTCTTCTCCCAGAGTCCTAGAGC
Organism: Homo sapiens; assembly: GCF_000001405.40. Classification (NCBI taxonomy): domain Eukaryota; kingdom Metazoa; phylum Chordata; class Mammalia; order Primates; family Hominidae; genus Homo; species Homo sapiens. The sequence continues at coordinate 128,682,132 of NC_000007.14, forward strand.
CACAGCTCAAGCCCCCTGGGTTGTCCAAGGAAGGCTCTCTCTTTCAGCTTAAGGAAAAGGAGCCAGCAACTCTTTACAAAGGACTCTCTCCCCACGTGACAACCCAAGCCCTTGGTTACCAAGGCTGGCAATCCCTTCAGGCAGCCCAGCTCACTCTCACTTCTCTGATCTTAAATTTTTAGTCCCCGGGATTTTGTCTTTGAGTCATAATACATTATATTCTCAACACATCAAAGCAGTACTTAAGGTTTGAAGAGTTGTTTGTTCCTCCACAGGGCAGGCCTTAGCTCCAGGCTCCCTCCTCCTCCTCTGTGGCTTTCTCTCCTCGGGTTGCCCTTAACATTATTGCATGTGTGCATATTGTCACTGCCCCACATTTCCATATTTCTACATGTCCTTAAAGCACTGGAGCTGGAAAAAGGCATGATTAGAAAGTGAGTTGGTTTTTTTTGTTTTGTGTTGTTTTTTGAGAAGGAGTCTCACTCTGTCACGTAGGCTGGAAGTGGTGCCATCTCTGCTCACTGCAAGCTCCGCCTCCTGGGTTCAAGCAATTCTCATGCCTCAGCCTCCCGAGTAGCTGGAATTACAGGCGTGTGCCACATGCCTGGCTAATTTTTGTATTTTTAGTACAGACGGGGTTTCACCATGTTGGCCAGGCTGGTCTTGAACTCCTGACCTCAAGTGATCCGCCCACCTCGGCCTCCCAAAGTGCTAGGATTACAGGTGTGAGCCACTGCACCCAGCTGAAAGTGGTTTTTAAGTTAAATTTTAACAATGTTTTCTTTTTCTTCTATTGCTTTCAATAACCCCAAAATTCCCTGGGCTCCTACAGGAACAATGACACTGCCATTGAAATAGACAACTGCAGCAGCTACAAGATACCCTCTCCAGTGGCATCTCCAATCAATTTGAATATACCCATGAGAGCTGCCTTGAGCCACAGCCTCTGGGAACAAGAGGACTGGAATGAGCACCTTCTACAAGTTCATATAGCCAGTTACCTAGGAGAGCACTTCTTGGGAGCCTGACACCTAGGCAAAACATGCTCTTCCTTGCATACGTGTACTTGCTACCACCTCTTATAATGCTCCTTTTCCACTGTGAGCCAAGTGACCTTGGGAGAGGTAAGATGGTGTTTCCAACAAGGTGCTTCTCTACTTCCACCAATAAACTTCCAAGTGAGTCCCTAATTTTTGCAGGTTGGGCTATAGGGAGGCTCCAGTTTGGGAAAGGACTGACTGAGAACAGGAGCAGTTTTTGGAAAAATAGGTGGGAAAAGTTACTGTCTGTGTGTACAGAGAACTACCTGAGACTGGGTAATTTTATTTATTTATTTATTTATTTATTTATTTATTTTGGAGATAGAGTCTTGCTCTGTCTCCAGGCTGGAGTACAGTGGTGCGATCATGGCTCACTGCAACCTCCACCTCCTGGGTTCAAGCAATTCTCCAGCCTCAGCCTCCCAAGTAGCTGGGACTACAGGCACACACTACACCTGGCTAAGTTTTTATATTTTAGTAGAGATGGGGTTTCACCACGTTGCCCAGGCTGGTCTCCAGCTCCTGAGCTCAGGCCATCCAGTCACATTGGCCTCTCAAAGGGTTAGGATTACAGGCGTGAGCCACCAGGCCCAGCCTCGAGTCTGGGTAATTTATAAAGAAAAGAGGTTTAATTGGCTCATGGTTCCCCAGGCTGTACAGGAAGCATGACTGGGGAGGCCTCAGGAAACTTACAATCAAGGCAGAAGGCAAAAGAGAAGCAGACCTGTCCTACGAGTCTGGAGCAGGAGAAAGAAAGAAGTGGGAGGTGCTATGCACTTTTAAACAACCAAATCTCGTGAGAACTCACTATCATGAGAACAGCAAGGAGGAAATCCACCCCCATGATCCAATCACCTCCCACCAGGCACCTCCTCCAACACTGGGGATTAAATTCAACATGAGATTTGGGCAGGGAGACAGATCCAAATCATATATCAGTCTGCTCAGTTGAAACCACACAATAGCCAAGCAAAGCCAAGAAAGCCAGTCCAAGGCTGGCTTGGAAAGGGCCTCTGAGGAGAAATCAACTTTCAAAGGGGCAGGGGGAAATAGAGGTTGAGCTACTGCAAGCCCAAAATAAAAGAAATCCTGAGAAGGATGGTAACCAGCTGGAAGATTCCTTTGTGTTGCTCCACTATATCAAGCAAGAAATTGAGTCTTTGGCTGGGCGCGGTGGCTCTTGCCTGTAATCCCAGCACTTTGGGAGGCTAAGGTGTGCAGATCACTTGAGGTCAGGACTTCGAGACCAGCCTGGCCAACATGGCAAAGCCCTGTCTCTACCCAAAATACAAAAATTAGCTGGATGTGGTGGTGCACACCTGTAGTCCCAGCTACTCAGGAGGTTGAGGCAGGAGAATTGCTTGAACCAGGAGGCAGAGCTTGCAGTGAGCTGGGATCATGCCACTGTGCTCCAGCCTGGGTGACAGAGCCAGACTCCATCTCAAAAAAAAAAAAAAAAAAAAAAAGAATAAATTAGGTCTTCATTGCCCTGTGTTAGTGTAAAGCTATGAAGGCTCCCCTGGCTCATACAACATTTCATTGCTAATGAAAACATGGTGAGGAAGATATTGACTGCCCATCACCAGAAATTCTGATTAATTTGACTGTTTCTTACCCAGAACCTAATGAAAGTGAACTGGAAGACATGGCATCTTTGAGTATTGGGAATGGGGTAGGAGCTTTGGCCAACCTTTATACACATAGGGAATACTTACAAGGAAAATACCATGACTCCTTTTTTTTTTTTTTTGAGACAGTCTTGTTCTGTTGCCTAGGCTGGAGTGCAGTGGTGTGATCTCAGCTCACTGCAACCTCCACCTCTCAGGTTCAAGCGATTCTTGTGCCTCAGCCTCCCAAGTAGCTGGGATTACAGGTGTGAACCACCAGTCCGGCTAATTTTTGTATTTTTAGCAGACACAGGGTTTCTCCATGTTGGCCAGGCTGGTTTTGATCTCCTGACCTCAGGTTATCCACCCTCCTCGGCCTCCCAAAGTGCTGGGATTACAGGCATGAGCCACCACGCCCAGCCCCACCACGCCCACTCCAATATTTAATAAGTATTTGTCAGGCTCCTGCTAGGTGCTAGACACTGCGTTTGACGCTAAGTATATTGGAGAGAACAAGACAGACGGACAAGTTACCTGCCTTGAGGGAGGGTCTGGGAGAGATGCCAAGTCCTATTTTGGAGACATAGTGAAGCCATTAATGTTGACCTGATGTCTGAGCCACCCAGTCTGCAAATGAAAGCTGGAGGCCCTGCTTTCCAGCATGTGTGGTTCACATCCTATGTGGTGCAGAAAGAAAGAACATGGTTGCCCTCCTCTTGTGCATGCTCAGTTGGGCTGAGCAGTCAAATCTGGCTGAATTGAGTCAGAAAAGACATCTGAGTTAAGAGGATGCCTGATGCTTGTTGGTTTTGTCTTGCCTCCAGTAAAATTAAAAACAAGTTTCCTTTCAGTATGTTACAATCAAATAAGCTGAGCATTGTTGGTGCTGGTGAGGGACATCTAGAAGCTGAACTTAGAAAAGACTAATGTGCAGGGTGATTGTACTTCCAAATGCATGCCTGTTGTCCTGGTATCATTATTAATACATACCCATTTCACTCTGAGAAGTGTCCCTCAGTGAATCACAAATCATGTGGCCATCCTATCTATATGGCATACTTATAAACATTGAAAGGCTTGTCATCCCCACTTCTTTGTCTTGGTTTAAGCCTTCATCAGCCCTCACCTAGACTATTGTATTAATAGTAACCCCAGGCCAGGCATGGTGGCTCAGGCCTGTAATCCCAGCACTTTGGGAGGCTGAGGCGGGCAGATCACGAGGTCAGAAGTTTGAGACCAGCCTGGCCAATATGGTGAAACCCCATCTCTACTAAAAATACAAAAATTAGCTGGGCATGGTGGCGCACACCTGTAGTCCCAGCTACTCGGGAGGCTGAGACAGAAGAATCTCTTGAACCTGGGAGGTGGAGGTTACAGTGAGCAGAGATGGCGCCACCGCACTCCAGCCTGGGCGACAGAGCCAGATTCCGTCTCAAAATAAAATAAAGTAAAATAGTAACCCCAATTGGTCTCCCAGACTTTATCATCATCATCATCATAATAGCTAACATCTTTAGAAATTTGCTATCTTCTAAGCACTATGCTGACTTTACAAAGATCACATAAACCACACCACAAGCCATTGAGAAGTAGATCTTATTATTACATTTTATAAATGATAAACCGGAGCCACAGAGAGGTTCAAGAACTTGCTTAAGGTCACACAGGTAGTAAGTAGCAGAGCCAGGACTTGAAGCCAGTCTGTCTAACTCCAAAATCCAAATTACTCTTGATGCCTCTCCAATGTCTTCCCAACTCATTCCCTTTTCATACCTCTAACAGAGCAACTTTTTGACACATAAATCTGACAGAAAGGACCAGGCACGGTGGCTCATACCTGTAATCCCAGCACTTTGGAAGGCCAAGGTGGGCAGATCACTTGAAGTCAGAAGTTTGAGACCAGCCTGGCCAACATGGTGAAACCCTGTCTCTACTAAAAATGTGAAAATTAGCCAGGTGTGGTGGTGCGCGTCTGTAGTCCCAGCTACTCAGGAGGCTGAGGCAGGAGAATCTCTTGAACTGGGGAGGCAGAGGTTGCAGTGAGCCGAGATCACTCCACTGCGCTCTAGCCTGGGCAACAGAGCAAGATTCCATCTCAAAAAAAAAAAAAATATATCTGACTGAGTTTCCTCCTTAATAAAACCAGACCCTTTGACATGAAATGACTAGACCCCTGCCTCTCTCTCCAGCCTCTCCACTGGCCACTGCTGCCATAGAATCTTATGCTCCCACCATGCCAAATTTCTTGTGGTTCCCTAAATGCGCCATGTTTGAAGATACTTTGAGGACATTGTATATACTTTTGTTCTACCTGAGATACATTTGCTTACTTTCTCCACATATTGCCCTCATGACACTTATCCTTATTGATGGATTTCTTCAATGCTACTATTGTGCCTTACATGTGCCTTGTATTATAGCATTTTTATAGCATTTCTCACCCAATTGTGGCTATTTGTTTACATGTCTGTCTCCTTGGTGGAACTGTGAACTCTGTCATAACAGATGCCATTTTATGTCAGTTAGACTTCTTTGGTTGCCAGTAAGAGAAGCTGACTCTAATCTAAACCAAAAGGAATTCATTGGACGGATGTGGGTTGGCTCACAAAATCAAAGGGACAACTGCGGAGCCGATCTTGGAATGCTCTGACACCAGAACAGCTCTGTGAATTCAGATAGGGGTAGTGAATTGACCATTTCATCAAATGCTGCAGCAAGCTAGGTGGTTTCCCCAAAGGAAATTGAGGAGTGTTACAAGAAGACCATTAGGGGAACGGTTATCTGGTGGCTGATAATAACAAATTTCCATGGCAGTCTCTTTGCTCTCTGTTGGAAGAGGTACTCCACCATGGGCCTTGAGCATCTCTACACATCCTTGCTAAGCGTGTCAAATTTCAAGTCCTAACTGTCCTCTGTCTCTGGAGGAGGAGACAGGTTTGGTTACTGTTTGTTGTAAAAATTACTGAGCCCTTCACCATGGGTGCCTCAGCTGTATGCAAAGCCCCTTGTATTGCTGGGGGACAGAGCAACTGGTACTGCCATGCTGGTGCTCTGGCTGTTTGCTGTTGGCAATAAACTATTCTGTTTTGGTTCATTGAATCTCTGTCTACTTTGGGCACCTATGTGATCATGGTAAATCAACCTGCTTGCTTGCCTAGTCATTTTTTTAGAGTATTGTTACGCCTTGACATCCTCTATGAGACCTAGATTCTTCTCGGACACTGTCCAAACCCACATACAATCTTTTTTTTTTTTGGAGATGAAGTCTTGCTCTGTCGCCCAGGCTGGAGTGCAGTGATCTCGGCTCACTGCAACCTCCACCTCCCAGGTTCAAGCAATTCTCCTGCCTTAGCCTCCCGAGTAGCTGGGATTAAAGGCACGCGCCACCACATCCAGCTAATTTTTGTATTTTTAGTAGAGATGGGGTTTCACTAGGTTGGCCAGGATGGTCTCGATCTCCTGACCTCATGATCTGCCCACCTCGGCCTCCCAAAGTGCTGGGATTACAGGCGTGAGCCACCGCGCCTGGCCCCCCTGGTTTCTTCCTTACCTTTGTATCACAAAACTTCTAGACCAAACAGTAAATATAAACGCCACAAGCATACCCTATGCACAAAATGAGAGAAGGATTTAATTTAAATAACATACATCACTGCAAAGAAAGAAATACAGGTGGAAGTTTTAGTTCTTTCTGCTTCTTGGTTACAAGTCAGTAGTAGTTGTCATTTCTTACTTCCCTCCTATACTACCATTCCAGGTACCTCTTGCTTTGACTGGGTTCATTCCCTGGTAGGGAGTCCACAAACTTTCACTCCTGAAAATCCTAAGCCCTTGATGGTTTTGCACATGTAGAGTTGTGTGATCTTCTTTTGACTGGGCAAGAGCTGTAAAGAGGCATCTCAGTTTCCTCTGAGTACCATTCCTACTCCTCTCTGCCCCCATTCTGTAGAACCATCTTTTTGCTTTTAATAATAACGGTCCCCCCTCCCCCTCCCCTCCCCCTCCCCCTCCCCCCTCCCTCTCCCCACAGTCTCCCTCTCCCTCTCTTTCCACCGTCTCCCTCTGATGCCGAGCCGAAGCTGGACTGTGCTGCCGCCATCTCTGCTCACTGCAACCTCCCTGCCTGATTCTCCTGCCTCAGCCTGCCGAGTGCCTGCGATTGCAGGCGCGCGCCACCACGCCTGACTGGTTTTCGTATTTTTTTGGTGGAGACGGGGTTTCGCTGTGTTGGCCGGGCTGGTCTCCAGCTCCTAACCTCGAGTGATCCGCCAGCCTCAGCCTCCCGAGGTGCCGGGATTGCAGATGGAGTCTTGTTCACTCAGTGCTCAATGTTGCCCAGGCTGGAGTGCAGTGGCGTGATCTCGGCTCGCTACAACCTCCACCTCCCAGCCGCCTACCTTGGCCTTCCAAAGTGCCGAGATTGCAGCTTCTGCCCAGCCGCCACCCCGTCTGGGAAGTGAGAAGCGTCTCTGCCTAGCCGCCCATCGTCTGGGATGCGAGGAGCCCCTCTGCCCGGCTGCCCAGTCTGGGAAGTGAGGAGCACCTCTTACCGGCCGCCATCCCATCTAGGAACTGAGGAGCATCTCTGCCCGGCCGCCCATCGTCTGAGATGTGGGGAGCGCCTCTGCCCCGTCTGGGATGTGAGGAGCGCCTCTGCCCGGCCGTGACCCCGACTGGGAGGTGAGGAGCGTCTCTGCCTGGCCGCCCCATCTGAGAAGTGAGGAGCCCCTCCGCCCGGCAGCCGCCCCGTCTGAGAAGTGAGGAGCCCCTCCGCCCGGCAGCCGCCCCGTCTGAGAAGTGAGGAGCCCCTCCGCCCGGCAGCCGCCCCGTCTGAGAAGTGAGGAGCCCCTCCGCCCGGCAGCCACCCCGTCTGGGAAGTGAGGAGCCCCTCCGCCCGACAGCCGCCCCGTCTGGGAAGTGAGGAGCGTCCCCGCCCGGCAGCCACCCCGTCCGGGAGGGAGGTGGGGGTCAGCCCCCGCCGGCCAGCCACCCCGTCCGGGAGGGAGGTGGGGGGTCAGCCCCCGCCCAGCCAGCCGCCCCGTCCGGGAGGTGGGGGGCACCTCTGCCCGGCCGCCCCTACTAGGAAGTGAGGAGCCCCTCTGCCCGGCCACCACCCCGTCTGGGAGGTGTACCCAACAGCTCATTGAGAACGGGCCATGATGACGATGGCGGTTTTGTGGAATAGAAAAGGGGGAAAGGTGGGGAAAAGTTAGAGAAATCAGATTGTTGCTGTGTCTGTGCAGAAAGAAGTAGACATGGGAGACTTCATTTTGTTCTGTACTAAGAAAAATTCTTCTGCCTTGGGATGCTGTTGATCTATGACCTTACCCCCAACCCCATGCTCTCTGAAACATGTGCTGTGTCCACTCAGGGTTAAATGGATTAAGGGCAGTGCAAGATGTGCTTTGTTAAACAGATGCTTGAAGGCAGCATGCTCGTTAAGAGTCATCACCACTCCCTAATCTCAAGTACTCAGGGACACAAACACTGCGGAAGGCCGCAGGGTCCTCTGCCTAGGAAAACCAGACCTTTGTTCACTTGTTTATCTGCTGACCTTCCCTCTACTATTGTCCTATGACCCTGCCAAATCCCCCTCTGTGAGAAACACCCAAGAATGATCAATAAAAATAAATAAATAAATAATAATAATAATAACGGTCAATCCACTCTAACAACTCCAAAACCCCCTTCTACACATAACACCATGCTCTCCTAATGGTAGGAGGAGACAAAAATGGCAGCCGCAGTTCAGTTTTCAGTTGGTGGAATGATTTTTGTGCACCTGGTGAAATCACTTTCACCCTTAGGTATTAAAATCTCCAAACTTCATACATGCAATTAAAAATTATTTTTTATTTTTAAAAAATCTTTTTCCACATGTTCTATGCAATTTTTCATACAACTCTTCCTTAAGAAACTCCTAGAGGATGTACGCAATTAAAATGAAGTCAACTCAGAAAAACACGGCTCCAGGAAAGTGGTGGGTTCAATGTAGGAAAAAAGTGAAGGCAATATCCAGGTGAAGAGAGATGAAGAGAGAGTCCAGAATGACAGGAGAACAGCAGCCCCAGAAAGCAGTCAGCTCTTACTGGAGCAGGAGAGAGGACTCTGCTAAATACATCTCCGCAAAGATCAAATTGATGGAATACCTGATGTGTTTGAATGCACTGAGAGACTTACGCTTATGGCAAAGTTTAGGGGTGTGTTAGGAATAGGACTATTAAGCCAAGCAAACAAAAAATAATATAAATATTAACTCTGAGAGGAAGAAGTTGTACAAAAAAAGAAATATAATTCAAGTATGTACTATATCTTTGACTATTCATAATACTGTACACATCGAATATAGATTGAATCAAAGCAGAGGATGGTTGAAGCTCAATTTGGGGGATGGGGGAAAGGGGAAGGGAAAAAAGGTGAAGATTAAACCCTTCCCTTCCATGGCTGGAAGTTCTGTGCCCCAGAATTCCCTTGGTTCCTGCATGTTCTCCAAGCTGATCTACATCTAAGAGCTCATCACGTCTGGTTTCCAGGTGGGTTTGGCCAGTGGGAAACCCAGGCAGGAGATCAGAGAGGATGAGGAGAATGGGGTCAGGACAACTATTTCCTCCCTTGTGGTGACATAAGGTAGGCTGTTAACAGAGGGAAACTGTCAGAAGTATTTGAACCAGAGCAACTCCATCTTGAATGGGGGCTGGGTAAAATAAGGCTGAGACCTACTGGGCTCCATTCCTAGGAGGCTAGGCATTCTTAGTCAAAGGATGAGATAAGAGGTTGGCACAAGATACAGGTCACAAAGACACCACTGGCCAAGACCCACCAACACTAAGATGGTGATAAAAGGGACCTCTGGTCGTCCCCACTGCTCATTATATGCTCATTATAATGCATTAGCATGCGAAAGGGCTGCTATTCTCTAATAAACTTGCTTTCACTTTATGGACTGACCCTGAGTTCTTCTTGTACCAGGTCCAAGAACCCTCTCTTGGGGTCTGGATCGGGACCCCTTTCCGGTAACAAAACTGCTCCTCTCGTGGTGGCTTCCTCTACTAGACTCTCCTGTATCCAGTAACCACTCCCTCCCTTCATCCTTCAGATCCCTGGTATGGACTTAGCTAGCTTGATGCCCCCTTCCTGAATTGTGTAACGTGAGCAGGAACATCACTCATCTCCATGCAGGCGTTGTCGCAGTGGGGCCACCATCCTGGCCAGGCAGTCCCGGCCATGAGACAGTCGCTGGGCTTCCCTCCAGCTTACTGCTTTTTGGTTCTGGCCTATTCTCCATGCCTGGTTCTTTTAACCTTCAGTTGGTATGAAGAGCTCCCCAATAGTCTTCCAATAAATTCCCTTCGGCTTGGGTTGGCTGCATGTTTTCTACGTGTACACCCATGAAGTCTAATTGATGTGGTTCTGTGCCCAGAAACATGGAAGCTGCGTAGGGAAACGTGCCAGCCATATGTGTGTACCTGCCAGTGCCTGGGTCCTACTAGACTGACCCAGTTAAAGTGTCTATTTCTTGTTAAATAAATCCCTTTCTGCCATAGCCAGCTGTGGCTGCTCCACATTGTTTCTCCTTCAAAATGAGGGAAGAAACAACAGCCCTTGCTGACTGGGCTCATCCTTGAAGTTGATTTCTCAGAATCTATTTCTTAGATGAAAACACCACACGGATTGGTGAAATTTCTAATGGCCAATACACACACCATTTAAAAGAGAAAAGAAACAAAACATTGTTATCCGGAGTTAATTATGCTCCACCAGGACATGGCATCTGCAAAAACAATCCCCAAGACAATGTAAAAATGCATCTTAAAGTTTCTGACATGGAATTCAGAGAAAAGAGAAAATGTCCTCAAGGAATAACACCCAAATGGACCCTCTTAAAAGATGTGGTGGAAATTATATGGAAGCTTCATAAATGCCTTTGTAAGTCTTGAGAAAAATAAGCAGCGGGTTAATTAGGGCTTTACTGTTGTAGGTGAGGCAGCCGGCAGGGAAGCAGAGAAGCTGGGAGCATGAATGTATAGAAACGCGTGGTTCTGGGTTCATTAGTGACCTCCCAGAAACACAGGTCATCAATTTAGAGAAAACAAAACACAAGGGGCTCATCTCGAGAAATCCAAGACCATGGCTTCAAAAGTGGTTCCAATCACTGAGAGTGGTAAAGCTTCATAATTTAAAATGAATATTTAGAGTTATTAAGGCTGAGGCCATTTACAGAAGCTGTAACTTGAAACCACCAGAATTACCACAATCTACAGATAGTCTAAGAGAAGGCGGTTCTGGATTTTGCTCTGTCTCTGATTCCTGCCTGATTTAGAACAAATCGATTTATTTCCCCATTGGGGATACAGATAATTTTCTTTTAGTAAACTATCACTGAATTTTTAAATTATGTCCAAAGAAAACATTGTTTTGTGGTGTTAATAATTGCAACAGCAGCCAGAAACACACCATATATCCATTACATGCAAAGAAATAGTCACAGTTAGAGTATTCTAAGTTGCTTTTATAATCTTTCTAAAGTCTCCAAATTAAGTACACTGCCTTGGACAAGGAAGGAAAGAAATGTCTGTGACCTCCATCCCTCCTCTCACTCCGTTCAAGGGCCATATCTGGATGCAAGAGGAATGTGGTGTTTTGGGGTCCTGCCACTCTGTCTGTAGTCATCGTGGTGCTGAAGCTTAAGTTCCATGAGCAGAAGCTGCTGGAGCAGGTGGACTTCCTGAAATGGGAGGTCACGGACCACAGCCTCCACGGGCTGCCTCCCTGGCTGCAGAGGGAGGCCGACCCGTGCTGCAGCCAGCGGAGCCTTGCATGCCAGAGCTGCCCAAACACTGCTGCACAAGCTGTATGCTCTGGGCCTGGTGCCCACACATGGCTTGCTCGAACTCTGCGACATTGTCAGGGCTTTGTCCAGGCCTTGTCCTTGTCGTTGTCGCTGCTGCCTCCTCCCTACCATTCTCCTCAGGCTGCAGGGCCTTCATGGAGCAAAGCCATGTGCTTGTAGGCCCTGGATGTGGTTACCGACTCCACCTTTCTTTGTCACATGCCGCATGGAGGACTTTGTCACCTGGGTCGGCTCATCCAAGATCAAGCAACACATGCCATCATACAACGGGGAGTGCAATGACTTCGATCTGGAAGCCTAGCTGGTCTCCTAGTCTCCACGGCTGCCTGTCTTTTACAGATACGACAACCAATGCTGGAGATTCTATAAGGGCGCTCCCCACAAGAGTGTCAGCAGGTTGTAGTTTCTTAGGTTCCTCAATGGCAGGCCATGCACAGAGCCAAGGAGGGGAGAGGGCGTGGTGCCTGTTTTCAAGGAAATTTTCTTAGTATTCTTAGTACTTGGACTACTGATTATTAAATGACTGTGCCTTGGGAGACAGTGAAAAGTGGTTTGGTGCTGCACTGTAGAATTGTTAGCTTCTTGTGTTGGAAACTTTTTAGTGTAAAAGCAAGAACTCTGGCCGAGCATGGTGGCTCACGCCTGTAATCCCAGCACTTTGGGAGGCTGAGGCGGGCGGATCACTTGAGGTCAGGAGTTCAAGACTAGCCTAGCCAACATGGTGAAACCCCGTCTCTACTAAAAAATACAAAAATTAGCCAGGCATGGTGGTGGGTGCCTGTAATCCCAACTACTCGGGAGGCTGAGGCAGGGACAATTGCTTGAACCCGGGAGGTAGAGGTTGCAGTGAGTCGAGATTGTGCCACTGGACTCCAGCCTGGGCAAGAGAGTGAGACTCTGTCTCAAAAAAAAAAAGAAAGAAAGAAAGAAAAAAACCAGCACATGGACTTTAGTCCACGTGTAACATATAACCCATGATAATGTAAGTAAACTTTGATAGGACAATTCTATAAGGGGTACTGGTCACAAGAATTTTTCCTCTCTGAGCATAAGAATTCAGTCCACCCAGTCCATGCATCTATATATAACAATACTTTGGGAGGTTATAAGCACAGGAAAAGGGTTTGTGGAGAATGACTAAACTCACAAACTGAAATGAAGACTAAATATATTTTGCAAGGCAGTTAATTTAGGCATAAATATAGTCACTCAACTGTGAATATCATGCATGGAGTTCTGAAGGCTGAACTTCCAGCCTTCTTCACTAAAGACTGAAATTTGCTTTGCTCAGCTCTTTTCTGGACTCCTTTCTTCCTAGTTCCGTTGGTCTTTGTGTACTGACATTATCTCTATAGCAAGTTGCCTTCTTGCTTTAAGGTCTATACCAGTCTCACGTTTAGCTGCAAACAATGAGAAGCCAATCAACAAGGGCTTAAGGAACTCTATTCACTATGTCTAACCTTTAAAGAAAAAGATGTTACTATCTTTGCAGGCCAAACCAAGTCTTTGGTAATACGCTGGGTATCTTCTCTAAGCTCCTGCTCCCATCCCACCCCAGGCCAGGCCAAGCCACTGTCCACCCTCCACCATCCTGCTCTCTGCCCCAGAGGCTGGGAACCTCTATGGACTGTATCAAGGGAGGCGCATGCTGTCCGGCTTTGGTTGGATTTGACCAGTGGGAAATCAAGGAGGACTGGGTAGGAGAGTCTCAGGCTGCAGCACAGTTCCAAGAAAGTTTCAGCAGACTGACAATGAACCCTTAAATTCAGTGCACGTTAGAGGAATCTGCATCTCCCCGGAATGGGGTCTCCCTGCAGCTGGAGGTCTGAATACAGCATCTTCATGGTCACCACAAGGAGAAGTATAGATTACACCACTGCCCAAGTCCACCTGAACATTTTTAAATTTTATTTTTATTTTTTTTCTTTGAGACGGGAGTCTTGCTCTGTTGCCCAGGCTGGAGTGCGGTGGTGTGATCTCGCCTCACTGCAGCCTCGTCCTCCCAGGTTCAAGTGATTCTTATGCCTCAGCCATCCCAGTAGCTGTGATTACAGGTGTGGGCCACCATGCCTGGCTAATTTTTGTAGATTCTTTTGTAGAGACAGGGTTTCATCATGTTGGCCAAGCTGGTCTTGAACACCTGGCCTCAAGTGATCTGTCCGCCTCGGCCTCCCAAAGTGTTGAGATTACAGGTGTGAGCCACCATGCCCAGCCATATATTATTTTATTTATTTCCTTTTCCTCCAGTAGAATAAATTCCATACCTATACTACACATTGTGCAAAATAATATTTTTCAGGTTTTAAGACATTCCCAAGGAAGTGTAGATGCTTGTGTGGAATTTCCCTCCCTTCCTCCCTCCCTGCCTTCCTAACTTCCTTTTTTTTTTTTTTTTTTTTTTTTGACAAGGTCTCACTCTATCACCCAGGCTGGAGTGCAGTGGCACAATCATGGCTCACTGCAGTCTTGAATGCCTGGGCTGCAGCTATTCTCCCACCTCAGCCTCCTACGTAGCTGGGACTGCAGGTGAGCAACGATGCCTGGCTAATTTTTAAAAATATTATTATTTGTAGAGGTGAGGTCTTGCTATATTGCCCAAGCTGGTCTCGAACTCCTGGGCTCAAAGTGATCCTCCTGCCTCAGCCTCCCAAGTTGCTGGAATTACAAGCGTGAGCCCCTGTGCCTGGCTGCTTCTGTGGAACTTCTATACACCTTTTTGTCCATTGTGTTTTGAAACTGCCCACTGCCCCTCTGTGTCTCATTTTTCTAATCTGTCCCATAATCTCTATGTCCTCTTGGCCATTTTAGATGTCTTTGTATCAACTTTCTCTAGTCTTTCTGTCAACACAGTTTTTTGTCTGGACTGAGATGTGTAACAAGATTATTAACTTTTTTCAGGTCTAACATTCTAAGTCAGGCCAGGTGTGGTGGCTCACGCCTATAATCCTAGCACTCTGGGAGGCTGAGGCAGGAGGATCACTCGAGGTCAGGAGTTCAAAACCAGCCTCCTGGGCAATAGAACAAGACCCTGTCTCAAAAAAAAGAAAAAGGATTCTAGGTCAATGAGTCCCAGTGGGCAGAACTCCACCACAGAAGGTGTTTGGAAGTTCTTAAATGATGGGGTGTTTGGGGAGTCACCATGGCTGGAGGGCACTAACGGCATTCTGGCAGTTGAGGGCCATGATGCTGGAAGCCCTACAGAGAATAAATAATGATCTTCTTATGCCACTCTGACCATTCTGGCAGGTGAAGAACATGTTTACAACTACTTGAGTCTAGACCCTAACTCCCCCAACCCACTCACCCAATTTTAATATACACAGAATTTTCCAGGAAGTTAACCATCATGTAAATCAAGGGAAGATGGTACTTTGGGGTTTGTGTGTGTGTTTTGTTTGTTTGTTCTTGGTGCTTAACCAAAAGTTGTTCACAGTTTGGAAAATCATTACAAAGTTGCTCCTAGGACAGTAAAACCTATTTAATAAGTGGGGTTCAGATCCCCTACACAACCTTGGTTTTAGTTGGGATTCACTCTGAGTGGGGCTTGGAGGGAAGGGTAAAGCCAGCAGGAAAAGACAGGCGGCTCCTGCAGGGCAGCTCTCCTGGGTCCAGAATTCTCCCTACAGGTCTCCCCAGATCAAGCCAAGGAAATGGGCGCCAAGTAACCAGAGACTGCTGGAGTCATTGCCAGTGGTCCCGTGAATCACAGCCAGCCTCAAGACCTCAATTTCTTCACCCGGCCATGTAAGCAGAGCGGACAACTCTGAGGGCGTGGCTGGGCGGGGTTCTTGGGGCAGCCCGGCGCCACTGCCGGCATCTACGCACCCTGAACGCGCCCGATCTGGTCTCATCTCGGAAGCTAAGCAGGGTCGGGCCTGGTTAGTACTTGGATGGGAGATCGCCTGGAAATACCGGGTGCTGTAGGTTTTTGGCTTCCCGCTCCCTCTCTCTTTCCCCCTTTTGTCGCCGCGCTTTTCAACCGCCCCCTAACTCTGCTCCCCCTTTTACTCCGTCGCAGCCCGGGACCTCCTGGTGGGGGTCCGCCACTGCAGCACCAGGCGCCACTGCCATACCACCCTGAACGCGCCCGATCTCGTCTGATCTCGGAAGCTAAGATGTGGCCGCATTTAGGACCCCACCGGCTTGGCTGTGCCTCTCCCAGCCCCCTGGCGGAGCGGACTAACCCTAGCATTTCATTGATTCACAATAACGCCACCCCACCCCGACTGACTATTTTGAGCCCCATTTGCCAATCTGTAGTGGATCTTTACTGTTTTGGAGTAGTAAATTCAATACACCTTTATGGGTCTATTTTTGTAACTACTGCATTCTGGGTACAAGCTTCTGATTCTATTTCATGGCTTCGAATGAAGTCGTGCACAAGCATTTACATATTGACTTATGCATTGTTTTATATTTTCCTTGTATATTACAGTTGGGGCAGGATATCAATTTTTAAAATTTGTATGTATAGGTAGGTTACAATCATTATTAATTTTATTTCAGGCTGGTGAAACGGTGTGACAAAATATTTGTCGTAAAAAGAGGACTTGGGTCTGACAGGGTTGAGAACCACAACACTGGAGGAGTGTTGACCTCCCCAGTGCTTCTCTGTTGACTTTGGTGGCACTTAGACAGCTCCTGCACCATCTCTGCCTTCTCTTGCCCACACCCCACACTGGGGCTGCTTCTCTAGGCTCCTCTGCTCTGCTCTTCCCACACCTTCTCCTCAGCCCTCAGGTCAGCGAGTCCTGGGCAGCCTCTCCTGCTCCCTGGTTCAATCCCAGCCATGCCATCACCCACGCCTCAGAGTCTCTCCTGCCCCTCCTTAACCCATGCCACCCCGACTCCAGCTAGGTCCTATAATCTTCAATCTCTTCTGGGCTGTCTGTGGGAGGGAGGGTTCCTGCCTAGATACCTGTTCTGTCCATAAAATCAGGTTCCAAATCTCCCTCATTTGTATTTGTTTGATTTTATTTATTTATTTAGAGATGGAGTCTCACTCTGCCGCCTAGACTGGAGTGCAGTGGCCCGATCTTGGCTCACTGCAACCTCTTCCTACTGAGGTCAAGCAATTCTTCTGCCTCAGCCTCCCAAGTAGCTGCCACCACACTTGGCTAATTTTTGTGTTTTTGGTAGAGACGGGGTTTTGCTGTGTTGGGGGGCAGGCTGGTCTCGAACTCCTGACCTCAAGTGATCCGCCCCCCTCAGTCTCTCAAAGTGTTGGGATTACAGGCGTGAGCCACCGCGCCCGGCCAATGCCCCTCATTATATAGCCTCTGCTCCAGCCAGCTGAGCCCTGGAGGTTCCCTACCATGGTCATGTCAGGGAATAGGGGAACATCCTGTGTCAGCTAACTTATTGACTTCTCGTGAGGGCTCTTGCTACTGAAGTCCTGGTTTCTGTCCTTATCACTATAGTATTCCAGGGCAGCCAGGTTCAAGTCCTTATAGTCATCTCTAACTCTTTGTCTCTTATATTTAACAAGGCACCAACTGAATTAAACTTAATGAACATTTAAATGAATTTTTAATAAAAAATTTTAAATATGTATTACAAAAATATTGTTCATAAAGATTCCAATAATACAGAACTAAAGTAATTTTGGGGCCTGTCTGTCCATACCTGCTGCCCCCCCCCCCCCACCACCAAAAACAACCAACTTCATTGAAACAAGCACTTCAACTGCTTCTTATTTAACAATTCATTTGTTCTTGTGTAATCTCAGGGTGTCAAGTTCTGTAACCTTCTAAGGTCACTCTTTCTTTTATTATCTAAATGAAGTGACTCAAGCCTCTAGGCTACTCCTGTCATGCCTGAAGATTTTCGGGGATGCTTGCACTCTCCTGATTTATAATCACTTTGATGTCTGAATCTCACTGAATCCCACAGCCTAGTGATTTTTCGTTTGATTTATAG
Organism: Homo sapiens; assembly: GCF_000001405.40. Taxonomy (NCBI): domain Eukaryota; kingdom Metazoa; phylum Chordata; class Mammalia; order Primates; family Hominidae; genus Homo; species Homo sapiens. The sequence continues at coordinate 128,699,549 of NC_000007.14, forward strand.
CTTAAGTGCATTGCGATCCAGATATGAATATTGCTATATGCAATTCAGTGATTAAAATTTGCTGAAACTTGCTTTATTGCTCATAATCTGGCCATTTTTTACTTATAAATTTCCCTATGTACTTAAAATTAAAGCATATTCTGCAATTGTTGGGTGTAGTGTTCTCTGCCTATGGTCTATTAAATCAAGTTTGTTAATCATGTTTAAATATTCTATATCCTTACTGATCTGGTCTGCATGCTATATCAATTACAGAAAGGCATTAAAATCACCTTCTGTGATTATTACTTTGTCCATATGCAGTTCTGTCAATTTCGCTTTATATAGCTTGAGACTATTATATTTTTGAGTTTTATTTTTTTTTATGTTCCTGGTGAATTGAACGTTTTATCATTCCACAGTGGTCCTTTGTCTTTTTAGCAACAGTTTTTGGTTTAAAGTCCATTTGACTAACATTAATATAGCTCACCAGCTTTCTTTTGTTAGTACTTACATAGTGTATTTCTCTTTCATTCTTTTACTTTCAAGCTTTCTTTATACTTTTGTTTTCCTTTCTCTTTTTGAAATGGGGTCTCTCCTGTCACCCAGGCTGGAGTGCAGTGGTGCATCATAGGCTATTTTCCTCTTGACTAATTAGCATGTGAATTGTAGTTATATAATTTGTAATCTTCAATTATTCTTGCTTTCTTTAGTACTGACATTTAGTAAGGTTTGTTTTGTTTTGTTTTGTATTTTGTTTTTTTTTTTTTTGAAACGGAGTCTCTCTCTGTCACCCAGGCTGCAGTGCAGTGGCACGATCTCAGCTCACTGCAACCTGTGCCACCAGGGTTCAAGCCATTCTCCTGCCTCAGCCTCCCAAGTAGCTCAGATTACAGGCATGCACCACCACACGTGGCTAATTTTGTATTTTTAGTAGAGATGGGGTTTCACTATGTTGGCCAGGCTGGTCTCAAACACCTGACCTCAGGTGATCTGCTCACCTCAGCCTCCCCAAGTGCTGGGATTACAGGAGTGAGCCACGGTGCCCGGCCTTAGTAAGGTTTTATTATTCTTTTAATACAAGATAGATTCTATTTGCTGCCATTTTATTTAGATGTTAAAATCAATATTAAAATATGAGCTTGAAACATGCATACATACATAGCTGGAATCCCAGGAGAAGGGAAGAAATGAGATAGAAGAAATATTTGAGGAAATAATGGCCAAGAATTTCTCAGAATTCATGACAGCCATCAAACCTCAGATCCAAGAAGCTCAGAGAGCAGAAAGCAGGATGTACTAACATGAGCACACACACACACGATGCACTACCTACACATTTTAAGTTCCTACTGCTGAAAACAAAACAAAAAGAAGACATCTTGAAGGAGCAAGAGAAGAAAGAAACACAGTTGTCCCTCAATATCCACAGGGGCTTGGCTCCCCCACAGATACCAAATCTACACAGTCCTAAGTCCTGGTGGAACCAACTGATAGGAAATGTGAGCCCTCCATCTAGACGGGCTTCACATGCAGCCAGTACCATATTTCACATAATGCATTTGGTTCTGGACGTGGAACCCACCCATATGGAGAGTAAACTGAGTGTATTTTTAAAATCCAGGTGTAAGTGGACCCTCAAAGTTCAGCCCCATGTTGTTCCAGGGTCAACTGTATTCCATAGAGGGAAACAAATGTTAGAAGTAAATGCTCGCTTCCACCAAGTGAAAATAGCACTCAGGCAAAAGTTTTCTCAGCAAGGCAGTTTACTTCTATAGAAGGGTACATCTATAGGGGAGGGGGAGGGGAGGGGAGGGGGAGGGGAGGGGAAGGGGAGGGGAGGGGAAGGGGAGGGAGAGGGGAGGGGAGGGGAAGGGGAAGGGAAGGGGAGGAGAGGGGAAGGGGAGGGGAGGGGAGGGGAGGGAAGGGAAGGGAAGGGAAGGGAAGGGGGTCTTATTCCTAATGTAGCTTGTCCCTACTGCTGTGTCTTTCCCCTATTGGCTGGGATTGGATCGCACAGTCTAAGCTAATTCTGATTGGCTATTTTAAAGAGCGAGAAGGTATGAGCCAGAGTGGCAGGGTGAGTAGTTTTGGCAGGAGGGATGGTTGCAGAGCAGGTGACTAAGGATGACTAAGGACAAAGCAGGTGACTAAAAACAGAGCAGGTGATAGAGGCTAGGAGGGGGTTGTTCACTGAAACTAGGGGCAAGGAGACGTAAAGAACGAGGAAATTAAAGTTTAAAACAGAGAACAAAGAACAGGGGAGCTGAACATACTGATACATTGGTTCTTTGGAGAGGAACTCAGAACTCATTGTACTTAACAATTTTCTCCCTCTTGAATTTTAAAGGAAGTTAACAGGCTTAAGGCTTTGAAGAGGAATTTATTATATCCTACACAAAAATAAGAATTACAGTAAACTTCTCATCAGAAACCACAGAAGCCAAAAGAAAATGGTCTGACCTTCTTTAAAGTGAAAATGAAGCAAATCAAGACAAAAATCTCTGGCAATCCAAAATTCTATACTCAGTGAAAATATCCTTCACAATACAAAAGAGGTAAAAAACCTTTCCCAGACAAATGAAAACTGAAGGAATGCATTGCCAGCAGACCAGCTCTACAAGAAATGTTAAAGAATATTCTCCAAGCAGAAGGAATGTGATAGCAGACTGAAACTTGAATCTGCACAAAGAAATGAAGCACACTGGAAATGGAATAAAGAAGATAAGACAGAATCAATTTTTAAAAAAATTTTAGTTTCTCTAAAAGGTAAAGCAAAAATAGTGGCAATATATTATAGGTTTGTAACATATATAAAAGTAAACTGTATGACAACAATATCAGAAAAGACAGGAGGGAGATATTGGAAAGACCTGTTGTAAGATCCTTACACTACACACAAAGCAGTATAATGTTATTTGCAGTTGGATTTCAGTTAACTGTAGAAGCATATTATGACTATTAGGGCAACCACTAAAATTTCTTGAAAATATGTTTTTATACATTATAAATATGAGATATATGTATAAGATAATAGAGATGATAAAATTGAATCATAAAAAATGATCAATAACCCCCCCAAAAGGCAGAATAAATGAAGGAAAGATGCAGAGAACAGATGGAACAAATAGAAAACAGTGATCAATATGGTAGATGTTAATGCAGCTACAGTAATAATCACAGTAAATGTGGACAGTCAGTCTAAACACATCAGTTAAAAGTCAGAGATTGTCAGATCAGCTTTAAAAATGGACCAAACTGTATGCAATCTACAAGAAATCTTTTTTAAAAATGTAAAGACAGAAAGGTTAAAAGTAAAAGGACAGAGAAAGCTATGTAACGCACACCAAAAGAAAGCTGGAGTAGCTATTTTAATATCAGATGAAGCAGACTCCCAGGCAAGGAATATTAGCAGCCATAAGGAGGGCATTATATAGTGATAAAGGGATCAATTCTCCAAAAAGATAAAATAGTTTTGAATGTGCAAGCATGTAAAAATAGAGCTTCAAAATACTTGAGACAAAAATTGTTAGAACAGAAAAATAAAAGACAAGTTCACAATTATAGATCAAGTCTTCAATATTCTTCTCTCAGTAAGTTGATAAAATAGGCCATAAAAATCAGTAAAAATACAGAAAATGTAAACAACACTATCAAACAACTAGACTTAATTGGCATTTATTGAACATGCTATTCAATAGTAGTACAATGCACTTTCTTTTCAGGTACACATGGAATGTTTATTAAGAGAGACCACATTTTGGGCCATAAAATAAACCTCAACAAATTTCATGCAAAGTGTATAATCAGACCACGACAAAATTAAACTGTAAATAGTAAAAGAAAGATTTCTGGGAAATCCCAAAATATAAACTACACACTTCTACATAACCCATGGATCAAAGAGGACTAAAGGGAAATTTTAAAACAGTTTGCGCCCAGCTGAATGAAAACAAAAATACGGCATATCAAAATGTACAGGGCAGGGCACAGTGGCTCATGCCTATAATCCCAGCGCTTTGGGAGGCCAAGGCAGAAGGATCACTTGAGACCAGCCTGGGCAACATAGAGAGATCCCGTCTCTACAACAAATTTTAAAAATTAGCTGGGCATGGTGGAGCAGCTTATAGTCCTACTGACTCGTGAGGCTGAGGCAGGAGGATCGCTTGAGCAGAGGAGTTCAAGGCTGCAGTGAACTATGATCTTGCCACTGCACTCCAGTGTGGATGACAGAGCGACATCCTGTCTCAAAAAAAAAAAAAGAAAAAGAAAGTGCAGATGCTGCCAAATCAGTGCTTGGCAGATTAGTAAACAATTCAGTGGGGCCAATTAGGGCTTGGGGGAAGATTTCACTACAGAGGAACAGCACGAGAGGTGACTCGACGTTGGAGGATGCATTACCCTGTGCATTTGTTAAAAGGTATGCCACAAAGAGTGAGTTTCACTGTATGCAAAGGAAAAAAATCAACTGAATGTCAGGGGAACCCAGGTTGGAATGCAGACTGTGACAAATGAATCTAACTGTACTGTATTGAAGGGAATGGAGAAGAAAGAGCTCACTCAGTTGCTTTGGGAAACTATACTGATTGGCTAAAGACCAAAAGAAGTGCATAAAAGCTGTGCTTTAGTTCAGTGGTCCCCAACCTTTTTGGCACCAGGAACTGGTTTCTTGGAAGACAGTCTTTCCACAGATGGAGGGTGGGGGGGCGGGGATGATGATGATAGTTTCGGGATGAAACTGTTCCACCTTAGATCATCAGGCATTATTAGTTAGAGTAACCTTTTTTTTTTTTTTGAAACAGAGTCTTGCTCTGTCACCTAGGCTGGAGTGCAGTGGCACCATCTCGGCTCACTGCAACCTCCATCTCCCAGGCTCAAGCAGTTCTCTTGCCTGAGCCTCCCAAGTAGCTGGGATTACAGGCATGTGCCACCACACCTGGCTAATTTTTGTATTTTTAGTACAGACGGGGTTTCACCATGTTGGCCAGGCTGGTCTCAAACTCCTGACTTCAGGTAATCTGTCTACCTCAGCCTCCCAAAGTGCTGGGATTACAGGCATGAGCCACCGCTTCCAGCCTAGAGTCTTACAAGGAGCGTGCAACCTAGATCACTCACATGTGCAGTTCACAATAGGGTTCGCACGCCTATGAGAATCTAACGCCGCCGCTGATCTGACAGGAGGCCGAACTTGGGTGATAATGTAAGCAATGGGCAGAGGCTGTAAATACAGATGAAGCTTCACTCACTGCCGGCCACTCACCTCCTGCTGTGCGACCCGGGTTCCTAACAGTCTGCAGCAGCCTGGGGGCTGGGGACCCCTGCTTTAGTGGGTAAATTTGCTTCTTACACAATATGGGTTAGCAATTCTGAAACTACATTACATTATAATGTTCAGCATATTAGGACTGAACAAATAAGGAACCATCATGAGAGCCAGCTTTCTCACTGTCAGAGGAAGGAGTTCAAAATAGGTCAATGGAATCCTACAATATGGAGCTTTCTGTCTTCTTTCACTTAGCCTTACTCTTGCATGAGTCAACAGTCTGTTCCTTTTTGTTGCTGAATGGTATTCCACTGTGCGGATGTAACGCGGTTTGTTTATCAACTCACCTGCTGAAGGACATCTGGGTCATTTCCAGTTTGGGTGATAAAGCTGCTAGAAACATTTCCCTCATGAACATACATGGAATTTGGTTTCCATGTGTTGTCAGTATGATCCTTCCACCCCATCCCCCAATCGGGAACAGTTTCTTGTCCTTTCCTTGTCTTTCTTGTTCTCAACTGTCTTAGACGGCACAGGCTTTACCTTTTCAGGTGGGTCTGTCTGGTGTTTCATCATGGTCAAACTTGGGTCTTGTTTTCTCGGCAGGAGTGCCCTGGGGATGGAGCCGTGCCGTTCTCACAGCTGCACATCGGGGGACTGATTTTGTTGTCTGCCAGATTTTTCTACCATAACATTATCACTTCCCCTTCTATAATTCAGAAGGTTTTCCAAAAATATATCCCAAGATTGCATTGATACCATTTCTTCATCAAACTTCCTCTACTCACCAGCCTTAGCCTCTATTGAAAACTTCTGCCTGAATCAGCCGCAACACTGATGGCGCCAAATGGTGATTTTTTTGGTGTTTTTTTTTTTTTTTTTTTTTTTTTTTGAGACAGGATCTCACTCTGTCGCCCAGGCTGGGGTGCAATGGCATGATAATAGCTCACTGCAACCTCCACCTCCCGGGCTCAGGTGATCCTCCCACCTCAGCCTCCCAAATAGCTGGGACCACAGGCGCGTGCCACTACGCCCAGCTAATTTTTGTAGAGACAGGGTCTCGCTGTGTTACCCAGGCTGGCCTCAAACTTCATGCTCAAGTGATCCACCCACTTCGGTCTCCCAAAGTGTTGGGATTACAGGTGTGAGCCATGGCGCCCTGCCAAATAGTGATTTTCTGCTTCCATTATCCCTTCTACAATTAAGAGTTGGCATTCTACTATAAGGAAGAGGTTCCTCTCTCTCTCCCTCTCTCTCTCATCAGTATGACTCATAGGTTCCAATTTTATTCAAGAGTTTGTAACTCATTACTGTCATTATCTGCTTTGACATTCAAACAGTCCCAAATTTGGCCTGCAGGAGCACCTCCAGGCTGTCTTCTGCATTCTTTTGACTTGTCTGCATCATTCTTTGAGCACTTCCTTCCTTTCTGGCAAACAAGAGGCCCTACTCTTATCTTGTACTTTTCCTGCCCCAATCTTGGAATCAGCCATTCCTCCAAGAAATCCCGGTTCTTTAGAGTGGAAGATGGTATTTGGAAACCAATCTACATACTTAGCGTGCTTCTTCCTACTGTGGTGTCACTGCTTGTAGGCCCTCTCAATGGACAGATTTAGAAAAACACACACACGCACACACATCCATATATGCACAGACATTTTTATACACTCATGCACCTATAACTATATATCTCCATCTCTCTCTCTCTCTATTTATTTATATATTTTAAACTGAGTTCATTTTGATATCTCCAGTTTCAGTCTACCACCTCAGGGTTCTTTCTAGCCTTCCCAAGCTTGCCATGCTTACAAGGACCTCCTCCCACAGTGAGAAACCTGGCTACCATTATCCTCAGTATGTTTACTTATTTGCTCATGTAACTAGTCTCCCAATCACACTGGCTGACTCCCTCACCCGCCACCGCCCCTACTGAGCAAGCCCTCTGTCTTTGAGAAGTTCTCTGATCTGCCTCATCCTTCATCCCTGGGCATCCTGCGATCCCAGAGCCTGGTGGGCTCACCTCTGTCTCCTTCCCTGCTTGCTGTCACACAGCAGGCAGTAAGGCAGCTCCTCGTGGGACTCTGGGAAATGCAAAGGGCTACAATGGGGTTGGAAGGCTGCAGGTTGTATTATTGACATTCACTCTTCCATAGGCTGAAGATCCTGGGGTGATGAGGACTCAGGGGCCTGTCTGTAGCCTTTGTCAGAGGACATGGGGTATGCTCTCTCCTAAAAGTTTTTTTTTTTAACCATTTTATTGAGGTATGATTGAGATGTAAAAAGCTGTATATATTTAATGTATACAACTTGATGAATGTGGGTTAGGTATATACCTGTGAAGCCAACCTTACTACCATCAAGGCCATAGACATACCCATCACCTCCCGAATTTTCCTTCTGCCCTATTATTATTATTATTGTGTGTATGTATGTGTGTGTGTGTGTGTGTGTGTGTGTGTGAAGAATGTTCAATATAAGATCTACCCTCTTGGGAAATTTTAACTATATAGTACAGCATTGTTAGTGGTAGGCATGATGCCTCATAGTAAATCTCTAGAACTCATTCATCTATCCTACAACTGAAACTTTGTACTCTTTGACCATCATCTCCTCATCTTCACCTCCCTACCCAGCCCCTGGCAATCACTGTTCTACACTCTGCTTCTATGAGTTTGACTAATTTCTTTTCTTTGAGAAAGGGTCTTTCTCTGTCACCCAGGCTGGAGTACAGTGTGGCACCATCATGGCTCACTGCAGCCTCAATCTCCTGGCTTCAAGCAATCCTCCCACCTCAGCCTGGGAACACAGGCCCTGCTAATTTTTATTATTACTATATTTTATTTTTAGAGATGGGGTCTCACTATGTTGCCCAGGCTAGTCTTGAACTCCTGGGTTCAAATGATCCTCCCGCCTTGGCCTCCCAAAGTACTGGGATTACAGATGTGAGCACCCTGCCCGGCCAAATATTTTTGATTCTGTGTATAAGTGACATCATACAGTATTTGTCTTTTTGTGTCTGGTTTATTTCATTAGGTCCATGCATGCTCTTGCCTATGGCAGGATTTCCTTTCTTCCTTTCTTTCTTTTCCTTCCTTCCTTCCTTTCTTGCTTTTTCTTCCTTCCTTCCTTCCTTTCCTTCCTTCCCTTCCCTTCTCCCTTCCTTACTTCCTTCCTCCTTTATTTCTCTCTCTCTCTTTCTCCTTCCTTTCTCTCCTTCTTTTCTTTTGTTTTCTTTTATTTCCCTCTTTCCAGGATCTCTGTGGCCTAGGCAAGAGTGCAATGGTATGTCATGGCTCACTGCAGCCTTGCTTTCCCAGGCTCAAGCGATCCTTTTGCCTCAGCCTCTCAGGTAGCTGGGGCTACAGGCACATGCCACTGCACCTGGACAATTTTTTTTTTTTTTTTTTTTAATTTTTAGTAGAGACAAGTTCTCACTATGTTGCCCAGGCTGATCTCAAACTCCTGAGCTCAAACAGTTCTCCCACCTCGGCCTCTGAAAGTGTTGGGATTATAGGTGTGAGTCATTGCACCGGGCCAATTTCTTTCTTTTTTAAGGCTGAGTGTCTCCTGAAAAATTTTAAAAAGCTCTCTTTTCTATTTGGAGGTGTATCCTATTCTCATGAGGTAATCCTTCGTCAAATCAGCCTGAAGAACTGAACAATGGTGAACCCAGCTGGGCTTTTCTGTCTCTAATGAGACAGTGCTGTGACTGATAGGGGATTTCTGAAGGTTTTTCTTGAATTGTTTTCTTCTACTCTTGAAGGGTTTTCTTGAATTGTTTTCCTGAGCTGATTTCTCACTCCCTCAGACTGCTCTTCTCCAATTTGGGGAGAGGGAGGGAGTAATTTGTGAGAACACGGACAATATTATTAATTAGCATTCTTTATTATCAGGCTATCTCCAGATTTTATGTCTTTTCTACCCTTTGGCCACCTGACTTAACCTCTTTCTTTGTTAGGTTATCAATAGTTAATCTTTTGTTTTTTAAATAAACTACATACTTAATGCGTATGGCAAGGGGAGTCATTCTGTGACATAGCTTCTTCCCACGGGTTGCTAATTGTCCATCAATATCCCTCATCCTTAAATAATAAATAATTCTCCAGTTGTAGGTGGGCTCATGGCCACCCAGTGAAAAGCTACATTTCCCAGCTTCCCTTGTATCTGGGTGTGGCCCTGTGTTTGAATTCCGACCAATGGGATGTGAGCAAAAGTGATTATGCCATTTTCAGGTCATAGCCTTAAAAGGAATGAGTGTGAACTCCCCATTCTTTTCCCCCTTCTCACCGGCCAGGATGCAGACATAATGATGGCAGGAGCTGGAGCAGCCACCTGAGGACCCAGAGCTCAAAGCCACATGTTGAGAAGGGCAGAGATAACTGTATCCACTCTGGACTGCTGACCTTTGAACTATTATGTAAGAGAAAATCAAAATTCTATTTTAAGTCACAATACTTTGGGGTCTTTGACTACCTGGACTACATCTTAAGTAGTACAGCTTCATGCCACTACCTGCACCCAGAAGCCTGTACCTCTCCTTTATTTGCACATACTTATGTTTTCTTATTTCATGTTTTATGTCCATGTTTTTACAAAGTAAAATGTTTAGTGGTCCAACTAATTTTTTTCAAAGAACCAGCTTATGGATTTATTTTAGTGTGCTTAGTGTTTTGAGATTATTTTTGTTATATTTGAATGAATTTTAAGCCATTTATAGAATCATGGGGTCACATACTTTTCTTCTCAACATTCTTTCTCCATTGTTTCATTGTCCTATGCCATCTAAACTTGCTGGAAAGAGGTCTGAGGCCAGTATCCTTTTATCCCCTGGGTAGACTGTCTGCTTCTTCTTTCTGGATGTTTGTAGTATAATGTTGTTGTTGTTGTTGTTTTAATATGGGGTTTTCCAGTGGAAACCAGAAAACATGCTAGACAAATTCTCTCTCTCTCTCTCTCTCTCTTTTTTTTTTTTTTTTTTTTAGACGGAGTCTCACCCTGTCACCCAGGCTGGAGTGCAATGGCGTGATCTCAGCTCACTGCAACCTCTGCCTCCTGGGTTCAAGCGATTCTCCTGCCTCAGCCTCCTGAGTAGCTGGGATTACAGGCGTGTGCCACCACGCCCGGCTAATTTTTAGTATCTTTAGTAAAGATGGGGTTTCACCATGTTGGCCAGGCTGGTCTCGAACTCCTAACCTCATGATCCACCCGCCTCCATCTCCTGGGTTCAAGCAATTCTCCTGCCTCAATCTCCTGAGTAGCTGGGACTACAGTTGCCTGCCACTACACCTGGCTAATTTTTGTATTGTTTGTAGAGACAGGGTTTTGTCATGTTGGCCAGGCTGGTCTCAAACTGGCCTCAAGTGATCTGCCCGCCTCAGCCTCCCAAAGTGCTGGGATTACAGGTGTGAGCCACCACACCCAGCCCTGCTAGACAAATTCTAAAAGAGCAGTAACACTTAGCTAGTGCATTCTTTATGCCTAAGATTTAGGAACTTCACAAGAGCCAGTGGCTTCTTTGCTCACTTTACCTGCAATATAGTACATTCTGTTCTTTTGCTAAATCAGGACTTTTTTTGGTTTGTTTCAGAAATGGCTGTTTCTTTTTATGTTTTTCATTACTTTTTTGAATTTCATTTGTTCCCTAGTCACTAAGGACTCAATCTGTATGTTGGATCAACATAACTATTTTCTATATCTCTCATTTCTCCCCAGTCAGTTCATCTCTCTCCCCAGCTTTATTGTATGATATTTATCCCAGCTTTATTGTGTCATATTCTCAAGCCTGTCATCCATGTTGCTGACTCAGTTTTCTGTCATGCCAGCTCTACTTCTTATGGCTTCTAACATGACTTCCAGATCTTTAGTGAGTTTTTCTTGTTTCTTTTTTTCTTTTCTTTTCCTTTTTTTTTTTGAGACAGAGTTTTGGTCTTGTTGCCCAAGCTGGAGTGCAATGACGCAATCTGGGCTCACCGCAACCTCCGCCTCCCTGAGTAGTTGGGATTACAGCCATGTGCCACCACGCCCAGCTAATTTTGTATTTTTAGTAGAGAAGAGACGGGGTTTCTCCATGTTGGTCAGGCTGGTCTCGAACTCCCAACCTCAGGTGATCCGCCCGCCTCAGCCTTCCAAAGTGCTGAGATTACAGGCGTGAGCCACTGCGCCTGGCCTGGTTTTTCTTGTTTCTTTGCTTACCTCTTTCGGTCTTAATTTCATCTTATTTTGGTATCTCTATATTTTTGTTTCAGAGGGTCCATATTATATTTAATTTCCTTGAGAGTGCAGAGAAGAGTCTTGTCAAATATTTTCTTCCACTTCCTGGGATCATTATTCTTTTGATATGCAGTCGTCATGTGTACTTTCCTCCTGGCATGCTTTGGGAGAGAAGAGTAGCATCTTACGGAGATCTCGTGATAGAGCTTTACTAAGAAATAGTGACTATTTTAATTAAAAAAAAAAGTTTACCTTGAATCCAGTAACCCTTTAGATAGAGCTTCTATTTCACAGGAAATGAGTAGCTAGAGAATCAAGCTAAACATCACCCCATAGAAGCAACCAGACAAACCTAGAAGGTAGGACGTGGTGTGGGACAACTCACTCAACTGCTCTCACTAATAAGTGTCCTAAAAAGGGGAATATACTAGATTAAAATAAGCTAAGGGAACATGCTTGGTCCTGTATTGGGTACTGACTTGGATAAGCCAGCTGTAGTAATAATTTTGGTTAATTGGAGAAAGTATAATATGGCCTGAAAATTAGGTAAGATGAAAATATAGGGAAACTCAAAGGCAGAGAGTATCAACTAAATGAACCAGGTTGTTAAAAAGTTATAAAACAATATTTAAAGTATGATCTCATTTTGGTTTTACAGACACACACACACACACACACACACACACACACACACACACTTACAGTGATGTTCTCCAGGAGGCAGGACTATGCTGAGTTTTATTAAACACTTGCTGTATTGCTGGCCGTGGTGGCTCATGCCTGTAATCCCAACACTTTGGGAGGCCAAGGTGCGTGGATTGCTTGAGGTTAGGAGTTCAAGACCAGCCTGACCAACATGGTGAAACCCCGTCTCTACTAAAAATACAAAAAGTAGCCAGGCATGTTGGCAGGTGCCTGCGATCCCAGCTACTCGGGAGGCTGAGGCAGGAGAATCACTTGAACCTGGGAGGCGGAGGTTGCAGTGAGCCAAGACCATACCATTGCACTCCAGCCTGGATGACAGAGCGAGACTCCGCCTCAAAAAACAAAAACAAAAACAAAAAAAACCTTGCTGTATTTTCCAATATTCTACAAAGCTTTGCACTGCTTATGCAATAATAAAGTGTTTTAAATAGTGACATAGATTTAAATGGGACAGACTTACCACAAAGATAATAAAACTTAAAGCTTCAGGGCCTCTAATTCATATGGGCCTTATGAGGCCCTAGGAGGACCTCTAGCAATTTTGTATCATACTTTTGTAGGGGTTTTAATTTTATTTGTTAAGTTCTAGCATATTTTCACTGTGGTAAAATACACACAACATAAAATGTACCATTTTAACCATTTTAGGTATGCAGTTCAGTGGCATGAAGTACATTCTCACTGTTTTGCAACCATCACCACCATCCATCTCCAGAACTTTTTCATCTTCCCTAACTGAAACTCTGCACCCATTAAACAATAACTCCCTATGACCCCCTCCATCCAGTCTTTTTATTTTTAAGAGTTTCCAAAATTGTATAAACTCTTGGCTTCACAAAACCTGGGTCCAGCCCCAACTGACAACCAGATGTCCTGGTAATTCCTGTGCAAGCTACGAAATGATACCTTGCACTGCCAAAGTGGCTTTAGCCTCAAACCAAAGGACAGTCAGCATGGTTGAGGCTGTCACCAAAGTTTTCATCACTAAAAGTGCAAACAGTAGTGATTGTGGCAGCATCAATATTACTGAATACACAAGGAGGAAAAAGCAATGTTTTCTCAAGTTATTGGAACCTACATCTATATAACTTTCCCCAGAAGCTACAAGTTTGTAATTTCTACAGTCCTAATTTCCTGTAAATTAACCCTATTTTCTTCACTGCTTAAAGTTATTGGTAAATAATTTTACATCTCCTTTTCCAGAAGGTAGTCACATGGTCTTACCTAGCTGCAAGGGAGGCCAGGAAATGTAATCTTTCTTACAGGAGACCTGTGCCCAACTAATGATCAAGTATTCTATTACTAAAAAATCAGAATGGGCCGGGCATGGTGGCTCAGGCCTGTAATCCAGCACTTTGGGAGGTCAAGGCGGTTGGATTACTTAGGGCCAGGAGTTCGAGACCAGCCTTTAGTAGAGATGGTGAAACCCCATCTCTACTAAAAATACAAAAATTAGCCAGGCATGGTGCTGCACGTTTGTAATCCCAGTTACTCGGGAGGCTGAGGCAGGAGAATTGCTTGAACTCGGGACATGGAGGTTGCAGTGAGCCAAGACTGTGCCACTGCACTCCAGCCTGGGCCACAGAGTGAGACCTTATTTCAAAAAGAAAAAAAAGAAAGAAACAGAATGGGTGTTGGGACAGACAACTAATAGACAACTAAGTATCTGTCACATGGTTTCTAAAAAGATTCAATATGCTTGTTTTTGAGGTTTGCAGGGGAAGTAGGAAGGGGTGCACATCATTTTTTTGTTTAATAGAGACAGGATCTCATTCTCTCGTGCAGGCTTGAGTGCAGTGGCAAGATCACAGCTCACTGTAGCCTTGAACTCCTGTCCTAGAGTGATCCTCCCAGGAGCCTAGGCTTCCCAAAGCACTAGAATTACAGATGTGAGCCACCTTAAAGCACCATTTACAAAACTGCTTAGCATCTTGTTTAGAGCTAAAAAATCCTTTGCTCACAATCAGCTTTCTAGACTGGGCACCCAAGCCTTCTTCCTCTGAGGGTTGAACACCATAGAAGTGGGCTTAACAGACTTGTATGGAAAAGAGAAGAAGTCATCTCCCCAACTGACTCTTGGATGTCTCAGTGGCCAAGTATACTCAAATTGTATATCTAAACCAATGAGCTTTATTGTTGTGGTTAAGCTTTAACTGTGAACAGCAACGTATCAATTTATTAATTACTACGCTTTTGTGCTGTGTGTTCCCTTTCTAGGTTATTTCCAGGGAAATGCAAACCAAAGGATGTGGTCTCTGATCTAATCCTTAGAGAATGTGACCATGAAGACACTTTTCCTACCTGGTAAACAAAAGATAATGAGAAAAGTGAGGTTGGAAGTTGGTTTACTGAGCCAGGAGCTATAACAGGTGCTGGAGCAGGGGTGTGATCTGAATGACCAGAGGGAAGGACTGATGGAATTGGATGGTGAGAGCCTCCAGGCCCTTTAGGCTTCTCCCTGACTTTATAATGAAATACAAAAGTCAGCCTCCATGCTTGTCCTTTGTGTGTAATGATTGTCAAACTCTGTCTATATGTGTTACATTTGACCTTGATGGTTAATTCATTATGTAATAAGTTCAGAATTTGGGACAGACACAGTGGCTCATGCCTGTAATCCCAGCACTTTGGGAGGTCGAGGTGGGCGGATCATCTGAGGTCAGGAGTTCGAGACCAGCCTGACCAACATGGAGAAACCCTGTCTCTACTAAAAATACAAAAAATTAGCCAGGCGTGATGGCACATGCCTGTAATCCCAGCTACTCGGGAGGCTGAGGCAGGAGAATCGCTTGAACTCGGGAGGCAGAGGTTGTGGTGAGCCGAGATCGCGCACATTGTACTCCAGCCTGAGCAACAAGAGCGAGACTCCATCTCAAAAAAAAAAAAAATTTAGAATTTGGTCCAAATTAGAAAACAGTTTCTCCCAGGAATGGCCTTGAATAGTGGTCAGCCTGCTTGGTTCTTTCTTCCTGACCTAGCAGCCCATGATTTGGGCTCTTTCCTCCTCTGGTTCAGGGGTGAGGGATGCTGTCACTCTCCAAGAGGGGGAACAGCTTGGGACCTAGCAGAGCTGCTCATCGGGGTTCTATTCCTCCCAGCCAGCGCCCTGACAAAGCCAGCCTCTGGATAAGAAACTAATTACTTCTCCTGCTTCTTCAGTTTGACCTCCTAAGGGAAGTAAGTCCTGCAGAAGTAACCAGCCTGCCGCGGCAGAATGCAGAGCAGGCACCAACTGCCCTGCAACTGCTTCCATAACCTGCAGATCCACCAGGGTGTCGGGGGCCCACATGCTGCAAAGCTTAGGAAGATGGGGTTTTCAATGGACATGCAGCTTTTAAAGTTGTGTGAGATAGGTTGCATTCAGAGTAAGGAAGGGTTGAAAGGCAGGAAGGGCATTTTCCTCTTAGCAGTGGAAGGATCTTCCTGACAGCCCTCCTTGCTTGCTTTCTGCCTGGCTCACTGCTTTCTCAGCAAGTTCCGGGAGGACTATGTCCTGGGGTTCCGAAAAGGGCTGGGGAATGTCCAGGCACGGATAAGGCACACAAGCTCTCTGGAGGAAAAGGGAGGCTCCTTTGCACTTCCCCTTCCTGCAGGTCTGTCCTGGTTTTTCATGATGTCATCCATTCATCATTGTGAGCTGACTGGTGGTCCCAGGGCTTGGCCAGCTGCCCAAGGCCAGGAGGGGAGACAGAGATCCCAGGACAAATGTGCAGCAGGCCCCTGAGCATGTGTAGAAATGTTGTCATCATTTCCACATAGAAAGACTTGGAGGAAATCAAAGAAGACAGTAAAAGTCACAAGATCCTATCCAACCTTCCCTTCCCTGAATGCCTGGGAAGAATTCAGGGGCCTCTTGCCTGTGGATGGAGAGCCGAACCCTGGAGCGGGCCTAGGTGTGGAGGAGGGACTGCTCTGCCGGGTGGTTCATTCTCCAGAATTCAACCTGTTTCTTGACTCCGTGGTGTTTGAAAGCAACTTCATCCAGGTATTCTTGGGTGGCGCAGAATAGCACTCTTTGATTCTTCGAAACCTGTTCCCAAGATATGACTGAGAGAGTCCATCCCTGAAACTGGGGCAGAGTGAGAATTGAGGCAAGGAGAAGCTAGTGGACCTGGAATGCAAGGCCACCCTCACTGACCTGGGCTTTGCTGAGCCCCAGACGGGGCTTCTCCTACAGACAGCTGTCACCCAGGGAGAAAGGTCAGGGGTCCTCTGCTCTGAGTGGAGAATTTGGTATCTAATCCCCCAGTTTACTTCAGCCCCCAGGCTGTCACCTGAAGTAGATGAACAAAGAGGCAGTAAAAAGAGACGCTTCTTGAGAACAATAATGCGGATTGGCGAAAGAACAGCACCTGGGGTCCCAGAGACAGCTGGGCTCAGATTCCAGTCCTCTGCCTTCTCCTTGGGAGGTGACTGTGCAAGTAACCTGTGCAGCCTGAATCTGGCCCCTTGATTGTAAAAGGGTTGAACTGACCTGAGGATGAAATGCAAATACAGCAAGAAAAGTACCTTGTCTAACAGGCACTCGGTGCACGTTCGTCTCCTTGCCTGGGCTCTCCTCTGGTTGGATGGAAGCGAGAATGAACAGCACTTTGGAGTTAGAGAGGACCTTCCTGTTCAGTGAAGGTGCAGGAGATAATAGGGCACCTCGGGGAAGGACCAAGAGGATACATTTTTCAAAGAAGGCCAGGAAACAGTCCAGGGAGGATTGGCAGAAATGACAGATGGCAGGGAACTCCTGGGTTGTAATTCCTGTGGGCAATTGTTAACAAATGGGTGGTTGAAATATTGTTTAAATACTAGTAGTTGTTTAATCAATATAGTGGCTATCAACAAGAATTGATTTTTGGCCCCAACTGCCAGGGAACATTTGACGATGTCTGGAGACATTTTTTATTGTCACGATTTGGCTGGTAGTGCTACTAGAACTAGTAGGTAGAGGTCAAGGATGCTACTAAGCATTCTTTAGTGTGCAGGGCAGTATCCTACCCTCAACAAAGAATATCCAACCCAAAACATTAATAGTGTCGAGGTTGAGAAACCCTGGGCTGAAACAGACTGCAGCTTTTGCCAAATGCTCAGGTTGTGCCTGGGGGCTGTGTTGCAGGTCAAAAGGGGCAGGAATTGGAGAGACGTCTACAAAGCTTCCAACACCATGGCCCTGGGGGTGACCTCCTCGGTACCCTGCCTGCCCCTCCCCAACATCCTACTCATGGCCAGTGTCAAATGGCACCAGGGGCAGAACCAGACATGGAACAGACCATCCATAGCCCCCAACATCTTCCTGAAGAGGTGAGCAATGCAGATGAGAATGGAGGACAAGAGGGGTGAGGGGTGGATGCAAAGTGGAGGTTGCTTGACTACTAAACTCAAGGAGAAGATAGAGATGTCATCAGCAGTGACATTGATTTTTTTAGACAACAGAGTATCCTAAGACAGGTGTTGCACTGGAAGGACAGAGGCCAAGTGGGACAAAGGGAGATGTCATGTGGACAGGAGTCAGGGGCTAGTCTACCTGCCCACTTTCTTTCTCGCTGCACAGACGCCACTGAATTCATAGGAAATCTCTCAGCATTGGGCCCAAGGGCAAGGAGGCAGTGAGTCTGGCAGATGGAGCACTGGTTGGGGAAAGGAGATTATTTCTAGTTCTTGGTGTACAACTAACTGGACTCAATTTTTAAAATCACAAGTTATTTGCTGCTCCTCAGTTTTCTTTGTCTTTTTCTTTTTCTTTCTTTCTTTTTTTTTTTTTTTGAGACTGAGTCTCAAAAAAGACTATCGCCCAGGCTGGAGTACAATGGTGGGATCTTGGCTCACTGCAACCTCTGCCTCACAGGTTTAAGTGATTCTCCTGCCTCAGCCTCCCGAGTAGCTGGGATTATAGGTGCCTGCCACCACACCTGGATAATTTTTGTATTTTTAATAGAGACAGGGTTTCACCATGTTGGCCAGGCTGGTCTTGAACTCCTGACCTCAGGTGACCCACCCTCCTCAGCCTCCCAAAGTGCTGGGATTACGGGCGTGAGCCACTGTGCCCGGCCAGGTTTTTTTTGTTTTTTTTTTTTAATCAGTAAAATAAATGGGACTAAGTCTCACTTAGAGCTGTAGCATATAGTGACATCATGCTTGTCTGGGACGAAGTAGCCTTTTTAAATTTTGGGGCCTCTTTAAATAATCTGTAGGATATCTCAAGAATCTCTAGAAATTCCCAAAAGTCCAAGAAAACCCTTCATTTCTCCATGCTACCTCAGTGACACACCTCTCCATGATGTTCTTGGTGTACCTCTAGCAAGTACCACCCAGTCCCAGCTGACTAATATTAGATCCAAAGCCAGATCCTTGAACTTTAACTCCCTTGGGAAGACTAACTGTGGCATTAAACTCAATAAATGCACAAGCCAGACAGTGGGGCAAGCTCCTTTGGTGCTTTCAAGAAAGAAATTTTGGCTGGGCGCGGTGGCTCGTGCCTGTAATCCCAGCACTTTGGGAGGCAGAGGCAGGTGGATCGCCTAAGGTCAGGAGTTCGAGACCAGCCTGACCAACATGATGAAACCTCGTCTCTACCAAAAATAAAAAATTAGACGGGCCTGGTGGCACATGCCTGTAATCCCAGCTACTGAGGAGGCTAGGGCAGGAGAATCGCTTGAACCTAGGAGGCGGAGGTTGCAGTGAGCCAAGATCGTGCCATTGCACTCCAGCCTGGGCAACAAGAGCAAAACTTTGCCTCAGAAAAAAAAAAAAAAAAGAAAGAAAGAAAAGAAAAACAGAAAGAAATTGTAAAATCCTATGACTAGCCACCTTACCTCCTAGGCTGTCTCTCTCAAATAGGGTCTAGGGCACACGAGAATCATGGCAGGGTAGGTGGAAGTTACAATGCAAATTCCAGGGCCACACCCAATTCCTACTGAATCTGAATCTTCAGTGGTGTCTTCAGGTGTCTGCATTTTAAACAAGCTCAGCAGGTGTATTTGGTCTCCCCAACAATTGAGCAGCACTGTGCTAAAGCACCCTCTTTTCTACCTCCAAAAGCCTTAGTCCTAAAGGAGACCTGCCTCATTTTAACGAAGACAGGGTCAGATTGGATGCAATAGGGTTGTCAGTGTGTGTCTTCCCTGGTGGCTTCAGGATTCTCCCATTGAGGTTTGTGGAGCTCCAGGTATGTGACCACTATCAACGCATCCTGCAGTTGAGGACAGTCACTGAGAAGATTTATTACCTAAAGCTCCATCCTGACCATCCTGAGACTGTCTTCCACTTCTGGATCCGACTGGTTCAAATTCTGCAAAAGGGGCTGTCCATCACCACCAAAGACCCTAGGATTCTTGTCACGCACTGCCTGGTACCCAAGAACTGCAGCAGCCCCTCAGGAGATTCGAAGGTAAGTGAGCACCATTGCCACCCTGCAGTCAAGGCCAAAGCAGCAAGGTAGAGCTTAACCCAGCTGGTATGTGAGTGCCCTATGAAGGTGATCTCAGTGTGAGGCCTTTTCTAAACAGCTTTATTGAGTATCATTTAGAACAATAAAATCCACCATTGTGGATTTTATTGTTTTATAATTGTTTTGTTTTATATATATTTTATATAAACAATTCTATATAAATTGTTTATTGTTTTATAAAATCCACCATTGTGGATTTTATGGTGGATTATGTTGAAACCACAGTTTCAACACTTTCAGTAGATTGTATAGAGTCGTGTAACCATCACCACAATCCAGTTTCAGAACATTTCCATTACCCTAAAAAATACCCCCTCGCCCATTTGCAGTCATTCCCTGTTCCTACTCCCAGCTCTAGGCAACCATTATCTGTTTTTAGTCTATACACATTCATCTTAGGCATTTCATATAAATGGAATCTTACAACATATAGTCTTTTGTGTCTGGCTTCTTTCACTTAGCGTAACATTTTTCAGTTTCATCCATATTGTAGCATGGGGCCAACTCCAGGGCAGAGTCACAGAGTATTTGTAGTTTTTTTTGTTTTGTTTTGCTTTTTTTTTTTTTTTTTTTTGAGATGGAGTCTTACTCTGGCCCCCAGGCTGGAGTGCAGTGGCACAATCTTGGCTCACTGCAACCTCTGCCTCCCAGGCTCAAGTGATTCTCCTGCCTCAGCCTCCCAAGTAGCTGGCATTACAGGCACGCACCACCATGCCCAGCCAATTTTTGTATTTTTAGTAGAGATGGGGTTTCACCATGTTAGCCAGGCTGGTCTGGAACTCCTGACCTCAGGTGATCCACCCACCTCGGCCCACCAAAGTGCTGGGGTTACAGGCGTGAGGCACTGTGCCCGGCATTGACCATTTTTCAATTGGGTTTTTTCTTCTTATTGCATTGTAAGGATTATTTGTATATTCTGGATACAAGTTCTTCATCTGATAGATGATTTCAAAATATTTTCTCTCAGTCTATGAATTGCCTTTCATTTTCTTAATGATGTTTTTGAGGAGCAAAAGTTTTTAATTTTGATTAAGTGCAATTATCAACTTTTTCCTTCTTCTTTTTTTTTTTTTTTGAAACAGTCTCCCTCTGTTGCCCAGGCTGGAGTGCAATGGCACAATCTTAGCTCATTGCAACCTCCACCTCCTGGGTTCAAGTGATTCTCCCACCTCAGCCTCCCAAGTAGCTGGGATTACAAGCATGCACCACCACACTCAACTAATTTTTGTATTTTTTGGTAGAGACAGGGTTTCACCATGTTGGCCAGGCTAGTCTCGAACTCCTGACCTCAAGTGATCCGCCTGCCTCAGCCTCCCAAAGTCCTGGGATTACAGGCATGAAACTTTTTCTTTTATGGATCAGGTTTTCTATGCATACCTAAGAACTCTTTGTTCATTCCAAAGTCACAAAGATTTTATCCTATGTTTTATTCTAGGAGTTTTATAGATTCAGCTCTTACATTTAGGTCTATGATCCATTTTGAGTTAATATTTATGTATGGAATGAGGTAATGATCTAAGTACTTTTTTTGTGTATATGGATATGTAATTAGCCTAGCACCATTTGTTGAAAAGACTATTCCTTCCCACATTGAATTGTCTTAGCACCTTCATCAAAAATCAATTTACTATCAATATAAAAATTTATTTCTGAATTATCAGTTCCATTCTGTTGACTTATTTGCCTATTCTTGTGTTAATAAAACAATGTCTTGGTTAATGTAGCTTTATATTAAGTTTGAAAATGGGTGATATAAGTCTTCTAATTTTGTTCTTTTTCAAACTGTGTTGGCTATTCTAAATCTGTTGCATTTTCATATAAATTTTAGAATCAGTTTGTTAATTTCCACAAAAAAAAAACCTGTTAGAATTTTGATAAGCACATGTTGAATTTATACATCACTTTGGGGAGAAGTGCCATCTGATAATATTGTGTCTTCCAACATCTGAATATGGAATGTCTTTTCATTTATTTCAATACTTTAGTTTCCCTTAGCAAAGTTTTGTAGCTTTTGTTTTGTTTTTAATAGCAATGGGGTCTTGCTCTGTTGCCCAGGTTGGTCTTGAGCTCCTGGGCTCAAGCAGTTCTCCTGCCTCAGCCTCCCAAAGTGCTGGGAGCCACATGCTTGGCCTATTTTGTAGTTTTTAGTAGACAAATTCTGCAAGTTCTGCACTTATTTGATTAAATGTTTTCCTAAGTATCTTATTGTTGTTGATGCTGTTGTGACCAGAACTGTGTTTGTGTTTTCTTAATTTCATTTTTGGGTCATTCATTGATAGTATTAGAAATACAATTGGTTTTTTAATATTAACCTCATTATACATTATAGCAGTTTTACAGATTCCTTGGGATCTTCTACATACACACACCACACACACACACACACACTCATGCCATCTGCAATAAGGACAGTTTCATATCTTCATTTCCAATCTAGATTTGTTTATTGCTCTATTGCATTAGCTGGAACCTCCAGTACATGTTTAATAGAAGAGGCAAAAGCAGACATCCTTGTCTTGTTCCTGATCTTAGGAAAAAAACATTCAGTTTTTTGCTGTTAAGTATGATGCTTATTATGAATATTTGTAGATGCCCTTAATCTGATTGAGGACATTCCCTTTCTTCCTATTTATTGAAAGAGTTTTCTTTCTTTTCTTTTTTCATCATGAATGGGTATTAGATTTGTTAAATGCTTTCTCTGCATCTATTAAGATGATTATGTGGTTTGTCCTTCATTCTGTTAATACAGTATATTACATGAATTGATTTTTTTTAACGTTAAACCAACTTTGTGTTCCTGCGATAAAATCTGCCTGGTCACGGTGTATATACTTATTTTTTATATGTTACTAGATTCAGTTTGCTTACATTACATTAAGGAATTTTGCATCTATGCTCATGAGAGATATTGGTCTGTAATTTTCTTGGGATATCTTTGTGATCCCCTAGCTTTGGTATTAAGTTAATATTATCCTCATTGAAGAAGTTGGAAAGTATTCCCTCCTCTATTTTCTGAAAGAATTCATGAAGCATTGCTATTACTTCTTCTTTAAATATTTGATAGAATTTACCAGTGAAGATACCTGGGCCTTTTTGCCCCAGAACATGATGAATGTAAGTCTGGCTTCAGCTACAACAGAAACTCCATGAAGGCAGGGGTTTCTGTTTGTCTTCTTTACTGCTATATCCCTAGTACCTGGCTCCTAGTTGGCATTCAATAAATACGGAATGAATGAGTGACTATGGACATGGACAGCATGCACAACTGGAGCACTTTTGAGTATCACAGGCAGCAGGAAAGAAATTAATTTTGCCCCGATGTAAAAAGCAGCACACTATAGGATATTTCTTAGAGAAATTAAGTTTTAAAACACCAATTAGGCCAGGCGCGGTGGCTCACGCTTATTATCCCAGCACTTTGGGAGGCCAAGGTGGGCAGATCACGAGGTCAGGAGATCGAGACCAGCCTGGCCAACATGGTGAAACCCCGTCTCTACTAAAAATACAAAAATTAGCTAGGTGTGGTGGCAGACACCTGTAGTCCTAGCTACTTGGGAGGCTGAGGCAGGAGAATCGTCTGAACCCAGGAGGCAGAGGTCTCAGTGAGCCGAGATCGCACCACTGCACTCCAGCCTGGCTATAAGAGCGAGACTCTGCCTCAAAAAAAAAACTCCACTAATTAAATTTCTATAACAAATATATGATTCCCCTACATTTAAGTATAAAACCAAACAGCATAAACTTTATTAAAGCTTATATTAATAGGCTATTCATACATTATATTAAGGTATATTAATAGGAATAAGTATCTGTTAAGTAATGTTAAAAGTATGTAATGAAGATATTACCCTTAAGGCACAAAAGGACATTTTTACCAATACGAGGAGTGTAAACCAAAAAATATGGCCTCAGAATTGCCTCTGTGAGCAGCTGGTGTGGCTGCACTTTGGAAAATTTTGAGTTCCAACACTTTAGAGTCTGGACCATGATATTAGGAAAATGTGAAGACCCCAAGGCCTTAACCACCTGGTTCTGCTTTTTTTCTTCATATAGTTAGTACAGAAGAAACTCCAAGCCTCCCAGCCCAGCGAGAGTCTCATTCAGCTAATGACCAAGGGGGAGAGTGAAGCCCTGTCTCAGATTTTTGCCGACTTACACCAGCAGAACCAGTTGAGGTACATGACTTAAATCAAGCCAGCCTCTGACATTCCCTCCTGCAACCCAGATGGTCTGGGCTGTGAGATCCAGAAACCAAATAGCTTGGTTAATGAGCGCAGGGTTTTACGTGACCAGGCACGGTGGCTCACGCCTGTATTCCCGGCACTTTGGGAGGTCAAGGCAGATGGATTGCTTGAGGTCAGGAATTTGAGACCAGCCTGGCCTCGATATACTGCCACTCACTATCCAGTCTTTTTTTTTTTTTTTTCCTTTTTGAGATAGGCTCTCACTCCGTCGCCCAGGGTTCAAGCGATTCTCCCGCCTCAGCCTCCTGAGTAGCTGGGACTACAGGCATGTGCCACCATGCCCCCAACTAATTTTTGTATTTTTAGTAGAGACAGGGTTTCACCATATTGGCCAGGCTGGTCTGGAACTCCTGACCTCAGGTGAGCTGCCCGCCTCGGCCTCCCAAAGTGCTGGGATTACAGGCATGAGCCACCGCGCCCAGTCACTGTTCAGTCTTTATCCTTGACTCAGGACAACCTTCCTCCAGCTCTTCTTGCCTTGTTCTTCTTCTCCACACAGCAAGCATGGTGGGCTTGACTCCAGAGGAGGACTACTATAAAAAATGAAAAGTAGTTCTCCAACAATGAGGATAAGTTAGGTATACAGGTGAAAAAGTAAAACCTAAATTTCTTTTTGTTGTTGTTGTTCATTTGTTTACGTGAGACAAGAGTCTCACTCTGTCGCCCAGGCTGGAGTGCAGTGGCACAGTCTCGGCTCACTGCAACCTCTGCCTCCTGGGTTGATGTGATTCTCCTGCCTCAGCCTCCCAAGTAGCTGGGATTACAGACACACATCACCACGCCCAGCTAATTATTGTATTTTTAGTAGAGACAGGGTTTCACCATGCTGGCCAGGCTGGTCTCGAATTCCTGACCTAAAGTGATCCAC
Source organism: Homo sapiens (assembly GCF_000001405.40). NCBI lineage: Eukaryota > Metazoa > Chordata > Mammalia > Primates > Hominidae > Homo > Homo sapiens. The sequence goes on from NC_000007.14 coordinate 128,724,256, forward strand.
CTGTCTCAGCCTCCCAAAGTGCCAGGACTACAGGCGTGAGCCACTGTGCCCAGTCATGTAAAACCTAATTTCTAATCCAGTTTCTAGTCCTACAGGGAAATAACCAAAACCATTGTTTAAAACATTGTCAACTTATTGGATTTACTTACCTACTCACCCAAGGTCTCTGCTTGGACTTTATGGAGCTTCTGTGATCGTTTTCTTAATATAGAGTCTGTTCTGGAAAGCTCCATGCTACAGATCTATCTTCTTCATGGCTGAGGAAATGTCGCTGTATGTACAGATGACTTAGCATTAAGTCTTGGTATAAAACTGGTTGGTTTAAAAGAGACAGGAGTTGAGCGTACTTAGACCAGAGGGTACCACAGAATATTCAGTCCCAGATAAAGTGGGATCCAGGGTCCTAGTGCCTATTACTTATGGTTTAATAGAAAGGAGAGAACAGAAATAAATTAGCAAATGTCACCAGGAGAGAAAAATGAGGTGTCAGAGAGGAGAATTTTGTCACAACAGGAACCAGTTGGACCAGCAGTTCAGAGGCAGAACAAATTCCCTTTCTTTCTGAGCACTGGTAATAAACTGAAAACCAGTACAGCTTGGAGGAGGCAAGCGCTTATAGCAACGAAGAGCTCGCAAAGACATGGGCCCAAGTCATTGCTCTGACTGCACCCTTGAGCATATCGAAACCTGGGGGCTCAGTCTTCAGATCTGTAAAATGGAAATGAAAATAGTGCCAACGCCATCCAGATGTCAGGATCCAATGAGCTCATATGCACCAAGCACTTAGAATGCTACTCAGCAGATTTAGAGGCAAATTGTAAGTAAGCTCTCAATAAGTATTAACTTGTATTGTTAATTCTAACTTGGCTGGAGGTAGAAAACTATTAACACAAGAAAAAGACTTATCTGTTGCCCAGTATAAAGAATATATCCTGGAGATTGTCACTCCATATATCATACAGAGCTCTGTAATTAAGGAACTTCTCGATGAGATGTCATATTGCTGAGCTAGAGGGCACTGGACTCTAATAGAGCAAGGTATTTTGAAACTGCTTTTTGGCTATCTCAAATTATCAAATCACTTTCCTTCCTTCCTTCCTTCCTTCCTTCCTTCCTTCCTTCCTTTTTCTTTCTTTTTTGAGACAGTCTCACTCTGTTGCCCAGGCTGGAGTGCAGTGGCATCTCAGCTCACTGCAACCTCTGCCTCTCGGGTTCAAGCGATTCTAATGCCTTAGCCTCCAGTGTAGCTGGGGTTATAGGCACTCACTACCATGCCTGGCTAATTTTTGTATTTTTATTAGAGATGGGGTTTCACCATGTTGGCCAGGCTGGTCTCAAACTCCTGGCCTTATGTGATCCATTCACCTCAGCCTCCCAAAGTGCTGGTATTATAGGAGGGAGCCACTGTGTCTGCTCAAATCACTGATTTTTAAATTACTATTTAAAGAACCGTTTCTGTTTATACCTCATTGGCCACACTCAGTCACGTGACCTCACTCAGCTGCAAGGGAGGCTGGGAAATGCATTCCCCATTTTGCATAGACATGTACACAACACAAAATTAGACACTGTGCTCCCCAGGGAGAAGGCAAAAAGGGTCACTGGGGGCCTACTGGCACTCTCTGGCACAGACAGCTTTTAATATTTCTAGAAGTTGAGAGGAGGCTAAGGTCTGAAGGAGAAAATAGGTAATAGACAGCTAAAGAAAGGGTGAAGAAGGGCCAGGCAGGTTAAGGGAATGGGCAGGTGCAAGGCTGAGGCTTCCACAAAGGAAGAAGCTTGGTGGAAGGCCAGTGGGGAAAAGCGGGTAGTGGTGGAAGAGAATAAATAGAAGAGGGCAAGGAGTGAGCCAGGCGGGGCCTGGGAAGCCATGCGAAGATATTTAGACTTCCAGTATCATGGGAGCCTTAGCAGCATTTTAAACAGGGAAGTGACGTGATCCAATTTACATTTTGAAAAGGTCATGCTAGCTGTTGCCTGACAGTTAATTTGAAGGGAAGGAGAGATGTGGAAAAACGAGCTAGGGAGCTATGGCAACCTACTCTGGGCAGATCGGAAGGATGTAAGAAATGAGGGGAGGAAGGGATTAGTTTTTGCTTCATTGCTATCTTGATAATTGCTTTGTACAGACATTTAGCTCTTTCTTGTTAGTTTCCCAGAATGAAGCCCCTGAGTGATGATTTTTCTCTCATTTGGGCTGGTTCTAGTCTGGTTGCAATTATTATCAGTTTTTGCACATTGGCAACAACATGCAACTTAACAGCAAATAAAATAAATAGCTGAGATGCAGAACTGAACAGATGGAGTCACCCCCTCCTCCTCAGCAAAATCAGCAGCATGGGCTCTGCTCCCCACCTCCCACCCCATTCCACCTCCCCCTTCCCGATTTTTTTTTTCTGGAACTTTAATATGCGTCACACCCATCCAATATAGCCACAGCTGGCCTTTTTCATATTTATATCTGTCTCTAAAGCTTTGCATCAGGAACTTTGGAACAAGATCTGAAATACAAATTTAATGTTCTTTTCCTTTACTTTCAACTTTCATTTCCTTGATCCTGAAATGGCTCGAGTTTCAGGAGCAGCAGAAAGGTGGAGACCAACAAGAACAGCTCAGGTAAGGGAGGGCACAGGGTACCATGCCTCAAAGAGCTTTCTACTCTGGATATAAGAATAAGATCCCCTCCAGCCCCCATCCTGGTTGTCCTGGTGCTGTCAGTATTGCCATTGTCCTTCCATGCCTTAGTTTGAATTCCTTTAGGCTCTCTGGCCACCACAATCAAGTTGGCACCAAGTCCTAACCAATTTCTTTCTTTGCAATGTATCTTGTATTCTTTACTTCATTTCTACACCCACAGACCCTACCCCAGCCCAGCCCTTCTCATCTCAAGCCTGTAGCACTCTTCCATAAGTTCATTTATCCATTTATTCATTCAAAACCACGCACTGAGTGCCAGTTACTGTGATGGGCTCTAGGGCCACCATGTAGAAAGACACCATGTTCCCGCAAGAAGTTTATAATTTGGTGGTGTCAGATGGGAAAATCCCCGAATTACAAAATGTCTCCTTCCAGGCAACATTCAAAGCTTGTGCCTAGGGTGCCAAAGGAGCACAAAGAAGGGGGTCCCTCATTCCTGCCAGGAAGCTTGCCTGGGAGGCATGGTTTCTGAACTGAGTCATAGACAATGAGTGCAGGTGAGCTGGCTGAAACAGGTAACGCAGGGCATTCTAGGAAGAAGAGACAGAGTCTGCAAGAGGGAGCATGACACATTCTGGAAAAAGCAGCCAGTTCCCTATTTCCAGGTTCTAGTTCACCCCAAATCCACTCAATTCGGCATGCATGGCCCTGCACAATCTTCCCCCATCTCACCCATCTCACCTGCTCACTCACTCTTCCTCTAATAGCAGCCCTCTGCCTAATCATCTTCTCTAGCCCAAATCTTTTGCTCCAGCAAACCTTAGCCATCCCATGCCTCCTTCATCCCCCATCCACTCCCTTCCCCCGATGCTTCACTCTAAATCCTCCCTATCCTTCTAAATCCTACCCTTCACACAACACCTTCCTGCCAGGCTAATCCTTCCTCGGTCATAACCTCTCTTTCATTATTCCCTAGTTGTTTTATAGGTTTGAGGGATATTTCTTCAGTGAATACTAAATTGTTTTCAGGCTTCTCAATTATCCACAGCATGAAGCAGAGGCCTGAGAACACAATGGGAGGCAATTAATACCCATATACCATGGCACTAATAAATTATTCCTTCACGTTGGCTCAGTAGGCAGCCAAAATATCATAAGATATTTATAAATTTAGAGAAGGCTGTAGGTCCCAGGGGAACTCTGCTAACTTTCGTCTAAATCAGGGATTACAAATGCATAGGACTGCAGGTGGTATAAATGGGTAAAGGGGGCAGGGCGCGGTGGCTCACGCCTGTAATCCCAGCACTTTGGGAGGCCGAGGTGGATGGATCACGAGGTTAGGAGTTCGAGACCAGCCTAGCCAACATGGTGAAACCCCATCTCTACTAAAAATACAAAAATTGGCTGGGCATGATGGTGCGTACCTGTAGTCCCAGCTACTCGGGAGGCTGAGACAGGAGAATCGCTTGAATCTGGGAAAGTGGAGGTTGCAGTGAGCCGAGATCACGCCACTGCACTCCAGCCTGGTGACAGAGCGAGACTCAGACTTAAAAAAAAAAAATGGATAAAGGGCTGGGTGACATGGATGTAAGAAAAGGTTAACTTTTCTCTAAATTCTGTTATAAGTAAAACAACTGCTGGCAGCTGACACTTGGTGTCAAAACTGAGAAGACAGCAGGGAGTGGTGGGGATAGTGGCAATGAGAAAGTGAAAGCTTCAATTAAGACTTCCATTCGTTGTTGCCATGCTGGAATCCAGGCCAAATATTCTGATTTTTCAAGAGAAGCCAAAAGATCTGGACATATGTGGCATACCACCTTCCCATAAAATATTCAAGCATAGTATTGGCTAACACTTAGTGGGCAAACAAAACATATCTGCAGACCACATTCAGCCTGGAGGCTGCCAGCTCACAGCCCCTGTTCTAAATGGTGAGCACAGCTGTGGCTGCCTCACATTTTGTCCAAGCCTAAGAATGTTTTCTCATGTTATGCGACTAATGACATGATGGTGACTCATTTCTCTGCATTTAAACATACATTCAAACACACATATGTATAAACATACACACTCAAAACATACCCCATGACATTAGGGTTGAAGAAAACAGATGTGAGGAATATTTCAAACATTTCTGGGACTTGAGAAAACAGCTAGAATTTTAGGGTCGCAGGGTATCTGGCATCATGGGACCTACCACGGCCAAGATGTTCCTAGGCTGAAATTGAATTGAAATTAACCATCCCAGGTGGCCTCCAGGCCCTCTTTTCTCATTCGGCGAGGGAGTGTAGTCTCTCAGTTTAAAAAGACTGTTATACCCCAGCCTCTGGAACTTTTGGATGAAAAAGAGACTTAAAATTGGAAAAACCAGAGGCCCAACAGCACCTGTGTGGCTGAATCTTTCCACTCACCACCAGCAGGTGGTATGGCCTATTATTGCAGTGCTTCCCAAACTTTAATGTCCAAACAGTCCCCCATAGATCTTGTTAAAAGGCAGATTCTAATTTCTTGGGTCTAGCGGGATTGAGACTGCGATTCTAACATGCTCCCAGGTAATGCCCAAGGTGCTGGGCTGTGGGCCATCCTTTGAAGAGCCAGGGCCAAGTGGACCAAGAACAGGCTCTAGCTTAAGGTCTTCTGGGTTCAAGGCCATTGCTAGTTCAGCTAGATGAGTCTCCTGGGGAAATCCACTCAGTTAACCCATCTGAATCATATTGGGTCTCTCCTTTTACTGGTGCTGTCTTGTTCACGTGACATAGTGGTAAGAACGTGGACTCTGGAGCCAGGCTGCCAGGCTTGGAATTCTGACTCTGCTTCTCCTTGTGTGACAGTTGGTAAGTTACTCACCCTCTCTGACCTCACAGAGGTGAGGATTAAAGGACCATGAATGCACGTAATTGTTTGGAATGGTGCCTGGCACATCGTAAGCACCCCCCCAAATGTCAGCTGTAACCTGTAAGGGCTCTGTGAACCAGCACACAAGCAAATGCATTTCTTTACTTGATCTAGGGAAAGATTCTTCCCGTGAAGACAGCATCCCTTGCACCTGTGACCTACGTTGGAGGGCTTCATTCACGTACGGAGAGTGGGAAAGAGAGAACCCCTCCGGCCTGCAGCCCCTCTCACTACTCAGCACTCTGGCAGCCTCCACCGGGCCACAGCTGGCCCCACCCATAGGTACAGCAATGGGAGGAATCCCCTGCCATTGTGGGGCAGCCCTGGCATTCAGCCTCAGGGCTGGGTCAGATCCTGGGGTCCTGAGGGTGATTCCAGAAAGTTGTGGGGTGTGGTCGAGGAATGCTGGCCACAGAGACCTCAGCCCTCTTTTCCCAACTGGGCTGAGCAAAACCATGATGTGTGGCACCTCCAGGGCCCCCAGAGTTCCCCCAGATGCTGTTGACGCTATAGCTGCTTTCTCTTGCTGTATGGGAGGTGTAAGGGATCTCCTCTGCAGACTCCCCATGTGGTCTTTCCTCTCTTTTCCTTTCCTGGAGCTCTTGAAGGGCCTTCTTACTGCTTGGGTTGGGATGCAGAGAGTGAAAAGGAAGTAGGTTAAGGGGGCTGGGGTGGGGTCAGACCTCCCTAAGGTCCCAGTCCTTCTGTCTTCATGCTCAAGGCCCATTCGTCCATCCACACATTCATTTAACAAACATTTGTGAAGTACTTCCTATGTGCCTCTGTTTGACCAGAGATAGATTTCCCTAAAAGGGAGGGGTGATTTCTGTTTTCTAAAGTAAAATGTCATGAATAAACCACCAACTCTTTTTTTTTTGAGACGGAGTCTCACTCTATCACCCAGGCTGGAGTGCAGTGGCATGATCTTGGCTCACTGCAACCTCCGCCTCCCAGGTTCAAGTGATCCTCCTGCCTCAGCCTCCTGAGTAGCTGGAATTACAGACATGCACCACCACGCCCAGCTAATTTTTGTATTTTTAGTAGACACAGGGTTTCACCATGTTGGCCAGTCTTGTCTCGAACTCTCGACCTCAGAACTCTCAACCTCAGGTGATCTGCCCACCTTGGCCTCCCACAAAGTGCTAGGATTACAGGTGTGAGCCACTGGGCCCGGCCACCACCAACCCTTATAAGATACCTATTATAGATAGTTGACAATTTTTTTAAATTAGCATAAGTATCTGTGTGCCCACAAAAGAGCTTTTTAGGTAATTTATATCCTATCAAACACTTTTCTCTCCTACACTCACAGGAAATTCTATTTGAGCCACCCTTCCGCACTGGGGAGAATCTATGCAAGCCTCGTCAACACCACTTTGCAGCATTCAGCTGCTGAGGGATTATCGGGATGGAGAGTAGGAGAAAACTGCAACCAAGGAAGAATAGAGTCATCTCACGGTGACAGCAGAGCCTTTCCAGCTGTACATAACCACGTCCTCGCCACTGCACCTCGGCATATGCCACCTCCATGCCACTGCCAGAGCTGGCCTAGCAAGATGTGCTCTCAGAATGGCCGGGCCCAAGAGATGAAGGAAAGGAGTGAAAGGGAAGTAGGACCAGAGAAGTGGAAGGAAGCAAAATGGAGGTGATGAGAAAGGTGGTGGGAGAAAGTCAGCAGATGAGAGACACAAAGAGAAGTGGTAATAGGAAACGGAAGAGACTTGGTAGACGAGATAAGGAGGACAAGAGAAGGGACACACCCCTGAGAGATGCTCACCAAGCTTCTATTTATCTAATTTAAAACTTGAAAGTAAAGCCATAAACAAAAAAAAGAAATGTTTTCTTCCCTGCTCAGACCATTCTGGACAAATGTGAACTGCCAGACACCTTCCATTTCCCTTTCTATCTGTTTTTCTTGCTAGTTCCTGTCTTCTGATTAAAGCTTCATTCCTTCTTTGTTGGCCTGTTCCCTAACTTGGACTTGCTAGCCCTGTTGTTCCTAATAGAGGTTTGGGTTTGAGCTGCAGAAAGGTTCTTATAGGAGGTAGTAAGACAAGGTGTGTAAGGTAGGGCGAATTTCTCTTTTGTGTTCAAATTCCCTAAGTTTGCTATTATCTCCGTGCCGCAAACACTGGCTCAACTTCTTTTTTGTATAACACTCCCTTGAAATGTCGACATACCTTGTTAGTGCTTTTTAAATTAGAGATTCCAGAGATAGGAGATATAGGCTCAACATACAGGTTAATCAGAGGTTTACCAATTATAGATGAAGGGAGTCATGAAGGAGTGTTTGTCAGATGGTCTATGGACTGGCCTCTTTGTTTAAAATGTGCAATAGTGTCAGGAGCAGTAGCTCGTGCCTGTAATCCCAACGCTTTGGGAGGCTGAGGCAGGTGAACCACTTGAGCCCAGAAGTTTGAGACCAGCCTGCGAAACATGGCGAAAACCCATCTCTGCCAAAAATACAAAAAAATTAGCCAGGAGTGGTGGTGTGTGCCTGTAGTCCCAGCTACCAGGCAGGCTGAGATGGGAGGATTGCTTGAGCCCAGGAGGTCGAGGCTGCAGTGAGCAATGAGTGTGCCACTGCACTTCAGCCTGGGTGACAGAGTGAGATCCTGTCTCAAAAAAAGAAAAATTTCACATTTAATGAGAAACAGACTATGAGTATTTCAGGAAAGCTGTCCATCCCCCAGCTGGGGAGGGTATTTTGATTTGACTTAAGATATCCTAGCAGCATCTTTTTCCTCACTTAACTAGTTTTCAGCCTGAAATTGTTAGAAGGCTAAAAAATAAGCTCCTGGATCACCATTACTCAAAGGCTGAGTTATGTCCTAATTCTTAGTGATTTCAGCATCCACATGGATGATCCTTCCCATACTTTGATCTCTGTTCCCTGAACTCCTGCCTTCCAGCAATGCTTTTTCCACCCTCCTCGACCACTGTCTCCCTTGATTTTACCCTAGTGTTTGTCATTAATAACTGCACCTAACCCCATTATTTCCACTCCCTAGCTATAACACCTCCTATTTTTTCCTGAGTCCAATAATCCATTGACCCACCAATCCTACAATCTATTGCTTCTACCAGGTTTTCACTGTTCCTCGCTCTCTTCATGTTCTCATTTCCTTCCCCTGTAACCTAGATTATCTGTGATCAGTCATTATTATTATCACTTCCTGGCATGCATTCTCAACATCTTTGTGACTCTCTCACTTTCTTCCCTTGGCTAAATTCAGTTCTCTACCAGCTCCATGCCTGTGTGATGCTGCTGAACTTGCCACTGAACCTCTCTGGAGAAGATCACATGACATACTAACCAGTCTCCCTGCAAAGTCATCATCATGGCCTCAAGGGGGTCCTTGATGTTGCCTGGAAATCATCATGTGTTCTCCTAAATCTGTTCACTCTGCTGAATGGCTATTTCACACCTCTCTCCTCTAACTGCCAATGCCTCCTCCTGATGACCCTGCTTCCTATTTCACTGAGAACATAGTCAGAATTGAAAGAGAATTTCAGGCTCTCACCACCATATCTACCAATTACCTAGATCCAGACCCATTGACTCTAGCTTCTCTCTTTGTTACTATGGAGGAACTGTCTCTCCAAGCAGAGTCCAGCTCTTCCCCTTTTGTAGTAGATCCCATTCCATCTCACCCAAATATGTCACACCAGCAACTTTTCCTTTTTCCTACGTCATCAGTTTGATCTCTACTTCCAGATCCTTCCCATCAGCAACGAACATACTGGCATGCCTCCTAAACATACTTATTTCTTACAATAAAAACAGAACAAAATAAAACAAAACCTCTCTTGGCCCCTCTGCCTCCTTGCTCCAGTTTTCTCCACCCCTTTACAGAAAACTCCATGAAAGGGAACCAACTTTTAAAAATCTCCATTGTCTCTTGAAGTCCTTCAACCAGGTTTTTGCATTCACTACCTTGACAAACCTGTCAAAGATTCCCACACTGCTAAAGCCCATGGCCAACTGGGCCCCACCTCACTGTCAGCAGCATGCTTTCTCCCTGAACCTTTTCTTCACTTGGCTTCCAGGACACTCTCCTGGCTTTCCTTCTCCCTCATTGACCTTTTTCTCAGTTCCTTTGCTGATTCATTCTCATCAACACCCCCCAATCATATCTGAACATCAGAAATTCCCAGGATTCAGTCCTTAAGTCTCTTGTAATCAAAACACACAGATTTCATGCCACAAATATACTCGTAAATTTATATATTTAGTCCAGACCACCATGTACTCGAGATACATATCCAACTGCCTAGTCGATATCTCTACTTGAATGTCTAATATGTATCTCAACATGCCCAAAACAAATCTCTCAATATTATCCCTCAAATTAGCTGGGTGTGGTGGTGCATGCCTGTAATCCCAGCTACTCGGGAGGCTGAGCCAGGAGAATCACTAGAACCCAGGAGGCAGAGGTTGCAGTGAGCTGAGATCACACCACTGTACTACAGCCTGGGCGACAGAGCGAGACTCTGTCTCAGAAAAAAAAAAAAATTATCCCTCAAAACTTTGTTCTCTCTAAAGTCTTCTCCATCCTAATAAGCAGAAGCCTCATTTTTCTACTTGCTCAAAACCCTGGAGTCATCCTTAACTCCTCTCTTTCTCTCCACCCTATTTCCAACCCATTAGGAAATCCTTTCAAACTACTTTCAAAATATATTCAGAATTTGATATTCTCACTACTTCCACTGCTACCAACCTGGACCAAACCATCATCATCACTCACCTGGATTGTTGCAAACACCTCCTAAATGCACTCCGTTCCTAACCTTACTCCCTTTCAGTCTAATGTGATCCTTTAAAAATCTTAGATCATGTTTCTTCTCTGCTCAAAACCTTCCAATGGTTTCCCTTCTGTATTAGTTAAGGCAATGCTAGCTCTGAAAGAGATAAATCCTAATATATCAATGGCATAAAATAGCTAATAGAAGTTCTACTTCTCATTCACAAAGAGTCCAAAAATGGTGTTCCTGGTTCAAAAACTGAGTGGCAGTTTCACAGGAACCTGGGCTTCTTCCATCTTGTGGCTCTGCCATCTGCAATACACAGCTTCTAGCCACAGAAAGAGAATGAGCTTGGAGAATTACACATGGCAGGTCTGTATGGCCAGTACTGGAAGTAGTGTACAACATCTCCACCCTCCTTCCTTCAGTCAGAGCTCAGTCATATGACCATACTGGAAGGGAGGCTGGGAAATGTAGTCTAGCTGGGTTCACAGAAAGAAGAAGAAACAATTTAGCAAATAGTCAGTCTTCATATCCTCTCACTCATCATAGCGAAAGCTAAAGTCCTTGCAATAGCCTAAAGGCCCTACATGGTGTCCCTCTCTCCCTCCCTCATTCCTGTTGCTCCCTCTCTGACCTCATGTCCTCTACTCTCCTTGCTACTGTACTGCAGTCCCACTGGCTTCCAGTTGCTCCTCAAACACTTCAAACATACTCCCAACTCAGGGCCTTGCCTTGGTGTTCCCTTTTCCTGGAATGTTCACCACCTTCAGATGTTCACTCACGTGTCACCCTCTCATGAGCTTCCCTGGCCACCTTTTCTGAGATGGCAACGCCACTCCTGATAGTCCCAACACTCACTGTTCTCCTTTCCTGCCTTATTTTTCTCCTTATGTAAGCAGACAGAGAGGGTCTGTATTAGTCCATTCTTGTATTGCTATAAAGAAATACCTGAGACTGGGTAATTTACAAAGAAAAGAGATTTAATTGGCTCAGAGTTCTGCAGCTGTACAGGAAGCACAGTGGCTTCTGCTTCTTGGGAGGCCTCAGGGAAATTATGGCGGAAGGCAATGGGGAAGCAGATACGTCTTGCATGGCTGGAGCAGGAGGAAGGGGCGGGGGAGGTGCCACAGACTTTAAATGAACAGATCTCATTAGAAATCACTCACTATACAGTACCAAGCGGGGATGGTGCTAAACCATTCATGAGAACTCCGCCCCATGATCCATTCACCTCCCACCAGGCCCCTCCTCCAATACTAGGGTTTACAACACAGATCCAAACCATATCAGGGTCTCCAGGGATAAAAGGAATTCAATCAACTCGAGCAATCAGCCTGTTTTACAGCCTTCTGCCCTGCAGCCTGTTCTTCCCCAAACCCTGCATGGAATGTGGTCACCTTGTTGGTTTGAACCAGCTCCTTGCAGACCCTGGCAATTTATAGATGAACTGAGTCAACTTTTCCCTTGACCATGCCAAAGTCTCCACCCTAGGAGGAGCTATAGCTTCGTTGCCATAACATGCCACCTATGTTCTGGCATAATGACTCACTCGTTTGTGCCACTGGGACCCCTCCTCTACATGTGATTTTGCACTCTCTCCATCACCCTGTAAAACCCTCCTGTCACTTTCCCCTGGGGAGACACTGCTTTAGAGAACATTCCCAGTATCCTTCTTACATATGCCAAGTAATAAAACTGCTATTGATCACAAACTGCGTTTTGCATTGTTTGTTACTCACTAAGCGAACAAACCCTGGTTTTTCAGGTAACAGCACCTGTCACCACCTCTCATTCTATGTATGTTGCTTTTTTGTCTTGTTTATGGGCTGTCTCACCTACCTCTACACACCAGAGTATAAGCACCGTGACAGACTTAATTTTGTTCACTGTTGTATCCCCAGTTCCTAGAACAGTGTCTGCACACAGGAAACATTGAAAGTTCAGTAGCACCCATGAGCAGAGATGGGAAGCTTGGAGATGAATGTCAGCCTTTTATGGTGACACCATCATGCCGGCCCCAAGCAGTCCTTCAGTGCTGCTCTCACTCGATGGCCTCGGGTGCAGCTATTGGCGGCATTTCTAATATGTGTTGTCCCTCAGGTCCTTTTCTTCCTTCCTCCACCTACTTTCTAACTCTGGGGCTCCCATGAGGCCTAATCTGCTTTCGTCTCCTCAAAAAGTTTATCTGTTCTCATGGCTCCATCAGCCATCTGCTAGCCAACAACCCCTCCCAAATATCTCCTCCAGGCTCTTGGCTCTTTCTCTTTGGCTATTCCGCCATCACATAGACTTCCTATGTCTTGAACTCAATTGACTTCCCTCATTCCATGCACCTAGCTCATTCTCCTAGTCTCCCATGATTAAACCTTTTAACTTTTGAGTGCTCCTTCTTCATTTCTTTCATTCGAGTGGTCACTAAGCTCAGGACTTATTTCCACTTTTAAAATCTCTCTTGTGGCTGGGCACCGTGGCTCATGCCTGTAATCCCAGCACTTTGGGAGGCCGAGGCAGGCGGATCACTAGAGGTCAGGAGTTCGACATTGGCCTGACCAACATGGTGAAACCTTGTCTCTACTAAAAATACAAAAATTAGCCAGGCGTGGTGGCACATGCCTGTAATCCCAGTTACTTGGGAGGCTGAGGCAGGAGAATCACTTGAACCTAGGAGGCGGAGGTGCAGTGAGCCAAGGTCGCACCATTGCACTACAGCCTGGGCGACAAAAGCAAAACTCCATCTCAAAAAAAAAGAAAAACAAAACAAAACAAACAAACAAAAAAACTCTTGTATATAAAGGTTCATTTCCATTTCCCTTTCCCTTGCTAGGCCAGGCCCTTCTCCATTAGGGAACCTCAGGGTTGGAGGGCCCTATCTCTGGCACCCTCACTACCTGTTTAGCCTTTACTAGGACAATTCCAGGATGGATGGCGCACCATTAAGCTGAGTTCCTTGAGGACAGGGACGATGTCCTGTTTACTTTGGGTTCACCAGCACATAACACAGTGCCTGACCTTAAGGAGTTGTTATTTTTATTTTTTAAGAGAAAGGGTCTTGCTCTGTTGCCCAGGCTGGAGTGAAGTGGTACAGTCATAGTTCATTGCAGCCTCAACCTCCTGGGCTCAAGCAACTAGCTTGAACTACATGTGTGTGCCACCACACCCAGCTAATTTTTAGTTTTTGTTTTTTTGTAGAGATAGGGGGAGGAAGGGTCTCGTTATTTTGCCCAGGCTGGTCTCAAACTCCTGGCCTCAAGTGATCCTTAAGGAGGTATTTTAAAAACTGTTTTCGAAATAATGCCTCCTGAGGTAGCCTGTTTTATTGTTAATACCCATTAGATGGCTTCCCTGTAGGCACAAGCTTAGAAACTTTCCCAGGAAGACCCACAGTTCCCACTGTCTTCAGTTCAGGTTCCTCAAATTGACAAGATCTTCCATTACCTCTCCAAACTTACTATCCATGCTTTTCTTTCATTGTTTCCCCCCACCCCTTTTTTTAACCTTCCTCATTTGCTACCTGGCCTGAGAATTTACCTCCCACTCTGCCCTCCACTTGTCCTTATTCCTATTACTCTTCTTGCTGAATAGTCCATTTGGGACTTCCTTAGTCCAGCCTTAGTCATATCTTCCTCTGAAGCCTTCCCTGACTACCACCAAGGGTCACTGACACTCCTTTGAATGCCAGAAGGATTAGTTGTAAACCTTTCACGTTGACAGTAACTAGCTTGCTTTCATGAGCTTAACTGTTTCATGAGTTTACAACTTGTCTCAATTTGATTTTAAACTACAGAGGCTTTATGTGCTAAGAATGCCACAGGTTTACATTCCATTTGTGTTGAAGCTATAGTAGCCTTTATTTGATATTTGTTTTAATTTCATGACATGAAATTAAATTTTCAGGGACATGCAACGGGTTCGGCCCATTCCCTTCACTTAACATTACTGAGCTGGGCAGTAAGCTCAGAGTTGCAGATATAAAGATGAATAGACAGATACCTACCCAGGAGCTTACTCTAGAAGAGGACAGATGGATAAGCTACATTTTATAGCAGAATTTGGCAAAGTGTACTGAAGCTATAAACAGCTATGATGGTAAATAAGGTAAGAATTATGCTTAGTGAGGTCAGGGAAGGCTTCTAGAGCTAACATCTGAACTGGGACTTCTATTGGCAAGGCAGAAAATCAGGAAAACGCACTTATTCCTGGCAGAGGAAGCCTCTTGATCAAAAATCTTAAGAGATGAAAAAGGACCGGTTGTTAGGAAACAGATGATGGTGCCCAGAGCGCAAGATGAGGGGGAGTGTTGGGAGATGGAGCTAAAAGATACACTGGTGCCAAAGACTGAAGAGCCTCCTGTAGATAGCGCAGGGCGCAGCGCTGAAGGGAAAGAAAAAGTTGGGATTGTTCAATAAAGTTGGTGACTGATTCAGTCGGATTAATTCCGCCCTGGTGGTCTTGTGGGAATGAAGATAACTAGCAGGATAGTCTAAGAAGCCCTGTGGAAGCAGAGTCATGAGCTGTGAATGGGGACGTGGCGGCCACACGGCCGCGCCCACGCCACCCGCAGTACGGGGCTGGGGCTGGGGCTGGGGCTGGAGCCCGCCGTCCCAACAATCCCGGGGACGAGAGTTGGGCGGGAATCCGCTCCACGCAACTCGGCGCGGTCCCGGGGACGTGGCGCTTTCCAGCCAATCCCGGCTATGCGATTGTTAGACCAATGGCTACTCGGGGACGCTATGCGACAGCGGCGGGTTTGCTGATGATTGGTCGGGAGGCCGCCGGCGAGGCGGATGAGGGCGGGGTGCGGACCCGCTTCCGGTTGGGCGGTGCTTGCGCGCGTGAGCTGAGCCGGTGGGTGAGCGGCGGCCACGGCATCCTGTGCTGTGGGGGCTACGAGGAAAGGTAAGTACGGTGATGCCCAGCCCCTTCACCACTGCCTCATCTTTATTCGCTTTCTTTCTGTCCCCGGTCTTGTTCTTGGCGCGGCAGGGGACTGCCTCACTCGGTGCCGCTGTCTCTGCTGGCGCCCGGGTCCCAGGCCTGATGCTGCTGGAGATCCCGGGACCCTCTGTGTGCAGCCTGGGATGGAGGCCGCCGCCCGTCTTACCGCGCGCTCTGGGAAGGGGGCTGGTCCGGTGGAACTCTGTCCCGTTGGGTACTGTTCTGTGCCTGGTTTGCTGCGTCCTGGTCCTCCATCTCTAGGTCACGCCACTCACCGAGTCTCTGGCACCAGAGGGTCATTTTTTGCCTCCGGAAGGTCGGAGGGCATTTGGATAGTGTTATTGTAAGAGTTCCTTGCCGCCTCCACTCACCATCCTGCTTGTATCTGCCAGCTCCGCCCCAAGGCCACATCCCGACAGTAGGGTGCATCTGCCAAGGTCGTGTTCACTCACCTAAAGGGTGCAGAAACAAGGGGGGAGAGAACGAGTGACGACACTAGGTGATATCTATGATTTTAAAGAAAAGCTGAATGTTTAGAGCTTCCATATTTGGCTACGTACTTCAGTTAGCGACGGAAAATAGTTTTTAAAGCTTTATTGGGGAATTAATTTTTGTTACGTTTTTTGTTGCTTCTAGCCCCATATCCTACTGATTTTTAGCATGCTGCGGTCAGAAATAAACTTAATTCCCTATAGCTGCCGCGATTAAGCGTAGAGTGGCTTGCAGTTTCAAAAGCTGCTTTTGCATCAAGGCCCAAGCTCCGTGGGTCTCCTGCTAAAACTTTTGAGCCTGTGATCTGAATTCCTAAGTGTATAAAATTCTAGAATAGTGTCTTCGAGAATTGAGTTGCGTTCATTTTCTGGTGTGGACCATGAAGTCAACGTTAATGAATTGGGAATAAGGTGGCTTCTAGTTGTTTTTTGTTCTAGTAGCTTATTCAGCTTGGAGGCAGAGAACCTTGGAATCTCTGTTAAATTAGTCTGCCATAGAATGGAACTTGACACAAGACAAATGCAAGTTTGACCTCACTCAGTAGATTTAATTAACCAAATACCAAACGACAGTAATCACTGAAGAATTTATATAGTATAATCCAAATGAGGGACCAGATATAACCTCTAAGTTGTATTTGTCAAGAAAATGAGTTTGCCAAGACCTAATCTGAGGTTTTACTGTGATTGGGGGGTGGGGGGGTTCCAATAGGATTCTTTTGAGAATCACAAGTAGGAAAGCCATGAGCTCACAAAAATGTATTGAGTATGCCTGAGTGAATAGTACTCAATATAGCTTTGAAACCAACTCATTGTCACTCTCAATGTAATCATTGTTTGTTTTCATTCATCCAGTGATGTGTCAAGAAGTACTTATTGATAGCACTTAATATCCATTAGAGCAGTATTGGGATCTATATATTGGTGTTATTTTTTAAAATTTATTTATTTTAGAGTTGAGGGTCTCAGTATGTTGACCAGGTGGAGCCTTGAACTCCCATGCTCAAGCAGTCCTCCTGCCTCAGCCTCCCAAGTAGCTGAGACTAGAGGTATATAACACCACACCCTAGTACATTGGTGTTAACACAGATTTTCTGTAACGTAGGTATACCAGGGATATTGAAAGGACAGAGGTGTAGCCAAGGATAGCCACTGGAAATGCTAGCTAGGCCACAAGGCCCTAGATTCTCACTCTCTGAACTCTTAAGTATGGATGTTGCTGATGCAGTAATTTATGTATTAGAGTTAAGACAGCTGAAATAACACTTTTGCCTGTTCCTGGCTGATTGCCAGATCCAGTAAACGGAATTGGAAGTTGGAGAACACAGGCAGGCAGGAACCACATTGCTGCCAAGTACCGCCCAATTAATTCAGTAAGATGTATTAATCCAGTAAAATGTATTGGTATCAAAAAAGTGCAAGACAATGTATTAGGGACAATATAGGGGTAATAATTTGTATTAGAATGATATGTAGACATTCTTCCAGAAATGTCGATTCTAAAGGGGAGCTAAGGAGACAACTTAAGGTAACCTATGGTCATTGTTTTTGAGTGGTTCAGACGAGTTTTATAGAAGTTTAGATTGGATCATACCCTTTTTGTCCAAAAAGAGAAAAAGATAACAGATCACTTCCAGCTAGAGTGATCATAGTAGGTAGGTCTTCTAGGATCTTAAATTTATTTATAGACATCTGGCACTGAAGGAAGTTTGAGCTAAAATAACTACCAAATTCTCAACAGTGTCACGCATGTTACACATGCACAGCAAAATTACAACTAGAAACCAAGGCTCCTATCCCTACATTTCAAATAGCATTTCTCTCACAATTGATTATGTATTAAGGCTTGTCAACGAAAAGGAAACTTTTTTCTCTCAGAATTTCTAGAACTTTTTTCTTTAAAAAGTTTTTTATTCTGTAGCCAGAAAAATTTAAAGTTTGTGCTGGGTTGCTTTGGTTATAGAACTAATGAAGCTTGAGTAATAGTTTCAGACATTCTCAGGGTTTTTCTTCTGCAGCCAGATTTTACACTTCTATTATCTCAGCTGTCTTATAAATGTATTCCCTCCATCACACAATATAATTAGAATGTATTGATGAACAGATGTAACTTCATCACTAGAGAGACGTTAAATAAATTATGTGTTGGTATCATGACTTTTATCAAATCATGAAGGATGCCATCACTTTTATGTGATAGTCCATTGGTATAGTACTAAAGTTTGTAAGTAAAGAATGTCAGATAGATAACAAGATAACTTCATTTTCGAGATCTCATAACCTGGGCCTTAGTATAGTTAAATTGCTATCAGTCTGTTCCCTGTAATCTCCAATTGAAGTAGACAGTTAAACAATGAGATCCTGCTTTTGCTGCGTTATGGAGAAATAAATGCCTTTTCTGGTGAATATCCATCCAGCTCAGAGAACTGGAATTTTACTACCACACCCATTTCTCCCAATTGTTAACATTGAGCAATGGGTCTTTGGTCAACCATAATAACTGTTGGATCACTCAGTGTTAACGTTCTTGTGAAGTTGAATTTAAACATCTAAATTTCCCTGAAACAATTTAAGTATTCTGTGACCAATGGCACTTTACCAAAATTGAAAGTTTGGGCCATGTATTGCTCGCAATACTGGTCCAATGGATACACTATGGACACTAAGGACAAAAACTTCCTTGAAAGCTCTAAGTTCTTACCTGAAGGGTGGGGTAGGGAGAAGTGATAAGAATTTAGAGCTTTTAAGGACATTTTTGGATGGATCGAAGAAACCAATTCTTAAGACTCATTATTATTAAAATCACACTTAACCCAGTTAGGCTTTTCTCTTTATAAATTACTGGAACGATTCATGAAAACAACTTTATAGAAGACCATTATTGGTGACATACTAATACTACAAAAGGATGATAGCTACTGGATATATTTTCTGTTCTAATCTTTTGGTTTGTGTCTAACATGCTGTCCAATAAAAATATAATACAAGCCACATATGTAATTTTAAATTTTCAGGTGAAAATCTAAAACAGGTGAAAGTAATTTTAATAATGTTTAATCTAATACATATAAAATACCATTCTTTCAATATGAAATGTAACACTTATACCAATCGCAATTCACACTAGCCACATTTCAAGTGCTTAGTAGTCACATGTGGCTAGTGGCTACTGTACTGGGCAGTACAGGCCTAGATTTTTTTTTTTTCCCAAGAAAAAAATATTAGATGTTACCCTTCGTGGAAGAGGGACAGAATTTTAGAGAGAGAAACTCATTTGAGAAATGGGAGGTGGGGAAATTCAGTTTTCACAACCATTGGTTTACTTTCTAGATCACATGATAAAAGCTCATACAGCTAAGTCTTTTGTTTATGTGTATCATATTTTTCCTAATATTATGTTGTCCATTATGTCCATAGTATATCCATTGGACCAGTATTGTGATCAGTATGTATGGCCCAATGGATACACAAAGATCTTTCCAGCTGGAAGTGATCTGTACCTATTCCTCTAAACTTTTTTTTTACTTTTTGGACAAAAGTATCCAATTTAAACTTTTTTTTTTCTTTTTCTTTTTTTGAGACAGGGTCTTGTTCCCTCACCAAGGCTGGAGTGTGGTGGCATGATCATGACTCACTGTAACCTCGTGTCTCCGGGGCTCAGGCGATCCTCCCACTTCAGCTTCCCCGGTAGCTGGGACTATAGCTGCGCCACCACACCCAGCTAATTTTTTGTATTTTTGGTGGAGATGGGATTGCCTAGGCTGGTCTTGAACACCAGCATTCCATCCGCCTTGGCCCTCCAAAGTGCTGGGATTACAGGCTTGAGCCACTGCTGCTGGCCCAGTCTAAACTTTTATAAAGTGTTGAAGTGGGTGAGGAAAATGAGAAGGGCCATTAACTTTGTATCATTTGGTTTCAATTTGGTTGAAAAGACAAAGATGCTTCAGAAATGAAGTGTACTGGCTGGTCATGGTAGCTCACACCTGTAATCCCGACACTTTGGGAGGCCGAGACGGGAGAATCACTTGAGGTCAGGAGTTTGAGACCAACCTGGACAACATGGTGAAACCCTGTATCTACTAAAAATACAAAAATTATTCGGGCGTGGTAGACCATGCCTGTAATCCCAGCTATTGAGGAGGCTGAGGCAGGAGAATCACTTGAACCCAGGAGGTGGAGGTTGCAGTGAGCCAAGATCACACCACTGCACTCCATCCTGGGCAACAGAGACAGACTCAGTCTCAACAAAAGAAAACGAAGTGCACTAAAGTAGATTTTCAAATGCTGTGTATGAAGTTATTTTTTACTGTTCCTTTCACATCTTCCCACGTAAGATATCCTTTGTCTTAGATGTCCTTTGTTTCTGCTTGAACATACATGCTCCATACCAAAAACCATATGGTTTTAGATAAATCTAGTACAGTTTTTGGTATGGATGGTGTTTTTTGTTTTTAGTGTCTATATTCATAAAACAAGAGGGCTTTGTTAAAGTTTCTAATAGCCAGGAGTTGTTATATATGTGGGCACAAAGGACGTTTTGTTTTTTTTTAAGTAGAACTTCTTTAAAGTGCAGATTTTTCATTCCTCCCTGCAGAAAGATAAAGAAGTAAAGATGGACCATTGGCTTTGTCCATCTGGGTCCTTGATGACCGTTGTAGGCAGTTTCATCAATAGTAAGGAAGCCAGGTTTCAGGGTAGCATTGGACAGTGAGGAAGCAGAGGCAGCAGGGTAGAAACTGTGGGTGAGGGAAAGGGAGGAGCAAGCATGAAGGAACAGCACAGTCTGGGAAAGACTGTGGGTAGTGGAGACCTGAGAAGCACTGATTGACAGAATGGAGGAGCCTGTTTAAGGGATGAGATTGAAAGTTTATTCAGGAGAGGGGAAGGAAGGAGAAATGGGTGAGTGATAAAGCTAAATCACTTGGCTTCTACTCTTTGGAATTCTGGTATCCTTGTATCAAGATATTAAGCCTGAAACATAAATGTAGTTTTCCCTCTAAATCACAGAGTAAACCAATCTATTACATTTCTGTATGCTACATGTCTCAAAACTTGGTACAGTATCCTTTCCAGGACCAGATTATGTTAGAGTGCATAAGTATTTATT
Organism: Homo sapiens; assembly: GCF_000001405.40. Taxonomy (NCBI): domain Eukaryota; kingdom Metazoa; phylum Chordata; class Mammalia; order Primates; family Hominidae; genus Homo; species Homo sapiens. The sequence goes on from NC_000007.14 coordinate 128,745,070, forward strand.
CATATTGTAATATTTGGGGTTGGCAAGAATTGTTAGGGTATTATGCTATATTTTATTTTGAGAATGTAATCATTTGTAAAATTTTCCTAAAGATAAAGTCCCCTTAGGCATAAGGAAAATCCTTTGTTGCAGTGACTCTTGATTTTACTTGATTCTGCAAGCCTCTGTCACTATACATATTGTTGGGATATATCCCAAAACATCAACAACATATAATTCTGTTTTTTGTTTCCAAAGTTTTGTTTATCTAAAGAATTATTTGTTTATAGGCTGGGTATGGTGGCTTACGACTGTAATCCCAGCACTTTGGGAGGCCAGGGCTGGAGGATCGCTTGAGACCAGTCTGGGCAACATAGTGAGACTCTACAACATTTTTTTTTTTTTAATTTGCTGTGCATGGTGGTACACACTTGTATTCCCAGCTACTTGGGAGGCTGAAGTGGGAGGATGGTCTGAGCCCCAGAGGACCAGACTGCAGTGAGCTATCATCACACCACTATATCTAGCCTGGGTGACAGAGTAAGACCCTGTCTCAAAAAAAGAATTGTTTATAGTTTGAGATAGAAGTTTCATTTTGCCCTGAAGTAAAGGCATACTCACTTTAATGTTGTATTTATAGAGCCGCTAAATCTCGGATTTTCTGTTTACTCTTTAACTGATTTGATTGATCAGTTGAATTATTGGAGGGTCAGCCAGAGTGTTGTTCACCCAGAGCAATATTTTACAAGTGGTGCACACAGAAAGCTAATAAACATGAGAGTGTGCTGTTCATACAAATTAGACAGTACAGCAGGATACAGTATTAAAGTTCACTTTCACACCAATCTTACCAGCCCACCCCATTCCTGTCTCTTCTCCCATGAACCTTGAGGTTACCACTGTTTACACATGGGTATTTGTCTTTGCACACCATTTATGTGCATGTTATATTTTATACAAATAAAAACAAGCTGGGGAGATTGTTTAATTTTGTTTTGCTTTTTATGTAAATGAGATCTTGACGTTGTTTTGAACCTTGCTTTTTTTGTTCACTTGACATATCTTGGTGAATTTTCCATTTCACTGCAGATAGATGCATCTCGTTCTTTTTTTTTTTTTACATTCTTTTTTTTGAGGAAGGGTCTCGCTCTGTCACTGAAGTGCAGTGGTGAGATCTCAGCTCACTGCAGCCTCTGCCTCCCGGGTTCCAGTACTTCTCGTGCCTCAGCCTCCTGAGTAGCTGGGACTACAGGCGTGTGCCACCACACCCAGCTAAGTTTTGTATTTTTAGTAGAGACAGGGTTTCACCGTATTTCCCAGGGTGGTCTCGAACTCCTGACCTCAAGTGATCCTCCCGCCTCGGCCTCCCAAAGTGCTGGGATTACAGGCATGAGCCACCATGCCTGGCTGCTTTTTTTATTTTTTTTGAGATAGGATCTCTGTCACCCACGCTGGAGTGCAGTGGTACAATCTCAGCTAACTGCAACCTCCACCTGGTGGGTTCAAGCTATCCTCCCACCTCAGCCTCCTGAGTAGCTGAGACTACAGGTGTATGCCACCATGCCCAGCTAATTTTTGTATTTTTAGTAGAGACAGTGTTTCGCTATCACCCAGGCTTGTCTTAAACTCCCGGATGCAAGTGATCCGCCTGCATTAGCCTCCCAAAGTCTTGGGATTACAGGCGTGAACCACCACCCCCGGCCTCATGTCATTCTTTTTTTTTTTTTTTTTTTTTTTTGAGACGGAGTCTCACTCTGTAGCCCAGGCTGGAGTGTAGAGGTGCTATCTCGGCTCACTGCAAGCTCTGCCTCCTGGGTTCACGCCATTCTCCTGCCACAGCCTCCCAAGTAGCTGGGACTACAGGCACCCACCACCACGCCCGGCTAATTTTTTGTATTTGTAGTAGAGACGGGGTTTTACCGTGTTAGCCAGGATGATCTCGATCTCCTGACCTTGTGATCCACCCGCCTCGGCCTCCCAGTGTGCTGGGATTACAAGCATGAGCCACTGCGCCCGGCCCATTCTTTTTAACCTTTGTGTATTTTTCCATAATCGAGATTTAATATATTTTACCAATTCTCTGTTTTTATTTGTTTTCCGATTTTTTAATCATTGTGAACTGTCATCATTGAACATCTTAATACAAGTATCTTTGTCTGTAAATGTGGGTATTTTGATGGGATTGAATGAAACAATGTTGAGAAACATAGCCAAGTTCTAACATTGATAGGAATAGAGTAATAAGTACCATCTTCTACCCATTTCTCTATGGGTTTCATGGTCTTGCTTTCACATTGCTTCTTCTGATGGATTTTCCTAAGTCTTAACCTTCACGTCATCAGTAACAGTACCTTATTTGAGACTGGGGCACTTGGGAATGACTGCCCCCCAACCCCCGCCCCCATTATCTCCTTAGGTACTTTTCTGTTTGTCTTACTGTGTTGTCGTATTTACTCTAGAACACTTTCCACTCTCTACTGATATGTCCTCCTCTGCCATTTCAGGACCTCCCACCCTCCCCCACTGAGCTGCCTTCCCAGTGATGAAAGAAAAAATGTAAAAGCCTGAAAACCCTTCTTCTTGATTTTTAATTTTTTTTTTTCCCTCTAAGACCTTAACCACTCTGGATAGTATCACGGGGTATCAGTAGAGTGTGCTAAACAGATGTGTACTCTGCAGCTTCTTTGCAGGTTTTTTGTCACATTTTTCAGTCAAGTGTTCCAGCTTTGTGCTTGTTCATTAGAGTCACCTGTGACTACAGAGATTCTGAAAGTTTGAATCAGGGCCTGGGAATCTGTACTTTGAACAGTACTACAGGTGGTATTTATGCCTAGGCAAGTATGGGAAACAACTGTGCAGAAGGATAAAGACGTTCTTATCTATGACTAGACCATCTGAATGATTTGGCCTTTGAAGGTGACTCAAGGTTGAGCCTGGATGTTGGAGACTTGGTGCTATAGACCAAGGAAGCTGCCAAGTATTTCGCTGGTTCCTAATCTCATGAACATCAGAATCACCTGAAAAACATTTAAAGCTACGAATGTCTGAATTCAGCTTCAGAGACTCTAAATCAATAGGAGAAACTTAAAGCTTCCTAGATGATTCTAATAACCAGCCATGTTTGAAGACCAGACCACCAATGCGTACAAGAAGTAAAGGATTTGGAGTCAACATTTAAACCTTGGTTCTTTCACTTTTAATTCTTATGAACTTGGGCAAAAGGATTAAAATTCTACTTTGGTATCTTTTGAAAGAAAACAGAAAGTGGACATTTTAACTATAAGTTTCTTATCAGCCTACAATCAGATGAAGGAAACTGGTAAAAATTTCTCACTGTAATAATTGAAGAGTCTGATATTCCACCATACTTATTTTATGGATGAAGTAATATTTGGGATAATATAAAAGACTTGCATAGATATGTATATCAAATTAATAGTTTAACTCGGATGTGAGCTTTTAATTTCTTATTTAGTTATTAAGCATACTGCCTCCTGAATTAACTGCTTTTCATTTTCTTCAAGATCTAATTATCATGGACCTGCGACAGTTTCTTATGTGCCTGTCCCTGTGCACAGCCTTTGCCTTGAGCAAACCCACAGAAAAGAAGGACCGTGTACATCATGAGCCTCAGCTCAGTGACAAGGTTCACAATGATGCTCAGAGTTTTGATTATGACCATGATGCCTTCTTGGGTGCTGAAGAAGCAAAGACCTTTGATCAGCTGACACCAGAAGAGAGCAAGGAAAGGCTTGGGTAAGGTACCACCTCTCAGGGGTCTAGTGTGGGTAATGACATTCTTTATAAAGGCTAATTCTTTTCTTTTCTGGCTCAGTTATGAGTAAAGTTATATTGAACTATTAATACATCTTCTGAAAGCTAACCATGGAATTACTACCTCTAAAATTTCATTAAATGCCTGATTTCATACATTTTTAATTGAATAACAGTTGGTGCCTCATTCTACAAAGCATCATTTTTGCATAAAAGTACCAAGTACTGCAAGACCCAACTTGAACTGCATTATCTTGCTACCAGAAGAACATAGCATGGGGGGATTTCTCATCTCTTCTCATCTCTACTGCTTTTAATTTTTAAAAACTATCTGTGCCCTACTGACCTGGCACAAGCCAAGTCTTTGATGGGCTAATAAACGGCACATTGGATCCCTATAAAGTTTATGATTTCCCGAGGTGTCCTTCACCCTCTTTATTTTCATTCTCAGATATTTGTTTAATTAAAAAACAAAAATCAAACCAACTTTGTCTTTTAGAAAATTGTAACTTAATGTCTGAGTATGAGTTACTGTTTCAGTAACAGCAGGGCCATAGTCAGGTTCTTTGGCTCTCTCGGTAGACATCTTTTGTCCTGAAAAATGGATTTGGTAGAATCCCAGTTGATTATTTCTAATTGGGGATCTGAGAATGTCTTTTTTGGTCCTTCCAAAGCCTTCCTTTTGAAGAAAATGCAGGTCAATTTTGTAAAAATATTCTTCTCAGTGAGCACTGTTGGTGCAACTTCCTGATTGTATTCAAGAGATTTGTGTGGAAAGTTGTGCCACACATAGCAATTTCTAAAAATATTTTGCCTTGATGGGTAGCATTTTGATCATAAGACGTTGTAGGATTTGCTTTGGAAGATGCTGCAGAATAGATGTATTTTTTCATTGGGTTATCTACTGACTGAAGGGTACAATGTTTTATTTTTCAACATTGACAGAAATAATAAAGATATTTTGCTATGTAGAATGAGCACTGTCACATAGCATTTGAAAGTAGATAGATATGCATCACAGAGTTAGTTTTCTATTAGGTTGCTTTCCTTTGGGAGACCATCCTCACTTTCAGTTTTAATCTAATAACTGTACTAACATTCCAGGCTGAAAATAGAAATGCAGATCAGGTACGGTGGCTCACGCCTGTAATCCCAGCACCTTGGGAGGCTGAGGCGGTTGGATCACGAGGTCAGGAGATCGAGACCATCCTGGCTAACACTGTGAAACCCCATCTCTACTAAAAATACAAAAAAAATTAGCCGGGCGTGGTGGCGCGTGCCTGTAGTCCCAGCTACTTGGGAGGCTGAGGCAGGAGAATGGCGTGAACCCGGGAGGTGGAGCTTGTAGTGAGCCGAGATCACGCCACTGCACTCCAGCCTGGGCAACAGAGCCATCTCAAAAAAAAAAAAAAAAAAAAGAAAATAGAAATGCAGAGGGTATTCTAAGTCTTCATGTCATGCCCATTAATATTGTGCACGTCCAACCCACATTTTGGTCTGCACATATTTTTTCACAGAATTAACTCTAAAATAATGAAAGGCCCTTAGGTTTGGTATCATTTAGGGTAGATGGTACTATAATGAGGATGTTCTGGCTCCTTGCAGGTAGGGAGAAAGCTCTGCTGGCACTTTTCAGTTGAAAGTATTCCTTTTTGTGATCAGTGGATATTAAAAGTTTGTCACATATGCAGATTCTGTATTTGATTAGAATAAGATGATAAAATCATGTTTTTTATGGAATGTATGAATAGACTGTTTGCTTCTCCCAAATTTTGTTGGTAATGACAAATATCCCTACTTTATACAGTAACATACGGTTGGGAGCAAGAATCCCACATGAAACTTTTAAAAAACTTATTTACTGTGGCATTTCAAAACATTGTTTTGGTGGGGTAATGTATACCAGCTGGGAACAACAGGTTCCCTCTTTTTTCCATCTGTCTATATGGCACATAATTATTAAGAGATAAGTCATTGTTCATGCCTTTAGTTGCAAAAATTCACGACTTTTTGAAATCTTTAATAATAATAGCTAAAAGAACACAGGAAGCATTTTAAAACAATTCAATATACAAGTTTCAGGTATTTTTTCTTATTAAGAATGTTGACAAATAGGCGATTTTATGTATCCTTAAAATGAAGATTTGTTTTGAGGTAGTGGTTCTTAATATTAAAAAAGTTCTCTGGCTGGGCGCAATGGCTCATGCCTGTAATCCCAGCACTTTGGGAGGCCGAGGCAGGCAGTTTATGAGGTCAAGAGATCAAGACCATCCTGGCCAATATGGTGAAATCCCATCTCTACTAAAAATACAAACATTAGCTGGGCCTGGTGGCGCGTGCCTGTAGTCCCAGCTACTTGGGAGGCTGAGGCAGGAGAATTGCTTGAACCTGGGAGGCAGAGGTTGCAGTGAGCCAAGATCGCACCACTGCACTCCAGCCTGGCAACAAAGTGAGACTCCGTCTCAAAAAAAAAAAAAAAAAAATTCCTTGATATATTTACTATAGAAGTGAACTAGAGCAGTTCATTATCCTTTTGGGGATCACAGGCCCAGACCCTTTGGGAGTCTAATGAAAGCTAAGGACTTTTCCTCAGAAAAGTGCACACTTACATATACAATTTTGGGCTAGGCGCAATGGCTCATGGCTGTAATCCCAGCACTTTGAGAGGCTGAAGCAGGAGGATTGCTTGAGCTCAGGAGTTCGAGACCAGCCTGGGCAATATAGGGAGACCCTCTCTCTACAACAAATTAAAAAATCAGCTAGGCATGGTGGCATGTGCCTGTAGTCCCAGCTACTAAGGAGGTTGAGATGAGAGGATCCCTTCAGCCGGGAAGGGCAAGGCTACAGTGAGCTGTAATTGTACCACTGCCCTCCAGCCTGGGTGACAGAGCAAGACCCTATCTCAAAAAATAATAATAACAAAATAAGAAAATTTTGCACACTGAAAATTTCAGGAATATTAGTCACCCTTCTGGAGCCCATTTATTGATCCAAATTCTTAAACAACTGAAGGGTTTGCTTTATGCTCCTTGAAATGTAGAGGTATGTGCTACCTCCTAAAAGAAATAACATGAGGTGCACTAATGCACTGTGTCTGTCCTAGAATAAAGGCTTATTTAGTGGCGTCCATAGGGTTCTCCCCTGTCACAGGACTATGACACCATTAGCTTCATAAATTTACACAGGCATTTAAAGATGATAATTTAGAGCCTTATGCCTAAAATAGGATGTGCCCACTTCCAGTGTACTTACACAACTGCCTGCAGGCTTGGTGCTCAGCAAGATAAGAATGGCTTTTACATTTTCAGAGGCTTGTTAAAAAAAAAATACACACACACACACACCATACCATATGTTGCCCACAAAGTCAAAAATATTTACTATCTGTCCCTTTTTTAAAAAAGAAGTTTGCCTTGTAAACTATATTTCTGTTTAAGTAAAAAACAATAAATTTTTTTCTTAAGTTTGCCAACCCCTAGGTTAAACCATTTGAGTTGTTTGCATTGAATAGAATGCTCTTCAGTCAACTTAATTAAGAAAAGCCCACCTTGAACAGTCATATGTCTTTTTTTATCTGGGCGATCCTTCTCTTCAGGCTATTTATAATAGTTTAAAAATACCTTTTGGGGGTAGGAGGGGTTCTGGTTGCCCTTTTTCCTTGCCCTTTATTTCTGAACTGTACAGTGGCACTATTGGTAGCCAGTACCATTTGAGCACAAACTGCATTCCATTATAAATAATGTAGAACTTTTCAATATTGGTATAGCTTCATCTGTGAATAGTGTTAAAATTCTACAGGACTAAAGTTACAACAACAAAAATTGTCCTTATGTCTATGTAGATAGAAGAGGATATTTAAGAGATAACTACTTTTTTTTCTGAGACGAAGTCTTGCTCTGTCACCTGGGCTGGAGTGCAGTGGCGCGATCTCAACTCATTGCAACCGCCGCCTCCCAGGTTCAAGAGATTCTCCTGCCTCAGCCTCCTGAATAGCTGAGATTACAGGCATGCGCCACCATGCCCGGCTAATTTTTGTGTTTTTAGTAGAGACTGGGTTTCACCATGTTGGCCAGGCTGGTCTCGAATTCCTCACCTCCCGCCAGGTGATCTGCCCGCCTCGGCCTCCCAAAGTGCTGAGATTATAGGCGTGAGCCACCGTACCAGGCCAGAGATAACTTCTTACTGGTTTACCTTTCCTGTTAACATTTTAGAGCAAGATTACACATTCTCTGAAGGAAAATGCTAGTTACTTACAGGATTTAAGTAATAGTTGTATCTAACACCTGATCTGTATCAAAATGAGTCTCTTTTCTTAGAGTCACTAGTACTTTTCAATTCTGATCACTTTCCTATGTTGTATTCATGAAATGAACACAAGCTGGGGAAAGACATTATTTGCTACCAAGTGACAATCTTTTCAATCCTGCAAATAATAGAGCATAGGACTATACCAAGATTTCTCTTCTGTTGGAAGTTTTGACTTCAACTTCATATTCCAAACTGGGCTGCTTACTTGGGTGACATTACATAGGATGACTTTGCCCCTATAGTTAAGTGATTGCACCTTTAAACAGAAGTTTTCATATCATGGACATATTTTTAAATCCATAAGATGACAGATCTGGAAGAAAGACACTTATAAAGCTTCATAAAGCCACTGATTCTTTAGCTTTGTGGTTTTGCTTTATAATCTACATACTAACCCTTTCAGCTTATTAACATTCTTATAATCAGATATACATTCTTACCACATCATTTCCTCAGAGTTCTCTGTTTTCATGTAAAAATCCAATTCAACACAGTATTTAAAAGCTGCTAGCCATTTTTTAGACAAGCATCTTCCTGTCTTTTTATCTGTTTTTTAAAAATAATCTTGCCTTGAGATATAAATGATCCCAGAACTTTTCTGATATCTTTGTATTTTTATCAAAAGTGTTACTTTTTCTAAAATCAGCTAAATTTTTGAAGTCTGATGTAACTATTTTGAATTTTTAGAAAACCATGATTATTTACCAAGAATTGGAGTTTCTCTTCTGTAAGCAATAAAGAAAAATAAAGTTCAGCCACATCTTCGCTAGAGAAAATAAAAATGAAAACAAGGAAAAACAAAGTTTTACATGTTGTTTGATGCAAAGAGTGGAGAACTTGGATAGGAATGGATATTCACTCCTGAATTCTAACCATAGGCTGAAATCTACCTCCAAAGAGATAGGCTGAGTTTGCTTTTGGATCCAAGTGCACCAGCCATGACTGTGTTGACCTTATTCACGTGGCTTATTACAGACCAGTAATGGACCATTTTTTTCAGTTGCTGGCCTGGCAGTTTTGTTTTGGAGACAATTTTTTATTTCTGTGCATTAGCCCTGGGCACACACCTGGCTAAGTCCAGAGTTCTGTGTCTTTTTAACCTTTTGCTGGATTTCTCTGCATTTTCTACAGAAAGATTGTAAGTAAAATAGATGGCGACAAGGACGGGTTTGTCACTGTGGATGAGCTCAAAGACTGGATTAAATTTGCACAAAAGCGCTGGATTTACGAGGATGTAGAGCGACAGTGGAAGGGGCATGACCTCAATGAGGACGGCCTCGTTTCCTGGGAGGAGTATAAAAATGCCACCTACGGCTACGTTTTAGGTAGGTCCCTACTGTCTGGGGGAAAAAGCCTTGTGGAGCTGGCACCTTGAAACGTAACTGTTTTGTCTTGTAGAATGATTGTAGATAAAATAGACGCGGATAAAGATGGGTTTGTGACGGAGGGGGAGCTGAAATCCTGGATTAAGCACGCCCAGAAGAAATACATATATGACAATGTTGAAAACCAATGGCAGGAGTTTGATATGAATCAAGACGGCTTAATCTCCTGGGATGAGTACAGAAACGTGACTTATGGCACTTACCTGGGTAAGGGGCAAGATGTCAGCCTGGCAGGGACCGTGGTCTTGAGTCAAAGAAACAAATGGGTCACACAGTAAAGGAAAGGAAGCTTATCTTAAATAGTTCAATTCAGTGCTAAGCTGATTCCCTTTATTAATTTTAAATTTGTATATTATGTATTTTTAAATTTGTTTAATTTTTGTTTTCTGAAGTCTGGAAGTCTGGTATCTTCTACATTTTTAGCATTTTACATATATTTTACCATTTTTTCTTTATGTCATCCCTCATAGAGACAATTTTTGGAGTAGATTTCATTTAAAAGAATACATTGGGCTGGGTGCCGATAGCTCACGCCTATAAGCACTTTGGGATGCTGAGGCAGGAGGATTGCCTGGGCCCAGGAGTTTGAGACCAATCTGGGCAACATAGGGACACCCTGTCTCTACCAAAAAAAAAAAAAAAAATTTAAATTAGCCAAGCATGGTGGCACACACCTGTCCTAGATACTCAGGAGGCTAAGGTGGGAGGATCACTTAAGCCCAGGAGGTTGAGGCAGCTGCGAGCCATGATTGCACTGCTGCACACCAGCCTTGGGGACAGAGCGAGCTCTGTCCAAAAAAAAAAAAAAAAAAAAAAAAGAGGCTATGAGGCTACATACTTCCAACAGTGCAAAGCAAGGGGCTTTGAGATGTTTCTTGACATGGTCCCAGTAAAGTGTTGGACCTAAAATTCAAACCAAATTAGATTTCTTTATAACTGGTGAGAAGTCTTAATAAAATAGTTTTCCTTAATAAAATTTAACTATTTCAGTATGTCTGCTTACTGAAGTTTGGAAATGAAAATTTCCCATTTGTTTTCTCTGGCACATGAGTTTATCAGCCTGCTTTGCAAGTGCTTTAAGGCAAATAAATGTTAATTTGATTGCTTTTTGTTGATTTGATAGCTTGTATGCTTGGGCCACCTGTTAGTAATTTTCTTTTACTTGTAACACTTGCCTGCTGCTGAATACTAGGCAGTGAGTCTTATTGAGTTGATGATCCAGGGTGTTTTTATTTGTGAAATTCCTCTGTTGTACATGGTTACAGTTTAAGACAAGAATTGTATTAATATAAATGAATATAAATGGTACTTTCTCCATTTTAATCCTGGAAATTAGGCAACCTTCTGGGTTAAAGCAAGCGTTCTCCGCCACTGACTAACAGTGAGTGTATAATGGATCTGTTTCCCCACAGATAGCCAGCTGTCTGCATTAATTACAGGACTGCATGCATTTCTGGTGAAGAGACTTTTATTTCTGTGTCAGGCTTGTTCTCATTCCTAAGACTAAAGTGGCACTCTCTCTCAATGCTTGACACTTAGCCAAGAACCAAACATATCCTTCACCCAATTAAGAACACATGTATTAAACAGTCAGCACAGATGGAGAGGCATCCTGCTTCTTGCTCTGGCTGAGACCCAACACCTTCCTGATTTATTTGGAATTAATGATAAATACAAAGCAAAGAGTAGGCTATTGGTGATCTAAACAAAATGGTGTGTAAATAAATCTCAGCTCCGACCTAGGCACTCACTTGCTGCCCAGAATGATTCTTCGGTGCTGTGTATGATTATGTGCATAAAAATCTGTTGAGAGCTCTGTTGCCTCACAAGGCAGATGATTCAACGTAATGGGTATTTCTGCTGCCTGAGACTGCATAAGCTGAAGCACTGGCTGGGAAGCAATGTCTTTATAAGGCATCTTTCCCCAGAGGCATGAGGGTGGACAGCACTGAGGGGGTCATGAGTCGGCTTAGAGAAGTGAGGAGTTTTTGTTACTGTGTGTTCTTGATTCAATTTGGAGTTCAGGTATAAATCATCATAGCTCTTAGTTAAAATCTGTCTCAATGAATCCGCTATCCATGAGAGAAAGGTTAACACTGTCTCTGCCACAAGGAAAATATGAAATACTGAGATCTACCCTGCCTATAGCAAAACTAGATCAAGAGCCTACCTAAAGCTGTATACAGGCCAGCTAGGGCCAAAACTGGTGCTTAGGATAAATACAGCATTCCAAGCAGAGCTATAGGAAAATAGGTTTTGTCATT